>NC_000005.10:136856743-137505722 GCF_000001405.40 Homo sapiens | reverse complement strand
TGTCCCTTTTTTCAGCACTATGGGTTCAGCAGCAAATGAGACAGACACAAACCCGGACCCTGCCTTTGTGCCGCTGAATGTCAGGTGGGAGAATGACATCAAGCAATTGTGCAGTTGTGATGAGTGCAAAGTTGTGAGGGTCAGGGGTGACTTTTCTGAGGACTTGCAGAAGCTGTGGCCAGAAGGGTGAGTGGGGCTGTCTCCAGGAGAAGAGGGGACAGGGAGGAGAGCGTCTCAGCAGGAGCGAGCCCTGCAGGAAAGGGCCTGAGTGGAGGGGGCAGGATGCTGGTGACCAGAGCAGGAGGGGCAGGAACATCCAGGACAGAAGGATCTAGAGGCCCCTGGGCTTAGCAGGATGTACCAGGAGTCATGGTGCAGTGCCTGGCCTTTGTCCTGAGGGCACAGGAAGGGAAGTAAGTAGAGAAAAGTGATCATATTTACCTTCAGAGAGGACCACTTTGGCTCCTGTGTGGATAATGAATAACCATGGGTGAACTGAGAGAGGGAGACCCTTATAAGGGCTCTGTGGTGTGCAGGTGACATGTGGTGGGAAGTAGATTCTAGAAGTACAGCAGTGGGGAGTGGGTGGAGCTGAAAGGAGTGAAAGAGAGATTGACAGATGAGTGAGTCACTGAAAGTGGGGGCTGAGAAGGAGGGCAGAGTGACACTAGGGTCTTGGTGGGGTGGGAAGTGGTTTCCCCAACATGGGGACACAGGAAAGAGGGTAGGTTTAACAGGGGGGATGCAGCTCAGATGTTCAATTTTGGACACACTGAATTCAGAGAGTGCCAATGAGACAGCACAATGGAGATGCCATGTAGCAGGTAGATATATGAGTTTGCAGCTAAAAATAAATCTGTGCTGATGATAAGGTATTATAGGCACCTCTTTTATTGGATGGAACCTAGTGGGTGATTTGATTCTTGCCAGCATAGCATCATGAACAGGGGTCAGGGAGTACACCTAGAACTTTCTGCAAGTAGGTCCATCTTTCTTTCTCTCTCTGTGACCTT
Organism: Homo sapiens; assembly: GCF_000001405.40. NCBI lineage: Eukaryota > Metazoa > Chordata > Mammalia > Primates > Hominidae > Homo > Homo sapiens. Next base: position 137,504,709 of record NC_000005.10, on the reverse strand, counting down.
CACCAATTTATCTGCCTTTCTGGGCTCCCCTAGCCTCAGCATAAAATGGTGATAGTTATGTCTACTTCTGACTACCAGTAGCACAGGTTTGAGGATCCATTAAACTGAAAATAAAACATGTGGGGCTCGTAGAAATAAGAACTATGTTAAAACAAGGAGTTATTATAGTTGTGCATAAGCCAATGAAAAGCAGAAATACAGCCCCAAGGCTCAGTATTGATTTTGGTCCTGGGTGCTTCCTGCGGCTGAATAAATCTGCCATTTCTCCCCTCGAGTGCTGGCTGAGCTGATGGCAGGTCTCCAGCTCCCAGCCTCCTTGCCCCTGCTCCAAGGTTATGTCCTTCCTTGGCTCAGGCCAGATCCAGCATGGCCACACCTGCCCCTGCTCCTTTGGTCACCCTTCCCATGCAGGGGATGGTTATGGGGAAGATTCCGGTTGTGAAATTGGAGCATGGCTAGCAGCAGATGCTCTCTGATTAAACTGGGGACAGGTCCCCGAGGAAAGTGGAACTTGGATCTGCAGAACAAGGAATTTAAGGAGGACAAAGGAAATGGCCCTAGACAGGGCTTTCATACTTCAGGATGCATCAAGGGTTATGGAATTTGCTTCATTCATTGAACCACTGGATAAATATTTGTTGAGGGCCCACTGAATGCCAGGTTCTGAGATTAGCTCAGGGATACAGGAGTGAAAAAGACAGTGTTTGCCCTCTTGGAATTAATATTCAAATTGAGGAAGAGAGAGATAATAAACAAAGGAGTAAAACACTCTTGAACGACTGAGCAACCAGATACAACAAGAGAGAATGCTGATGTGGCTGGGAGGGAAGTGTCTATCTTAGAAGGTGTGGTCAGGGAAGGCTTCAATGAGGTGGTGACATTTGAGTGAGACCTGACAGCTAAGAAGGAGTTGCCCTGTGAAAAGCAGGGAAAGGAACACTGTGGGCAGAGAGCCTGGCCAGAAGAGAGGACCTGTGGGGCCCAAGCTTGCTAAGTTTGCAGAACCATGAGAAGAAATCTGGCTAGAACCTAGGGAATGAAGGGCAGAGGTAAGGGACCAGATGGTGCAAAGCTTTGTGAGTCATGGGAGGGAATGTGAATTTTTGTTTTACTGTCATGGCAAGCTATTGAAAGGTTTTATTTAAGGGAGTGATTTCTATTTTAAAAAGATTGCTACATATATACAATGGAGTACTATTCAGCCATAAAAAGAATGAGATCCTGTCATTTGCAACAACATGGATGGAACTGGATATCATTATGTCAAGTGAAATAAGCCAGGTATGGAAAGACGAATGTCACATGTTCTTATTTATTTGTGGGATCTAAAAATCAAAATAATTGAACTTATGGACATAGAGAGTAGAAGGATGGTTACCAGAGGCCAGGAAGGGTAGTGGAGGGTTGCAGGGAGGGTGGGGATGGTTAATGGGTCCAAAAAAAACAGAAAGAATGAATAAGACATAGTATTTGATAGCACAACAGGGTGACTATAGTCAATAAGTTAATTGTACATTTAAAAATAACTAAAAGAATGTAATTGGATGGTTTGTAACACAAAGGATAAACACTTGAGGGGATGGATATCCAATTCTACGTGATGTGATCATTATGCATTGCATGCCTGTATCAAACATCTCATGTACCCCCTAAATACAAACACCCACTATGTACCCACAAAAATTTTAAAAAGAGAAGGCTCTCTTAAAAAAAGATTGCTCTCACCTGAGTGGATAATGGGTTGCAAGGGAAAGGAAAGAAGGAAACCAGCCAAGAAGCACCGTCGTTCTTCACGTGAGAAGTGATGGTCTTGTGGACTCAGGAGTATCTGTGGAAGTGGGGTGAAGTGGGTGGCTCCAGGGGGTGTTCGAAAGTGGGATGGACCCCCTTTGCTGATGGATGGGAGGTGAGGGGCGAGGAGATGGATGAACTGGAGATGACTTGTGGGGTTCTGACTTAAGCAGCCATGTGGATGCGGATACATTCACTCTAACAGGGATGAAAGGAGAACACAGAGGCATGGAGGACATCCAGACTTCTGTTTTGGCCTGGTCACAGATCTGACGTGCCCGTGGGGCATTGAGGAGATGTAAAGTATGAAGCTGGAGGTACAGTCAGAAGTCATTGGAATTTCTGGGCTGGAAATGTACCTGGAGGATCTCAGCATAGGACTGGACTTGGGCACCTGGGGAAAGGGTTTTGGGGGAGAGAAGAGGGATAGGTCTGAGCCCTAAGAAGCACTGGAATGTCAGCAGGAATGATGGGGGGAGCAGGAAAGCCAGGAGGGTTGGAGCCACGGGAGCCAAAAGAAACTGCTCAGAGGCCACACTGGGGAGGATCGAGGGTACCCACTGGATCTGGTGACTTGGAGGAGGCTGCTGATGGTGACAAGTCATTTCAGTTAGTGAGGATGAAAGGCAGATTGGAGTGGGTTGAAGAATGAGTTGGAGGTGAGGAGGCAAAAGTGACATTTAGGGACAACTCCTTGGAGAGATCTTGCTGTCACACTGGGCAGATAAATGGGGAAGTGCTGCTTACTTGGGTTTCTATGAACATAAGAAACAGTCTCTTCATCATTTCTAAACCTCTCTCCCACTCTGATGCACCCACCCACAGCATTCCATGATAAAATAAACCGTGGATGATGTGCAGTCCCCAACATAGTAGCTGTGACTCCATTCCTTTTTCTCCCTTTTGAGAAAGTTTCTAGGAATGCAAATCAGGCAGAGTAATGTTGGGAAAACCACAGATCTGCTGACTTCCACACATTCAACTATTATATGTAACCAAATTATTTGTAGCGCAACTTATTATTGATCACACCATACATTATTGTTGGCATGCTGGCTGAGATGTGTTGTTGTTCCAGACATGGTTGGGTGGCATTCATTCATTAAATCATTCATTCATTTATCAAATTTTTTTGAGCACTAACAATGTGTCAACTCTGGGCACTGGGAGAAGTGGTGAACAAGACAAAGATAGCCTCTGCCCTCAGGAGCTCTAGCCAGGTGGGGAGGCAGACATAGAGTAAGTGATATCAGTTGAGCTTACAGCCAGAGAAGCACTGTGTTCTCAAAGACAGCATCACTGCAGGTGCTGGCCTGGTCCACAGGTGTAGCAAGAGTCTCTGAAGAAGTGAGGATGAATAAGCAGAGAGCAGAATTAATGAGACTTGTGCTGGGACTGGGTATGGACAGCAGCCCAGGCAGAAGTGAATACCCAGGAGTGGAGGGAGCCCATTTCCACTGGGGTCAGGGCCAGCCCGTCCAGAAGGTCAGAGGAGGAGAGAGTGGGGTGAGAGGCGGGGTCCAGATGTGCGGGGCCTGGGGGCTCCAGCCAGGAGATTGGTCTTTATCAGGAAAGCATTGTGAAGAATTTTGTGTTGAGGGGAGAGGGGTGATGGGATGGTCAGACTTGTTCTGAAAGAGCGCTCAGGTGTCTGGGGAATGGGGTGTAGTTGTACAGAGAAAGGTGACAGGCCAGTATCACTTGTATACAGGCAGGGGAAGACATTAAGTCCCTTCCAGCCCTATTTCACCAAACATTGCTGGTATTTGGAAACGGGGTGGGGGATGGGGCAGGACCAGACTTCTGCTTCTCAGTGTTCTGTCCCTGTAGCCTGATCTGTTTTTCCTCTCTCCCCTCCCTCCCATCTAGGGGAACTCAACAGGTTAGTGCTGGGGCCGGTTCTCAAGGGGCAGGACAGTGGTAAGCATGGCATAGGGCATGGGAGTGCAGAGATGCAGGTGGGTGCATGACTTGGGATGGGCAGTGCAGATATTCACTTATCCAGGGAATGGCAGGACGGTGGTTATCAAACTTTGCCATGCATAAAAAACGCCTCGGGAGCTCATTAAAAGTGCAGACTTGGAAGCTTTCCTAAGGAATGCTGACTCAGCAAGTGGGGCGGTGGGGCAGGAATCATTTTTAGGAAGTTCGCTTCTCTCTCCACCCAGGTGATTTTGATCTAGATAACCCGACGGCCTTCCTTTTGAGAATGCCTCCATGCTGGCCTGCGTCTTGGCCTCATATCCTCAGTCCCCTCTTCTGTCTCGCACCAGCCTGGGCCTGAAAGCTGATTTTAGCCCTGCATTAAGATGTGAATGACCCAGGACATAGGCGTGGGCAAGGACTTCATGTCCAAAACACCAAAAGCAATGGCAACAAAAGCCAAAATTGACAAATGGGATCTAATTAAACTAAAGAGCTTCTGCACAGCAAAAGAAACTACCATCAGAGTGAACAGGCAACCTACAACATGGGAGAAAATTTTCGCAACCTACTCATCTGACAAAGGGCTAATATCCAGAATCTACAATGAACTCAAACAAATTTACAAGAAAAAAACAAACAACCCCATCAAAAAGTGGGCGAAGGACATGAACAGACACTTCTCAAAAGAAGACATTTATGCAGCCAAAAAATACATGAAAAAATGCTCATCATCACTGGCCATCAGAGCAATGCAAATCAAAACCACTATGAGATATCATCTCACACCAGTTAGAATGGCAATCATTAAAAAGTCAGGAAACAACAGGTGCTGGAGAGGATGTGGAGAAATAGGAACACTTTTACACTGTTGGTGGGACTGTAAACTAGTTCAACCATTGTGGAAGTCAGTGTGGCGATTCCTCAGGGATCTAGAACTAGAAATACCATTTGACCCAGCCATCCCATTACTGGGTATATACCCAAAGGACTATAAATCATGCTGCTATAAAGCCACATGCACACGTATGTGTATTGCGGCATTATTCACAATAGCAAAGACTTGGAACCAACCCAAATGTCCATCAATGATAGACTGGATTAAGAAAATGTGGCACATATACACCATGGAATACTATGCAGCCATAAAAAAGGATGAGTTCATGTCCTTTGTAGGGACGTGGATGAAATTGGAAACCATCATTCTCAGTAAACTATCGCAAGAACAAAAAACCAAACACCGCATATTCTCACTCATAGGTGGGAATTGAACAATGAGATCACATGGACACAGGAAGGGGAATATCACACTCTGGGGACTGTGGTGGGGTGGGGGGAGTGGGGAGGGATAGCATTGGGAGATATACCTAATGCTAGATGACGAGTTAGTGGGTGCAGCGCACCAGCATGGCACATGTATACATATGTAACTAACCTGCACAATGTGCACATGTACCCTAAAACTTAAAGTATAATTAAAAAAAAAAATAGAAGTAAATTAAAAAAAAAAAAAAAAAAAAAAAAGATGTGAATGACCACGTTCCGGGCTGGGGCGGCCGGGCTGTCGGGCAGGCAGCGCGCGGCCACCAGGGGGCGCCAGAGCCTTGGCTCGCGCGCTCGGCCTCCTCCGCCCGCGGACGCCGCGCCCGAGCCAGCGAGCGAGCAGAGCACATCGCTGCGGGCTCACAAAGCGGCCAGACGCTCGGCGGCGGCGTGTGGCAGGAGCGCAGGGGCGCGAGCCGGCGATCAGCCTTCCCGGCGACCGTGCCGCGGGAGCTCGAGCAACTCGGACTAGGGGACCCGGGCCGGCCCCCAAGGTACGTGCCCAGAGGAACCCCGCGCCCCAACTTGGAGTAGTTGGGACCTCCCCGCGGCCGCCTAGGGGGCTGGCAGGGTCAGGGCCTGGGGTTACCTCCGCGCGCCTTTCTTACCCCCGAGACCTCAGGGCGCTCAAGGGAGACCTTTCCCTTAGCTGTCGCCGGGGACCCCCAGCTGCTGGCAGCCCCCACCCCGCTTGCCGGAGCTCGGGTGCTGCTGGAGCCCTGTTCTCCCCTCTCCTGCCCCAAAGCCGTGTGCACCGCACCGTCTGTGGGAGTGCGGCGTGCGGACCCGGGCTCCCCGCTTCTGGGGAGGGGTACCAAGCCCCTGATAGGAGGGCGGCATCTGTGGGGCACTCGGAGAATAGACGAGACGGGTCCCCTGTAGTTGGACGGCAGCCTCGGATTCGTGACGCAGCCTCCTCGTTCGTAGATGAGTCCCCCATTCGTGAGAGGGGTCCCTGGGTCTAGAGGCGCGACAGGCGCCCCAGGTGCGCGAGCGCTGCCCGTGCCCGCCGCGGGGTCCCCGCCTCCGGGCTGGGGCGCTGGGACGCCTGGGTGCCCGGGGCTCGCGGCCGCCCGCCCTCTTCGCTCATCGCCCTGCGCGCCCTGCCCCGCAGATGCCGGCGATCGCGGTGTTGGCGGCGGCCGCCGCGGCGTGGTGCTTCCTCCAAGTCGAGAGCCGGCACCTGGACGCGCTCGCCGGAGGCGCGGGCCCCAACCACGGCAATTTCCTAGACAATGACCAGTGGCTGAGCACCGTCTCCCAGTACGACCGGGACAAGTACTGGAACCGCTTTCGAGACGTGAGTACCGGCGCCACCCGGCCCTGGGGGGCGCGGAGCCTCTCGGAGGGGACCCCTGAAGCGGGGTTGGGGTGTGTGTGTGTGTGTGTGTGTGTGTGTGTGTGTGGTTGGGAGGGGGACAGGTGGGCATCTCCCGCGGGGGCTGGTCGGTCCCAGCTTCCTGGGTGCGGTCTTGCCTGAAAGGAACTTTAAAGAGAACTTCGAAGGCTCCATGCGCTTGCCTGTTACCTGTGGCCCAGGTGTGTGTATTCGTAGGGCTGCGGGAGGTGACTGCACTAAAATACAGCACAGATCACCAGTAGCTGTGGAGAAAGAGGTTCTCTGAGCTTCCGACTTCTCCTAACCGTGATGGTAGACTTTCCCTAGCTCCGGAGAAAACCTCCCCGGGGCAGCGGTGGCGTGGACCATCTCTGGGGTGTGTCAGGAGAATCCCTACTGGAGAGGTTGGGTCTGGGAGTGGTCCAAGCTATTTATGGGGGAGCTATTTATGGGAGTCAGGTGTTGCATGTGTGTGTGTGTGTGTGTTGAGGGAGGCGGTCATGGCAATGGGCCTGATAAAATACAGGGGAGGTGGGGTGGTTTGACCCTCGGAATCTTGAAACAGGAACAACTAGCCCGTGCAGTTGGTCCCCTGCCCTGAAAGGGACCCTGGGTGGCAGAGCATTGCTCCTCCGTGGGAGCCCTGGGAGTGGAGAAAGTTACTCCCGGACACGCAGAAACACACTTGCGGCCTGTTTCTGCCTCAAGGCTGGCTGCCACTCCCCAGGTGTGCCCCAGGGATGTGGGGCAAGAGGCATCTGGTGCAGTCTTTCCAGCAGATGGCATCTCCTCTGTTCTGTGGGAGCGTCTGCCAGCTTCTTCAAGGACTGCCCCAGCTGGCCAGGGCCATGCCCTTCTAGGGGACTTGGGAGTACCATGTTTTATGGTACTTAACATTAGGAATTCCTGTTTCTGAGAAGCCTTAAATATTGTAAAAGTGCCCAAGGCATAACAGTAAAAAAGAGAAAAGCTTTAATGTTCAAAGGCACTGTTTCTTTTTGTTTGTTTCTGATCAGTTTTAGGTGTTAAACTAATATTTTTAGCAGCATGTATTTTTTAAATATGATAATTTGACCTATACCACAGACCCCCTTTGTTAATGTCCCCGGGCATGGTTTACAGACTCTTTGAGGTGGGATATGTATGGGGATCAGCTTCCTCCACTGGACTCCTCTAAGCTCTGCTCTCAGTATCTGCAGGCCTTGCAGGGAGAGGGAATTTGAGACATTGAATGAATCCCAGATGTTTCCATACACTTTTTAAAGAGCACCCTCTCCAGATCCCTGTCCAGAGGAGATGCACTCATAGCTTTGTGTGGGGGTTTATCACTCTCCTCTCTGTTCCTCCTCTTCTTTTTTCTAGTTGATGTTGGACTGCTTCTCTTGGAAAGGGGATTTCAAACACTTTCAATGAATAGCCACAGCTATTTGGGGCCTTTTATCGAAATTGTAATTTCATTAAAATTTTTAATTGATACATAATAACTACTAGGGTCTTTTGCAGTAGATATGCCCCTCACTTTCCTCCCCTACCCCAGTGAGATTCCTGCCATTCATTGCCCCATTCCTGACCTGCTCTGTTAACTGCTTAGATCTGAGAATCCTTCATTGATTACCTTTCCCTATGGCTGAAAAATGTGCCCAAACCATGAAGGATTCACCTGGGGCAGAGATAATTTTGCTTTTTGTTTTGTTTTGTTTTTACTTTTCTATGGCTATCTTTTAGATAGAGTTGAAGAGCAGGGCAGTTGCTTGACTTTGCTAGAGGTGGAAGAATTGAGCCAGGATTAGAAGTGAAGGGCCACCTCTGGAGATAGATGCCTTGGTGCTCCTGGCAGCTGGATTGAGTTGAAAACACTTGTGCTTTTTTGGATCTTTGGGTTATGGAAAGGTTTACTGTGCTTTCATGCCTGTTCAAGATTTTCTAGTCTCAGTGTATCATAAGCATGATATTCTGAATTCCTGCTTAGCTTTAAATTTTTTAAAATTGGGCTTCTGTTCATTTCCCATCTTTATTATGGATGGTGGTGACATTTTTAGATCTTTGGAACAGTGTGTTTCCAAACCTGACTGAGGATGAAGCTCACCTGAAGTGCTTGTTAAATTATAGCATCCATGGTCCTACCCTGGAGAATCTGACTTTACATTTCTGGGGTGAGTGCAGGGAATCCATATTTTAAGCAAACATACTAGGTTATTCTAATGTTTAGGAAATACTGCCTTTAGATAGTATAAAAATGTCCAAGACATAACAAAAAGAAAAGCTTTTATGTCCCAATACACTATTTTTTTTTGTTTTTGTTTTTGGAGCGGTTTTAGACATTAAACTAATATTTTTAGCAGCATATATTTAAAAAATGATAATTTAATCCAGCATGCCATTAAAACATCTAAAAATGTTCAAAAAAATCCCAAACTTCTTCATTCATCACCCATTTTATGTGCTGTATGGAGTCACCTGACACTAACAGTGGCTCAGACATAATTTAATGTCATTAACCTCTTTAAAGTGTTGTGGAACTCAGACCAGACACTCTTTTAGGGCAAGTCCCTGGAATAATCACAAAGCCTGAGCCTGGGAACAGAGGGTAAGAATTTGCTTTCTACAGAAACCTACTATTCAGTGGACAATCGATAAAGCCTCAGCTAATCTTGCAGTTGCTCAGCCAGCCTAATCATTTTCATTGAGCCAAGCCTTGCTTGAGGTTGACAAAGCCTCAGCTTCTTTGCTGTTTCTTTGTTTTGTTGAAGCTACTGATAACTTTGAAAGGCTGTGTCCCACAATTATTGTTATGATGCATGTCAATTTTTGGAACTCATTGTGAAAGAAAACTTCTTGCCTTCCTCCTGACTTGTCTCTTTGTTGGACTTGGGGGAGAGATTCAGATGTGATTTTTGAAACTTGGAAACTGAAAACTAAGGGCTGCTCTTAGAGAGTTGATTGTAGCCCTTGGGTGTTGTTACAGGGTCAACTTTGAAATGAATATGACAGTGGGGTGCGTGTTCCATATCCCTTGACTACTGGGTGTGCTGTGACATTGCCAGAGGTGACCTGGCAACCTCTACTTATCATTTTGAAAAGTGTCCTATTGCTCTAGATGTATAAATACTTCCTATCCCCTTCTTTTTAGAAGTAAAGCCTTTAGAACAACTCCATGGCTTATTCCCTGGAGTTACAGATCCAGGACAAATAGAACAATGCTCAGATGATTGCTCCTAAATGTATTTGTGGTCTGTTAGTTTTGTCATTCTTCTTTTATAAACACTAGCAATTGGGAAGTTTTGGCCAGATGGAGGCCTGGACTTTTGTACACAATGTTAAGGAGGCGATGAAGAAGCAGATCTTTGTATTAAGTTGTTCAATAATTTTCCATCTTTAGCTGACATGCATTTAACTCCTCCATGGCTTGAGGTTGAGGGATCAAGATGCCACAACCATTCTCCTAATTTTTCTGCATCTGATTTGGCTTTGGCTTTCCATAACCATTACCATAAGGAAATTTTCCTCTGTTCATTTGTACCTTCATTCATTCCAACAAATATTTATCTACCATTGACTAGGCATTGGGTTATAAGAGTGAACAAGATAAATACATGTAATCTCTTCTTTCATGTAACCTCTTGTCTGCTAGAGGAAATTCTTTAACTTATGCTGTCATAGACTACTTATTCTGTTTTCTTTTAAAAAATATTTTTTCTAGAAACATAATACAGTCTGGTTGTAACTAAAAGATTAAAACATTGCAGAAATAGGTAATAGCTAACATTTATGGAGCATCGAGTGTGCCAGACACTGTTTAAGGTACTTTCCATGTATTATCTCACTTAATATTCATAACAATCCTATGAGAGAAGTACTTAACCCTGGGAGGTTAAGTCTTTTGATCAAAATTAGAGCTGAGATGTGGAGGAGCTGGGGCTGGAACTATGCCATCTGACTCTAGGCTCCCTCTGTACCACAGCCAATCAGGGGCTGAGTGGATTTGGGGTGCAAGCCTCCACTGATAGCACATTGCAAGTTTTTCCTGCTTTATGAATGAGGGCAACCCGTGAACAGCCTTAGGTTAAGACAGAGTGGGATGGGAAGTCAGCTGGACACAGTGTATTGTGGGGGTCATGTCAGGGCTTATCTTCTAATAATGAGCTTCTGATTTGATTAAAATAATATTGTTGCTTACACCAAACATGACATTTTCTTTCTTTTGCACACATGAAACCCTGACATTTAACTTTAGGATAATTACCTTTAGCGGGCCTGAAGAATCAGAAGTGCTGCCTTGGCTGGAATTTATCTTACTGTGGAGTGACCTGAGTGTGTAATTCTAATAAGAGCACAAGGACCAACTTCTGTTCTTTTTCCTTCTGGCACATGCTCTGTGGGATTTGGTGGTCTTTGTAGCAGAGCTGGGGTGGCAGCGAGCATCTGATCTGCTCATTTGATCTAACATATCAGCTATAATGAGTTTCAAGGGCAAGTGGAGCCTATTGATAAAATAGTGGCTGGCCCAGTCAGTGGGGCTGGTGACAAAAGAGGTGGTATGGCTTAGTGGATCAGTCATTAATCTGTCATCACGGAAACTCAGCCCGTAATCGAGAGTAGCAGAAAATCATTTTGATTAAACAGGTTCAAGGAGACTTAAATGAGTTTGTGATCCTGACTCTCTTTAATGAACCCACTATCTTAAATCCCCTGTACTAGCTGACCATTGATAGAAATAATTATTTCACAGGGATCATTATAAAGGGACAGTTTAAAAGTTGATAGGCCTAAGAGCCTTCTTGTCTTCTCTGTCCTTACCTTCAATGTGCCCTTGCCAGAGAAAAGCTAAGTCTTCTCAGATGGCAGAGCTCCTTGCCCCAGTTGGCCTTCCCAGGCCTCTCCATGATACTTCAGCAGAACTGTATCACTGGGAGGATAAGTGCTCTCCTATATTCTGATGAGGCCAGTTTCAAAACCAAGAAGTGGCTCCAAATGGATAATGGACCCGTAATACTTGCCTAGAGGAGTGGGACCTCATCATTCGCTCAATCACTTTGTTACTTGAGGAGGCAAAATAATGTTAGTAATTAAATAATGTATCATCATTTCTTATTGATTTACTCAATATAATGTGTTTCAAACCAAACACAATAACTAAACACAAGCACATTCAGGATGACTCATTTTACCTTTCCTGTGGTGAGGTGACTGCCTGTGGTCCTTGGAAAATTCATAAGACCCAGATTATACTTGGTCTTATCTCTCCAGGTGAGATAGTTACAAACAAAATAAATTTCCTGTAAGAGATTATGTAATTCACTTAAGGTTATAAGTATTTGTCCATCATGTTTCATTCGGTGTGAGATGCCACCAATGGTAAGATGCACCATTTTAATGAACCGTCAAGGAGTAAGACAGTGCCCAGTGTGAAGAGTTTAATAGACCTCTGGATAAAGCTGGAATTCCAAAGGGCTACACTGTGTAGAGGTAAACAAGAAATGAACTCACCATGAAGGGAAGGGGCTGCAGCAAGGCTACTTGCCTGTCTCCACCTTCCATTGGTGGATGGAGAGAAAAGACATGGTCCAAGCAACTGAGCAGTCTGGCACTCTCGCAGGTTTCTGGTCTACATGCACACTCTCATTGTGCCCTCCCCCCATAAAAAACTTACACAGTTCATTTAACTTAAAGCAATCTCAGATTATTTATCATCTCTGGGCCACTGACTCATTTGTTAAGAAATGATAATAATATTCCTTTGGTGAAACTTTAGATTGCAAGTGACTGAAATGTGGTCCAAGCTGGCTTAAATGGAAGAGAAAACATACTCGCTTGTATAACTAAAAAATTCTAAGAAGCTGTGGTTTTATGTAAGGCTGGATCCAGGGGTCAAGTTACATCATAGGACTAGGGGTTTGTGTGTGTCTCATTCTGTCTCCCTGCTCCTATGTTGGTTTTGTGCTCAGGTTGTTTGGTTCCATGTAGTGGCTCATGGCAACTGCAAATCTGCATCATCATAGTTTTCATGTTCTCGATAGTGCCAACAGAAGTCCCAGAACTGAGACTTGTCAGATTTCCCGGCGTTAGGCACCCATTCCTCCGTCAATCACTTTGGCTAAGTTGGTAGAGTGTGCTGATTGTCCAAGTCTGGGTTATGTGTCCAAGTCTGGGTTATGTGCCCAGGGCTGGGGCCTAGGGCTAGAGTGGTGGAGGGGTTTCATTGGATCCCACTGTTGATGGATGGTAGAAGGGTAATTTCTCAAGGGGAAATGGATGCCTGATGGGCAGATGTCAACAGATGTCCACTGTGTTGACCAAGCTTATGGGTTTAGCATGAAGAGTAAGTTGGTTAATGCAGGTGAAGCTCTTAGCACAATGCCTGGCATCATAGATAGCAAGTGGAGGCTATTCTTTTTATTAATATCAACAATTCCTATAGCACTGTTATGCAGTATTCCTTGATTTATAGTTGTATATATCTACATTTTAGCTTATTTAATAGTTGGATGCCTCCTGAAGAACCTAAGTCTTGTCATGCCTCACACACAGCAGGTGGCCAATAAGCATTTTGTTGACTTGAATTGCCTCCTGAGCAAACCTCTTGGATGAATCTGAGGAAGGAAAGCTTTTAGAAGCATACTAGGCACATGTGTTTATAGTCTCTGAGAGGTGGAAATTCTCAGGGTCACACATATCGAAAAACTGTTTTTTAGTCTAACTCCTATCTCTAAGCCAGGACCTCACCCCTTTGTAATTCCTTTTAAGATACACCATTGTATATAGCTTGGTGTCCTCAGACCTTTACCACAGAGCCCCACTCAGAAAGCTGCTCATTGAATGTTGGAATGAATGAATGGCTGAGTGCACTGTCCCAGGCCAGAACTTTCCACACCTGTGGCAAGTGGAGGGGTTCACTGCAGAGGGCTGTCATGGCAGAGTGAGTCATACTAGCTTCGAATGTGTATGTCTCACTCTATTAGTAATTGAAAATGATGATGGATAATAACAAATGCAGTGCTGTTGAGAGGCAGAGGGAACCCAGCAGGGAAATGCAACCCCCCTCGCAATTCCAGCACAATCTCTGATTCCGTGAAAAGCTCTTTGAGGCTGAGTCATGTCATGGTGTAAGTGCCCACTATTAACCTGAGGTCACGTTCCAGTCTTGCCAAAGCTAAGCTTAGGTGTTTGGCTAGAGCATCAGTTTCTTCTGTAAAACTGGAATGGTGATACTTGCATTGTGGGGCTCTGGGGGAGGACTGAGTAAGCACGTGGCACAGAGTAGGTACTTGTGATCTTTGAGTGGCTGGTATATCTATTTTAATTCGTAATGATCTATAATCATTTAATTTAAGGGAGCTTCTTGTCTGGCTTGTGAGTGTGAGTTGTTGGCACTCAGCTATAGATGCTGCTTTCTGTCTCTTAGAAACATGTTGGGGGAGTCAGTTCCATGATCATGAGCCTGTCTTCACTCCATTTCTTGCCAGTCTGGAAGGCTGTGTGAGGTTCCATATGGCCCATTCTTTGTTATTTTCCAGTTGTAGCTCCTGGCACAGAAGACCTTGCCATCATATTTTATATTCTTGCTGGACCTCCTCCCCCAAAACTGGCAACTCTCATCATGACGTAACTGGGAGGGGGTTTGTATGCAACTGTGTCTGAAATCCAAGTTATGCGAAGGTTGCTCTTGGGAGCCCCGTTATGCAACTAAGCACTACTTGGTGTCACTTTAATGTTAAGCTCTGATCCAGTTGCCTCCAGCTCACCTCAAGAGGTAGAAACTTCATCTTGTCCTGCCAGAGAGGTCTCAGGCAGGCTTTATGGGCACCAGGGGATGGGATCCATTTTGAGACAAATGATCCAACCGGCCTGTGTATTACTGCGGCGTTCTCAGCACGCTCTGTATGTCTGGTGCCCATAATTTGGTCTTGATTTTGCATCATGTTGGCATCACTATACTTGGGGAAGTTCTTGCAGGGGCTAGCACCTGCTTCTTGGCACTCAGGCAGTCCCCAAGCTCCAGATTTGGCTTTAGAACCAAAGGAGAATACTAGTAGGGATTAGCCAGACCTTTGATCCTTCTCTCCAAAGACCCAGTTCTTCAGTTCCAGATCATTATGGGTCGTCAGAGGGCCTGTCATTCACTACAGCCCAAGCAGGTTGGTTGTGGCTTAGGAGAAACCCAGCAATAACAAATAGTTAATGCAGGTAGGGTAATGTGTTGTCACACAAATGTTCTTCAAATGCCAGCTATGTGCCAGGCCTCTGCTAGGTGTCGGGTGAAGAAGATAGACACATTTGTACCTTCCTGGCATTTATGGTCTAGTATGGTAGACAAACAATCACGGAATAATCATTTATGTTCCTTTGAGAAAAGTACTACAAGGCAGAGGCACCGATGCTCTCAGAATATGTCATGGGAAGAGGGAGGAGGAACCCATTAACCTTTTTGGCTGGGGACTGCTTCCCTGGGAAGGGCATTGAAGCTGAGCCCTGCAGGAGGACTGCAGTGAACCAGGTGAGGAGAGGCCATGGGAAGAGTGGGTCCAAAGGTCTTGAAGTGGGAAAGACCTTGATGTGTTTCCATCAGATGTGTTTGCCCTAGTGTTCCCTTAAGTAGCAAGCTCTCTCCTAGTGTATTTTAAAGCACACTTCACACATTTTCAACTTAACACACATTTGGGGGCAGGGGAATGAGTCAACTGCAAAAAGTGAGGCACACAGATGGCCCAAGTACTTGGAAGGATGGCCTGTTCTTTTCCTCTCCTCTTTGTGCCTCTCTGTGCCATCTTCTGCAGCCATCTCTATTGTATAAACATCCCTCACTCTGGTCCCCCACTTAATCCTTCCTACTCCTCTGGTGTCCATGGTCTGGAAGTTTCTCCTTCCCTCTGTGGTCAAATGTCCTGGGCTTTAGAGCTCCTACAGTTCCTACTGCTGTTTAGAAATAAGAGGATCATAGTGTTTCTTGGTCAGAGTGGTGATCTGTGGAGTTTATATTTTAAAAATGAGACTAGTATACATGGGGTTGCTCCTTCAGCTCCTCCCCTTACCTTTTCCCCTTCCACTGTCACTTTGAGGCTAAAGATGAAAAGCAAGACATTCATCTAAGGGATCAGCTTAGCGGCAGAGATAGACACGCATGCACTTACTTCAGCACCACATGGGGAGTGTGTGGATAGCATGTGCACCTTCTTGCCCTTGGGTCTGAGTCTGCCCATTGTTCCTATGACAGACATGGGGATAATGGTTTCTTTTTGGGGAAGATGAAAGATGCATTCACAGACTGGTGATGTGAATTATTGGGGATCCCTTTAGAAGGATAATGCTAAGATCCAAGTTAATTTGATTTGGTAGCTTTTCTCATGGTTTTATGAAAATATACCCCCCAGAGACCCTCTCACTTCATTCTCAAAAACAAACTTTTCTTTGGGGAAAGGGAGGAAGGGCGGACATATTATACAAGGATTTGTAATGCTTCTGAAACCCTTCCTGTGTGATCTGGGACACATCACACTCCAGAGGGCACCGTCAACATTCCCCAGCAGAATTATGTGGTAGGTGAGCAGGCATTTATGCAAAGTCCGTCGGCGCCTGTGATTGGAGCAGGGAAGTGGAACTTACTGCAGGTGTTCCAGGCAATCTTTGCCCAAATAAAACATGGAGAAAACAAACATGCAGAGAGCAGAGGCCTCTACTTTTTATTTCAGCTGTACTCGTCTGTCCCGCCGTGCAAATGGAGTCACGCTCTAACTCAATTCTGAGAGGCCTGGCCAAGACAAAGAGAAAAGATGCCCAGAGCGGTCTGTTAGAGTGGCATTCTCAGACTAATATCTTTACAGTCTTGAGAAATCACTGTCAGGGTTTATTTAAAATGCAGATTTCATCCTGCTAGTCCAGAGCATAGGCTTTAGCAGGTCAAAGGTGGCACCCAGGAACCTGCATTTTAAATGAGCAGTCCAGGTGATTCTTTTTTTTTTGAAGACAGAGTCTTGCTCTGTCGCCCAGGCTGGAGTGCAGTGGCGCGATCTCAGCTCACTGCAACCTCTGCCGCTTGGGTTCAAGTGATTCTCCTGCCTCAGCCTCCCGAGTAGCTGGGACTACAGTCATGCGCCACCACGCCCAGCTAATTTTTGTATTTTTAGTAGAGATGGGGTTTCGCCGCATTGGCCAGGCTGGTCTCAAACTCCTGACCTCAAGTGATCCGCCCACCTTGGCCTCTTAAAGTGCTGGGGTTACAGGTGTGAGCCACTGTGCTCAGCCCAATCCAGGTGATTCTGATGTAGGTAGTTCTCAGACTGTATTTTTAGGAAAATCCTAGAGAATTGTTATCCATCCCAAATAGCCAACACCATTTAGCTGCAATGAATAATAACATTTTAGACAAAATGAGCATTTTATTTTGAAGACTTGCAATAAATTAATATGAGTGCAGTATTTTCCCCTTATGCCAACAGGGCTACCATTCACATCAGAAAAAATGGTCTTGTTTTCCAATGTGTGACTCAACATAGGCCTCAGCAACAGCTATTGTCATGAGGTTTTCCTGGAATGGAATAACATTTGGGTCTTGATTGGCTGCCAGGGCCCAGGGATGCTTGCACACATGAGCACAGTGGAATTGATGTGGGACCTTCTACATGATGAAATTCCAGGGGATCATCTCAGCATATTTGTCTCCAAAAGGCTTGATTCTAGCTAACTCTGGCCTGACTTTGTATCTAACCCAACTGATATGTTTTCTGCACAGACGAAATGAAGGAAATTGACTCTGACGTTGGCTTTAGTTTATAGTGAAAAGAATATTGAAACTGAAGTGGTGTTAAGGGTATGGAACAAACAAGGAATGGTGGATGTAATAAAGAATGTTTACTCTTGGGCACTGAGATGCAGATACTGATAGTCGGAACCACAGAGGGAGTCTGAGACACAGGGGCTAGATGGTGACATTACCTGATACTCTCTTTTTGGTGTAGTCAGTTCTTTTCTTGGTTGGCCAGAGGTTTTTTTTTTTTTTTTTTTTTGAAAGATCAGAAGGCATCCACTCCCCTGCCCCCTAAAAAAGGACTCATCAAAGTTTAGAAAATTTATGAGCATCAACCAGACTTGGCAGTATTCCTCATTCTGAAGTCATTCTATTCCCACTGAACAAACTCTCAAATGTTCTTTTCCCCAGCTGCTTGAATTTCCTTTAATTAATGGTAAATTCATGGCACCTAAAATTGATTAAAAAAAATTGCCAAGAGGAAGAAAATAGTTAAGTCTGTTGGACAGACTGTTGTGGCTATTTGGAGGTCTTTCCATTGTTCCACTGTTAGGGGAATATGGGGAATTTCTGGATCTTTCCATGCTTATTGGACATGATGATTCCCTGTGACTTCTGTGGACGTGGTTGGCTTGTGTCAGTACTTTCATCTGGCCAAGGCCTCACTTCCCATCTGAGTCAGCCAGCCTTGTCATGACTCTGGACCTGGTCTGGAGCCTTTGTCCAGCCACCTGGAATGAGGCCTGCATCACTTCCAATGACTAAGACGGTCAAATTCTATCCACAGTAAAGATAAAATAATACTGTGTTTACTGTTGTTAGAGAAATTGTGAGATTTTTACATGCCAGAATTGTTGGTTTAAAAATTCCTATGCCAGAAAGACCTTTTCATGTGTTTTTTGGAATATTTTGTTTCTTTGCATGGCCATCCAGGTCCTAGATCTTTGCCTTTTTAGAAACCAGATCCTGGTGCACTGATTCAGTAGGTTTTGTTTATTCGTGTGTTCATACCAAAGATACTTACTGACCAGGCTACCATGTACCAGGCACCGTGCTATGCACTTAGGATGTAGCAGAGGGGAAACAAACATGATTCCTGTCCCCTGGTCAGGCTGCAGGCTTTCTATTTGCGACAAAGTGAAGAGAAAGAGGTGCTTGGAGGTCAGGGAAACCTGTTGGGGATTTTTCTGCAAAGAAAAGGGCCTACTCTGCAAATGGCCCAGAGCAGTTCTGGCGAGCTGGGCTTCCAGAGGCATTGTCCTTCTTGTGATCCAGGGCCATGTCTCTGAATCTTTCTGGTGGTCAGGTCACTTCAGTTTGCCTCAACTCTTCCTGGCATACATGGGCAACTTCTGTCGTTTTACCCAATTTTATGGGTACAGACACTGCCAACAGGCCAACAGGAAGGTGCTGGCCTGTACAATCAAGGTGGAGAGTTCAGACAAGACAGAACTTGTGTGTGCATAAATGCTGAAGTATGGTGAGTTTAGCCTTGTCAGGGCTGTTGGTCGAGGGCTGTAGTAAATGGAGGAATAATTATGGAAAACATACCCTGCCCTTAGCAGCCCTGGATTGGTAGGGAGTGTGTTTCATTGGAGCATAGCATACAGAGATCGAAGGTGCACATTATAAATGTCCCACTTGATGCAGTTTCTCAAAGTGAACACACCCAAACAGCCAGATCAGGAGATAGAATATTACCAGCATCTTTGAAGACCATCTCATGCCCCTGGCAGTCACTGACTTCTAACACCATAGGTGTGTTTTGCCCATTTTCTTACTTGTATAAATGGAATAAGTATGTACTTTTAAATGTCTGGCTTCTTTTTTTTTCAACATTAAATTTGTTGTACTTTTTTTTGTGTGTGTGTTTTTAAAATTTTCATTGCAGTATAAATATTCCACAATTTATTTACCTGTTATATTGTTGAAGGGCAGTTAGTTTCCAGTTTTTGTTTATTACATAATAGCACTCTCTGAGGCATGTCTTTTGGTAAACCCATGTACACATTTTTCTCAGGTACACACCTAGGTGTGGCAATCCACTGGTCACTGTAAGACAGGTGAGTGTTTAACTTAAAGAGATGCAGTTAACTAGTTTTCCAAAGTGGTTGTGCCAATTACTCTTTCATTCATATATGAAGGTTCACTGGGAGCAATGTTTTTTGATTCACTGATTGAGAAATTAAAAAGAGAAATCCTATAATCTAGCTCATACATCCAATTCAACAAAAGTGTATCAATTACGTGTCAGACATTTGCCTACCCTTATGAAAATTATGTTCCAGTTGAAGGAGAAAAGCAACACGGTTAAAGATACAATGGTTGGTTTTAAGTGCTAGGGACAAAGATACCCTAGTATAGAGGGAATATAGAGGGGATATATTTATGCTGTAATGGTGGGTCTTCCACTATTCTTTTGACTTTACATTGTTCTTTTCCGAATTTGAAGAAATAGATAATTTTTAAAAAAGAAGTTAGAAGATACAGAAGAGTGAAATAAATTATTCCCTCCAAAATGCACTCACCTTGAACACTTTTTGGGAAGGATCTATTTGCCTCCAGTAGACTTTTGAATACTAAAATTTTTATTTTCGTGGTTTTATTATCATTGCTGTTTATCATTATAAACAGCATATTATCATGCTGTTTATATGATTTGGCGCGTCTTTTTTCATGTAACAACACAACATAAACATTTTAGTAAGGTGCTATTCTTTGTAAATGACATTTTAATGGTGTTTTTGAATCCAGTGAGTGTATATGCTACAGTATACCAAACTAAGGTATCTGATGGTAGGCAATTGGTTGTTTCTATTTTTTCCCTATTCTAAATAATTGTGTGACGAATATTTTTGGTTATATGAGTCTTTCTACATTTACAATGATTTCCTTTTGATATATTTCCAGAAGTAGCAATGCTTGGTGTGCCAGCACATGTATTTTAAAGGGCATTGATGTTTGTTGTCACGTGGTACTGATTCTACCCTTGGAACTGTAGAATATGTGTTTTACTGCAACTTTTCCAGCCACGGGTATCAGTGAATTTTGGTAAAGAAGAAGAATTTGAGGGAAACATGGCATGCCAGGTTATGTGCAAGTACTAAATCAGCACCAGCACAGGTAAGGTGATGCATGATCATCAGAGTCCCGATTGGGAGGAATGTTTTCCTGATCCCACTTGAGTTTTGTCAGGGAAACAGGTGTGAGAGCCCACAGCTCACCCAGAGCTGGGGAGCAGAAGCTGCTGCCCTTCCTCATGCTAGTGCCTGGCCTTGGGAATGCTTTGCAGGGCCTGTTCTCTGAAGAGCCCTTTGAACTGGTTGTGGGGATATTAATGAATCTCAGCCTTGTTCCTAATTAGGAGCAGGAGCAGATGCTCCAAGCTGGATTTTAAGTGAAATTGCTGCTGATGGATGCCCTGCTCCTGGTGCAATGTATAGATGTTTTAATGCCCTTGTGGTGGAGGAGGTTGAGAGGGGATCATTGAAAACCAAGTCCATTCCCACCACAGCGGTAAAGTGGTTTTTCCTGTCGAATACAGACAAGGCTTGGGCCCGCATCTCAGTCTTCATTTGTGTTCAAGACATCTACTTGATTTTCATTACCCAATGTTTCCTCCCACCGCAGGCTTGTCTGGTGCACTCACCTCAGAGAGCAGGCAGGCAGAAGGGCTTCCCCGGGTGCTGTCTCAGCATCATGAACGAGACAGAAAACACAACAGTTCTCTTGGTCTGTGTCAGCTCTTTGGGAGTTCTCTGCAGGCCTAGAGCAGTGATTCCCAGCCAGGAGATTTTGCCCCAGAAGACTTTTGGCCCTGTCTGGAGACATTTTTGGTGCCATACTGGTTGGAGAGTGTGCTACTGGCATCTAGTGAGTAGAAGCCATGGGTGCTGCTAAACAGCCTACAATGAACAGGGCAGCCTCCCTCCAACCCCAAAATAAATTGTCACTAGGGTCAAGGTTGAGAAATGCTGGCCTAGAGATACAGTTGCTCCTTTTATAATTATTTTTTAATGTAAGATATAGTCCAGCTGGATGAAGGTAAGAGTGTTGTTCATTTGAGAAATACATGTGCCAGGTACTCTCCTAGGCTCTGGGACACAGCTCTGAACAAAACAGACAACATTCCCTGCCCTTATGGAGCTTACATTCTAGGGCATATGGCTCCTCTTGTTTGTGACGTTTGACTTTTCCAGAGCCAAGAGAAGGGAGGGCTAACTGAACAAATACATTACTTTTTATTTTTTATTTTTATTTCTGGGATGGAGTCTCACTCTTGTCCAGCCTGGAGTGCAATGGCGTGATCTTGGCTCACTGCAACCTCCGCCTTCCAGGTTCAAGTGATTCTTCTATCCCAGCCTCCTGAGTAGCTGGGATTACAGGTGCCTACCACTACGCCTGACTAATTTTTGTATTTGTAGTGGAGACAGAGTTTCACCATGTTAGCCAGGCTGGTGTCAAACTCCTGACCTCAGGTGATCCACCCGCCTCGGCCTTCCAAAGTGCTGGGATTACAGGCGTGAGCCACCATGCCCAGCCTAAATACATTACTTTTTATATCTCAAGGAAGTTTGACAGATTATTACATCCAATCAGGTATAATAAAGACTGTATGATTTTTATTATTTTTGCCAAGATAAATGGCCACTGGGAGATGTTGTTTATTTACCTATGAGTTACAGTAAATTGGCTGCACTGTGAATCAGAGAGCCTGTTTGATTTTGTTACCCTGAGGAGTAGGAAAATGCAGCATAAAAATATTGCTTTTCCCCAAGAGAACTGACAGTCTCCAGATGGATGGGCTGGGTATTCTCCCTTGATTCTTGTTTCTCTGCACATCTTGGGTAGTATCTGTTATTTCCAACGCGATGATCCTTGTTCACAGCTTGCTTCTTTTTCATCTGCTGCATGGCAAATTTTAATGACCCGGTCCCCTGAATTCTGTAGCAGTGACAGCCAGTACCACATGGCTGGGTATTGGGGAGCATGTTCCTCACCCTGGTTCCCGTTTGGTCGGTTTGAGGCACACTTGGATTGTGAACTCCTGTGTTCCAGGCCTTGGCTCCTGTATTGTGGCATCTAGAAGCCTCTCTAGATGGTCAATATACATTTGAGGCTGTGCTGGGGGAGCATCTTCTCTTTCCCTGTATAATTCTAATATCTCTGCCTTGGGGTGGGAAAGGGGACATGGTCCATAACAAAGTGATCAAGCCCACCAGCCTCTCAGAGGATGTCTGATCACGTCTTTACTTCTGGTTCAAGTCATCTGTGAGTCTACATCAAGTCCATAGGATAGTGGAGATGGGGAACAAATGCCTCTGCTCTATTTGGATGTTTCTACAGCTGCTGCTCATGGATGTGAAGTCTTAGTCCAGCATTATGTGGTGTACCATGTGGCCCATGCCATGGCTGGCAGAGAGAGTTCCTTTGGGCATTTTCTGCAGTTTCCCCTTCCCTCCCCTACTTTTTATTCTGTATCCCTCCTCAAATCCTCCCAATTTCTATCCCCGACATCCAGCATGGGTTGCTATCTCTGCCCTGGCCAGTCACTTGCCAGGTAAAGGTCAGATGTCTTAGGCATGGGTAGGAGTATGGGAGAAAAGTCTTTTGGGTCCAGTCTGAAAGGCCCCTTTCCCTTTAAATATTAACTTCCTGCCAATGTAACTCCTGAGCAATTCTAAGCTAAAGTGTATCTTTCTCCTTTCCAGTCTTGAGTTAAAGTTTAAAGGCCTACTGAGCTCTTTGGCATACTTTAGGGGGAATGGAAGACAGGGAAGAAAACCTGTAATGTCATAGCCTTAGCCTGCTCACTTACCGCAGCTTGGCAGGACGCCATCCTTTGAGGTGCTCACACAGACCTGCAGCTGACGTTGCTACTCCGTGACCCATCATCCAACAAGAGACCTTGACACTCCAGGGAATCTTCTGGAGTAACCTTTTAAGATACTTGTTATAGTTTTTAAAATCTTTCTCCTCCATTCCCTTCCCCACTACAGAGTTAGTGTTTATGTGAAATGCATGTAAGACTGACCAGCAGAATGGTTGAGCTTCTGCAGAAATAACACAGATGTTGATGCACAGGCAAGAAATGTGGTTTATGTTTTATGGGACAAGGGAAGCAGATAATCATTTTCTTCCCATATTTTTGACCTAGTAAAATTTTGAGTTTGAGAGATGCTAGACTGTCTTAATTGCTGAATACTTGTGTGCTAGGCATGGTACCAGGCTCAGGGGTGTGAAATTCAAGACTAAATCTTGGCTGTAAGGAGCTAAGGCTATACTTGGATAAACAGGTAAATAGCTGTAATACAAGTTGATGTGAGGGGAAGCATAGGACACCAGGGGAGCCTCAGGGAGGGTCATACAATCCCAGTGGAGAGGTCAGAGAGGCTTGCAGAGAGAGAGAAGGCATCTGCTCTGAATTGTGAAATGCCTTTTGGAGAAGTATCAGAGGAAGAGGGCGAGGGGGAGAATGATGCAGAAGAATCTGTCACCCAAATAAACCTCAGAGCCTCACACAGCCAGGGCTTTGCTTAAAGTTCCATTCACAGGTGCACATCCACCAGCCAAAGGAATTCGTGAGAAGTTTCAGTTTTTACTTCAAGTAAAAAATATTAAAGAATACTCAAAATCATAACCCACAATGAAGGTTCTCAAAAGCTCTGTTTTCCTCCTCTTCCTTCTCCTCTTCCTCTTCCCTCTCCTCATTCTTTTGGTCCCTTTGTATGCTCAGGAGTCTCTCTTATGACAGCAGCATAAAACTCTTCTCCTTAGCCAGGAGGTATTTGCCTCTCCTGGTTAAATACTTCCCACTTTCCCCTGGCTTCTTAGGTGCTCTTCTACCCTCCTGACTTCCAGGCTAGAAATAGATACAATGGTTCTTTAGAGGGCATGGGGTGGGTGACGTGGAGTGGGGAGAAGTTGGGGAAGCTTGACATCTTAATAAATCTCCTCCCTGTCACACTCATGGGCCATTTGGCCATTCAGTGCCCATCCTCTCAGTAATGATAGTTGGGCTCTAATCCACTTACTTCTCTTGGACACATTATTTTCAGACATCCTAATCTCTCTTTCCCAGTGGGTGTACCTTCTCTGTGCAAAGCAAAACAACTCTATGTCCAAGAGAAGCAGGAAGGCCACATAATAGGATTAGTATATCACAGTTGGTAGAGCCGATTAGAACTGATTGTCTTGGGGCAATATTGATTGTCTTTTGGAAATTATTTCAGTAATACAAGTGAATGAGTGTGTGTGTGTGTGTGTGTGTGTGTGTGTGTGTGTGTGTGAAGGAGAGCAACGTGAACAGCTGCAGCTTTCTAAGACCAGTCATAAACACATGTCCTTGTTTACCAAACATGTATGGGCAGCCAGCGTATTGAAGGAATTTCAGTTCGGGAAATAAACATGAGGCAGTTTTGTTTATTTTTAATTGCTGCTTTCCCTTAATAACATCTTGGCAGATTGCATAATTTTCTATCATTTTTAGCCTTAAAAGTAAGTCCAGTTGAGTTTACAACTTCCATCTTACATCAGATTTGGGGTTTTCTCTTCCTGTTCCCCTGCACAGTCTTGACTTGTGGCTTGAGGAGTCTGAGTGGGGATGAATGTCTGATTGATTATTTAACCCTCTTCCTCCCAGGCTTACCATCAAGGTATGCCCTCTAGAGGGCCAGGCAGGGGACTTGCCTACTATATAATTTCTTGATGCAGTGGTTTGAATCCAGGTCAACCTCTTCCTTCCTATCCCGCTTTTATCAGTTAGGACGGGTTAAATTATGCTGTGGTAACCAATAACTCCATGTTAATCACACTTTTGCTTAAAACAACAAAGGTTTGTTTCTTCTCATGCCACACATCTCTCATGGATTATTGGTAGGGGCTCTGATCTGCGTTGTCCCAGGACACCAGGCTGATGAAGGCTCCATCTCCGTGCATTCACAATCACTGTGCAGGAGGAAGAGTGTGCTGTGGGGCCTTGCATTAGCAATTCAGTGCATCTTCTTAGAGGAGATGCCATTTTTGAGAGCCAGGTAGGTCACATGGCCAGACACCCCATCAATGGGCCAGTTAAAGGTGATGCTATCATGTGCCTAGGAGGTGGAGAAGTCACATGCTTGGCCAGTGGTATTAATACTGTCCCAAGGGCATCCCCTTCTGGGGATCTATCCTGCAGAGTTATGCTGCTAAAGTCCTCTCACCTATAGGTGGTCCTCATGGACGGATGGATATGCATGCAGTGGTTCCAGCTGAGCTACTGTTTATGATGCTCCCTAAACTCTCATTCCTTGCTCTACTAACCCATGGGGACAGAGACTTCCCTAATGCTGCATCTTCTCTCAATTTGGCTAGACTTCTTGAATTTCCTTTTCTCTGTTCCGTTAGTCACGGGACAGATAAACAAGCTCGCTGCCTGAGAAAAGGCCCAAGTGGAGAAACAAATCTTCTCTTCTTGCAGGTGCTCCAGTTTTTGAGCAGTTCTCCTATCTAGTATACCCTTACACGGCACTTGAATGGGAACACACCTCGGTGGGAAAACCTGGTGAACCTTGCATGACCCCAAAGGCTGGTGACCACCGCCTTCTCCCTTTGGTTTTCTTCTTATACAGACTGGGGGAGCAGGGAGGCCTGGTGTGGAGTAATGGTAGAGATTAGTTCTTTCTACCCCTTTTATGAAGCTCTCTGGGTAAGAATTATTGTTTCACATCTGAAAGCTTGTTGCCTGCCCCCCTACCCCTATCTTCCTTATTATTATTATTTTTAGAATAGTCAGGAATTTGGTGTTGAACTTTGGTCTTAGTCAAATTTGGGTTGGGGGTGGTGGTGAATACAAAGTCCCATTTAAACAATAGAGTCTGGTATAAGAGACCTAACTCTCTGCTTGGAAACGTAGTAGTTTATTGATAAATAGGAAATCTTACTAATATATACCAATTTTAAAATCCTTTAGATTTGTGGCCTAGCTTATTTTGGTGGAACTTTTACTGAACACAAATTTCTTTTTCTGTTCAAATGTACTAGGGGCTGGGGGGAAAGCTTGTTTAATTTCTAAAAACAAACATTTTATTGGGTCATTTAGTTTATGTTGCATTTAAAGTAAAACCAGTGATTATTTCAAATCTGAATGTCTCTGACATGTGGGACTCAGATGTGATTTTTACTTTAAATCCAGTAATTTCTCACCTTTTTGGGATACCAATGCCAGGCTTGTCTCCTGGAGACTTTGAATCTTGCTACAAGAGATTGTGTCTCAGGCCCTCATGCTTGGTTATCTGATCTGTTGGTGGGTGACTCCAGCTCACTAATCTTTGCTCTAGCAATAATAACAGCTGGCATTTATTATGACTTAGTCTGTGCCAGGTGCTATTCTAAGATGGCCTTGTCACCATTTTCCTCGTGTTTATCCATCCTCCCATGCATGTGTACACCTACACATGTACTGGACTTCTATCCAAGCCTTACACATAGCCCGTTTAATCTTCCTGGTTCTGCTAGAAAATCCCATTACCTCCGTTATATACCTGAGGAACCTGAAACATAGGGTGAGGAGGTGACTTGCCCAAGTAGAGGAGCTAAGGAAAAGAAGGGGAACTTCAAATCTGGGTTTGACCCCAAACCTGCATTCTCCAGCATGCTGTGTTGCTGAATGAAGTCCACTTCATTCTGTTCACTGGCTCAGCAGCCAGCAAGTTGACAGAAACCAGGACTTTTTCAGCTTCCTTACATGAAGCCAAGCGTCCCTCTTTCCAGAGTCAGCAGGGTATGCTGATGTGTGGGAGCTGCTTTTGTCAGCTTTTTACAGTGGTCCTTAGCTTCAGGTGCTGTCTGAGCTGACATGTGGAGCTTAGCAAGGGGTGCTCTGTTAAAATGCAGCTCTGTTTTCCCCCTCAAATGTGATCATTCCCTGGAGAGTAAGTGGGGAAGCGTCACAGTCCAGTGGACATTGACCTACTCTAGCTGCTCTTAGGGGTTGTCAGTAGGTTGACAGGTTTGCTTTGATATCTTAGCCAGAAGGCTGGCCCCCTCTGCTTCCCTGCAAGTTATACTGAGAAATGCTTCAGAAGCTAGAGGTGCAAGTTGGCTATACCCAAACTGAGTGGTCTGCAAGTGTCTTCCCAACCTTGAAGCTGATGAGAAGGGCATCTGGATTGTGCCTCTCCAGAATTCTCTGCAACCGCCTTCCCAGTCCCACTTACAACAATAAATTCACTACTTAAAAAAAACACAAACAAAAAACAAAACATAAAATAAAGCCTCACTTTTTGAGAAAATTAATCAGAAGAAAAAAAACCTGTAATCCTGTCACCCCAAGATAGCCATATTGCTTTATACATTTATATATCCACACATACACAATTTTAAATGAAATCATGAGCTGTATATGCCCCCTTCGTTTTAAAATGCTACATAAACATCTTTCTGGGTCATGGCATATACTTTGAGCATGACTGCCTAGTATTTCTTTGGGTGGATAGTCCAATAATTTATTTAAATAAGGCTTTTAAAAACATTTGGACTGTTTTTAGTTTTTCCCTATTATAACAATGTTGTGATGAACATTTTCGGTGATTAAATCTTTGTTCATCTTTATTATTTCCTTGGCATATATTTTTAGTAAAAGAATTGCTGAATTGCTGCAAAATAAGAATACATAAGACTTTTTTTTTTGAGACAGAGTCTCATTCTGTTGTCCAGGCTGGAGTGCAGTGCCACAATCCCAGCTCACAGCAACCTCCACCTCCCAGGTTCAAGCGATCCTTCCACCTCAGCCTTCCAAGTAGCTGGGATTACAGACACCTGCCTCCATGCCTGGCTGATTTTTGTATTTTTAGTAGAGATGGTGTTTCACCATATTGGCCAGGCTGGTGTTGAACTTCTGACCTCAAGTGATCCACTTGCCTCGGCCTGCCAAAGCGCTGGCATTACAGGCGTGAGCCACCGTGTCCAGCCAAAAATGTAAGACTTCTGATGTGTTTTGCTGAGCTGCACACCTGCCCTGCCCCACTCAGCCTGAGAAGGTCATGTTTCATGATACCAAGGACATCACTGACACCCCTAGAAAATGTTAAGGTCCCCTCCCTTAAGGTCTCAAAGTTCTTAGTTCTTTCACTGACCTATTCCTTCCACCTTCTAGATATTCACTTTTCTCTTCTAAAACACAATGCTGACTTTTTCTTTTTTTAGTACATAGTACCTATGCATGGTTCAAAATATTTCGAAAAGGGTACAGCTGATGTGCTTGCTCCCACCTGTGTTTCTTATCTGCTCTGTTTTGTTCTCTGCTTCTCTTTTCTACCTGCCACAGGTCACCATCTTTTTTAATTTCTTACATATTCTTCCAGAAATTGTGTATGTGCATATAAGCAACTGTATAATTTGGGCCCTACCAGAGAGTGGAGGGTGGGAGGAAGGAGAGAATCAGGAAAAATAACTGTTGGATACTAGGCTTAATACCTGGATGATGAAATAATGTGTACAAAAAACCCCCATGACATGAGTTTACCTATATGACAAACCTGTACATGTACCCTTGAACTTAAAAGTTAAAAAAAAAAAAACCTATAATTTGCCCCCTCCCCAACATTTTACCCCAAGGTAGAAGTCTATACACAGTGTTCTCTAGCTTGCCTTTTTAAACATAAAATATAATGAAGAAACTTTAAAAATAATCAGAACAGAGACAACATCTTCATCTTTTTTTATGTTCAAATACCCTTTAGGCCGAGTTTGGTGGCTCATACTATAATCCCAGCACTTTGGGATGTTAAGGCAGGAAGATTGTTTGAGGCCAGGAGTTCAAGACCAGCCTGGGCCACATAATGAGACCCCCATCTTTACAAAAAACAAAATTAGCCAGCATGGTGTGCTTGTAGTCCCAGCTACTCATGAGGTTGAGGCAGGAGAATGGCTTGAGCCCAGGAGTTCAAGGCTGCAGTGAGCCATGGTTGTGCCACAGCCCTCCAGCCTGGGCAACAGAGTGAAACCTTGTCTCAAAATAAATAAATAAATAAATAAATAAATAAAGATACTTTAGGTGATACATTAATTATCTCATGTTTTCAGTAACAAAATGATCAGACCTAAGAAATTTAACATTAATATAATAATGATATCAAGTTTGCATTAAAATTTCTTACTTTAGCTAGAACCTTGTTGAAAAACATTTCCTCTTACTTTCCAAAAACATTGTATGTAACTGTTTTTTTCTTCCATTCCAGGATCTGTGAGATATTGAATTTGGTTGTTATGTCACATTTGGTCTAGAAAAGAGAAGAGTACTGCTACCATTTGGGGGCGAGGGGGGTCCTTCTGGATATTGTTATTTTTCAAGGGTTCAGGCAGGTTGTCCTGTTGAATGTCACCCCATCTGTACTTGTCTGGTTGCTTCTTCACGATTGGACTCTGATCAGACACTTTGCCAGGAAGATCACAGCAGTGATGGTCTGTATTATACTTCCCACTGTATCACATAAGATGCCATGCCGCCTTGTCTCACTGTTTGGGATCCTTAGTTTGATCACTTGGTTAAGGGGGTGTCTGCCGGCTAGCTCAGTGTAAAGGCACCCTGTTTCCTTTGTATCCAATAAATAATCAGTGAGATGGAAGTTTGAGACCATGTGAATATCCTGTTCCTCAAAAGACCTTTTACCCAAATACTTTAGCATGCATTAATGGTCCTTTCCTATAGTATTACATTGCAAAGTGATGATTTTCCAATATTACCCATATTTTTTTGCTAGTATTTTTTAGTAAAGAAGAGCTTCATCTCTCTCCCACCTTGTTAGTAACACTGTGGACTCCTGGATTTTCTTTCAGTTCAGTGATTACCATTCAGTGTGTTGTCATGGACATCACTGTGCCTATTGATGCACTAATTGTCCCAAATCTGACGATGGGAGCCCTTTCAAGCTTGCTTTTCTGTTCTTTTGAGCACTCACTCACTTTCTGGCATAATAAGATATTCTAGGCTTATCTTGCATTTCCCCAGTCCTGGAATCAGATCCAAAGAATCCTGGTTCCTTCTAATGAGGACTGGTATTTATAAACCAAGATCTGGGGGCTGGGTGTGCAGGTCGCTATCAGCACTTGTCATTACTTTGAGCCACTTTAAATGCACAGAGGCAGGAATGCTATAAATTATGAGCTCTTATCGATACTTTCAGTGTAAATCAAACACCATACCATTAGACTCCATAAAATAGGCTCTTTATTTTTCGCACAGTGAGAAACCTAATTCCAAATAATATCAATACATTTACTTATTTATTGTATTCTACGGTGTATACAAGAGTCTAGGAATTACCGTACTGATAATACAACAAACCTACCAAAGTTCAAATTTTCTTTTTTTTTCTTTTTTCTTTTATTTTTCCATAAGTTATATGGGGTATAGGTGGTATTTGGTTATGTAACTTCTTTAGTGGTGGTTTGTGAGATCCTGGTGCACCATACGCTGCACCGTATACATAGTCTTTTATCCCTCGCTCCCCTCCCACTCTTCCACCCAAGTCTCCAAAGTCACATTGTATCATTCTTATGCCTTTGTGTCCTCACAGCTTAGCTCCCACATATCAGTGAGAACATGTGATATTTGATTTTCCATTCCTGAGCCACTTCACTTAGAATAATAGTCTCCAATCTCATACGGGTCACTGCAAGTGCTGTTAATTCATTCCTTTTTATGGCTGCATAGTATTCCATCGTATATATACACCACAGTTTCTTTATCCACTAATTGATTGATGGGCATTTGGCTTTATTAAAATTGTTGAAGTGAGGTTATCCTAACAGTGCGAAGAAAATAATTCGGGTGCTGTAGACAGCTAGCTCTTTTTGTTCCTACACTATATCCCAGTAAAGGTTTAAAGGAGTAGTGTTTTGAAAATTACTTGGACAAATTCTTATTTTTAAAGTGATTTTGTTTCCATGTTAATATACGATTAGGTTTTCTTATTGCTGTTTGTATTCAACTTTAGGGTATGCTTTGTTCATCACTTTAAAATTTCTTGAAAATATAAAACATTTATGTTCAAAATCAAAACTATATAGAGAGGAATAGAAATTTTACTCCCTGCTACTGTCCTTCCCACCCTGTTTATCCTGCCCACTGTGGGAACCATTTCTAGTAGCTGCTAGTTTATTATTTCTGTGTTTCTTTCTACAAAAACAAGGATGTATATTCGTATGTTTTTGTTTCCTACTCTCTCATGTGTATACATGTATACATGTTTACTTGCGTACCTTGCTGTTTTCCACTTAACAATACATGGAAACAGCTTATAGCAATTTATCAAGATCTTTCGCACTCTTTCATAGGGCTGCAGAATTTTTTCCATTGTGTGGATTTATAGTAGTTTATTCAGCCAGTCTCCTATGTATGGGCATTTAGGTTGTTTGAACATTTTCCGGCATATTCATGAGGGTGAGTGAATAATCTTGTGCATTTATTGTTTCATGTTTGCAGAGACGTATATCTTTGGGGGTAAATTCCTAGAAGGGGAATTGCTGGGTCACAGCAGAAGCATATGCAGGTTTGTCAGCAATTGCCAAATCCCTCTCCATGGGGCTGAACCATTTTGCCCTTTAACCGGCAACATAGAACAGTGCTTGGCTCCCTACAGCCTTGCCAACAGAATATGTGATGAAGCATTTGGGCTTTTGCAAGCAGGATAGGTGAGGAATGGTATCACAGTGTAGTTTTAATTGGCATTTCTTTCATTATGAGTGAAGTGGAGCATCTTTTCAAATATTCTGTGTGGACATTTTATGAATTTTGCCCATTTTTCTATTGGGTTCTAATTCTTTTTCTTTTTGAAAGTTGCGTATATTCCATTGTCTGAATGTACTTTGATTTATTTGCCTTGTCTCCTATTGGTGGAAACTGGGGTTGTTCCCTGTGTTACGCTGTTAAAAACAATGCTGTAATGAATAATCTTAGGGAAGCC
Organism: Homo sapiens; assembly: GCF_000001405.40. Taxonomy (NCBI): domain Eukaryota; kingdom Metazoa; phylum Chordata; class Mammalia; order Primates; family Hominidae; genus Homo; species Homo sapiens. Next base: position 137,472,647 of record NC_000005.10, on the reverse strand, counting down.
TCATTTCACTCGTGTGCAGCTGTATTTGTAGGTTAAATTTCAGAAACGAATTTGTTTGGTCCAAGGGCATATACATTAGTTATGTTAATGAATGTTGCCAAATTACACTCCCCTTCCATGGGTTGCCCCAGTTAAAGCCCCCACCAGCAGCACACGTGAGTGCCTATTTTCTCCCGACTGACTGAGTGATTGCCTTTTGGATTTTTGTCCTGATAGGAAAAACATGTGATCTCAGTGAAATGTTAGTTTGCACTGAGCTTTTTTTTTTTTGTACACCTAATACATTCTTTTAAGGTTTGAGCCCCCTTTTTCCTGGCAGAATCACTTCTTCCTGGATAAGGTGGTGATGGGGGAGTTGAAGAGAAGATAGTGTGATGGGGATTGCTCCTGTCTGACCAGAAACTCTGTCTCTGGAGAATTGCAGCCGCAGACTAAAGCCCTCATCAAGTGTCCCTGTTCCTAAGGTCCACTCCAAGTGTGTACAGGGTCTGCTGGCAGCACTGGGCCAGGGCCCCGGGCATGTCCTCCCAAGAATTCGTGGCAGTGAGTCTTTGGCGAGCCACCCTCCAGATGAATTTCTTAGTGGAGGGAGAGTCTGACTCTGGAAGAACAGTTTGTGACTTGAGGGATGTTTTCATCCCTTTTATTTCTGCTCACCCTTGTCAGTTGCTCTGTTCTCCTCTCCTGCGCAGTCTACCTGAGTGAAGTCACTCTGCCCTATTATTTCCCATGCCCTCAGGTCCCATGGGCATGTGATTACCTCTTTGCTGATTGCAAGGCTGTGGAGTTCCCTAATCACCTTGTTCTCAGCCTCTTATTTCCCTGCTGAGAAGTGGAGGGAGTGATGGGGTTCCTCCTGCTCTTGGGAGATGCTCCTTTTCTGGCTGCTGAGACCTTGCCCTCCTAGGCATGGTGCACTTTGCCGTGGGTCTGATCTGCTGACTGCTGGCCTCCAGGAACCATCATTATCTATGCTGGGTAGGAAAGGACTGCTTCTGGGTTTTCACATTACTTTAGAATAGTCACCAGGGTCCTGAAGTCTCCAGCAATGTTTGTTAGCCACACTATGGCAGAAAAAGCAGTGGTGGTGGATCTTTCTCTTGATTCTGGCAAATGTAGATGCACAGATAGGAATAGCGGTGACTACTGACTGAGAATTTACTATGGGCTGAGCATGTTACTTGTATTCCATTTAACCTTTGCAGCAACTGAATGAAGTAGGTGCCATCATCATCTCCATTTTTACAGATAAGGAAGCTGCCCAAATCCTCACAGCTATTGGGTGTCAAAGCAAAACAAAAACAAACAAACAAACAAAAAAAGATAAAAATACACAACTAATTTAACTTTGAGGAGTATTATGATTTGGTGGGGAGGGCAGCAAAATCTGCCAATCTAATTATGTAAAAAATAAATTTCACTTATTGAGCCTATGTCATCTGAATAGATCAGCCCAGGATCACCCTATGTGGCTCTGGGGACCTCAGCTTGGATTGGAGAGTTGGACAGAGCTAAGTCCTGCACAGAGCAGGTGGAGCTGTTGATCAATAATGCCAACGTTTAGTGAGCATTTACTGCATGCCACGTGCTGGGCTGAGCACTTTGCACCGTTAACTCATATTACAATTAACTCGTATTACTCTCACAACAACCCTATGAAAAAGAACTGTTTTCCCCCAGTTTACATTTACACATGAGAAGACTGAGGCCCTGGACACTAACCATGTTGCCCAAGGTTGGATGACTAACCCACTAGAGAGCCATGATTCAGACCTGGCTGATCTGCTTCCCGTGAGGCTGGGGAAATTCTGCCAGACACTGGGCAGCATCCTCCAGACAGATTCTCCCTTTTAGTACTGGAGAGAGGGCAGCCAGAATTTTTTGCTGTTTACTGTTTGGTGAACAGTGATTCACCAAAATCAAAACAGTGATTCACTGGTGACCAGTGATTTTAAGAAAGCAGATTTCCTTTCTGGCTTTGGTGGGCTTGGTACAAAGGCAGTCTCCATGGGCCGCAGAGTGCATGGCTCTTGCATGAGCCACCAGACTACACTTGGAGATGGTTGACCACTTCAGGGCATGGTGGGGTCTCGAGGGCACCATGCTCAGCAGCCACACCTTCAGAAGCCTTTCCAGATGTCCCTGTAGCCTCCTCTACCTCTGTCTGGGTTTGGACTTCTTATTAATACTATCACCACAGTGTGGGGACAGCCTCACCTCCCACACTGTGCCTGTGGATAAGACAAACAGCATAACTCTTATCTCAGAAGGCCAATGCCAGGATGGCTGACTGAGCTTGACTGACCTCTTTTCGTAAAAATACCTTGCATTTCTCTTTAAATTTTTCTTGATCAATCAGCAAAAATTTAAAAGTATGTTCTCAGTGCCACAGGGAGACACAGACACTGCTCTTGTGGAACATATTGTTTAGCTGAGGATGCACTCACAAATCCGTCCACAATAAATGGCCAAATACATTTCATTGTGGATGGAAATCCATAAGGCAGAGCCCAGGTGAGTGCCACAAACATCATGCAGGCCATCTGTGGTCTCAGTGGAGCAGGAGATCAGTGTGGCCTAGAGTCTTTCTAAGGGAGGTGGAGCTTCAAGGGTAGGAGATAACTTATAGTAGCAGCATCATGGAGTGAAGAGTGTTCTAGGTCCTGAAAGCTTTTCACAGCCAGCCTCTGGGTCCCAGATGGGAATGTCAAATTTGGGCTGCTCTCAAAGCCCACCTCATAGCAGCATAGTCAATAGTGGAGCATGACTGAGTAGTGTCCACAGCTTCCACCCATGAAATAGCCTCTTGGGTGGGGGTGGCCAATGAAGGCATTTCCATGCAGTAGCTCATCCATATCACCAGTCCATCCCCATGATGGAGGTCCATGACAAGACAGTTCTGAGCCATCAGGAGCATTTACTCAAGGAGAACGGGGTGTGTATATCACAGTGTTTCCAAAGTACGTTGCACTGAACTTTAATCCAATGAGAATAAATGATTCTCTGGAGAAGTACATAATATACTCCCTTTAGATATGTGCAGTACACATTAGTTTTTAAAGGGCTCCAAGGTGTTCTATAGTTAAAGAAACCTATTTAACTTTTCAACTCATTGTTTCCCAAACTTACCATGGGATCTCCCTACTTTTTTGCATAACTCTTATTAATATTCATAAGAACCATGGTCTGTGCCTTAAAAAAAAAACAACTTTGGGAATGGTGAGATAGTATATTTCTGAAAGATTTCTATGGTAAAAGCACTTAACTGCTAAAAAGCTGTTGAATTTAAAGGTTCCAACTCTTGGAGGACTGAATAACAGAGTTGTTCCTGGCGGGTTCTGGAAAGCTGACTACATATTCGTGTTTCCTTCCTGAGTTAAAATGTTAAGTTCCTTGAGGGCAAGCAATGAAATCCTAACATCCTTTGTATCAAGCCCACAGCTTTCTCAGCACTGACTATGTAATAGCTATTCAATAATGACTTGTTAATTGACTGATTGAAGATGTTTGTTAAAGGCCAAAGAGTTAATTAGTTGATGCTGGAATCCAGTTCTTTCAACTTCCAGCCAGAAGCTTGTTTTGTCAGCCCACAAACTCTAAATTTAGGGCCCTCCAGCTTCCTACAGTTTATCAAAACTATTTTAAAAGGTTAACTCTTTTATTAAGTAGTTTTCCGTAGGCCCATCATTCCTGACTCCCCTTCACCCATTATCATGGGCCTTAATTGTGATGAGGTGGGTGAGGGGACAGTTGTCGGCATGTGTGTGTGAGTTGGGGGGAACGGCCCTTCTTTCTCAGTTTTATCTCACTACAGCTTCTTGACCCAGGAAAGCATGTAACTGTGATCATGCCTGCTTCGTTCTCCCTGTGGCTTTTACTTTGGGAATTCCATCCTGGAAGTGGGGCTGAAGGCGGGCTTTTCCCAAAGCTGACTTTCAGCTGACACTCAATTTTTGAGCATAATAAAAACGTGTTACCGGCCCCCCAAACTTCCACTGCATTATTATTATGTATGTATTGGCTACTGACAGTGTACTTGGGGGTTTCACAGCATCAATAGAAAAGATGGTCCTTCGTCAATAGGATTACAATGTTGGCCATTTGTCATAAGTATATTAGCCCAGGTTAATGTGGCTATAATGAGCAACTGTTAATTTCTTTTCCTGTACAAATACATCAGATTTCAGATGTATTGAAATGTGTCATTCTATGGCTGGTACTTGAACCTGCAGCTTGCTGGTAAGCAGGAGAAAGCGCTGGGCAGAATTCAAATGCCTTGCAGGAAAGTTCTTTAAACACCCACTGGTCTGTGTCTGTTTCTGTGTTTATCCTTTAAGCACGGGAATCAAAAGAAAAGCATCTTTATTTTGAGTGTTTCAGTCTATCTCTGCCATGTATTGGCAGCCCTCTGTTCTCTTTAACTGCAGGAGTCACTAAGTAGCATTACTCATGTAAAAATTGATTGAGTTTAAAGAAATGGAATGAGAAGGAGTCTTCATTGTTCTAAGTGAGTGTCTTTTGGTTAGCAGCAATCCATTGGAGTGAGATCTCATTTTGATTAGGGACAGTGTGTCCTATTGTATAAAGCTGTTTTAATGGAAAAATTATTAAAATAATTCTAAGCCCTGAAGGCACTGGAGGTTCTGAAAGTGTGGAGGGTTGAAACCAAAGTGGATTTTATTAACTCTGTTTATCTGGATTGTTTGTAGATCCAACCTAAACCATGGAGGGTCAATTTGCCTGAAGTACATTGTTGAATTTAATTTAGTTGAGAACAAGGGCCAATTAGAAACGTTTCTATTTGGTGTTGCTTGGGCACATATCTGCCTCCACCCTTCCATTTGCTGAGCCCCTGCCATGTGCAAGATACCTTCAACCTCACAGTCTTCATAAACTCTATTCCCTTTGTGTCTGAAATGCTGTCTCTTTACCGGCCCTGCCCTTTACCTGGTTAACTATTTCTCATCCTTTTGGTCTCAGCCTGGCTCTCTTCTTTAGGGAAGCCTTACTTGAATCCCAAGCAGATCACATTCTTCCTGTGGTGTTATCAGATGTACTTTTTCTTCATTGCCCTTGTCACACCTTTAAGTCAATGATGATTTGTTTTATTTCTTTAATATCTGTTTCCTCTTCTATGTTATATGCTTCATGAGAGCAGAGGTATGTCTATTTTCTTTAATATGTTTTCAAGCTCTTGCACATAGCTTGGCACCAAGTAGGTACTCAAATAGTTGTTGAAAGAAGGAAAGGAAGAGTTGGAAGCTCATCGTGAAGACTTTGGCTTTTCAGATTGCAATAGGTACACCTTTAAGAACATCCCCAAATATTCTCACCTGACATTCATGCCCTTGTGTAGTCCCCTCTCCTTGAGTATGGGCTGGACCTAGTGACTCATCTCTAGCCAGTAGAATATTGCAAAATTATAGGATGTCACTTCTGAAATTAGGTTACAGAGAACGTGACTTCCAGCTTGTGTGCCCTCTCTCACTCCCTTCTTTGCCTGCCCTGATGGAGGCCAGTGGCCATGCTGTAAGTTACCCTACCAGAGGCCTAGGCCATGTGGCAAGGAACCAAAGGAAACTTCTAGTTGCCAGCCAGCGAGGAGCTGAGGCTCTCAGCCCAGTAGTTCCTGAGGATCTGAATCCTGCCAACAACCATGTGAGTGGACTGTGAAGTGGCTCCTCCCTCCATCCAAGCTTCCCGTGAAACCTTGGCAGATCCCTTGATTGCAGCCTGTGAGAAACCTTGAGGCAGAGGCACTGAGCAAAACTGTGCTCATATTCCCGACCCAGAGAATCTGAGATCATTAATGCTCACTATTTTAAGCTACTAATTTTGGGGGTAATTTGTTATAAAGCCATAGATAACTCATACACAGATTTTTCCCTGTTAGGTTTTTAGCTACAAATGATGCTCATGGGAACTTAATACAGGCAAGGTCTTGTGCTAAACACTTAAGATGCACACTCTTATGTATTCCTCACATTAACTCCATGTAAGTTCCATTATGTCAATTTTACAGATGAGAAAAATGAGGCAAAGAGAGATTGAATAACTTGTCTAAGGCCTTGGCAGAGCACTGGGAGTGTGATCCTGGAGTCTGCTTTTACCCATCAATCTGAAGGTAGACTATGAGTTGGAATTGCTTTGGGCTCTGTCCTCACCTAAAGACCAGGGCTCCTGACTTTATGAGCTTCCAGGACTCAATGCAAGTAAGTTGTCCAACTGTTCAGTATGAAGATTTGGGCAGTGCCTCAGCTTGGACCCTGTCTCTTTAAGGAGCTGAAATAAGCCCCTTTAGGAGAGATCCAGCTGTTGTTTTATTTAGGCATGACCCTCTTAATACCCTATGAATTAGCATGCTTAGTGTGGAAACCCAGGAAGAAATTCTGGTCAGTCACTCCACTTGTGTCCAAGAATAAAATCCAATCAGGAACACAAAAGATGGTGGCTTTTGGAATAAAATGAGCAGCATCCACTGTGATTACAGCTTGTTTTCAACTTCTGCAAGATGAAATTAAATCGAGTAATTGTTTGCACATTTAACCACATGACTCTGATTTGTCTGAGGCAGATTGTGGCATTGTGAATATTTAAACCAGTAATAAAGTCTTTAAGCTTATGTTCCATTTTATCTCATTTATTTGTAGATCTTAAAATGTAATGAACAGAAGAATGTAAGATGTTTGGGGGAAGAGATAAATGTTGTGTATGATCACTATGGTTTTAGGTTATGAGGTTCTAAGACCTTGTGCTGTAATTTTGTATGCATTGTGATTCTGAGCCCTGGATTCTGGAATATATGTTCTTTGTTAGAAATCTTGGAAGACCAAGACTCTTGTTGTCTGTTTTTCTATTCTTTGGTGTGATTCTATATCTCTTGCCTCAGAATTGATTTTTGGCAACTTCTTAAGTACTGTAGGGTTGCATGATAATTGCTTACCTAAATAGATTAATTTTGAGTGATTGCCAAATAACCTGGCATATACAGACACAGATTGCAAATAAGTGTTGGATATGAAATGTGTCTTGAGTGTGTGACTATTTGAAATGTTGCTTCAGATCAGACTTTGTATTGCAGAGATGTGCCTGTGTATCTAGTAGCAAAAATCCCTGACAGTTCAATAGAACTTTTCCAGCTAAACAAGAATCAAGTTGAGGCTCTCAGTAAAAGACGAGTTTACAATTTTTAGAAATTATAAGCTTATATATTAGTCTTAATGTTGTTATGAGAAGGAATTTGAATGGAACTTGGATTTTATATTCCAAGGCTTTGCTTTGCCCATGGTGTTCAGCTGTCATGATTTTAATTTTTTTAAAGCTGTCATGATTTTGGCAGCTTTCTGATGTTAGAGTTGTTTTCTAACCTCAGTGAGATCACAAGTGTGTTTGATTTGGTAAGTGTGTTTGATTTGGTAGTCTCTTCAACAACCTAAATTTGGAGAAATGTGTTCACTTATTTGGCGATCTTATATCTTCCTTGTGGAGGTATTTTATGAATATAACCAAAATTGATGGCCGTGGGTGCTTGTTGATTACTTCTCATTCAGTCGTGAATCCTGGACTCTGGTGTTATCTGGCACTCCCTTCCTCTCCAGTGGCTTCTATAGCGTTGTTCTCTCAAGGTTTTCTGCACGTTCTCTCTGATATCTCTGGCTTTGTCTTTTTGTCTGAGTCATATTCTTTCTCTCAACCTTTAAATATTGGTGATTCTCTAGGGTTCTGTCCTCAGACCTCTTTTCACCTTACTAATCTCTCCTGGATAATTTAATTCACTAGGAATGTTTCTGCTACCACATATATGCTCACACTCCAATACGTGTCTCCAGTCCAGGTTATTCTCCTAGGTTCAAGACACACTCGTTCCTTTGCCCAGCGACCTCTCCACTTGGATGGCCCCTCCACCTTGTCACCCCACAGTCAGCATGTGCAGACCTGAGTTCCTCTTTGTCCTAGACCTGCTCCTTTTCCTCTTGCTTCTCATTGTGGTGAGTGGCATTGCCATTCATCCTGTCACCTAGACTGGCAGGCTGTTGCTATCTACCACCCCACCCCACCCCACCCAGGCCTGTCCATTTGACCTCCTCAGTTGCTCTCAACCCATCTTCACTGGCTTCTTGTCAGTCTCTTAATTTAGGCCCATACCATTTCTTGCCACACTATCTTTTCCATATTCTTAATTTTTTTTAAATTATAATTTTTAATTTTTTGGGTATATAGTAGGTGTATATGTTTGTGGGGTACATGAAATATGTTAATACAGGAATGCAATGTTTAATCATCACATCACAAAAAATTGAGTATCCATCCCTTCAAGCCTTTGTTTGTTTGTTTATTTATTTATTTGAGACAAGATCTTGCTCTGTCACTAAGGCTGGAGTACAGTGGCATGATCATGGCTCACTGCAGCCTCAACCTCCTGGGCTCAAGTGATTCTCTTGCCTCAGCCCCCACAAGTAGCTGGGACTACGGGCCTGCACCATCATACTTGGGTAATTTTTGTATTTTTATTTAAGAGATGGAATTTTGCCATGTTTCCCAGGCTAGTCTTAAACTCCTGGGATCAAGTGATCTGCCCTCCTTGGCCTCCCAAAGTGCTGGGATTACAGGCATGAGCCGCCATGCCTGGCCCTCTCAAGCATTTATCCTTTGTGTTACAAACAATCCAGTTACATTCTTTTAGTTATTTTTTTATTTTTTGAGATGGAATCTTGCTCTGTTGCCCAGGCTGGAGTGCAGCGGTGTAATCTTGGCTTGCTCCAACCTCTGCATCCCGAGTTCAAGTGATTCTCTTGCCTCAGTCTCCGGAGTAGCTGGGACTACAGGTGCACGCCACTGTGTCCAGCTAATTTTTCTATTTTTAGTAGAGATGGGGTTTTGCCATGTTGGCCAAGCTGGTCTTAAACTCCTGACCTTGTGATCCACCCACCTTGGCCTCTCAAAGTGCTGGGATTACAGGCATGAGCAACCACGCCCGGCCTCTTTTAGTTATTTTTAAATGTACAATTAACTTATTATTGGCTATAGTCCCCCTGCTATACTATCAAATACTAGGTCTTATTTATTCTATTTTTTTTTGCACCCAGTAACCACCCCACCTCCCTCCTCCCAACACCCCCCCACTACCCTTGCCAGCCTCTGGCAACTATCTTTCGACTCTCTATCTCCATTAGTTCAATGGTTTTGATTTTTAGATCCCACAAATAAGTGAGAACATGTGATGTTTGTCTTTGTTTTCTGTGCCTGGCTTATTTCACTTAACATAACGATCTCCAGTTCCATCCATGTTGTTGCAAATGACAGAATCTCATTCTTTTGTATGGCTGAATAGGACTCCATTGTGTATATGTACCACATGTTGATGGACACTTAGTTTGCTTCCAAATCTAGGCTATTGTGAACAGTGCTGCAACAAACATGGGAGTGTAGAATCTCTTTAAAATGCTGATTTCCTTTCTTTTGGGTATATACCCAGTAGTGGAGCACATCATCTTTAAGCCACCTTCCATATGGACCTGGCTTTGAGCTCCATATTTCTGAAACCTAAATCTGATCTTATTACATTCCTGCTTAACATGCTTCAGTGATGACTCCTCGTTGTCCTCAGGACTAATTCCAAATTTTTACTGTGGCCCATGAAGCCCCTGAATGATTTGGCTCCTGCTCATCTCTTCAGCCTCATCCTTTTCCACTCCCTGAATGGTACCGAAACTATCAGCACTTGTTGAAGCTAGAATGAACTTGCTGTTCTCAGTGAAGCCCTCCCTGTTCCTTCTAGTGAATTTTTGGTTTTGTATTTGGCTCTTTGTTCATCTCTCTGAGATACTATTCAGCATGCTACATTCTGACACATGGACATGTTTCTCCCCATCCCTTTCTTTGCAGACTCTCTTAACCTTTTAAGGGCATTATATCTGAAATAAGAGCAATTAGTGACAATAGCTTACATTTATTAAGCCCCTGCTTAATATGCTAGACACCATTCTAAGTGCTTTGCATTTAATACTCACAGTAGCTCCATGTCATCAATACCACTATAATCCTCATTTTTTTCAGATAAGGAAAACAACGCACAGGCAAGATAACTTGCCCTGGGTCATACAGATGAGAAGTGGCGGAGCTGGGGTTCCAAGCCTGGCAGTCTGACCACGAACCTGCCCCTTAGCCAGTGCACGATCCAGCTGCCCAGTGTCTGTGGCTTGCAGGAATTAGTCTGACCTTGGAAACCTTTCTCACCTCGGAGTGTGAGCCATGGCCTTGTCTGTATCCAGCTGCAGTGAAACTTTGGGCTGAATGCCTGAATGGATGGAAGCTCCAGGCTCTGGCTGCTGCCAGAGGAAAAGCAGATGTGGTTCCTGCCTTTGGGGTCTTTCTGGATCCTGGCTGTCAAGGAGAAATGTGCATGCTAGAAACAATGGGAAATTCTATCAGTGAAAAATAAAAGAAAATAAAGTGGCTGTAAGGGTGTGGGGTTTGCCCAGATGTGGCCTCCTGGTGGCCTCCAGAGGCTAAGCACAGGGGGCCATCAGGACCTTCCCACTTCCTCTCGCTTAAGGCTTTAACTGCCAGCAGGTGCAGGCACAGGTTGGGCGTTAACCCCTTCAGCATAGTCAGAGGGTCATGGCTTGAGTCCTCATTTGGCCTTTTATCTGGGGCTCTGGATGAGTCTCCTTGTTTTCCTGAGCTTCAGTTTCTTCATCTGGTGATGTTAACACTGGCTTCATGGGGAGTTTGAGGATCACAAGAGATAATGGGATGTGAAAGTGCTTTGTGAGTAATCAAATGCTACAGAAATGGGGGTAGTTTTTATTATTAGATCATAGAGAGGGTTGCTGGAAGATACTTCTGATTTATCTGAGTTTCAGTTATTGTCTCTCTATCTCGTTAGTACCAGTAAGTGAGACTTGGCTGCATTTTGCTGTTTCTAGGTTAGGATGAAATTTTCTTAAAAGGCAGCTCTGCTTTTCATAAAGCCTCATTAGAGCCCAGAGACGGGCAGAACAAAAATGCAGGCCCTGGAGCACACTGTGACTTGCAGCCTAAGCTTTCCAGGAGACTCTTATTTCAATCACAGTGGAATGCCAGTGATCTTACCCTTGTCTCTCCCGCCCTTAAGTCCGTGGTTATGGGAGTTTTATTAGCAACACTGACAGCATTTCAAGGGGCTGCCCCCAAAAGCTGCTTCATTAATGAAGACATTTCTGGAAGTATCCTTTCTCACTGACTGTGTGTTCAGCTGGTTCCCCATGGTTTTTCCTCCATTTGATGTGAGCATACACAATACCCAGCTGCCAGTGTCTTGGATGCAGATGGTTTAAAAGAAACTAGAAACTCTGTAGCTGCAGTCTCTTTAAGATCTGCTTGAGCATCACATACCCTTAAACAGATTTTCTACCCAGGGAGGTAAAGTTTCGTGGATCTCCCAAGACACGGACTGATTAATTATTCCATTTATTTAACAAAAATGTATTGAGCACTAATATGTGCCAGGCACATTTATAGATCCTGGAGAGACAGACTTGAGCAAGACGGAAGAGGTCCCCGCTCTCCTGGGTTTTATATTCTAATAGGGCCACAGACAACAAACCAACCACGTACATATATTAGAATTTCTGATAGAGCTACGTCCAGAGAGGAAGACCTGACAGGGAGATGTGATACATGTGATATGCCTCCTTGGGGGCACAAAAGTTAAATAAGAGCAGCCAGGAAGGCCTTGTAGAAAGTTGAGTGGAGGCAGCTGGTTTAAGATCTGGGAAGAGGCATTCTGGTTGAGGGAGCAGCAACGCAGAGGCCCAGAGGTGGGAATGAATATGGTGTGTTTGAGGAATAAAAGAAGGATGTGTGGAGTACATTCAATGGGCAGCAGTGTGGTAGAATTGATATGTAGAGCTTTGTAGATCATACAGGGCCATGTAGATCAGTGTAAGGAATTGGATTCTATTTGATGTTAGAGATCACCTTCTCTACTCATCAAGTTTAACAAGTAGAAACTCAGAGTGAATTTGCTTGGAGAGTCTTTGCAACTTCATGTTACTTGCCTCTCTGCTAGAGACAGTCACCATTGTCCTCTCTGTCTGTCCAATATTCATCCTGGAGCCTGGCCTGCATCTGCTGGCTGCTGGACCAGCTTACTTCAATGTCTCCTGTAGGGTTGGGGCAGAGGAGGAGGGCAGGGAGCGGCTGCTGAGCTTTACTCCTTGGCTCTTCTGTGTTCCCTAAGTGCATTAAACAGGCTGGTCCTTATCCCGTACCTTGACCTGGAAGAGTCTCCCTGGAGGCGTCATATCCTAAGGGCTTACTCCCCTGCAGTGAAGATTGTTAAGCATACAGGGGCGGAGATTTTCAGAGGAGTCCTGGTCAGTAGACTCCTCACCTTGCAGATGTAGAAGCCAGATCTCCCAGACTTCTTGAGCCATTGCTCATTCTCCAGCACAGGCCTACACCACTCTGACCATCCCACTGCCTGATTCATATTTGTCATATTTTCCTTAAATGTACCTGCTCAGATGCTTTAAAAACTAATTCAATTCAGTGAATTGAATCCACACCTCTTAGCTTGGATTTCAAGGCCCTTTACCATTTAGTCCTACTTACTGCCCCATCCTTCTCGCTCATACTTCTCCTACACAGATTCTTTCCCATACTGTACATGTTTACCCACAATGTGTAAATGCCACTATCCTGTCTGCATCTGTACATGCCAAGCCCCTTCTCCTAGCATACCTTTTCCATTATCCTAGCACTCCAGGAACACCTTCAATTTCCAGTTCCAAACCTGCCCCTCTGGGCAGCCTTCCCCAGTTGCTTTAATTCATGAGTATCTTTCATATACCTCTGAATGGCTCTAGTGCTTACAGTCTTTGTCTGTAATGGCCTCACCATGTAGTTATTTTACCTTTTTATCTCCTCCAGTGTACCGTCAGCTCCTGGAGCGCAGGGCACTTGGTTTATTGATGGTGTCGAGAAAAGCCTCAGAGATGGTGAGAATCTGTGAACAAGCTGGAAACCACATGCACCTCCTTCAGGTCAGGGTGGGAGTATATTCCCCATGAAATAGTCCGGAAAGATGGAGTAGCATTGCTTAAATTTCTTGGTGTTCCGGTCAGCTCTTCAGATAGTTTCCAAAAGAAGTCCCTGGCTGAAATAATTCCCCGCAACTCCAGCTGTGAGCAATGAATTAAAAAAAAAAAAAAGCCTTTCATTAGCCTCTCTCTGTTTGTAGAAGGCAAGGACATTCTGCTCTTGGAACCACCTCTTCATTGATGGGAAAGTTCCCCTAAGGCTTGGAGTTGGGAGTTGCCTATTTTTGTTTGAGGGGGAAGGTCAGCTCTGGAGATAGGTGGACCTGGTCACAGGGACTGCTTTGTTGCTTCTGGCATTGATTTGATAAATGTTCTTTGTCTCAGACTTGAGGATGCTTCCCCTGCTCTTGAATTCAATAATAGGTCTTGTTTTTAGCTCGCAGAAGACTACACGACACGTACATCCTCACCCACTCAGTTTGAGCAAGAGCAGGCCCTGTCTGGTTCAACATGTAGTCACCAACACACTCACTCGATATAGGGCATTGGACTTGGGCTGCCAGCCTCACTCACTGGACCACCTGACCACATGGAATTGTGTGTGCACCTTCACTGGGAAATGGTAAGATACAGACAGACTTTCCTTCTTGTGTATATTCTCTGTTTCCCTGTTGGTAAAATCATTCCAACTTAGCACATCCAAATTGGTGGCCCATCTTTATGGGCTTAGAAGATGATAAAACCACCCCAGAACAGTTGCTTCTAGTATTTATTTTGACATGAGTATTTCTATAGTATTTTATTTTAGCTGAGGGTCTAATCTGTGTATTGTCATTTGATGCTCAAGTGCTTCCCTTTTGCCCACAGAGCACATGTGTTTTCTCAAAGGGACAATGTGATACACCCAAGAATGTTAGATGTTTTCTTGCCTTTATTGGTAAAAGCTAAAAAAAACGAACAAACAAGAAATGGAACCCTTACTCTAGGAGAAATTTCGTTGGAGCAAAATGGGATAATTGAACAGTAATGTTTCTTAAATTTAGTAGCACATGAGTTTTTACCATATCTTACCATAAAAGCTTGAGTGAAGGTCAAGATTCACTGACTTTCTCAGGAAGAGTGAATTATTTTGCAAAGTTAAGGCATCTAGGGGCTAAAGATGTTGCCCCAGGCAGTATTTAATACTTTCTGTATTTTAAAAATTTGTTTCTCTTATTACAAAAACAATAGTAACATATGTTTATTGTAGAAAATTTAGAAAATAGTGTCAACTCTTGGCTTTTTCTTTTGTTTTGTTTTGTTTCTAAGACCCTTCCTAGCTGGTCAAGAGAACCTGATTATGGACCCAGGTTTGGAAATGATGAGCAAAGCTTGTGATGTCTTCAGGAGCATTTGCTGGCCAGTCCTATGTCTTAAACATATGTCACAAGAAAGTGACACTGGTGTCTATTTATGTGGGTTCTTCACCAGGTCGTCTCTCCCATAGCCTGTTCCTTCTGAAATGTGCTTTTCTGACTTACCAAGAAGAGTCCAGCCTAACCTAGAACGAGAGCTTACTGGAATGATGATGTTGTCGTCCATAAAGAAACCACCTCTCTTTAAAAGACACCTCAACATTCCTTTAAGTCCCTGCTTGTATTTCCTAGCAGTGCACTGGCTGCCACTGTTTTCTTTATTTTTAATAACCACAAAACAGAATTGAGTCATTTCTGTGGGTTTTCTCATTTTGTATCCTTTGGTTTATCCCCCATATGCAGCTCCCACTTTGTTTAAAACTGAAGGAGAGTTACCTTGTTCGAGGAACAAATTCCCCTTTTTTCCCCTCTGGGATGATTAGACAAGCCAATATGTTCTTGTTGAAATAAAAGGAATGTAGTAATTCTGTGAAGGTAGGCTCAGTGCTTTTTAATCTTTGCATCTCCAATGTCTTTCACGCTATTTGGCACATAGTTGGTACTCAAACAAGGCTAGTTGAATTACTGATTTAAAACCCCAACACATCCTTATTAGCTTATCTCATTGAAAGAGGACTGCCACACTGCATACCTCCAGGGGCATCTTTGCACAAGTACTGTCCTGCTTGTGCAGCCTAATGTAGCAGCCTTGTCTAGAAGGAATAGTCAATCCAGAGTATGAGATTTGAAAGGCTCCATGATTCTTGGCGTGGTGAAAACAAAAATCTCGAAAAGTGACGTTGAGTCTGAAAGCTGCTCATGCTCTCCCACTGCCCCACACTGATATTATTCATCAGTCTCCTCAAGCCTAGGAATATTGTATTCTGCTCAGACTCATCCTGCATGGATAGACTTTATCTAAATTCTAATCCATACTGGCACTGCTTCCACTTTATATCATTCTGATCCAACCCATTCGTGTCTATTTTCTCTTTGATCTTCCTCTGAAAAATTTATAAGGACCTCTGCAGGTATCTGTGTATGTGTGGGTTTCTGCTCAAAACCAGCCATATGTGAAACTCCTTCTTCTTGATAGTGAAGCCTCATCTTAGCTAGTGATTTATCTATCTGATGAGTTGCTTTCAAATTTCAATTTATTCTCTACTGAATATCAAGCTAAACTGAGAGCCCCAGACCATTAAGTAGGATAACTATTGGAAAACATGAGTTGGCCAAACAACTTGCAGACTTACTTCAGATTTACTGAATAGTTTCTTGAAACAAAGGTTAATATACCCACTAGCAGAGGTATAGTAGTTGGTAGTGTGTATTAACAATGAATTTCTTCTGTAGGTGTCAAGCTATCTTGTATTGAAGTAGTCTGTTTGGTATCATGATTATAGTTTCATAGATAAAATTTATATAAATTTCCCATTGGTTCTAGGTGACTAGTTATTGTTTCAGTCTACCACGGTATCCATTACAGACTTCTGTCATAGTCCCTATAGACAATCATTTTACTGGTTATGGGTTCTTTCCTTCATCATTCATTATTACCTCCTTGAGGACAAAGACTTTCTCCTTTCATATACATTCCCAGTGGTGATAATTGTGACAGAACATAATATCGTTTAGTAAGTGTTCATTGACTGAATAAATACATCAAAAATTCTAATTAAGCTGATGGGTCAAAAACACCCTTGGGTCGTTGGATATAAATATACAATCTGGGATCAGGAATTACCAAGATTCTTTAGCATTTAATATAGTTAGAGAATTAGAAGTTATAAAGGGCACATTTCTTCTCAGTTTGCCAAGAGGAGAGAAGAAATCATTGTATTTATAAGTATTAAAAGTATGTACAAACAGCTCCATGAATTATGACACATGAGTTATTGGTTATGTTAGTTTTGTAATAATACAGAATCCTGTTTCTCCTCCTGTCCAAAGGAAAGCTGTGAGCACTGGATCGAGCAGGAATCTCCTGAGAAATAGGAGAAGCAACTGAGGGGCGGTGATAATTAAACACTGTGGACAGCTACAGAAGTTTCTCAGATTCAGGCTGTGGACCCTCATATGAGCAGTCTCACTTATTAAATTGGACTGGGAAAAGAAATTAGTCTCTGAATTCTTTTCCTCCTCCTCCTGCTTTTTCTTCTTTCTTCCTTCTCCTCCTTTTTTCTTCTTCCTCCTCCATTTTAGAGATAGGGTCTTACTCTGTTGCCCAAGCTGGAGTGCAGTGGTGTGATCATAGCTCACTGTACCCTTGGATCCTTGGGCTCAAGTGATCCTTCTGCTTCACCTCCCGTGTAGCTAGGTGTGCACCACTACACCCAGCTAATTTTTTTTTATTTCTACTTTTTGCAGAGGTGGAGTTTTGTTATGTTGCCTAGGCTGGTCTAGAACTTTTGGGCTCAAGCGATCCTCCCACCTCGACCTCTCAAAGTGCTGGGATTACAGGTGTGAGCCACTGTGCCCAGGAAGTCTCTGAATCTTAAGCCATGAAGAAAGCTGGTGGCTGACAGGAAGGAATGATTCCATTTTAAGAGAAGATCCTCTAAGTGTGTCAGATCCCCAGTGCTGCAGGTATTAGAGACAAGAAGCAACCTGTTACTATAGACCACATCAGCACAGATTCCCATGGTAAATGGTTGCTATTATTCCAGGCCATCTCAGGGCTATGACTTTGACTGGCTGCTGTCTCTTTAGAATTGTCTTTATTTAGGCTCCAAGAAGCAGCTATTCTTCTCATATACCCTGTTAGGCCAGCCTGGGCCCTGTCTCCTAGGAGACATGCTCGATATTCTGAGAGAAACTATCTTAGTTTGATTCAGGCAGCCTGGTGCCTACAGTGTGCCCTGGAAACAAAACCGTCTGTAAAGAAGGATCTTTCCTTCTTGATGAGTTACTGTGGGACTCCGGGCAAGTCCCTCCACCTTTTCTGGCCTCAGATAACTTTATTGTCCTTAAGATAAGGTGGTATTTGTGAATAGACCCAGATCCATCAAGGAAACATGCTCATGAAGATGAAAGTGAAGTAATATTATCCCAATGATAAATGGGTGCATTCTCTTGTGTAAGGTACAAAGTCTTGTTACAGCCTCAAAATGTGGCACCATTTCTCCACAGTTCCTAGCTAAGTGAACTGATAACCCAAAGGTTTGAGAATTGAACATGTATCTGGAGAAACTTACCCATTAAGACAATGGAGGTCTTATTTGGTGATACATTTACTTTGGAAAAGAGAGACCATTTTCTCATGTATTATTTTTTCTTGGTAAAAAACAATGGAACAGATAGATAGATATATGCTTCATATTCAAATGTTCCAAATTATGCATGACAGCTTTCCAAAAAGCTGGCATCTAAAAGCAACTCCCCTTTTGCATATATATGATTTGACAGCATTCTTGGTCTTGGATTGTATAAGAGCTGTCATTTATTGCTGTGATTCAACAATTGTGATTAATTGTTCAAGGGGTTTCATTGTCCTTTGCCAAAACAAAATTAAGGGAAAACATTCTCATCATGCCAATCATGTAACTTTAATGTTTATTTATCCTTCCATAGAGGAATCAATATCTATTTTTGAATGAGAATACAAATCACTGTGAGCCTCTCTCAAACATTGCTGGAATAAATAATTTTGAATTCTTCTAGGGGACTCACTTCATTACCTTAGCAAGTTATATCTCATTGTTCCCCCCTCCCCTCCAGCCTCAGCAGATTTTGAGGGACTTGTATGGATTTATAGGAATATGGCCTTTCCTTTAGGGTCTTTTGGTTATGTAAAAGAGATTTTAAATGCTCTTTCATGTGAATGTTATTGAGCCACCTTAAGCAGGAGCTCAGTGATCCTCCGAATGTGTTTCCCATTCTTCTAGGTATTTTGGGGGAGATCCTTGCAGTTGACTTATAACCCACCCTGTGGTTGCCAGAGTTGGTGTAGGGGTGGCTGTCCTCTTAAGTCTGGCTTTCTGTCTGTTGTTGAGCTCATTAATACCCATCTAGGCCCAGGTTTTGCTAGTTAGATGAGCCACCTTAAGTTATATGAGCTGGGCTACACTAACAGAGACAACAATTCTATTTTATCCTGTAGAGATTTATCTTCACTATTCTCACCAATGCTATTCTTGAATACAATATATGGACTCTGAAATCTTACTTTTCTTTTTTTTTTCCTGATCCCAAGTAGTATCCGTCTTTTATTCTTGATAGTGACATCCTTGTACATCATAATGTTTGTCCTTAGGGAGCATGGCATGCATTTGCATTTATCCATGCACAAACAGCTAAATTTAGTTTGGAGAAGTGAAACCCAGGGAATAAGGGGACTCCACTACAATCACATTAGACCTCTAAGACCTTGATTTTTCATTTACTTTTAATTTTCTGCACCCCCTGTACCCCCACAGAACAGGGCAATAAGAAACACACAAGGACACCTTGATCATGTCTCGCTCTACCCCTTAAATTGCATCACTATTGTGGCATAGATACCTATGGGGCAGTGGTAATATGTATCTCAGCAATGCTAATTGGAACTGTCCGTGGTGCTGATAGGCTTATTAAGAAAACTATTCTTGAACAAGAGTGCAGCCTTGGATGGAATGAAACCTTTTGCTCCCTGAAATTAGCGCTCTAGATTCCCGTGGCTGGGCTTTGCCATACTGAATGAAATAGAAAATTGCGGACAATTGTTTCACTAGATTGAGCCAAAATAATGGTTTTAGCTTTCAGTGCCTTGATATTTTGGGCCCAAGTTTTCTTGGTCTTAGACATTGGAAGAATTTCTTACTACTGGGCTGTTTTTGGTAGATAAAGCTCGTGTTTTCATTTTTTCTTTCCTGTAGCTACCCAAGAGTATCACAGAGAGCACACAGGGAATTGACAATTATTTTTAATGAGAGGTGTATATGAAGCAGCTTCTTACTCTGAATTTCCTGCACTGCTTTTTAGTGGAATCAGGGAGTTTGAGATGTACTTCTGGTACCATTAGCATTGACAGCGAATTTCATAATCACTTTCTGGAAGGACCAAGTGGGCTCTGGTTTTTAGTTTTATTTCAGAAGCGTGCCTTATTTTTTCTAAGCAAACCTACTAGTTGTGACATTTGGAGAAAACACAGCTCTCTAATATTTGCCTTTGGTTTGAATGAGGTGAAGAACATGATAAAGTGGAAAAAGACTTAAAAGTCAAGTAACATTCATCTTCTCTTTTTCTAAAACTCAGATTCATGGACTTGAAGGTGTCCTGGATTCTTAGGGTGCTAGTGCCCTAGAAAATTCTTAGGAAACAAGAGAGTGCTTTTTTCTCCACCCAGGTAGCTCTGCCGCTTTGATACTAGCACCAGGACCAAAAGCGATATTGGATTTAATGTATATTTCTTGAGAATTTACATCTGGGCCCTCATAGAGCTGATAGAGCAGTGGAGGAAACAGACATAGGATAGATAACTGCCCATGTGCCAAGGATGCCACATAAGCAAAAGGGAAACTATAGCTTTTGCATTTGAAATGCAAGTAATAAAAATACAAGTACCATTGTAGTCATAACTATGCTTTGGGATTTGTTTTTGTTGTTTATTTTCTCACAAGAATTATTACATGAGGTATTAGATGAGACATGTCACCTATGCACATTACAATCTCAATTTTTAGGATGTCTGTTAGACACATTCAAATTAAAAAGATGAGTTCTTTCAAAACTACTATGTTATAAACCTTGAATCAGATTCACTTTTTTTCTTTTACCAGGTGGCAGTAGGTAATAGTCAATGCAAATGGGGAAAAAGATAACTAAATAATTTGGGATTCAGTAAGCCCCGCCCTTTCAAAATGACGGCTTCATAATGACTTGGCAAAACACTCCATTTTCATATTTTCTTAGTATGTACAGCAACAAGCCAGCAGAATTGGTATAAAAATACATTTCATTGGCAAAAAAGCTCATCTAATCATATCATTTTGATACAAAACACACGGCATGTGATGGTGAAGTTATATACCACGAATGTAAATAGTTAAATTTTGGCTTGTTTTACAAAACATACTTTCAAGGTTTTCTACATGGTTAGTGGTCTAAAGTATGTAGTTGTTATACAGATTGAACATCCCAAATCCAAAATCTGAAACACTGGAAAATCCAAAACTTTTTGGCCATCAACCTGATGCTCAAAGGAAATGCTCATTGGGGCATTTTGGATTTTCAAATTTGAGATGTTTAACCAAGGTCAGTATATAATGCATGTATTGCAAAATATGGAAAAAATCCAAAATCTAAAACACTACTGGTCCCAAGCATTTTAGATAAGGGAAACTCAACCTTTAGGGTCTAAAATTACCCTAATTTGTAGAACTCAAAAATATACATGCTTACTTACTGAGCTAAAACGTTACAGGACTGGCTGAAGGATACAAATGTAAATGGGTGAAGCAAATCAATGGATTCTGCTGGCAGCATCTTATACAAGCCAGAATTAGTGTGCTGCAATAGGATTAAGATTTCAAGTGGAGGCATAAAATGTATGTGCAGGACCAAACACAATCTGAATGGGCTAAATCCATTTTTTATTTCTACATAGATCAAGGGAATGAGATTTACCAAGATGTTGCTTGTTAAATATTCAAATGAGAGCTGGGTTTACGTGGTGTTGCAGGGAAAGCACATTAGCTGGATTAGTGCAGATCTTTCATATTACTTTGAGGTAGATTTCAAGAGTCTGTTTATGCTTAATGTAATTCTTCTGTTGGTGTTTATTGTCACTAAAAAAAGAAGAAAAGGAAGTGACAGGTGTCCTGCAAAATTGAATACATTGTAAATAGCACTGTGATTGCATTGAGTTCATCCCTGCTAAGGCTGAAACGTGAGCTTGGGGCAACATTGGGAGAAACTGTGTATTGTGACAGTCACTTTGAAAAACATTCTGCGTTGTGCAGGAGTGTTTGGGGGTAAGCAGAGATGGAATGATCAAGCATGGCTCCTGGCTGCCGGGAGCATGGAGTATAATAAGAATGGCATTACCTAAGAAGGGGAAAACTGTTCTGTTTTAGACTAAGGATCAAGGAGGGAGAGGTGATCTACCCTGTGGCCTGTGGCTTACCTGAAAAGTTTGAGTCCTGGGTAGGGTGGGTCTGTTCCTAGACTGGGCCAGGTGCGGGGATTATCAGTGGCTTCAGAGCAACTGAACTGCTACACTGAGAGAGACTGAGGAGCTTTGAGCAGGAGAATGCCATGATTGCTCTTGCCTTGGTGAAATTTGCCTGGCATGGGTGGGCAGGGAAGATGAGCTGTGGAGGAGTTTGGAAGAGGGAACACTGGTCGGGAGGGTATTTTAATAGTTTGGGTGAGAGAGGTGGAGCAGCCACAGTGAGAATGGATGGGATGACACGGATGCAGCATGGAGATAGAATTGGCAGCATCTAGCAGCTTTCAGATGCAGAGGGCTAGTGAGGGGAGAGAGCCTATGACTTCAAGCCCAGGTAATAGGAGAGATAATGGTGCCATTATCAGGAAAAAAGAGGGAGAACAGTTTTGAAAGAAGCTGAATATTGTTGTGAAGTTCGGAGCTAAGGACTGTCTACATAATTTTCAGGGCCTGGAGAAAAGTAAAATATGAGGCCTCTTGTTAAAAAATTACTAAGAATTTCAAGATGGCAATAGCAGAGCATGGCCCTTCTAAGCATGGGCCCTATGTGAATGCGCAGGTCACACACCCATGAAGTCAGCCCTGATTGAGCTGGAGGTGCTGAGATGCATGTACACCCCACACCTTTCCTGGGGAGATGCACCTGCCCCCATTTTTGGAATGCTCAAGTGAAAACTCAGAGCAGATTTGCATGCACTGGTGCAGGATGCCACAGAGTGGTGACCAGGGCTGAAAAGGACAAGAATCACAGCAGTCTTTGAGTGGAACTGAACCCACTCTATCCCAGTGGGTTAACACCTATCATTACCAAAGGTGATAAATTCCCTAGAACAGGTGTGGAGACACAAGTCCTCTGATGGTTGTCATCAATTGCAATTTGAGTGAAAACTATTAAAGTTGAGAAGAAAGGTCCTCAATCTTCTTGCCCTTCCCCACCTCAACATCTCACTCCCCCAAGGCTATAGCTTGAAGATTCCCTGGGCTTTTTTGCATTGAGGAAAGAAGATCCTGCCCTTTTTGGGAGGTATCTACCATGTGTGTTTGGACACACTCTTCTATAGAGTTTTTTTTTATGAATGCCACCTTGTTTAATTTTAAAAAATTATTTCATTTGTTTCTTATTTACCTTTTATTTTGTTTCCTTTCTTTCTTTTTCTTTCTTTCTTTTTTTTTTTTTTTTTTTTTTTTTTTTTTTGAGACAGCATCTCACTTTGTTGCCCAGGCCAGAGTGCAGTGGCTATGATCATAGCTCACTACAGCCTGGGCTCAAGTGATCCTCCTACCTCAGCCTCCTTAGTAGCTGGGACTACAGGCATCTGCCACTACACCTGGCTATTTTATTTTATTTTATTTTTCATAGAGATGGGGTTCCACTGTGATACCTAGACTGATCTGGAACTCCTGGGCTCAAGCCATCCTCCTACTTCGGCCTCCGTAAGTACAGGGATTACAGGTATGAGCCACTGTGCCAGGCTCCTTGTTTAATCTTAGACATGGGTTTTGCCTCATTTTACAGATAAGGAAACTGGGACTTAGAGAGGCAAGAGGCTCTAAAATTTGACAGTATCTACTTGGCAGAGCCCATCTCTGTGATGCTGCCTCTCTTTGCTGGCCATGGAAACACAGACAATCAGAACTGCTTAAGACTGAAAAAACACAGTTGTAGCAGAGCTAATGTTAAAACTACTTTCTGAGGAAACTAACTGGTTATTTTATTTAGGCTGAGAGGAGAGAGGTGGGGTAGAGCAGAGGATGTTTTTGAGTCAAAGTTATTGTGTAGGTGGTACATGTTCCTGACACATGGTCCAGGATTGCCTGTGTCTGGTCAAGGAGACTATCTCTCTTTTTGTTGCACTGGGCAGAAGGTATTGGGCCCTTGGGTCAGTTGAGAAGAAATCATTTTCTACTTTGCGATTGTGACCAGCCAGCAGGCTGGAAAGAGTGCCAGGGCACCTGGTCCTGCAACTGTCCTGGGGGCTGAAGCCAAGCATCTCCTTCCTGGCTTCTTAGCAGTTCTGATGCCTTGAAGCAGGGCCTGAGGGTAGGGAGATCACTGGAAGATTGTGGAAGAGAAGTGACACCTGAACGAAGAGTGCTGTCTCACTTCCCTGGCACCCCACTGACAACTCCGTGGAAATCAGGTGTCAGGCCAGATTCCTACTGAAGGGCAGACCTTCTTCTCTCAGGCAGGGCTTTTCTGATAGGGCCCTGCCCCACGGGAGGAGGAAAGTTGGGAGGGCACAGAAAGTGGAGCAGGTGCCAAGTGCAGGATGTCTCTGTACAAAGTGTCTGCTAACTCTGAGAAAGATGAAACAACGGAGAACCTGATGTTTGGAGTTTGAAATCATCATTGAATTAATTCTGAATGAATGATTCAAATTGATTGATGGGGAAAAATGTCTTTGATATGCTGCTGTTTGCAAATGCAAGTTCAAGGAAATTTTACTGTAAAGTTAAAAAAATCTGATTATTTGTCACTCATACATTCTTACCTGTATTTGAATTCCATTTAGTGGCTATACCTAATGAAAAGAAATCATTGAGTCCTGGCCGCTGTAGCCCAGGCACACAGGGAGTCAGGTGGCATCTGTAGGTGTTTGGGGATCTCTGGGGTTGCACTTCACAGTAGAATTCTGTCCAGTCCTCCCTAGTCTAAGAGCCCCAAAGAAACCACCAGGTTTCTAATCAGATGATGTTTGGTAGAAGGAGGATGGACCCTAACTTGCTCTCAGATTGTGTGCCCTCTCTAGTACAAACATGAGGTGAGGTGTGGTTCTTACTGAGATAACAGCGAGTGGGTATGTATTTAATTTTAATTAAAAAAATTTTTTTTGAGATGAAGTCTTGTTCTTGTCACCCAGGCTGGAGTGCAATGGCACGATCTTGGCTCACTGCAACCTCTGCCTCTAGGGTTCAAGCGATTCTCCTGCTTTAGCCTCCTGAGTAGCTGGGATTACAGGTGCCTGCCACCAAGCCCGGCTAATTTTTGTATTTTTAGTAGAGATGGGGTTTCACCATGGTGGCCAGTCTGGTCTCGAACTGCTGACCTCAGGCAATCTGTCCACCTTGGCCTCCCAAAGTGCTGGGATTACAGGCATGAACCACTGTGCCTGGCTGTATTTATTTTTTAATACCAATGCTTAATGCCTATTTGATGTTAGAGACTGAATGGTAATATTATGGAAAGCCAGGCATCAAGCCCCTGGGCTTTTGAATATAGCCGGATTATATCACCTACCTCGAGGTTGCTGATGTTTTTGGCTGGCTTTATAGAGGTGGATTAAATTTATTTAGGGATTTTCTTGCAGGCATAGATTGAATCCTAGTCATTTCTCTTATAGGTATGGTGATAGGTTTACAGATGCCTGAACAGGTGAGTAGGGATGGTTTAGGGAGGCGTTCCCCACTTCTGGCTCTCAGACCCCTGGGAGAGGTGGTAGGTATGGTGGTGGTGTGGGTCATATATTGGGGGGGGGAATGATTTCAAGTTGGTAAATCCATGTGTTTGCCAAGCTTTGCTTTTTACTTGTGTGTGATTGAGTGTAATATAATACCGATTTATTTCAAAACACTTCTGATTTGCCAGTAGCTTTTTGTCACAGTGTACCTATTTTAATTAAGATTTTTCTAGATATTTGAGAAAGTCTCCTCAGACAGAAACAGAACTAGTAGAGGACCACTGGTTTGGGGAACAGCTACATCCCTGTGACTAGGTCATGGTCTCCTCTGTGTATTCAGGGGCATTCGTTATGTAGCACACACGACAGTCCTTTAGTGTGGACACTCTTCTCCTCTGCTGGTGAAGGGCTTTGTCAGCTGTTGCCCTCCTTTTCTCCACGTTAGGCAAGAAGGAGCAATAATTTATATTAGGAAACAATGAAAAACATTAGGCTGACCTGTTGTTCAAAACAGACATTTCTGCTTATGAGAATCTACTTATAAGAATTATCTCCATATCTGTACACCCATATTCATAGCAGCATTAACAACAACAGCCAAGAAGTGGAAACAATCCAAGAGTGCACTGATGGATTAATGGGTAAAGAAAATGTGGTGTATACATACAAGTGGAATCCTTTTCAGCTTTAAAGGCAAGGACATTCTATCACATGTTACAACATGGATGGAAGTTGAAGACATAAAGCTAAATGAAATAATCCAGTCACAAAAAGACAACTACAGTATAATTCCACTTTATGCAGTATCTAAAGTAGTCAAACGCATAGAAACAGAAAGTAGGATGGTCGTTGCCAAGAGCTGCAGGGAAGGGAAATGGGGTATAGTTTAATGAGTATAGGGTTTCAGTTTTGCAAGATGAAAAATTTCTGGTGATTGGTTGCACAACAATGTGAATATACTTAACAGTAGTGAACTGTAAACTTAAAAATTTACAATGGTAAATTTTTTGTTCTGTTTTAAAAATCACAATAAAAAGAATCATCGCGTTTCTAGTTTCTAAGCCATGTTGACTTGTGCCCGTCTTGTCTTTTCCATGGTGCGGGCACCTTCCCAATTTTCTCATACTGTGCATCTCACATACCTTCCTCCTATGGGAATTCCTCAGAATCCAGGTTAGACTTGTTCTGGGATCTCTCACCTGTGGGATCCTGCTGAGACCAAAGGGAAGACTGCCTTTGCCTCTGGGCCACTGCTGTGGTGGGTGTCTACTCTTCCTGTCTCTTAGCATCTATAATCTGTTTCTTCCTGGCCCAACAGCTCTCTGGAGATCCAAACTCTGTCATTTTCTGCAGCTGCATTGATTAGTTGCATCATTAGGTTTGGTTTAATTGCAGTGACTCTGCTGTTAACGATTTTTACAAGGTACAGCAGGAAAAAAGTCTTTGGGTGCTTCTGTCTCCCCAAAAGATAAAATGTAATTATTTTTCCATATCATTTGAATTTTTATTGTTAATAAATGCCTGGCACTGTTTTTTGGTGTGACATTTAAGTCCAAAGGGATATTGTGGAGCCTGCATATATATAATTTAATGTAGAGCATAGAATTTTAGTGCTGGAAGGGATTTCTGAGAGCTTTAATTTCAACTTCCTTTTTTTATAGGGGAGGAATTTGGGGCCCTGATTAGGAAAGTGTTTAATGGCAAAGCTGGAATCAGTCTTAGGTCACAGTTTGTATTTTGTGCTCTATTTCTTGATGCACCCCCTTGGAATTTAGAAAACTATATCTAGTTCCAGGGATCTGAATACCATTCATTTTAGAGCATAATATATCTATTAGCTTGAAGTGATTGTATGTCCAGTCTGCTAGCAGTGAGAAGTGGCTATACCGTTTATAAATTCTTCAGACCATGTCTGAAGTCCTATGTCAGTTGCCTTCTCTTTACCCCAGATAAGTGCTTCTGTGCCAAAGTCAACTTCTGAACTTAATGCTTCCAAGGAGCTGGCTATTAGAGGATTGCTGGATTAAATCATTTTGAAAATGGAAGAGTTCTTCTATAACATGACAAAAATCATCCTTGAATTAACCTTTCTTGGGAAATAATGTTTGCATTCAACTTTGACTCCCTCTTCCCTTTCCTCATTTACACTTGTATGATACTCTTCAGGGACCTTGTACATTACTTCTTGTGAGATTGTAAGCTTCCCAAGCCTCCCTGTTGCCTCTGAGTGCCCAGCACATGGAAGGGAGTTTTAAAATTTTTTTTCTCTTCTCAATCTGGCTGTACTGAATTTAAGTAGACCATTCATAGGGTTGAAGGAAAAGTATGATCACAAATAAAATGCAGCTTCCTAATGCAATGTGAATAGCATTTTGTAACCAGTTAGAATTAGCCACACCCAGTTTCATGGGGAGGTGAAATTTGGTCTCAGTTCTGAAGAATGGGCAGAGAATTTGTGAAGATAATTATAGTAGAGGAAAAATAGCATACCCAGGAAGAAGGAAATATAGAGAAGGGGGAGGGGAGGAGAAAACGCAATGTCTAGGGTGGAGGTGGGCAGTGGACTTTCCTTTTGGAGTGTTTACCTGGCTCATGTGAGCCCTGATGCTCTGCCTCGTTCTCCACCATTTGTAGTAGTGGGCTCCTCCATGGCCATTCTGTCTGGAAGCATCCTGCCAGATACCTACAGTTGATTGAGCTAGGGACAAGCCCCTAACCCAAGATCAGAGCCTCTTTCCTGGGTATTTGGACTAGGAGCTGGGAGAGGAACTTAGGTAGCTGGGTTTGTGTCATGTGAGCTTGGGAGCTGGGAGGTGGACAACCTGGTATCTGCCAGGAGGCTGAACAAGGGGAAGAGAATGGTCAGCAGAGGGTGATTTTCCAGTCCTTAGGGCCTTGCCTGGTTGTAGGGCCTGGCTATAGCCCTGCGTGCACACTCATGTCAATATTCTTGTGGCTGCAGCATAGATTCTCCGCAGGTCCCCAATCTCCTCTGGGGAGAAGTGAAGATGGCTCTATTACTTGCTTCTAAGAGTGTTAAGAATAAAGGGAGTCTCAGGAAGCAGAGTGAGTCCGGCTGTATCTCAGGAGCTTGTTGCTGAGGTTTGGTTTTGATCTCCTTGGAGGCCAGGTCTAGTGGCTTGCTTGGTCCTAGTGTGCCTGGGTCAGTATGTTGTCTCTGCTGTGACTTAGCACATCTGGCCATTCTGAGTTCAGCACCTGAGAGAGGGGATCATTGGTTGGAAGCTTATGTATTTATCTGGTAAACCTTGGACACCTACACTGCATTCTGCACCCAACCCTATTGTGACACCAGGCAGAGCCTATATGATGCATGCTCAGGCACTTGAGAGGGTGGGAGTGGAGGAGCCAGGGTGCTCCAGGGAGCAGAAAGACATCACAGGGAAGGTGATGTAGGGTTGGATGTAGGCAACTGCCTGGTGGACAGGGGGAGCATCTAGGCAGAGGTAGAAGGATGTGTCAGGTGGGGAAGAGCATGACACAGGGGATGCAGGGAGAAGTCCAGAGCAGATTGCATTTGAGAGAGAAAGGGAGGTGTGGTTGCCCTCACAGGTGGAAGCTAGGTCACAAAGTGCCTTGGGAGCCTGGCTGAGGCTCGCTCTTCATGGGTAGGATGACTGTACATCTCACTGTGTCACGCTTTATGCCTGTTTATGCCTGTTATCCTGGTACAATGATGAACGGTGTCCCTCTTTCACTCTCAAAAGTGCCCAGGTTTAATAAGAAATATCTTTGTCCTACTTTTAGATGATGGGACCTACTGAAGGATTTTAAACAACGAAGGGACAGGGTGAGATTTCAAGTTAGGGAGATGATTCAGGAGGCAGGGGAGAGGATAGAGGGACAGGAGCATGCCTGGAGGCCAGCTTAGAGAGAAAGGCCTGAGCAAAGCAGTGGTAATACAACGGGGTAAGATAGTGCTCATGTGAAAGCTAGCAAGGAGGTACAGACCACAGCCGTTGGTGAACCCATGGCTGTCTGGAGAGGGGCTAGTGAGGATAGCTGAATAAGGGCAGGCTTTGGCAGGGGTGCAGTTGAAGTTTGTTTTAGGTCTATGGTTTGGGGTCATGGGGAAGCCGGACAAGGAGTCAAGTGTGGACCTGAAAGTAGTGGTCTGGGGCCCAGGAGAGAAGACTGGCCTGGGACAGCCATCTGCAAGTCATTCGGTTGTGGGTGAGAACTGGATCCATCAGTGTGGATGCTACTGTTCAGGGGGAGTGGTGTCACAGAAGAAGAGAAAATGAAAGACTAAGCCTTTGTTTAGGGATACAAGTGTTTAAGGAAAAGGCAAGGAGAAATGAGTGCACACAAAGGACACTGAGAAGGACCAAAGAAAGAGGGAGGAGGAGACCTAAGGGCATGGCAGGAATAGCTGTTACCATGAATTGGAGGTCTGCTATGATTCACATACTATGCTGAGAACTCCAGGTCCCTCACTTTGTAAATCTGCAACAGTCTTGCAGGTGGGTGGAATTAGCCATGACTTAGGGGCTCCGAGTTTAAATAACATGTCCAAGTTTAGCTGTCCAGCCAAAGTGGCAGATCTGTGTTTTCTTTTTCCCCAAAGCCCATGTTCTTTTCCACCCCATGGGAATGGTGGTGGTAGCAGAGATGGAGGCTCCAGAGTCCAGAAAACCTCCTCCTTTAGGGGACCTCAGTAACTTGGGCAGATGTCAAATTGGAGGAACTTGAGCATTACAGGTGCCAATGAGAGGGAGGCCCACTGGGCTCATTTCTCTGTTGGCCCCACTGAGCAGGTCACATGACAGGGACCTGGACAAGAAGGCTGTTTAAAATGGAACATGAAAAACAATGCCAGGAATTTAATTGCACCGTGAATTGTGGCCAGAAAAGGAACCTAGCAACAAACTCATTTTCTGTTGGGCACAAGGCACAGAGGATCTACTATAATTATTTCTGTTGTTTTCCTTGTTGGCACATGCCTCCCTGTTTAATATTTCCTTCCTTGAGTGCACATGGTGGATCAGTTTTTATCTAAGGTAGTGGTGTTAGAATTGTTTAGCTACATTGTAAAGAGTTTGTGGGATCCTCGGTTAGTGTGAGTG
Organism: Homo sapiens; assembly: GCF_000001405.40. Taxonomy (NCBI): domain Eukaryota; kingdom Metazoa; phylum Chordata; class Mammalia; order Primates; family Hominidae; genus Homo; species Homo sapiens. The sequence continues at coordinate 137,442,596 of NC_000005.10, read as the reverse complement.
TGGGCACACACCTGAATCTGACATTTATGGAGCACCTACTCTGTGTGCAAGGTAGTGGGCTTCAGTGTTGTACACGCACTATCTTATTTAATTCTTGGCACAACCATGTGAGTTAGGTAATATCATTGTCATTTCACCAGTGCAGAAACAATACTAAAGGAAGTTAGCAATTTGTACAAGATCCCATGGCTGATAAATGGCAAATTGGAGATTTGAACCCAATTCTCCCTGGCCTTCCCAGTTACTCTCTACATCTTCTCTGGGCTGGTGTTTTATCCAAGTCAGAGCCTCCTTGCCTGCATCTTCCCCCCGCTCCCCCGTCCCCGAACTATGATTGTTCTTGAAGACTCGTAAGGGCTAGCATGACTGTTTAAAAAGTAACTGGTTGAATGACCCAAAACATTTCAAACAACCCATATAGAGGCCTTAGTCTGCAGCTGGACTAGCTGAGGTCTTGGGATTAGCGTTAGCTGAAGTCCCAGGAGGAATGGATCAAGATCTGCCAGAATGTCATCAGTAAGTGAACACTCCAGGCCTGTCACTGACAGACTTTGTTCTTTTTGCCTCTTTAGAAGTGGAAGGAGGTTGTTTCTGAGACTCAAGAAATTGTGATGCTATCAAACACCCTGTGGCCTTTAGGGGTGGCTCTGGGACCATTTATTCTTGCAGGGGACATGCTTTCTGGCTCTGTTGGGGGTTCTGCACCTGCCTAGTTGTGAGTAGGTAACTGCTCATCCTCAGAGAGCTGGAGTGAGTGTCCTTTTAAAAGCCAATGTCTTACTACATAGACAGAAACATTCCCTTTGTTTGAGATCTCTTGCTTATGGATTTTCTTTTGTTACCAGAGTGGGTCTGTGCTCTTTTGCTAATGAATTACCCAGGAGTCAATGGCCCATGCTCAATGGATTGGTGTTGCCATCCGTGCAGCATAAGACACAGCTGCCAGCCTTGTGTGACTGGGACCCAAGGGTCAGAGCCTCCAAAGTGATTACAAAGCTCTGCCATCAGCCACTTTTCCATTCCCTTCCTACATGCCAGGGAGCCCTGCAAATACACATTTGCTCATTTGCCTGTGGTGAGCAGTGGTTTCAGCCTGGCGGGTGGCTAAGATGGCTGATTTGATTTATCTTACTAAATAGTATGATTTGATAAAAGTTGGAATCATAGACTTAAAGCTGAAAGGAACCTTGGTCCAGTCCCAAAGGAGAACACCAAGGCTGGAGAAAGGTGGTGATTTCCTTGGCTAGGTCTTGAGGAGACTCTGAGGTGACAGCTGAGGCAGTGGCCCTCTGCCTCATACCCTGGTGATTTTTCTCTGCTACCACTTCAGATGTCTCCATGGCAAATGCTTCCAAGGCTGGTCCTATTGCCTGAGAAAATTGGAAAAGAAGTTTATAAAGAGATTGGAGAAACCTCATCAGTTTTCCAGTGGCTGTTGGTGAGTTTCTTCTCAGCCACTCTGATGTTGAACGTCTGATTGTGACTCACCTATTTCTATCCAGAATCACAGGAAGAGTTGTGACGGATGTTCAATCACCTGCAGACAAGTGAACGAGCATTAGTTGTCATTATGAGAAAACTCCTTTACTCTTCAGGTTATTAAAGAACTATTACTGCCCTCCAACAGTCATGTAATAAGTGAAGCCTCCTGAAGCTGAATGGCAGCAATAAGTGCCTCATTTGCACCTAAGGATTTGCTTGCTCTCTCAGCAGGATCTGGGTCAATAGACATTATTTTCATAAGACATTCATCTTTCTTTACTCATATTAGACAGGCTTATTTTTTCTGGAACTTGCTTTTGAAGCAGTAGGCTTTGGGGAAAAAATAAAACTGGCAGATTATAAGAATAAAAGCTTAAATCAAATTTAGATATAAAAAATAAAATATAACTTCCAGGGAACCAAATCACGACACAATTTCCATTTATATCAACACTTCACCATAATGTGGTTTAGACTCAAAATTTGATTCTGAGTTCTGTAAGATGATTGCTCGTAGCAAAGGTACAGTTATACCCACTGGATGGTGCTTAAGTTGGAGAGATCATTTTAAAAAGATCGTGAACAGCAAGTGGCAGGGGTTAACCCTTGACATAATCAGATTTCACTTATGAGAGTTTGTTGTGTAATCATTCCTGTAGCTCTTGGCTTTGCTCTTTAATGAACATCCCTCCAAAGCTAACTGTACATACTCTTCCCTACCATTACATTCTTGGGCCATGCAAACTTATTTCTTCCTTCCCTTTCTGTCTTCTTCCTTTGTCTTTGTCTTTTCTCTTTCCTTCCTTTCTTCTCTATTTTCTAGGAGCTTTTCTCAAGTTTATCTTTCAACTCTCTATTAACTTTTCCATGTCTGTGAATATACACAAATACATAAATGTAACTTTCCAGGCCTTTTTTCTTTTCTTTCCAGATGTTCTTTTATTTTGTCTATAATTACTATTTCATGGTTACTATCATTTCTTATCTCTCTAAAGATATTCATGGTAATCATTTTAAAGATTTTTCCCCCTCCCTGCAGAGTCTTTTTTTCTCCAGGCTTTTTACTTTCTTTTCCCCTCTGTTTTGATCTCCATTTTCCCGTGAAAGGCTTTCCTCCAATCTCTGATAATATTCAGTTGTTGTTCATCTGTAAGAGGGACTACAAAGCTGTTTGGACGCTTTGATGTGTGGGTGGGGCTAGTTGACACTGAGCTTCACTGTAGGGTGATCTGGCTGGGCTGTTTGATTAAGAATCAGTGTTGGTATCTTCAGGTCTTTCCTCTTAGGCTTCTCAGACTTCAGAGAAGATGCTTATCATCTGCCACCTGTAGAGTGAATGGCCAGCTGCCATTTTTACTGGGAGCCAGCGAAGATGAGAGGGTTGTGTTTGTGTGTGGTGGGGTGTGTGTCTTGGCATCTCCCTTTGTTTAATACTCCTACTTTAAATGAGGTACCCCAGCCTTAAACCTATGCCCTCAATTAACAGACCCTGTGAGGTACCAGTTATTAAACCTCCTGTATTTTGCCATGGTAGAGAAGGAGCAGGCAGCTCTGTTGTGCAGAGTGGCAGAGGAAGTCTAGGGGCCTGACTGCTTGTTGATCACAATTGCAATCAATTCTTTTTACTTTAGCCCCCTCACCCCCTACCTCTGGAGGAATCTATTAATAATAGCATGAGCTTTTCAGCCTTTTGGGACTTATAGTGTTAAATGGATTGGTCCTTAGCTCTCCCTGTGCTAGTTTACACTTTGGTGTCCTCAGGTCAGCTGAGACTTTAATGAGTGAGGAAGCCTAGGGCAAGAGAAGGGAAGTGGCTTGTCTGTCCTTATAGAACTAGTTAGGGCAGAAGCTGGCATAGAAACTGGGTCTTTTGACTCTTCATCCAGCATTGAAACTATCCTGTGTACTTCAGCACTGTGTCACAGCCACACCCACATGCAACATCCCCATCCTCTGTCTCTTCATCTCCTGTCCTCCCCTTGTCTGTTTCGTGTGACTGCTACACTAATCCTATGAATTAGGCTTGATTATCTTGATTTTACAAATAAGGAAACTGAAACTCAGATGGTATAATTTGCTTGTGGCCACAGAGCTATTTGGTGGTAGAACCAGCATCTGACTCCAAAGTGTGTGCTTTACTGATGCATTGCACCCTCTTAAGTCACGTGTTGAGTTGTTGAGCCCTGCCTAACGAACCCAAATGATCTGAAAACTTTACTTACTTTTATCATGGACTTTTACAGCTGACTTGACTTGGAAAACTTAAGTAATGGTTATTTTCCTTGTGATTGGGGAGTCTGTCTAGTCTACCTCCTACTGCTCTCTCTGCAATTCAGCAGCCTGCCTGCCAGTTCATTTTGGCTGAGAAGAGATGCTACCTTCCTTTTGGAACCTATGGGTGGGAATTCAGACAAACAGGTCATCAGGTTCAGCTTGGTGGCTTCTGTGTGTGTGTGTGTGTGTGCATATGCAAATATCTCCAAATGAAATTTTAGAAATGAAGTTTTCTTACAAAGGCACACAGTGGTGATAGATTGGGCTGTAGATATTCCCTTCCAGGGCAGATTCTAAGAGGGGAATTGGCTGTAGATATTCCCTTCCAGGGCAGAACTGCATTCACTACTTTGAGGACTTGCATTTCTCCTTTGGGTTATTTAGGAGGTGTACCCAGGAGCTGCCTGGTTTGGGTTTTCTCTGCTCCCTGTAGTCTTCCTTCTATTAGGCAAGGTGTCACCCTTGGGCATTCCTCTCCCTTTCCCATATCCCATTCATCTGCAAGTCCTCTCATTTTATCTTTCATTATATTAATCCAAATATATCTTGAACTCATCTACTCCCATCCAGTTTCCCATCTCTCCTTGAGGGCAGACCGCCATCATCTCCTGCCTGGACCTGTGCAGGAGCCCCCAGTTTCTGGTCTCCCTCCCTGCTCCCTACTTCTTCCCTCACTGCCCCCTTACCTCTCCCTCCCTTCTCTTCTCTTTAAAAAAGCTCATAATGTATTCAGCCTAAAAAAGGAAAGAAATTCTGACATATGCTAAAACATGGATAAACCTTGGGGCCATTATGCTAAGTGAAATGAGCCAGTCACAAACAGACAAATACTGTTATGATTCTACTTATATGAGATACTTAGAGTAGTCAGAATCACAGAAACAGAAATTAAGGTGGCAGTTGCCAGGAACTGGGTGGGGAGAGGGAATGGGGAGTTACTGTTTGATGGGTATAAATTTCAGTTTCTCAAGATGAAAAAGTTCTGGAGATTGGCTTCAGGGAATCGACTTAACACTACCAAACTGTAGACTTAGAAGTGGTTACTATAGTTTACAATAATCTGTACATTTCAAAAGAGCTAGAAGAGAATAATTTGAATGTTTCTAGCATATGTAAATGACAAGTATATAAGGTACTAGATATCCCAAGTACACTGATTTGATCTTTACAAATTATATGAATGTGTTAAATTATCACATGTATTCCATAGCTTTGTACATTTATTATACATCAATTAAAAATTGTTTTAAAAAGGTTAAGATGGGAAAGTTAATGTATATTTTACCACAATTTAAAAAAACTACAGGATTTCTTTTAGAGGTGATAAAAATGTTCTAAAATCCATTGTGGTGATAGTTGCACAACTCTACTAAAACCCATTGTGCACTTTAATTGGGTGAATTGTATGGTATACGGATGATGATCTCAATAAAATTGTTAAAAAACTTAATCTCTTTTATTGCAAACCTGCTTTATAATATCCATCAGGGCTGACCTCTGTTTCCTCTGTGCTCCTCTACAGGGATTCAGAGATGGTTTTCATGAAGAGATATCTCTGTCTTGGCTCAGCTCCAAAGGCTAGTCATTTCTGTCCCAAACTGAAGTTCCCTAGAAGGACTTTGGTTTGGTTGTACCCACCTCTTGGGATGAGATGGAGGATGAGGAGTGGCGGGAAAGTGTACCATGATGGCAGAACTATCAGAGGTAGTTGTGTGATTATTTTAAGATGATTTTTTATTCTTTGAAAATATAAAATTGGCACTGAGCATGAAAGAACAATTGTGAGTCTGCTACACAGTGTAGCCCACCCAGTTCTGTCCTGATACTAGGGCTTTCGGACCCATTCGTCACTCATTCATTCCGGAAATGTTGGGCCCTCTCTGTCAGACCCTAAAGAGAGACAGGCACATATTTCATGATGTGATGTTGAAATTCAGGCATACAATCTCAGACTTTCTTTGCTTGGTGTAGTTTACTTAGGAGTAAAAATGTATAAAACACACAGGAATAGCATAACAGGAAATGTTACAGAATCCTTATGAGGAAAATCACAAAAATTTACTGAATGACATAAAAGGAGACTTCAATAAAGGGAGATATGTGCTGCCAGTTTCTCTCTGTGTGATAAAGATGTCAGTTCTTTCCAAAGTAATGTATCATTTCACCCCATTCCAATCAGCATCTCAGCTGGGGTTTTCTTTCTTTCTTTCTTTTTTTGGATTGTGTCAAATTATTCTCAAATATGAATATGCTAGCTGGAATTGCCAAAAAATTTTTGGAAATGATGCATAATAGAGGAGATTTACATTTCCAGATATAAAATGTACTCAAATGATGCTAATTAAGACCACGTGGTTATTATTGCAGGAACATGCCAGTAAGTGGAACAGAATAGTCTAGAAACAGAGCCTAATGTGAAAGAGGGTTTAGTACATGATGGAGGGAAAGGATGAATTATTTAATATATTCTAAGTTAACTATTTGGAAAAAATGGGATTAGAGCCTTTCCTCACCCTATATACCAAAATAAATTTTGATTTGATGCAAAAATTTTAATAATAAAAAATGAAAAGTAGGAAAAATTGTGGTTAACTCTGACATTAGGGAAGTCAACAGAAACAAAATATCACTGGAGGAAAATGACTCATTTCTCCATACAGAATTAATATATATATAGTTTTTTGAGACAGAATCTCACTCTGTCACCCAGGATGGAGTGCAGTGGTGTAATTCTGGCTCACCGCAACCTCCACCTCCTGGGTTCAAGCAATTTTCCCTGCCTCAGCCTCCTGAGTAGCTGGGATTTACAGGCATGTGCCACCAACACTCGGCTAATTTTTACATGTTTTAGTAGAGACTGGGTTTTGCCACGTTGCCCAGGCTGGTCTTGAACTCCTGACCTCAGGTGGTCTGCCTGCCTCAGCATCCCAAGTGCTGGGATTACAGGTGTGAGCCACCGCGCCCAGCTAAAATTAGTGTTTTAATAAGTAAAAAAACTCCCCCAAGAAATTAAAATTAAGATGCTGGTAAAAAAAAAAATCTAAGAAAAACACATGCAACAAAGCATTAATTTTGTTAATATAGAAATAAGAACAACACTAAAACCTTAGTGGGAAAATTGGTGAAGGCAGTAAGATGGCAATTAACAGAATAAATACAAATAGCTAATAAACACGAAAAAAATCTTAAGCCTTTCAATGCCTCCCACTTTACTTAAAGAAATACATTTTATAGGATGGCTTATATGTGCCCCTTAAGAAAATCATGTTTTCAAAGAACTCTTAATATCCTAAGGAAATGAGTTTAATATGAAGTGGAAACAACAGGAGACAAAATAGTGTATCAAAAATCTGTAAAACAGAGAAACATACAAAAAAATTGGTAAGAAATTCACTGAAAGTTAAGTAATGCTGTTGGAAAGGAAAGAAAAGAGTTTTAAATTTGAGCTATTTATTATACCATTGGTAGAAATGTAGATTGGTATAACTTTTAGATAAATCAATTTGGCAGGTCTTATTAGAACTTTAACGAGTCAATGAATGCCATCCCAAGAGTTTATTTTTGAGAATTCTCTTAAGGAATTAATTAGAGATGCAACCATAGGTTTATCTATGTGAATGTAAGTCAGTTTATTGATGAAAGTTTAAAAATTGGGAACAAGCTATAAATCCAGCAATGAGAGGTTACTTAAAGAAATTAAATGTACTTGATATCATGTTTAATGGTAGAACAAGATGTAAGATTATAAATATAACATGTTCGCATTGTGATAAAAGTATGTAAGCTTAGAAATGACATTGGAAGTAAGTGCAAAATGTTAATTGTGATCATATGTGGTTAGTGGGATTGTTGGAAATTTTAATTCTTTTTGTTTCTTCATGTTTTCCATATTTTCTTCTTTGAACATTTATTACTTTTATAATCAGAATCTTGCTTCATAGAATACTTATTATTTAAGCAAACAATTCATTGATATTTCAGGAATTATACAAATTCTGTAGGCTACTGATATTTACCAGTTAACATTCTTAAGAAATGGAGGCCGGGCGTGGTGGCTCACGCCTGTAATCCCAGCACTTTGGGAGGCCGAGGCGGGCAGATCACGAGGTCAGGAGATTGAGACCATCCTGGGTAACACGGTGAAACCCAGTCTCTACTAAAAATAAAAAAAAAATTAGCTGGGCGTGGTGGCGGGCGCCTGTAATCTCAGCTACTAGGGAGGCTGAGGCAGGAGAATGACGTGAACCCAGGAGGCGGAGCTTGCAGTGAGCCGAGATCGCACCATCGCACCATGCACTGCAGCCTGTGTGACAGAGCGAGACTCCATCTCAAAAAAAAAAAAAAAAAAAAAAAAAAAAAAGAAAAAAAAGAAATGGAGAAGGGAAATCTTTTTCTCAATCACTTTTAAGGATTTGTACCTACTTCCTTGAGATCTAATATAGTTTGAGTGTGAGACCTGAAAGGTAATAGTAGGAGAGTCCCCATTTATCCTGCAGATCTATCAAAGATCATTGGAATGGGGGATGTTTTTTAGGAGTTGAGGTAAATTCTATTGTGAAGGACTGAAGATCAATAAAGAAATGTCTCTTTTTTCCCCAAATGACAGCTGAGGAAGAAAGATAGATCATTACTCACTGCCTATTTGGAGGCTGTTCACGAACTGCTTTTAAAAACCAGTGTTCGGTTCAGCAACTTTGCCATTTCTTCAGATGGTCAGTTTTGGTGGATCTGTTTAATTAGATTTAAACATGGCATCTGTAGCCTCAATAAATTCAAATAATTAAGCTTCATGATTTCTTGTGTGTTATAAATGTCACTAAAATTGCTGTTGCAGAACAGATTATTTCTTTGGTAATTGCAATTTTTGTCATGAATTGTTTCATCACTTATAGTGATTAGAACTTTGAAATAATTCCTTAAAATGGTACTCAATTGAATACTTTTTTTTGATTGGGTCTCCTTGTCCATTTTTTTCCCCTCAATTATTTGTGCTAGTGTACTTGCCTTCCATTTAGATAAGGACATGGAAAATGCTTTCAAAGGGCACAATGCCCAGAGTTCAAGTTGTCCTGGGAGGGTAGTCTCAGTGTTCCTTTGGAAGGGAAGCTTTGTTCTAGTTGGTTGGATTCCATCTGGGAGCATGCATGATAAAGGTTTTTGGGAGGTTAGGACTGGCCTGTGGTGTCCATCAATAACCAAAGGCCTTCTGAGATGTTCGCCCGTTTGCTATGCTTCTCCATCTCTTGGGAAGTAGCCTAGACAATAGTGACATGAAAGAGGTGGTTTTGGCAGCCAAATGGGGCCTGCCTCTCCTGAGCATCAATGCTAGACATCTGGAGGATTCTACAGATCTTCCTATCTGCTGGTCAATGATTGAATTGACAATTTTGACAACTTGATGTGTGCTAAGAGAGTCCTAGGTGCTGTGGATGCAAACACATCTTTATCTCCTGCCCTCCTCCATGAAATAAAGACATGGCTTCTCTGCCTAGTGAACTGGCTATTGTCTTTTCTGTTCACCCTAATGTACAGTTCCCTCTAACCAAACAAGATGCTCTGCTGTCTCTGCTCACATTGCTGCTATTTCTACCTGGAATCATCTGTAACACTCCTTCTGTTTCAGCAATAAAGGTTCTGGTTTTTCAAGTCCAGCTCCATTTCCGTCTCTTCTTTGGAACTTTCCTCAAACCCCAAAGCCAGAAGCAGTGGCTTTGCTCTCTGAAGATTCTGCATTTGTCTTCAAGGCAGGTGCTACATCTTACCTTGTAGTGTGGCTATTTGTGAACATCTTTTTGCCTTCCACAGGGCAGGAAACCATTTGACTTACCTTTGGTTTCCTAGAGAAAGAAGTAAATATGCTTGTTTGCTGCATGGATGAAATGCCTTTTAGATATGTTCATCTAGGACAAATATGCAATGGGGGCAAGCATTTCAGCATTTGACCCAGGGTTGTACCCAGCCAGTGGTATTGTCTGACAACTTACCGAGTTACTGAAAACTCAGTAAGATGATAATATCAGTATTAGGATCAGTAATGCAGGTCATCATTTTATTTCATTTTTATTTTAAAAATTTATTTAAAAATGCAATAAAATATAACATAAAATTCACTATTTTAATCTGTGAACTTCTGTGGCATTAAGTATATTCACATTGTAGTGCAACCATCACCACTGTCTAGCTCCAGAATTTTTTTCGTCTTGCATAATGGAAGCACTGTTCTCCTTTTCTCCCAGCCCCAGGCAACCACCATTCTACTTGCTGTCTCTGTGAATAGTTTGACTACTCTAGGTGCCTCACATAAGTCAGGCAGGAATCCTAACAGCATCTGTCTTTGTGTGTCTGGCTTATTTCACTTAGCATAATGTCTTTAGGATTCATTCATGGTGTGTCATATGTCAGAATTTCCTTTTTTTATGGCTGAATAATATTTCGTTGTATTATATACTACATTTAAAAAATCTTTTCACTGGTCAGTGGACACTTGGGTTGTTTCTACCTTTTGGTTATTGTGAATAATCCTGCCATGAGCATGGGTATACAGATATCTTCTCCAGTCCCTGCTTTCAGTTCTTTTGGGTGTATATCCAGAAGTGGAATTGCTGAGTTATATGGTAATTCTATGTTTATCTTTTTGAGGAACCTCAGTGCTGTTTTTCCATAGCAGCTGCATCATTTTACTCTCCCATCAGTGGTGCACAATTTTTCCATATCCTCATACCAACACTTGTTATTTTCTGGGTTCGTTTTTGTTTTATGTAATAACCATCCTAAGGGGTGTGAAGTGGTATCTCATTGTGGTTTTGATTTGCATTTACTTAATGATTATGGTTATTATCTTTTCATGTGCTTATTGGCTGCAGTTTATCATTTGAGTAGTTATTTATCTAGACATTGCACAAAAACTCTTTACATGCACTGTCTTAGTCCATTTTGTGTTGCTGTGATAGAATACCAAAGACGGGGCAATTTATAAAGAAAAGAGGCTTATTTAGCTCATAGTTCTTCAGGCTGGGAAGTTCAATGGCATGGCCTTGGTTTCTGGTGAGAGCTTTTAAGTTGCATCATAACATAGTGAGAAGGTCAAAGGGGAAGTGGACACATGCAAAGAGACAAAACACAAGGGACATCCTGGCTTTGTAACTATCCACTCTTGCAGGAACTAGTACATTTTCCTTGAGAAATAATCCAGTCTTGCCAGAGGAAGAACTCACTCACTACCTCCAGAATGGCACCAAGCCACCCACCAGGGTGAGACCCTCATGACCCAAACACTCCCCACTGGGTCCCACCTCCCAACACCACCACACCGGGGATCAAATTTAGACATGAGTTTTGGTGGGGACAAACAAACCATATCCAAATCATGGCATATACCATCTCACTTATTCCTAACAGCAAGCCTGTGAAAAAGGCAGTTATAGTATGTTCATTTCATGGAAGATGGAAACAGAACTCTGAGCAGTTAAATAACTTGTCCAGCCCCACGCAGCCAGTGGGTGACTGAGCTGGTACACAAACCCAAGTGTGTCTAGTTCAAAGGCTGTGTGCTTAATCATCTCCTGAACCATGCATTCCAAGACTGTTTGGCTGTAGGTAACAGAAAACCTCTCCTACACTGATTTAAAGAATGAGGAGTTTGTTTTTCTTACTTAATAACTAGTCTGAAGGGCTATAGCTGCTGTCCTTGCCTCATTAGCTCAACAACATCAGAGCTAACATCTGATTCTCTGGGTCTTTCCCGTATGGCTCCCTCATTGCTTCCTGTTTGTGGGGTGGCTGTTACAGCCCCAAACATTACACCTAGGATGAAGATGGGGAGAAGAAATAAGGGCCAAACTAGCTTGGACTGTCTTTATAAAAAATTAAAGCAAAAGCTTTCATAGAAGCCTCTGAACAGATTTCTACAGACATCGCTGTGGCCAGAACTAGATCATGTGATGACCCCTCAGTGTAAAGAAGGCAAGTGGATGGGTGACTCTGCCATCTCTGCAGTGAAAGGCAGCAAGGGAAAAGGTGTTTGCCGTGGCTTTTGGGCAGCCACTCAACAGTCAGTTACGGTATACATTTCTGGAGGAATCCAGGGTTTATTTTTCCTTAATTAGAATTCTAAAGCCAAAATGAGAGTGATTAAGTTCCTCTGCCGCATTTTAACTGGAAACAAATTTTATGTCAAAATCTTCTCCAACCAAGGAAGACATATACAAAGATAATGAAAATACCAGGAGAGGTGGATAAAAGGTTTAAGTCCAATCACTTAGTAGATTGTAAAGGACTATGCAAATGTAGTTTTGCTAGGCTGGGAGCTTCCTGGGGCAGAGGCTGTGTCTCATCATTGCTGAATCCCCAGGGTCTAGCACAGGGCCTGAAACATCATGGGCAAAATAAATAGGTGATTACAGAATTGGCTGAAGCATCATTTTAATATGCCAGTGGTAGAAAAGCTTCCAGGACACCCAGCTGTCCTGGATGAAGGAAGAAGCTGTCTGTGAATTGCGGAGTATGAGCTGGGGTGATGGATAGTCTTTTTGCCCACCTGTGAATAGAGCCTTTGGTATATTCTATAATAATGCTATAGGTAGGTTTAAATCTAAATTTAAATTCCAAGTAAATACACTGTGGCAGAAATCAGCCAGCAATGTCATCTTTTTAAGATGGATCACCTGCCATGTGGCTCTGTGTGCTAGAATGTTGAACACACCTCTGTGTAGTAAGATTAGTATCATGTGTTTATCATCCTCATCAAACGCTGTTTACCAGCTGCCTGGGGGAGCAGCAACTGCTCAATATGAAATGCTCTCCTGCCTTCCCAAGTACTTGCTATTCTGGCCTGGATTGAGGTGGACACACAGGAATTGAAGACACACTTCACAAGGTGTCCTAGAACAGCCACGTCTCTGGAGAGACCACTCAGGCCAGATTCTACACCAATCATAGTGTACACATCAGCTTGCTTAATTTCTGCCATAGTGTTGTAAGATTTAAGTGGTCAGTCCATCCAGGATTTGAATAGAGATCTCTGGTCTCCACAGTTTAGTTTTTCTCCTCTCTTTTGGGTTATAGATGGATTGATCTCTTGGGTCTACAGTGACTTCAGTATCAGTATGGGCTAAGGATTGAACTGTGGATTAAGAGTCCAGGGTTTAATAAACCACAGCTCTGCCAAAGAAGACAAGGCTTTGGGAAATCCCCTTTCCTTTTCTAGGCCTCAGTTTATTCTTCTCAGTTCATGTGGGCATGCTGAATGTGCTAAGCCAAATCATACTTACTGATTGCCTACTATGAGCTAGGGAATGCACTGGCTCTGAGGCCGTTGTACTGAGCATGTTGAACTTGTTTCTGCCTTCATGGAGCTTACATTCAGCAAATGTGACAGCCATTAAACAAATACTTATCCAAGTAAGTAGTAATTACAGTGGTGGTAAGTGCTGTAAAGGAAAGTATAATATAATGTATTATGTAATGAGAGACCTGATATAATGGGGGTGGGGGTGAGCTGGAAACATTTCACAGAGAAAGTTCTGCCTTAAACAGAGATGAAGGGTACATGTAAGTTTTCTGTGGGATTATGTTTTGCGGGATATGTGATCCCAAGGGGCAGAGTCACGTCTATTTCCAGAGACACAGCAGCCTGAGAAAGCAGAATCCTGCTGCATTTCAGGAACTGAAAGGAGACCAATCTGTGGGAAAACAATGAGTGAATAGGAGAAAAGCAAAGACTGCTGGAAAAGTAGGCAGGGCCCAGATCCTCACAGCATCATGAAAACCATGTGGAAATTTTGGTATTTATCCAAAGAATAAAGGGAAACCACTCAAGGTAGGGCGAGAGTACCATCATCAGATGTAAGTCTGTAAAAGATCATTCTTCTTGCAGGATGAAAACAGGTTGGGGAAGAACAAGGGCACTCAGGTTGGAGGGAGTTCCATCAGTCCATGCGAGAGAGCTGTTATTGGCTTGGATGATGGCAGCAGTGGAGATGGAGAGAAGCTGAAGGGCTTGAGAGAAACTCAGGAGGCAGAATGGATAGGATTTAGTGTTTTACTTTAAGGTGGAGGAATTAGGAAGAGGGAGGTGTTAGGACAACTCCCATAATTCTGGTTGTCTGTCTTTGCGGGTGGGTGGGCTAGAGGCCAGTGAGGAGAGCCAGAGGGGACCCACAGTTTGGCAGCAGGACATTGAGGGAGAACTTAATGCCTAACAGGGATGAACTAGTGCTTCTGGAAAGCTTATCTGAGGGAGAACGCAACATTTCCATTCAGTGAGTAGACAGAGTCTACAAATTTTCCAGGGAAAGATGCAGAATGAAAATGGTTGACACAAACAGTGAAAGGAAGTTAGATTCCATGAGGTCCAGCAAACCATGAGTAACTCCAGGAAGAGTCGGTGGAGTTGCCTTGAAGGACAGGTTGGGGACTGGCTCTCCCATGGCCATCTCGCCTGGTTGGTTGGCTGTGATTGCCTCTGAACTGGGCTTCCCTGCCTTTCCATTTTCCCTACATGACTCTCCTAGTGATGTGACTGTGTCTCAGAAACCTCTTGCTTAAGAGGTTAAAAGGCTGAATGAAGGTTCTTTGTTGTATAAAGGATACAGTCTACCCTCTCAGTCTCTCTCCTACTACTGTCCTCTCCACTTTCTCCTTCCTTCACACATTCTAACTTGTTTTTAACCTGAGTCCAGCCAGGTTACAAAGAGATTGGTATGTCTACAGTGGCCCCAGGGAGTGACTTGTGCTGGGTCATGGCTTGGCTTATCCATAGAAAGTCCTGAAGTGGACAGAAATGGAAAACTTCTGGGTTCTACAGTGCAGGTACAAGTAAAGGGAGCTTACTCCTGGCACAGCAGTACCTTTGAGCATGGAAACAGGACTTGGCCAGGGTAACAATGACTTGCTGAGTAGCCAAAGTTTCTGCCTTTTTTTTTTTTTTTTTTTTAGACGGAGTCTTGCTCTGTCACCCAGGCTGGAGTGCAGTGGCGCGATCTCGGCTCACTGCAAGCTCCGCCTCCTGGGTTCACACCATTCTCCTGCCTCAGCCTACCGAGTAGCTGGGACTACAGCCACCCACCACAGCACCCGGCTAATTTTTTGTATTTTTGGTAGAGGTGGGGTTTCACCACGTTAGCCAGGATGTTCTCGATCTCCTGACCTTGTGATCCACCCGCCTCAGCCTCCCAAAGTGCTGGGATTACAGGTGTGAGCCATCGTGCCCAGCCAGTTACTGCCTTTTACGGTAAGACAAGTTGTTTCTGGGTTCCAACCCAGAGTGGAGTAGTAGGGAGATCATAGTTCTGAGATCTTTGGCCTGGTAGGCATCTTACTCCATGGGGGATTCTGGATGCACCTTTGTGAGAAAACAAGGGAGACCACATAGAGCTCAGCCCTTGCCCATGCCCTTGGCTTCTTCCTAACCCTGGCCCTGCTTAGCTGCTTCTTCCAGAGTAAATGAAAAAAACTGTGTTTTTATGGGGACATTGGTGAGATACATGAGCACAGCCCACACTGCTTTTGGGCCCAAGCATAAAAGTATCAACCAGTGTTGTGGAGAAAGGCTTCTCTCCACTTCAGCAGTGAACACAGTGCTTTTAGTAAAGATAATACTAGCTGCTATAGGAGAGAAATCCCAGCACCTCAGTGGGTTGGGGGAGGGTTCTGCTTCTTGGCATCATTCAGGGACCTAGGCTACTGGGGGCAGCTGCTCTCTCTGAATCCACTGGCAAATGGGGAAAGAATATGAGAAGGCATACCCACTCTCTTAACCGTTCGACCTGGAAGTGACACACATTATTTCTAGTCACTTCATTAGGAAGAATTAGTCACATGGTCCCACCTACATGCAGAGGGGTCTGGGAAATGAAGTCCTTGGCTTGGAAGCTGCTTCCCAGCAGTGCATCTACTCTGGAAGGAGAATGTGAATGGTTGGTGGACCACTCACTCTGTGCCACATACAGCAATATTGTGGTGCACCTTATGGAAGTCCGTTGGCATCTGTGACCCCTGGCAGAGATGTCAGCACTCTCAGGGTGTTGTGCGGGTAGGACTGAGCAATGGGGGTGCCAGACTGGGAAGGATTCCTTGTGAACTCTTGTTTTTGCTTCTGGGGACTCCCAGAAATAACTGGGTGGCACTTCTGGTAGCAGGAGTTCTTACATCATGTTTAGGCAGTCACCCATAGGTTAGAGCAAGGCCTATAGGTATATGATGTTTGAGGAAACTCAGGTCACATGTAATAAGAATTTTCCAGAGTTTTTCTAGGGGAGATGATCCACATTCGTTCCATAGAAATATCCTACAAATGTAGGAGAATAACTCACCAGGCTGCCCTTGTTAGAAATATGTCGAACATCAAGATTGCTTCAGGTAATTTGTCAAAGCTCAGCCCTGAAAAGCCCTCATTTCTTTTGTTGATGTCAGTTGGTATCCAAAGAGTATACCGTACCTGAGTAAGAGTTCCTGAAAAGGTGTGCGTTCACATTGGGTGTCCAGAATTCTCATTGCCTCCCTCTGCATTGGGGAGTAAGCAGTTGATAATCTTATCACCAAATGGACTGCAGTTGATATGTAAAAAAGTTATGCCATGGTATATATAGATTAAAAGCAACAGTCAAATAACAGCAATGATGATAGGCAGCTAACACTAATTGATCATTTACTGTTGGCCAGGCATATGAACTGTGCAGTACTTTATAAGCCAGGTACTCTTGTCATGTCTATTTTATGGATGCAAAAACTATAGCAATCCTTCAAAGGTCATATTGTAGAGATGTGGCCAAGCCAGGGTTGGAGCCCAGCTGTTGGGTGTAGTACCTAATTTCTGGATAGACGCTAAGCTAGAATGAGTTGGTGTACTTCTGGCAACCTTTTTTTTTTTTTTTTTTTTCTGTAATGTACCCTTAACAATATAGAAGATGAATGCATACCCCAAAGGGGGTTTGAGGGTTTGGGGAGTTTAACTAGAAGCATGTACTGCAGTAGGAAATGTCTTTTTAAACATCTTAATAAATTTTGTGAATATGGCTTTCTATTCTATAATATAGTGTGACTCTTTTACCATGAAAACATTTTCATTTTATCCTTTCTAAATTTCCATGTAAAATTGACACTCAAGAAAATATGCACCATGCTATTTAGTGGCTTGCTGTACTCTCTGGTAAAATGCAGGGCACTGATAGAGGTAAGCAGGTCCCAGCTTGAGAAGCTTTGATATATAGTTTGCTAAACCAGAGGTTGTAGATGTGTGATCAGCATCCAGACACTGGCGTGCAAACACAGATATCTGGGCAAGCTTCAGTTCTTTGTAGTGCTGTGTTATATTGTGATTCAGCAACATTATTAGAGTTGTCATTTGCTTCAGAAAATGCATGTGGTATTCTCTTTTTTTTTTTGGAGATGAATTTGTCAGCAGGATTTCAGGTCATTCTTTTTTGGAGGGCAGGTTGTGGAGGATGTTTGACGTGACACAGATGAAAAGCCACACATGGGAGCAGGAGATAATGTGCAGTAGGATATATCTTTGTTGAATATTCTCTCATGTCTCCAGGATCATAGTCTTTTGCCATACCAATGCTTTATGGGAATCCAGAAAATAAACAACCAGAGCAGATCAATAAGTACATTAGTAATAAGTGTATCTCCACTAGGTAAGGCCATTGTACTAAGCCCAATCTTAAGTGTTGGTTTAAAATATTAGCCTTGTGAAAGCACTTTAGAAGTAGTCAATAGAAACAAGGGACAGCCTGAAATATTTATATTTATAACTGTGTTGTTCATATTTATGAATGTAGACAAACCCTTTGGTAAAGTTCTAGAATGGGAAGCTTGTATTGATAACAGGGAAGACTGCTTTTTAAAAGATCAATTTTAATGAGGAATAACTTATATGCAATAAAATGCATCCATTTAAAGTATACAGTTTGAGATTTAACAAATGTATTCACGCATGTAAATACCACCACCATCAAGATTTAGAACATTTTTATTACCCAAACTTTCCTCATGCCCCTTTATACTCAGTCCCTCAGTCCCAGGAGACCTCTCATCTACTTTCTGTCACCGTAGATAAATTTTATGTATAAGTGGAATCATACAGTATTTAATCTTTAGTGTCTGGCTTCTTTCCCTTAGCACAATCTTTTTTAGATTTGTCCATGTTCTTGTGTATATCAGTAATTCTTTGTTATTGCTGACTACTTTCCATTGTATAGCTTGCTTATCCATTCACCTGTTGATGGCCATCTGGATTGTTTCCAGCTTGAGACTATTATGAGTAGGGTTGTCATGAGCATTCATGTACAGAGCTTTTGTTTGCCGTGAGCATTCATGGCAATGAATGCTTTTAACTTCTGTTGGGTAAGTAACTAGGAGTGGAATTGCTGGGTCATATTTATAGATCAATGGAACAAAATAGAGTGTTCAGAAATAGACCCACACATATATGGTCAGTTGAATTTTTGTTTGTTTTTAGAAATAAGGTCCTGCTCTGTCACCCAGGCTGGAGTGCAGTGGCATGATCATAACTTGCTGCAGCCTCAAACTCCTGGGATCAAGTGATCGTCCCACCTCAGCCTCCTGAGTAGCTAGGACCACAGGTGCATGCCACCGTGCCTGGCTAATTTAAAAGTTTTTTTTAGAGATAGGCCTTTGCTGTGTTGCCCAGGCTGTTCTGAAGCTCCTTCACTTAAAGCAATCCTCCTGCCTTGGCCTCCCAAAAGACTGAGATTACAGGTGTGCGCCACCATGCCTGGCTTATTTTGTTTGTTTTTACAAAGATATCAAGGTGTAAATCACTGGAGAAAAGGATAGACTTTCAACAAATATTGCTGGAACAACCAGGTATCTGTATGGAAAAAAAAAATGAATCTTCACTCATACCTCACAACATATACAAAAATAAACTTGAAATGGGTTATATGGAAAAAAACATGAAGATGGCTGAATAGGAACAGCTCCAGTCTACAGCTCCCAGTGTGAGCGACGCAGAAGACAGGTGATTTCTGCATTTACAACTGAGGTACTGGGTTCATCTCACTGGGGAGTGTTGGAAAGTGGGTGCAGGACAGTGGGTGCAGCACACCGAGCATGAGCTGAAGCAGGGCGAGGCATCGCCTTACCCGGGAAGTACAAGGAGTCAGGGAATTCCCTTTCCTAGTCAAAGAAAGGGGTGACAGATGGCACCTGGAAAATCGGGTCACTCCCACTCTAATACTGCACTTTTCCAACAGTCTTAGCAAACGGCACCCCAGGAGATTATATCCCGCGCCTGGCTCAGAGGGTCCATTGCCATGGAGCCTCGCTCATTGCTAGCACAGCAGTCTGAGATCAAACTGCAAGGCAGCAGCGAGGCTGGGGGAGAAGCACCCGCCATTGCCGAGGCTTGAGTAGGTAAACAAAGTGGCCAGGAAGCTCGAACTGGGTGGAGCCCACCGCAGCTCAAGGAGGCCTGCCTGCCTCTGTAGACTCCACCTCTGGGGGCAGGGCATGGAAAACAAAAGGCAGCAGAATCCTCTGCATACTTAAATGTCCCTGTCTGACAGCTTTGAAGAGAGTAGTGGTTCTCCCAGAATGCAGCTGGAGATCTGAGAACAGACAGACTGCCTCCTCAAGTGGGTCCCTGACCCCTAAGTAGCCTAACTGGGAGGCACCCCCCAGTAGGGGCAGACTGACACCTCACACAGCTGGGTACTCCTCTGAGACAAAACTTCCAGAGGAACAATCATGCAGCAACATTTGCTGTTCATCAATATTTGCTGTTCTGCAGCCTCTGCTGCTGATACCCAGGCAAACAGGGTCTGGAGTGGACCTCCAGCAAACTCCAACAGACCTGCAGCTGAGGGTCCTGACTGTTAGAAGGAAAACTAACAAACAGAAAGGACATCCACACCAAAACCCCATCTGTACGTCACCATCATCAAAGACCAAAGGTAGATAAAACCACAAAGATGGGGAAAAAACAGAGCAGAAAAACTGGAAACTCTGAAAATCAGAGTGCCTCTCCTCCTCCAAAGGAATGCAGCTCCTCACCAGCAACAGAACAAAGCTGGACAGAGAATGACTTTGACAAGTTGAGAGAAGAAGGCTTCAGACGATCAAACTACTCCAAGCTAAAGGAGGAAGTTCAAAGCCATGGCAAAGAAGTTAAAAACCTTGGAAAAAAATTAGTCGAATGGCTAACTAGAATAACCAATGCAGAGAAGTCCTTAAAGGACCTGATGGAGCTGAAAACCAAGGCATGGGAACTACGTGACGAATGCACAAGCCTCAGTAGCTGATTCGATCAACTGGAAGAAAGGGTATCAGTGATGGAAGATCAAATGAATGAAATGATGCGATAAGAGAAGTTTAGAGAAAAAAGAATAAAAAGAAATGAACAAAGCCTCCAAGAAATATGGGGCTATGTGAAAAGATCAAATCTACGTCTGATTGGTGTACCTGAAAGTGATGGGGAGAATGGAACCAAGTTGGAAAACACTCTGCAGGGTATTATCCAGGAGAACTTCCCCAATCTAGCAAGGCAGGCCAACATTCAAATACAGGAAGTACAGAGAATGCCACAAAGATACTCCTCTAGAAGAGCAACTCCAAGACACATAATTGTCAGATTCACCAAAGTTGAAATGAAGGAAAAAATGTTAAGGGCAGCCAGAGACAAAGGTTGGGTTACCCCATCAGACTAACAGCGTATCTCTCGGCAGAAACTCTATAAGCCAGAAGAGAGTGGGGGACAATATTCAACGTCCTTAGAGAAAAGAATTTTCAACTCAGAATTTCACATCCAGCCAAACTGAGCTTCATAAGTGAAGGAGAAATAAAATCCTTTACAGACAAGCAAATGCTGAGAGATTTTGTCACTACCAGGCCTGCCCTACAAGAGCTCCTGAAGGAAGCACTAAACATGGAAAGGAACAACTGGTACCAGCCACTGCAAAAACATGCCAAATTGTAAAGACCATTGAGGCTGGGAAGAAACTGCATCAACTAACGAGCAAAATAACCAGCTAACATCATAACGACAGGATCAAATTCACACATAACAATATTAACCTTAAATGTAAATGGGCTAAATGCTCCAATGAAAAGACACAGACTGGCAAATTGAATAAAGAGTCAAGACCCATCAGTGTGCTATATTCAGGAAACTCATGTCATATGCAGAGACACACATAGGCTCAAAATAAAGGGATGGAGGAAGATCTACCAAGCCAATGGAAAACATAAAAAGGCAGGGGTTGCAATCCTAGTCTCTGATAAAACAGACTTCAAACCAACAAAGATCAAAAGAGACAAAGAAGGCCATTACATAATCATAAAGGGATCAATTCAACAAGAAGAGCTAACTACCATAAATATATATGCACCCAATACAGGAGCACCCAGATTCATAAAGCAAGTCCTTAGAGACCTAGAAAGAGACTTAGTCTCCCGCACAATAATAATGGGAGACTTTAACACCCCACTGTCAACATTAGACAGATCAACGAGACAGAAAGTTAACAAGGATATCCAGGAATTGAATTCAGCTCTGCACCAAGTGGACCTAATAGACATCTACAGAACACTCCACCCTAAATCAACAGAATATACATTCTTCTCAGCACCATACCACACTTACTTCAAAATTGACCACATAGTTGGAAGTAAAACACTCCTCAGCAAATGTAAAAGAACAGAAATTATAACAAACTGTCTCTCAGACCACAGTGCAATCAAACTAGAACTCAGGATTAGGAAACTCACTCAAAACCGCTCAACTACATGGAAACTGAACAACCTGCTCCTGAATGACTACTGGGTACATAACGAAATGAAGGCAGAAATAAAGAGGTTCTTTGAAACCAATGAGAACAAAGACACAACATACCAGAATCTCTGGGACACATTCAAAGCAGTATGTAGAGGGAAATTTATAGCACTAAATGCCCACAAGAGAAAGCAGGAAAGATCTAAAATTGACAACCTGACATCACAATTAAAAGAACTAGAGAAGCAAGAACAAACACATTCAAAAGCTAGCAGAAGGCAAGAAATAACTAAGATCAGAGCAGAACTGAAGGAGATAGAGACACAAAAAACCCTTCAAAAAATCAATGAACCCAGGAGCTGGTTTTTTGAAAAGATCAACGAAATTGATAGACCACTAGCAAGACTCATAAAGAAGAAAAGAGAGAAGAATCAAATAGACACAATACAAAATGATAAAGGGGATATCACGACTGATCCCACAGAAATACAAACTACCATCAGAGAATACTATAACACCTCTACGCAAATAAACTAGAAAATTTAGAAGAAATGGATAAATTCCTAGACACATACAAACTCCCAAGCCTAAACCAGGAAGAAGTTGAATCTCTGAATAGACCAATAACAGGCTCTGAAATTGAGGCAATAATTAATAGCTTACCAACCAAAAAAAAGTCCAGGACCAGATGGATTCACAGCTGAATTCTACCAGAGGTACAAGGAGGAGCTGGTACCATTCCTTCTGAAACTATTCCAATCAATAGAAAAAGAGGAAATCCTCCCTAACTCATTTTATGAGGCCAGCATCATCCTGATACCAAAGCCTGGCAGAGACACAACAAAAAAAGAGAATTTTAGACCAATATCCCTGATGAACATTGATGCAAAAATTCTCAATAAAATACTGGCAAACCGAATGCAGCAGCACATCAAAAAGCTTATCCACCATGATCAAGTGGGCTTCATCCCTGGGATGCAAGGCTGGTTCAACATATGCAAATCGATAAATGTAATCCAGCATATAAACAGAACCAACAACAAAAACCATATGATTATCTCAATAGATGCAGAAAAGGCCTTTGACAAAATTCAACACACTTCATGCTAAAAACTCTTAATAAATTTGGTATTGATGGGACGTATCTCAGTAAGAGCTATCTATGACAAACCCACAGCCAATATCATACTGAATGGGCAAAAACTGGAAACATTCCCTTTGAAAACTGGCACAAGACAGGGATGCCCTCTCTCACCACTCCTATTCAACATAGTGTTGGAAGTTCTGGCCAGGGAAAACTGGCAGGAGAAGGAAATAAAGGGTAATCAATTAGGAAAAGAGGAAGTCAAATTGTCCCTGTTTGCAGATGACATGATTGTATATCTAGAAAACCCCATCGTCTCAGCCCAAAATCTCCTTAAGCTGATAGGCAACTTCAGCAAAGTCTCAGGATACAAAATCAGTCTGCAAAAATCACAAGCATTCTTATACACCAATAACAGACAAACAGAGAGCCAAATCATGAGTGAACTCCCATTCACAATGGCTTCAAAGAGAATAAAATATCTAGGAATCCAACTTACAAAGGATGTGAAGGACCTCTTCAAGGAGAACTACAAACCACTGCTCATTGAAATAAAAGAGGATACAAGCAAATGGAAGAACATTCCATGCTCATGGGTAGGAAGAATCAATATCGTGAAAATGGCCATACTGCCCAAGGTAATTTATAGATTCAATGCCATCCCCATCAAGCTACCAATGACTTTCTTCACAGAATTGGAAAAAACTACTTTAAAGTTCATATGGAACCAAAAAAGAGCCTGCATTTCCAAGTCAATCCTAAGCCAAAAGAACAAAGCTGGAGGCATTACCCTACCTGACTTCAAACTATACTACAAGGCTACAGTAACCAAAACAGCATGGTACTAGTACCAAAACAGAGATATAGACCAATGGAACAGAACAGAGCCGTCAGAAATAATGCTGCATATCTACAACCATCTGATCTTTGACAAACTTGACAAAAACAAGCAATGGGGAAAGGATTCCCTATTTAATAAATGGTGCTGGGAAAACTGGCTAGCCATATGTAGAAAGCTGAAACTGGATCCCTTCCTTACACCTTATACAAAAATTAATTCAAGATGGATTAAAGACTTAAATGTCAGACCTAAAACCATAAAAACCCTAGAAGAAAACCTTGGCAATACCATTCAGGACATAGGCATGGGCAGGACTTCATGTCTAAAACACCAAAAGCAATGTCAACAAAAGCCAAAATTGACAAATGGGATCTAATTAAACTGGAGAGCTTCTGCACAGCAAAATTAACTACCATCAGAGTGAACAGGCAACCTACAGAATGGGAGAAAATTTTTGCAATCTGCTCATCTGACAAAGGGCTAATATCCAGAATCTACAAAGAACTCAAACAAATTTATAAGAAAAAAACAACCCCATCAAAAAGTGGGTGAAGGATATGAACAGACACTTCTCAAAAAAAGACATTCATGCAGCCAAAAGACACATGAAAAAATGCTCATCATCAGTGGCCATCAGAGAAATGCAAATCAAAACCACAATGAGATACCATCTCACACCAGTTAGAATGGCGATCATTAAAAAGTCAGGAAACAACAGGTGCTGGAGAGGATGTGGAGAAATAGGAACACTTTTACACTGTTGGTGGGACTGTAAACTAGTTCAACCATTATGGAAGTCAGTGTGGCGATTCCTCAGGGATCTAGAACTAGAAATACCATTTGACCCAGCCATCCCATTACTGAGTATATACCCAAAGGATTATAAATCATGCTGCTATAAAGACACATGTACACGTGTGTTTATTGCGGCACTATTCACAATAGCAAAGACTTGGAACCAACCCAAATGTCCATCAATGATAGACTGGATTAAGAAAATGTGGCACATATACACCATGGAATACTATGCAGCCATAAAAAATGATGAGTTCATGTCCTTTGTAGGGACATGGATGAAGCTGGAAGCCGTCATTCTCAGCTAACTATCACAAGGACAACAAATCAAACACCACATGTTCTCACTCATAGGTGGGAATTGAACAATGAGAACACATGGACACAGGAAGGGGAACATCACACACCAGGGCCTGTTGTAGGGTAGCGGGAGGGGGGAGGAATAGCATTAGGAGATATACCTAATGTTAAATGACAAGTTAATGGGTGCAGCACACCAATATGGCACATGTATACATATGTAACAAACCTGCACGTTGTGCACATGTACCCTAAACCTTAAAGTATAATAAAAGAAAATAAAACATAAAAACTGACTAATAAAGATAAAAAAATAGAAAAACTTTCCAAAAAAACTGAAATACTAGCCAGCAATTAGAAAGGAATAAATTTTTGAGATATGCATAAGAACAAACTATTGGTAATAGATGTATCTAAAATATGTTGAATTAAAATAGCCAGATACAAAAAGTACAGACTTTAATGTTTTCTTAATGTAAAGTTCTAGAGCAGGTAACATTTATCAATTGTGACAGAAATGAGATCAGTGAGTGCCTGGAGTGGAAGCTGAGAGAAAGGCTGACTCAAAGGAGCATGATGGGACTGTTTGGGGTAATGGAAATGTCCTATAATATCTTGACTGATTGGTGTGGTGGTTACACAGTGTATGTGAATGTCAAAAGTCATCTTCTGTAACTTAAAATGTGTGCATTTGACAGTAATTTTTCCTCAGTAAAATTGATTTTTTTAAAAAAATGAAAAAAAAAAAAAAAAAGAAATGGGTTATACACACCTGAACGTCAGAGTAAAATGTAAAACTATAAAACTTCTAAAAGAAAATCTTCATTACCTTGGAGTAGGCAAAGATTTTTTAGATAGGACTCAAAAAGCATTCTCATATGAGAAAAAAAACTGAACTTCATTAACGTTAAGAACTTGGGCTCTTAGAAAGTCCCCATTAAGAAAATGAAAAGATGAGACACCTGCTGGGAGAAAATATTTTATATACACACATGTGCATATAAACATTCATGTACACATATATCTATATATGTGGATATGTATATGTATGACAAAGGACTTATACCCAAAATACATAAAGAAATATTACAACTTCACAATGAGAGGACAAAATATTTGAACAAAAACTTCACAAAATATTCAAAATAATCAAATATTCAAAATATTTGAACAAAAACTTCACAAAAAGACATCTATAAGTGGCCAGTGGGCACATAAAAATGTTCAAAATTAGTACTTATGGAAATGCAAATTAAAATCACAAGAAGATACTATTTCACCTTCATGATAGTGGCTAACATTTAAAAGTCTGGCAATGCTTGGTGCTGGTGGGGATGTGGAACTCTCACTGATTGTTGCTGAGAGTGTAAAATGCTACACTTGCTTTGGAAAAGTGTTTGGCAGTTTCTTATTAATATTATTTTTGATAGCCTTCTGATTCTTTCTTAGTTACAGTTACAGTTACATCCTCCACTGTATCTTTTATTTCCCCCAGTTTTATGGCTCTTTGGGGAGAGCAATAGGTTTTCTCAAGTTCCGTTATTATTTTTGAGGAGGATTATATAAGGCTATCACTTTTGCTCCTCTGCTTAACTAAAAGTAATATCAAAGAATGCGATAGGTATATTTAAAAAGACAATTACTGTAGGAAAAGCAGCTAATATATATAACTAATGTTGATTCTGAGAACCCATGTAGTTACCATTTCCAGAGTTCTTTATATCTTTGTGTAGATCCAGGTTTCCATCTGGTATAATATTTATTCTGCTTGAAGCATTTAATTTTTTTTTTTCAGAGGGGAGGATCTGCTGGTGATGAATTCTGTAAGGTTTTGTATGTCTGAAAAAGTCTTTATTGCAACTTTTGAAAGACATTTTTGCTTGGTATAGAATTTTATGTTGACAGTTTTTTTTTTCCAGTACTTTAAAGATGTTGCTCTTCTGTCTTGCTTGCGTTGTTTTCAGCAAGAAATGTGTTCTTTTCCTTTTCTATTGTCCTCTGTATGTAACATGTCTATTTTTCCTCTGGCTGATTTTAAGGTTTTATGACTTCTTCTCTTTATGACTGGTTTGGAGCAATTTGATATGAGCCTTTGTATCCTTTTCTTCCTGTTTCCTGTGACTGAGGTTCATTGAGATTATTGGATCTGTGGGTTTACAGTTTTTATCTACTTAGGTTTCTAAGAACTAACAAGGTGACTTGAGCTTTTGGGATATTTAGGAAGATATGATTTCTCAGGGTTGCCAAGATAACAGTGACAGCTAATGTATTTTCATTCAATTAAGTTAGCAGGTAAGTAAGTGGATATAGATCAGCAAAAGTTTCTCTTTTTTTCCCAGAAACCTTAAGTGAGCTTGCCACCAGACTCTTGGTTAAGAAAATAAGGACCTTCATTTAAATTTTTATTCATCTGGGCAGTTGACCAGGTAGAGATTTCCCATTTGTGGCTTTTTGGCTCAGTGCTTATTGGAATCACGCTTCTGGAATGTGCTGAAGAATTCCTCTGAACCAGGGAACTGCCTGTTTACCCCATAATGGGGATCCAAGCAGTTTTCATTCTTCTTCACAATGGAGGGAGAGGGAAGGACCTGGCTGTCATCTTGACCTCATCCTAGAGGACCCTTCCTACCACCTTTGGGTGCATGTCCCTCAACCTTGGGCCTCTGTAGCTCACAGTATGCTTCTTAACCACTGGCCTTCATTAGTCACACAAACATATGGCTTGTGTTTCTCCTCCTCCCTCACAAATCCTATTTAAACAGTCAGCCCAGAGAATTACCAGTAGCACTGATTTAGCTCACAAATATTTGTGTGCTTGTAATAGAAAGGGATTGCCTTTTGTGATCGGAATCTCAAACTATATGGGTTCTTCTCTATTTATCTCACCTTCCTCCCTAATTGAGGAACTATTCATAAATCTCTATTTACACATTTATTCTGAAATACATTTTTCTCATCAATTTTAAATTTAATCCCCCAAATGGCTTGTATCCTTTAAGTAGGACTTAGAAATACTATCTTGTATCTCCTCTTCTGGCTTACTTGTAACTGTGCTAGTTCCTAAATTGGAATGCTTCCCTAGTCCTAATTGAATGTTCATTTGTGGATTCAGGCCAAATTCAGATTCAGGGAGGTCTTTGATGGAAAAAGCTTTGATCAGCAAAGATATAGCACCTAAGGGACAAGATGTAATATCCTCCAGTTAGTAAGGGGGGTGGGCGGGGACATACTTGGGATTATCTATGACTTTTTTGGCTTCAGAGTATGCAGCTTTTGAAACTCCAGATCTTAGGTGCTAAAATATAAAGTCTTGGAAAATATTTTTTAATACCTTCCAGAAACACAGAGTGCTTATTTCAGGAATTACTGAAAATGTAAATCTCTGTTATTTTATTTTCCCAGCAATGTTATTAATAGGTGGATACATGGTCACATCCCAATTTAGTAAAATTTCTCCAGCAATAAATCATGACCAGAAGGGTATTTTCAATGTTTCGCCCCCAGCAAGTGAATGTCTTCCATTTAATATGGGGAAATGTAAACAGAGCAAGCATTCCTGTTTCTTCAGGCTTTAAAATCATTAATAAAGATGTCTTTACTCTAGAAGGGAAAGGTGGTAAGCAGTCACATTTTTATTATTCTACTGAATAAGTGAATTTACCCAGCACATAAATTAACAAATACATTTTTTCCCTGCAGCACATGTTGACATTTTCCTGCAGATGGCTCAGCAGAAGGGGAAGCTTGAAAGGTGGTTAGTGACAAAGGACAGGCATGTCTGGTCACTCTCTTTTGCCACTCAGAAATACTGGCCTGCTCACCCCTCTCACCCAGCCAGTGTACTTGCTTGGAGGGGAAGCTTTGTGATTGCAGACACTGTAGTGAAGGATAGAGGAGGAATAGGAAGTAAGCAGAATCTGTCTGATCCCTAAGAATTATATTTTTGCTCTTCTGTATTAAAGTTGTTCATATGGTTATAAGCAGGACAAAACATTTTCTTGTGTGTGTTTTGTTTCCATTTGGAATCATTTACCAATCACGGTTTGTCTATAGATGATATTTTCTTGAACCAATAGTTGGGAGACAGGTTATTTGACCTGTAAGTGCACATATATTTGTTTCAGGAGAACAGGTGGGTGGAGGGAGGGTAATTTCTGTTTTAAAAAAGTGCGTGTGGGGCTGAGGAAATTCAGATTCTTGTCATGAATATACCTGGTAGAACCCTTGTGATAGACAAACTAGTTGTTGATGGGAACAGGTAGGGGCTCATTATGAACAGTTTGGTACTTCTTGATTATGTGAGATAAATGTTTAATCAGGTATTTGGGACTGAAGTTTGTATAGAGGCAGAAGCCTTCCAAATAGAGTTGTGACATCACATTATACCCTGATGTGACATAGGGCATGGTACTGCTCCCTCCAAAGGTCGTGCCTTCAGAGAAGCCAGGAGTGTAGCTCAGGTCTTGGTTTGAGGGCTGTGATTTATGCTCAGGTGGGATGGAGTTCATGCCAGGAGCTGTGAAGGAATAGATGTGGCTGAGATCTTCCAGGAAGGCAGGACAAGATCAGGGGGAAACTACCCTAGTAAGTGAATAGAAATCCCATTCATCTATCCACTCAGCTGTTAATTATCTGCTTATTATTATTATTAAAACAGTTTAATACCAAAGCCAATTTTGAAATAAGAGAAGTTGGTAAAATCACAGATTATGGTGCATGTGTGGTTTTTTGTTTTTGCTCATGATTTTAAAAATTTTGCTTGTCATCAGTGAAAGAGAATTAGTGTTTGTGTATTTCTATATTTTATTCCATGAGTTTATATTTAAATGCAGTATAATTCTGGGGAAAAAAAACCCAAAATAGACGAAGAGTCAATGAGAAGCAAAGTATAGCTCTTCATTCAGCAGAGTTGACTGAGAAGAAAAGAATTTTGAGCTACTGTCCTCATTTCTAAAATGAGGTAATAGTGGCCTTTACCTCATAGAGAACTAAATAAGGTTATGACTGTAAGTTTTTGATACAGCACCTCCAAAAATTACTTTTAAGATTTTATAAAAATAGCATTAGATGCTACATGTTGTTTTTAAAGGTACCTTTTTTTTTTTCCACTTAACACTAGATTTGGGACAGCTTTCTCTGTTAGAACATAGTGATCTAGTCAGATAATCAGAGTACACTTGGACTCTCATTTATCTTCCAAGTCTTCTGTTGAAGGAAATTTAGGTCCTCTGCACTTGTCTTCTCTCACAGTGCAGTAGAGAACATTCCTGCACATTTATTTTGCTTTATTTATTTATTAGCTTTGAAGAATAACATCTCTGTCACTTGTTCTTGAGGCCTGTGAAGGGCAACACAGTCCCTGCCTTGGATCACAGGCCCAGGTGAAGACTCCACTGAAGTTCCAAGGCTTCTTCTGAGGTGGGAATTGGAGTCAATACTGTTCTCTTTCTGTCTGAGGGACTGCTTCTCTTTCTGAGCTTCAGGAGCTCTGAGTGGGTCAACCTGGTTCCTTTCATTTGGCCTAGGAATGATGTTTCCCAGACAGTGACCCTGCGCTTCCATTGTGTCCCTCCCTAAACCAAAGTGGACAGCTATGCAGTTGTTTTCTCATTCACTGACATTTCAAGGTGACACATTTTACTTGGAAAACATCTACCCATACTTAGCCATCTCCCATGAATTGCCTTTTTCAGGCCTGTCAGCTGTAGAAGGGAAGTTCAGCTAATGTTTCACTGTGGCTCAACTTCCATAGGCTTGCCAGATGTTCATTTTGGCATAAGGCACTCCAGCTGGCAGAAATTGGGTGCCAACAGGAGCTCTATACCTGCCCCTTGTCAGTGAGGTAGAATGGGCCTGCAGAGTGCAAACCTGTGCTCTGACAAATTAGAGATTTTGTCTGAGTGGAGTGGGGCTTGTGGGCCTGGAAAATGATTGTCTGGTGAGAGAAGTAATACATGAGGACACTGTTGCATTGGGCTCGTGCAGTCCATCTCCATGACAGGTGGCTCTTCCCCTCAACTCTTCACATTGTGGGTGGATTGTTTATCTGGAGTCCGAGGGCTCTGCATCAGAGTCCTAGAGTGTCTCTCTCCCCTCATTCTTCTTTCGCCTTGGCTGCTGTGATAGCCACGCGGACCTTTTCTTTACTGCGTAGGTGAGGGCTAGGAAATGCAGTGGAAAAACAGTCAACATTTTCCTTTTCAAGGTCTAAATAGATTTTTAAATTTTTTGGAGAAGGTTGAAGCTATGGGATGAAGTGAAAGTTTGGTATTTGGGAGAGCTGTCATTATCCATTGCATTTATTTAACTTCCTGCACTTTGCCATGCTCTCATTTGCAGGATGGGAGCCTCACAAGGCCCTGGTGAGATAAACAGACCCAGAAGTTGTTAACCCCATTTTACAGAAGATAAAGTGAGGCCCATGAGGGGAGGTGGCACATCCAAAAACACACAGCTGGGAAGTGGCAGAGTGGAAAGAAGCCTGGGGTCTCTTTGCTTCCAGTCCAAGGTGCATTCCAGAACATCACATTGGTTACTCAGAGGGATTGTCTTCAAATGCCAATAGTATTATGTCTTTACTGTTCTTGAAATCTTTTGGGGCTCCTTGTTAACTTCAGAGTGATGCCCAAACTCAACATGCCCAACAAGGTCCTTGGTGATTTGGCCCTGCCTCTCCCTCCATCCTCATCACTGGTGCTCTCCCCTTCTTCAGGTGTTTGCTGTGATCCTATAGAACACCCTCCATCTTGCCTCCTGCTTGTAACTGCTCATCTCTCTACCCGTCCTCATTCTGTGGATAATTAGGTCCCATCCTATAGGCCTTAGCTCAGAGCTCCCTTTATCTGGGAAGTCTTGGCTAGATCTCAGACTGGGTTAAATAGTTGTCTGTTCCAGCTGCTCACACTGCACCCTACTCCATTGTATTGTGATAGGATTGTGAGGGCAGGGACTGCACCTGTCCTTTTCCCCACTGTATTTTCATTGGGGCCCAGTACAGTGCCCGGTCCGTAAGAGGGTGCCAAGTAAAGACCTTCTGGCTGGAACCCATGATGCCACTGGTCCTGAGAAGCATGGGCATTTGTCACTTGCTTCTGGAGTTTATCTAAAGCAGGACACTAGGAAACAAACTTTCCTGAGGTCCCCAAACTTGATGTGCTCATCTGCAAGGCTTGGTGCTCTTCTCAAGGTGGTATTTCTGCCTTTTCTGTGGCTTGCATCCCCTCCTCCCTCCCAGTGCATTGCTGCCTGTCTCTCCATCTGGGCCTCCTTGGAGGGAAAGCAGGTCTCCTTTGTGCATGGGATGTCTCTGACTGTGCATTGGGTGGTGTCCATTGGAGAGCTGGTGTGGCACACTCCCTTCTGAACTCGAGCTCATGCTCACAGGTGTGAATCTTGCTTGCCTAATCTTTGTGATATGCCATAGGCAAAGAGAGCTGTCCAGTGGCGTGGGGTGCAGTCCCTATTTAATACTTGTTGACTTTATTAAAATGCAGGGATATCTTCTGGGCCAATTATCCAAAGGGCACAGAACGGAACTTGTTTGGAATAATGAAACCAATAACAGAACCTGACAGCCGTGATCCATGCAGCCAATGAGATGATTATCAACAAACAGCCTTTCCCTGGCTTCCTGCAGCCAGCCTGCTCATAACATCTTAAAAAGGCTCTGTTGTCATGATAAACCTACATGGTCATCAGTTTCCAAGGGCTGGTTCCCCTTAACATCTTGATCAGTTCTTAAAATTAATTATCATCAGGAACAAGTCAAATGATACCTCAGGAAGATCCTTTTAAACACTAACAGGCAGTGGTGGAGTGTCTAGATAAGGGAAAATAGATCAGCTGAAAGATGTTGTAATAAACCAGCAGAGCACCTTGATTAAGTGCCTGTGAATGCCGAATATCAGGAGCATGATAATAAAGGCATAAAATGGGAAGGCTTGCAAAGATAATAAGGTCTGTGGTGTGATGATTTGGGAAGTGGTGAAGCTAAGGGAGAATGTGAAGTTTTCACAGCTTGAGGAGACAGCTGGGACCCAGGCCAGCTATGTGGTGGCAGTGGGAGGTGGCTCATGGTGGCCATTGCTAGACCATATCTGATGTGCCTGGGCATTCCTTCCCACCACCACAGTACTCAGCCCTGGCCTGAAGCATAGGAGGTAGCTGGTAAATGCTAAACCAAGCTAAACTGAATTTCCATTCAACCATAGGTTCCCTAAGGGCTAGATGTCTATTTTGCTCAGCACTTATTAGTGAGCCTAGCATATAATAGCTGTCAAATGATGGAAGGAATGGAGTTCTGGTATGTATATCCTTCTAACCTAACAGAAACATAGGAAAGTCAAAACCAAAAAACAAAATTAACTTTCTCAACCCAATCATTGTGGGCACAATAGCTAGTCTCCCATGGCAGCTGCCATGTGCCTCTTACCCATGTAATATTCATCATGTGCCAAGTATTGCTAATTTATCATGTGTTAAAATGCTGCTAAGGCTAATTTTATTTAATCCTTATGGGCAACCCTAGGAGATGGGTACTATCATTATGCCATTTTACAGAAAGTGACACACAGCTAGCACATGGCAGATTTGAGATATGAGCCCAGGCTGTCTGACTCTAGATCCTGTGCTCTGAGATGCTAGGCCAGACTTCCTCCTCCAGATTTCCTTTAGCCCAGCACTCTTCAGCCTTATCCCATGGCAGCCTCCCTCTCCACCTGCATGCTGCCTATGGATCTGCGATTCCCCAAACCCATGGCTTTGGTTCAGCCTGCCTGCCTAGGGTTATGAAGCTTATGTCTCCTATGAAGGGTATAACAAATAGGATTGGTACAGACACTTTCAATGCCTCTAACAGTATTGCCTCCTTCCAGGCTTTTCATAAAGAAAGGGAAAACCCCCTTTGAGGATGGGGAGGTGGGGACCATATCTTGTGCTTCCTGGATGGAGTCAGGGGTGGGTGGTCATGACACTTTGGAGATTGTATGGGGGACTGGAGGTGGCCTGGATTCCTTCAGACTTGGATTTCTTTCCCAGGAGTCTGATAGGCTGTGCTCTAAAATGTGTGTTTGGGGAAGGGGTTTGGGAGGGAGATGGGACTGACCTTCGTGAAACATAAATTGAGCACTAGGCACAGTGCTGAGGGCTGTCTTCCCACTCACCCAGTGAGGAAAGTGGAGTTATCCTCCCATTTTTTTGGTTGAGGAAATTGAGGCTCCCAGAGGCTAAGAAGCATGGGCAAGGCCATGCAGCTAGTAAGTGGTGGAGCTGGGCTGCTCCTGGTCTGTCTCATGTTCTTTCCTTGACATCTTATTCTGATTTCCAGGGGGAATTGGCTGTTGGTGGAGGCTGGTGTCCTTTACCATGACATAACATTAGAAAATGAGCTGCAGGTAGCCTTAAGAGTTATGCAGTTAAAAAAAATAAAGTAAATGGGGTCCAGAGAGGGTAAACATGTTCCTTTCACGTTGGCCACAGCTAGGAGCTTAAGCTGTTCCCCTTTCCCCTTACTTTTTCTCAAGAATGGGTTTGGATTAGAGACAAAGATAAGCTTTTTATCCCTGAGAAGGAGGGCAAGAACTGATGTGTTTCAAGGGCACTTAGGAGGTATTGCATGCTAGAGGTGGCACTGGCAAGGCAGGAATGATCACAGCAAAGGGCTGTGGTGTTTCTTCTTCAGCCTCAGTCTGCTGGGCATCATGGTTGGGCCTATATGAGAGGAAACATGTCCCTGTCTGTCTCTCTCCCCTCCACATCCCCACTCCTGACTATCTGATGGTAAGACCATACCACTCACCATCCATGGTGGGGTTGAGGGACACCTAGCCTCTTCTGTCTTCTATAATATATGGGGAGTGTCAGGAACACAGCACTGAATACCACAGCCAAGGTCTTTGTTCTCATGGGCCTTGTGGGCTAGTAGAACTAACAGACAGACATTAAGCCAGAAAACAAATAAATCATCTATTTTCAGTTAATGATAAGTGTTGTGAAGGAAATAAGTCAAGATGCAGTGAAAAAAATCTTCCAGGGAGATGAAATATCATCTACAAAGAGTCCCAGGTAGTGCAGAGCTTGGTCTGTTGCAGGGGCTGCAAGGAGGCCCTTGTGCCTGGAGCCAAGTGAGCAGTGGGGGTGGGGGCGGGAGAGGCAGCCAGCAAGCATAGACCCTGCAGGGCCCTGTGGCTTGGAAGCAGGACTGGGATGTCAATCTAGGCATAGGGGAAAGCACCAATGGGTTTTAATCTAGGAAATGATGTGACCTGACATAGGTTTCAGATGTTCTCTGTCTCTATGGCTCTGCTGATAGGTGCGCAGTGGCTTGTGTTTTCTTACAGAGCAGAAAGACTTGAGGTTCTGTTTTGTGTTGGGGGGAGAATGAGATTCTTTATGTGAGCCTGGGTGATCGGAGTTCTCTCTATGGTCTAGCCTGAATCACTGGCATTTTATGTTGGGGTTTGGACTCAAGAATGTGGTGTTTTGTGCTGCTTTTGTCTTATATATATTTTTTACAGGGACCTTGAGGAAGGGAATATGGGCTCAGGCAGGATTTAAGCATTCCTGGGTCACTACCGAATGCTACCATGGAATAGTTTCCTAATCTGATCACCACTCCCCCCTCTCAGGTACACCAAGCTGGTGAGTGACTGCAAGAACCCTGGGTTCCTGTGTCTCAGGAAGGTTTGATTTTTATCATAACATCCTGCCCTCTGGGTTAAGCCTGTTAGTGCTGCTCTTTCTCTGCCTCTTGTCTCTTCCCAAGTTTCTCCCCAGCTGTGAAGTGCAGCTTAAAGAGCACAGCGTTGTCACATTTCCCTAGAGAAAAAAGATCAATTGCTCTAAAATTGCCCATTCTCCTCGGACAGCAGTGGTTTAAAGTGACAGCTATGGAGTTGAAGTAAAAATCTTATATCTATTTTTTCCAGACCATGAAATTATGTCCTGCTGCAGTACATATTTCACTGATATA
The DNA here is from genome assembly GCF_000001405.40 of Homo sapiens. NCBI lineage: Eukaryota > Metazoa > Chordata > Mammalia > Primates > Hominidae > Homo > Homo sapiens. The sequence continues at coordinate 137,407,117 of NC_000005.10, read as the reverse complement.
ATTAAGCTCTTAATTCTTTCTGAGTTTATTTCAGCCATGTTTTAGCAGCATTCCAGGATGCTGTTAATGCCTCACAGTGGTTAAGGGCAAGACCTTAGTTCAAGACCCAGCTTGGCCACTCACTTACTTTTTGGCCTTAGGCAGATTTCTTTCTCCTGCGAGCATCAGTGTCCTCAATATAAAATTATAATGGTAGAAGCTAATGGAAGTGAACATTCATATTAGTCTATTGAAGCACTTGCTTGAATAATTCATTGAGTCCTCTTAACAGTCCTACATGGCAAATGCTATTATTATTTCCATTTTACAGGTGTGAACACTGGGGTGAGGTTCATTTACTAGCCCAATGCCACTTACCTAGAAAGTAGAGGAGCTGGGATTTAAAGCCAGAGTGTGTGTTCTTGGCCCCTAACTAGAGCTATCCATAGAACCTCCCTCTGAGGGCCGCTGTGAGACTTAAATGGAAAAATGTGTGCATTGCACTTATTACAGTGCCTGGCATGTAGTCAGTATTCTTCTCTAGTTCTGAAGGGTTGCCCTCTTGAAAGACTTCTAAGTAGAAGGGCAGAAGCTTTGAATCCAAATGGGCTTTCTGCTGATGGTGACAGTTCTTTGGCATCCAGTGCTCGGGATAGACTGCATGTCAAGCCATTAGATGTTGACAAGGTAAGGCTGTCTGAAAATTGGTGTTCTGCCCAGACCCCCAGGCCCATTGGTTGCCTTCAATGTCGTGGGCATGCATCTACTCCTGCCTGGCCTTACTGCTCCTGTGGGAGTCCTTGCTCATTGATACACACCTCAGTCCTAGAATTAATCTCTTCCTTCCGATGACTTTGGCACCTACAGCATTTGGCACTGGCGTCAAGCACTAGGGGCTGACACCACTTTTATGTGTCCCTAGGTATGACTGTCCTGGTGAGAGGCTGCCCCTGTCTGGATGCCTGGCTCCTGGGCTATAAGTATCTGTTAGTGGTGAGCCTCTGTAGGAGGCTGGGCTTCTCTAGCAGGGAGCCTACAGCTTCTTGTTTTGACTCCCTAGAAATTGGGATGTCCTCTCAGCTGGACTGTCACAGCAACCTGGAGAGCCACAGCTTGCCTGGGGACTCTGAATCAAGGTGTGACAGAGCCAGGCTGCCTTCCAGCCACAGTCTTCTGTTTTCTCTTTCCCCTCAGTTCGTGGGCCAAATGGGTGAACAGAGGAGAGGTGGAGACTCGGCCATTGCAGGAAGCCTGTGGGATGGTTCTGTTTGCCTGGTCTGAGTTCCCGGATGGTGTGGCGAAGATGTACTGTTGATCCACAGCACAGCTCTGAGGTCCCTTGCTTACTTTTCTAACCACAAGGAATATCCTCTTAAATTAGGAATGGAAATATTTGGCTAGACTGGGAAAGGAATTAGCCAACCTTTTCTCTTTCCCTTGCCCTCTGCAATTTCGATGTTGTCGGTGGGTTTGTTCTTCTTGGTACCTCTCACTTGTGTAGCTGGGGGCGATCTGGAGCTCAGATGGACTCGGGAAGGAGAAACAGGAAGAGCCCTCTATGGCCCAGTAGGGATCTGTCTGCCCGTTCTTGGCTTATTCACGGTGACAGAGGTGGGACGGTGAAGTTGGTGCCTGGCATTCAGCCCTGGGCTACCCGCAGGAGGACCCTCGTTTCTGACTGGAAAATAGGACACAGGAGAAACGGGCAGCCAGCTTTACCTCCTGCCTCTGGCCCTTCTCCCAGGAAGTGCACCCCAAGCTCTCTCCCTTCAGAGACTTAATAACTTGCAGTTCAGCCGATTTATGGGACTAAGATAAGCTCATTATGTGAGCTGTCAGTAATTATATGAATTGATGAGGGGATTCCCTGTTCCTTCCCTTTGATGCTTGCAAAATCATTTCAGGTTGATTTCACTTTCTTGACCTAAACAGTGATGAATTTAGACATTAGCTTCTTTTAGTTCAGAATAACTTCTGATCTCTGCACCTATTGCTTTGTAACAAGCTTGTCTTAGGTGGGGTTTCTCAGGAAATTTTCTGGCGCTATAGGTGACCAAAGACTTCGTGCATCTTTGATACGGTTGTGTTGTCTTTATTTTCCTAATTGTTAAATATTTATTAAGAGCATCACCTGGGAGGACTTCAGCCTGCTGGCTCCTGGTATGAATGTTTGCTGCATTGGCAGCCAGATTTGAATGGAAGGATGGAGTATTTTTAAACATAAAAACTAATAAGCACCTGGAAACGTAACTTTGTGGGTGGTGCTGATGCAGTGTATTTCTTTATATATCAGTAGGCTAGTTTTTCAGTGATTCATCAAACTAATTAGCATGGGAGCACCAGAGGTGACAAACCCATGGGTTAACTCTGGCTTGATGTGGTTTGTTTGGCCTGTACCAACGATATTTAAAATGTTATTTTAGGCCAGGTGCGGTGGCTCCCCCTGTAATTTCAGCACTTTGGGAGGCTGAAGCAGGTGTATCACAAGGTCAGGAGTTCGAGACCAGCCTAGCCAGCATAGTGAAACCCCATCTCTACTAAAAATACAAAAAAAAAAAAAAAATTAGCTGGGTGTGGTGGCAGGGCCTGTAATCCGAGCTACTGGGGAGGCTGAGGCAGGAGAATAGCTTGAACCCAGGAGACAGAGTTTGCAGTGAGCCAAGATCGCGCCATTGCACTCCAGCCTGGGCGACAGTGCAAGACTCTGTCTCAAAAAAAAAAAAAAAAAGTCATTTTGAATTAGTTGTTAACATTTAAAAAATAGAAGATGACATCTAAAAACATCTAAAAATCCATACATCTGGATTGCCTGATTCTTTGGGAAAATCCTCAGACTTGAGCACACCAGCCCATGATCCCTTTTGGAGACAGTTGGCTGTCGTAGCAGCTGCCCCTTCTGACGGGGCTGGTGTGCACTTGCCGTGCAGCTTTTTTCTGTTTCTACCTGATCTTCTTTGTTTATTTAATTTATCAGTTTGGCCACATATGCGCATTTGAGTTGGTGACTCCAGGATCAGAGCAGTGAGTGTGGATACGCTCAGTGAGTTATTGCCTGTCAACTCTGCTGCACCATCCTGGCCTGAGCTAACATCTCTGGTCGGGATTGACACAAACATCTACCAGCAGGCCTGTCTGTCTCACCTTTGCATCTTCCCTGTTCCTCCCAGCCTGAGTCAATGCTCAGCACAGAAGTCAGACTGCGCCTTTGAAAATTTAAGTCAGAGCGTATCACTCCTCTGCTCCAAACCTTGCTATGGGCCCCCATTTCCCTCAGAGGAAAAGCCAAAGTACCCACCCCGTCTCGCAGGCTGTCATGACAGGCCTCCTGTTACCCCTCCAAGCTGATCTCCTCCTCCTCCTCTCTGCCTCACTCGCTCTGTTCCAGCCATACCGTCCCCCTTGCTGTTTTTTGAACAAGCCAGACCTTAGTTCCTGTGCCCGTGCTGCCTGGATGCCCTCTAGATATCTGCTTGGCCAATTCTCTCACTTCCTCACCAAGGAGGCCTCCCTCACCATCCCATTTATTACTACAACCTGGCCACACCCTACCGCCTGCATTTTTCAGCCCTTCAGCCTGCTGTACAGTTTCATTTTCCCATAGCATTTATTCCCTAATAACACATTAGATGCTTTCTTTATCATGTCTCTTATTTTCCACTTCTGTCTGCTAGAATGTGAATTTGATGATGGCAAGGATTTTTTTGTTTGTTTGTTTACCATTTTATCCTAAGCATCTTGAGACATGCCTGGCACAGAGTGGCTATTAATAAATATGTGTTGTTGGATGTTCCCGTTTTCTGAGTGTTTCCAGGTGCTTAACCCTTAAAATGATGGGAATTGGAGGTTGTCTTTCTATCTGGGTGCATACTGCCCAGCAGGGAAGCTCAGCAGAGGCAGTGCAGCGTGACTGCTCTCAACTGGAGGTGTGAGGGCCGGAATCCTAGCAGTTTTCCTTGATCATCTTCCGTAGTGGTCTCCTAGCTCTTTTATCTCTTTCTCTGTAAATGGGAATTAAGGTGCCAGTGTATCTGTCAAATAAAGCAAGGAGTAAATGGAGAAGGAAGGAAGGAAGGTGAAGGGACAAGTTTAGATGGTTCCAGTTCTGAAGTCATCAGCTGTGTGACCTTTGGCACATTTCTGAGCATCAGTTTTACCATCTATGAGATGAGCCTGTTGTTTTGGAGAATTCTCTGAGGTTTCTCACAACTCTGTAAGCCATCAATAGTTCTAAGAAGGTCCTGACCCACACTGACTGTATTTCACATTTAGCAGGAGAAACTTTAAGTAAAATTATTTGTGCCTCTCATCTGCACTGTGTAGGATCCATAATTATTTCCTAAATCTAAATCAATGCTATTAAAAACATATTTTTTCTTATTTTCAGATTTCATTAGAAACTCCATTTTGGGTTCAGATATTTTCCCCTCACTCAGTGAAATATGACGTGATTTCAAAGAGCTGTTTTACTGGGCTGTGGTTTTCATATCCCTTCTGGGAAGGCGGGGAGCAGGTTGAGGTCTAACCCCCGGGGGCTGCTTTTGCAACCCCAGCATTCACACCGTCATGTGTAATTAATGGAGTTGTTGAGATTTTCACTGCCATTCTTACTAAAAGGAATTAATTTCAGTCAAAGATGAAATGATATAGGCCAACTATTGCCTCAGCCAAGTGACACAAAACACATCTCATTCCCACTCCAAATGGTTGTCAATAAGAAATGACATTTAAAAATGCTGACTAAATTAAAGTCTGTGAAATGCTTTCTTCCATAATTTAAATTCATTTTTGGGAAGATGTGCAAGTCTATTTTGTTATAATGCCATAAGCATATTAACCTCCGATGAACTAGAGTATCTACAATGGTTGTATCTTTTCCTGAAAGCTTTTCCAAGAGAAACCTAACAGCTTCTACTGAAGCAAATGAAAACTCCTCTGACTCAGGGGAACTGAAATAAATGGGCCTATTTTCTTCAAGACACGACAGGTTTGCACTTGTAACCTGTCTTCCCTGGCTTTTTGGTGCTGGCCTGAAGGTGAAATCTGCATGAACAGATGGGGCTCCTTGTTGCTCCTTGAGAGGGAGATAGAATGCCTCTGAGATAACACTAATAAATGCATCATTTCAAAGTGCCCCTTTCCTTACAGAGAAACATGAGACTAAAATCCTGATATCTTAGACAAAATAGAAGGCTTTCTTGAGTAAAAACACCTTTAGCTTTCCCCTAAAAGAAAGAGATGCAGGGACCCAAGGAGAGGTGGGTGAGAGAGAAGGTGTGGGGAGTTTGTGCACATCACGCATATGTGTATCATGAGCAGATTTTCCTTGGTGCAAGCTGTGTGACCTTGAGAAAATTATATAACCTCTTTGACCCTCCATTTCCCAACCTTTCTTTTTGAGTCAGGGTCTCACTGTGTCACCCAGGGTGGAATGCAGTGGTGAGATCATGCTCACTGTAACCTCAAACTCCTGGACTCAAGTGATCCTCTTGCTTCATCCTTCCAAGTAGTTGAGACTAGAGATGTGTGCCACCGTGCCCAGTGAATTTTTTTAAACTTACATTTTTTTTTTTTTTTTTTTTTGTAGAGATGAGGTCTTGCTATATTGCCCAGGCTGGTCTCAAACTCCTGGCCTCAACTGATCCTCCTGCTTCAACCTCCCAAAGTGCTGGGGTTACAGGCATGAGACACCACACCCACCATACACCATACCCAGCTTTAAGATGAGAATGTTAATAGTGCCTGCTGCATAGGGTCAACCTGAGGACTAAATAAGATGATGCATATAAAACTAGCACATGATAAGCACTTAGTAAATTTTAGCTTTTATTAGCTATCATTTTGCTAAGTTTCCCCCTGCCCCCCACAAGACTCTTTCTTGTCCCTGTTGGAATGATGGAAAGATAAACTCCTTAAGCACTATTACTTTTCCTCCAGTTGAAGTGTTTCCATGAGTGGGACCTGGTGTACACCTCTCTTGATGACTTAGTCCATTATTACTCGACCTGCTGGAACCATCAGGGATGACCCCTGGTTTCTCGCCTCTGGTTGTATGTTGGATTTGGTACAAGGATGCTTGATAGCCCCTGTTGAGAGACAGGCCCTCTCTGTGCACTGGCCCCATGCTTGTCCACTGACTCTGGCTCTGGCAAAGGCAGCACATGAAGGGGTGGGCGGGAGAGGGGTTTCCAGCGGGTGCTCTGCTGGGTAAAACTGAAAGTGGCTGTGGAAGAGCTGCCCTCTGGGTAGTGGGAACCACCCCTGATTTGTCTGTAGCTTGGCCTTTTCTTTTCTCTGATCCGCACTTTTCCTCCCTCCTTGCCAGCTGTTCTTTGGACCATCTGTGTTTGGGTGTTTGCCCATGCAGCATTGAGCTCCTTGGCTGGGAGAAGCACTTAAGTCTTCTCAAGGGCCCGCTAAAGTTCTGAGTGCTGTGTGTGCTGAGGGCCCTGCAAGGACCATTTGATGGCAACTGTGCTGACCACACTGCCACAGTACTCCATAAAACCCTGAAGACTAGTTAGGCGGAGAGTTCTTCCACTTGGTTCCTCAAAGCAGGAGTAATATATTATGATCCAAGGCACTTTTTTTCTAGGAAATACAGCATAGCTTGCAGATTTGCTGTGCTGACTGGGTGGGGTGAACAGGGAGAGATGAGACCTCTCTCAGGTGTACATGTGGGTAGAGACTCTACGTAGTCTCCTGGAAGACTTCAGTGGTCTCCTATCTACCTGTGGATGTTCCCATACAGAGATGGCTTGAGCCCCTTCTCTGCGAAGACTCCTATAGTCTTTCTTTAAGTCATTTGCATTTGTCCTGGGGAGCTGCAGAGTCTGCATAGGCTGGCTTGGTACAGTCTCTGTTTGTGGTGACAGGCTACAAGAATCAGCCTGTATGAGGCTGTACTTGGAATACTGTCCTCTTCCACACTATGGTCTGGTGATCACTCGAGCTGGCCAGAAGCTACAGTGATCGCAACCTTATGATGCACACACTGACTGCAGAGGGGCAAGAATATCCCAGTTAACTTAACGCCCATGTGTGCAAGCCAGGCTTTTGCAGATGAATCAGCTTCTCTGCAGTTTGGTGGATGAGACCTGCTTTAGGGTAGAAAACTTTGAGATTAAATAGCAATTCTGTTTATTTTCAGGAAATGTTGACCTCAGAGATAGCAAGTCCAGAAAAGAAGTTTAACTCTCCCAGAGTTAACAAGCCTAGTGGTTTCTTTATTCCCACAAATGTCTCCCACTTTTCCCTGCCAACGCTGTCAAATAGTGGAGTCTGCCTGTCTGTCTTCTGTTAAGGTATAGTGGTTGAACAGGAGGGCTCTGAAGAGAGACTTCCTAAGTTTACTTACTAGTTTTTTTTTAAAAAATAATTTTTACAATTAAAAGCAATCAATTTAAAAAATATATAGTTTGAAAAGGTCAACTTTTAATCACTGCACAAAGCTTTCTTCTGTGTTGGTGAGGTCTCTCTTTACGTGCAAACGTCTGGTCTACACTGGTCTTTGGGGTTCACCCATATCTCTTGGCTGGGAGCTGTGGTGGTGGTGGTCAATCTCTGCATGGAATAAATGTTTTCGATGATGGAGACAAAGTCACAGGTTGTTTTTTTTTTTAATACTTAAAGAGGCAATGTGGTGATAGTTTCATGAGTATATACTTATCTGCAAACTCACCAAGTCATATAGATTAAACGCTGACAGATTTTTGTATGTCAGTCATACCTCAATAAAGCAATTACAACAACAACAACAACAACAACAACAACAACAAACAATAAAGAGGCAATATAGCCCAGTAGTGAAGAAGCTGTGCCCTGGATATCCCCTAGTAGGTTTATTAGAATTAAATGAGCTCATGCCTGCAAAAACTTGCCACGTGCAATGCCTAGTCCTCAGTATTAGTTATTAAGGTTACTAGGTTTCCTTAATGTCCCCACTGCTGACATATTTCAAAACTTTTCTGGCATTACTTTTGGCACGCTACATAGGCTACTGTGACTCGAAAAGTAGAACTTTCAGGAAAAATAAAAGGCTTATTATAATATAAATGTGAAGTGCCTATCTTTTGGGTGGCATGCACTATCTCCTTGCCTTTCATTGCATAAGCTTTAGGATGGTGTCATTTGTATACAGATGGTCCTCCTCACTCCAATTCATTTGGCCCTCTTCAGTTCTCCCTAGTTGCTTGCAGTGTCAGGTTTTTGGAAAATCCAATTGGCGTGGTGCATGCTGTATACCTATTGGGTTAGTCTCTCTGCCCTGTTTTGTGGGCTGCAGATTATGGTAGGCTGGTGCATTTGGCATCTTCCATAAAGTATTTTTCATGCAGCTTGTTCATTTGCAGGAATAAACAAGTGTTATAGTATTAGATTTTATCGATCACTTAACTAGGAAGAAATTATGGAAATATTATCCATAAAATCACCATAAAACCCTGTTAATCTGCCAAATTTTCAAATTAGAGAATCAATTAGATTTGTTGAGTATTTGTTTAGCTGTGGTCTCTGGGTGTCTCCTGCTTTATTTACTCTCATAATTCCCCCAAAGATTTGTTTCTCTCTTCCTGAGAGAAGAATGTGTTCTGCATATCCTATCAGAAGCTGCTTGAAGGGATTGAGTCAGAGATAAATTAAGCAAATATTTCAAACTTGTTACTATATTTTCGTGAACCATATAAGTTAATGATCCAAGGCCAGATACATTGCTTAATGCCAGATACAATCACATTACATTCTGCTTTTCCTGGGGAAGCTGAGGATGGATTGCAGTTCAGGTTTCTCTGGCCCATCTCCCAGGGTGATGGGGATCTGCCTCTGCCTCATGCCGCTTTATCTTGGACTGAACACTTAGTCTCTAGGCACCAATTATTTCAAAGTCACAAATTATTGTCATGGTGCCACCTCATTGCAACCCATCAGCTAATGAGGCTTCCTCACTAAGGTTTGCAGATGCTCAGAAATGGCAGGCAGGCTGGCTGGCAGGCCTCATGGAAGTGTTGTGGGCCAGTGGAATGGGCTCAGGTGTCGGTGGTGTTGGCAGCCTCCTGTATGGTGTGGCTGGCTGGTATGGCCCAGACGGTGTCCTGGGTAGTCTCTCCAGGCTACCGAGGATTGACCCTACCATCGCCATCCTAGTAGTTCATCTTCCTTCTTTTAGGTTCTGATGATTCTCTTTTCTTTGGGAAATTTTCTTCAAACATTCACTTGATAAATATTTACTAAGCATCAAGTATATGCTGAGTGTAGTGCTGGCCTCTGTGGACAGGAGGGTGGGTGTGTCCAAGAAGGCTTCCTGGGGGAGCGATGTTTGAGCTGAATCTTGAATATGTGAGAGCCAGCTGAAATGACTTAAGCCCCTTGCAGCCCTGAGTAGTCTGTATTAGTGTTATTCTCACTTGATGGAGAAGGACATGAATCTCAGAGAGGGTAAGTGACTTGCTCAAGGTCAAGAGCTAGTAAGTGAACTTAGGAAGTTTCTCTTCAGAGCTCCCATGCTCAACCACTGTTCTTTAGCAGAGGACAGACAGGTAAAGTCCACAATTTGACCCAGTGTTGGCAAGGAAAAGGAGACAGTTGTGAGGAGCGAGAGGACAATGAATAAACCTGACATCCAGGGCTGCCTCTATGAGAGGAGAGGAGCTTATGGTGAAGAGAAGGACAGACTTGATCTCTGTCCTTAAGATTTTTAAGGAGTTTATGATCCAGTTAGGAAGGTAAAGCTGGAAAGCTCTGTTTGATAGAAATAAAAACTACGATCACATGTACAGCCCAGATGTTGATCTCTAGGAGATGACAGCAAGCGGTCCATCACCACTGGCATCCACACATACCCAGTCCTCAAACATCGAGGAGGAGTGTGCGTGGCTCCACTCACTTCTTGGACCAGCCCTTGCTAGGTGGGATGCCATTGCTGTTCTAGAGGGTCATCCATGGAGCTCCCTGCATCCCACTTCTGGATGAGTTCTTTGGTAAGGCTCTGACTCTTTGGCCTGACATCATGGTGGGATCATGGAGCAGGGTGTTGAGCTTTTGGACCAAGAATCTGGAAGTCTCAGTTCTGATCCTGCCTCAATTGCTCACTTACTGAGTGACCTTGGGCAACTTGCTCAACATCTCTGGGCCCTGTTTCAAGTAATACCACAAGGTACACAGGTGTTGATGGTTGCAAAAGTTTTTTTAAGCATTCAAAGTATAAACGCGTAAGGCTCTTTGGAGAGCGAGTTCTTAGTGTTATATTTTTTAAGGGGGATAGATGGCCCCTGAGACACCCTCTCTTGGGTGGCAGTGAATTGGTTCAGCCACATGTCAAGGCCAGATAAGTCACTCAATGCACATGAGATTAATAAGTATACTACTTTGGACAACTACTTAATGTATCTGGGTTTTTTCTCCTGGCTATAAAATGAGGAGGCTGAGTTTTACCTCATAGGGTTATTAGGAAAATTAAGTGAGACAGTGCATAAATGGCTTCTGAAACAGAGTAGATAACCAGAGAATGTTCATTGCCTTCCCCTAATCACAACCTAGATGTGTGCTCATAGGTAGCTGCAGGTGCAGCAGGTGCACTAGGCAGGCGTCTCCAGTCTCATACCTAATCCAGTGCTTCCTAGATTTGTGGGTACCACAGTCCTGATTCCTGCCACATTATCAGACACCGGAATTAATGTAGAAATATTTAAAAAATCAATTCCTCTTTACCCCTAACTTAGTTTTAAAGGATAATCCATTTGAAGCCACAGGTTTAATACACCTTCATGTAAATTACTTAAATAAAAATATATGTATATTTTCCAAAATCCTTAGTTGTATCATACTTTGAAAAACACTGTGCTAGTCAAATGCCTTTGAGCTACTTGTCATGCTTGCTGGTGGTGTTTTCTATGTTACTTCTCGTTAAGAAATACTCAAGGAATTTTGGAGATAGGTTAGTGGAGGGAATTTTTTATCCCAGGAAATTTGAGGAACAGAACTGGCTGAATTTCAGTGAGGAACCCCAAATCCAGTTTGGTGTCTGGGTTCTGAGGCTTAAAATCTCCATCTGTCTCTAGATAGTGGAACCCAAGAGCCTCAACTGAGGCAGTCCTTCAAAAAGCTGCAAAATATTGAGTAATGTTATTGGCTGCAAGGAAACGTAACTTATGTTGGAGAGAGATTCAGAGTTACGAATGGGTGCCATTAGTAGGCAGTTGTAGCCTTTCTATTTGTATTGGGGGGGATTGGGATCTTTCTGGGAGGAAACTAAGTGAATGACCTTGGTTAGCTATTCCCATCTAGGCTTTTCTCAGAGGGTAAGTGCACATGCAGGATAGAATCCCACCCAGGATAAACAGCATGCTTTGGATTGGCCCGCTGAGCTTACCTCCTCACCTCTCAAGAATACAGCTCCACGCCTTGCAGGAACTGACTTGTATCTCTTCCAAGCTGCATTGCAGGAACATTATTTCTGCTCCATCAACCACCTCACCTCACCATAGCCCTGCCTTCTCCTTTATTCCAGGGCACACATAATGTAGCAGCTGCCTGCAGTTTGGCTGGTAGCTGGGTGATTATGTTAGTTATTAAACACAGTCAGTTGGGAATGAGTCACCAGGTATCAAGTGCCAGATCTGGTGTGGATGAGATGTGGGGAAGATTCACAGGCCTGATAAAATGTCCTCCTGTTTACCACTTTGCTCCCTGATGGAGACCAGCTCATCCCAGACCAGTGAAAATGTGTCCTGTTTGTCAAGACTGCACTTTTATTCCCTTCTGAAGAGAAATGTGGTTTTAATTCCAAAGATCAGGTGGGATGGCTTGTGTTCGTATGGCTGATAAATCATTTTAAAGAAAATTACTTTGGCACACCTGACATTTGTATGAATTCCTGATGAATTAGAGGAATGTATCCAGATCACGTCAGAAATTTTTTACCCTTACAAAACATTGTGGTCTGCGGGCAACAAAATCCAGTAAAGCTACAAAGCTGACCATCCTTCCAAGCTGCAGAAATGCAGTGTTCTGGGACCATGTCATTGGTGTACACATGCCACATGCTGGGCAGCCTACAAGGAAGAGAAGACCCCAGGGTAGAAATGAGGAGGTCTGGGTTTGGCCCCAGGTCTGCCCATTGGCCACCATGCACCAATGGGCAGAAGTAACTTGGTCTTGCTGGACCTCAGCTTTGCTGAGTTATGGACTCCAATTCTGATCAAAGCTTTACCCTTTCCCTGAGTAACATTGTACATATCCAAAAAGTATTTTTCACACAGTTCCAGGACTTGATGGACCCTGTGAAGTCCATCCATGGGTCTTGGGTTAAGGACCCCCAGATTTAATGAGCCTTACAGACTCACTCTGCTCTGGAGACTATCTTAAAACCCTATTACACTTTATAACACTTCTCCCATGGAAGAAACAAGAGCTGGCTCTTGGAGCTGGCTTTCTCATTCTTGTGGTCTCTGCCTCCTGGTTCAGCTCAGGGAATATTTATTGAGCACTTATTGCATGTAAGGCTCTGGTTCAGATGGGAGAGTTGCAAAGATGAATGAGATTCATACCCAGCCTTTAAAGGGTATAGCCTGTGGGAGGCTTCACATGTGGTCACCAGCACTAATGCTGATGAAGGCTATAAGGCGTGGTGGCAGCAACATTGGAGAAAAGGTCAAGGTTTGAGACCTGATTCCAGCCTTGTGATGAATTATAATGCTGTCCTTTGTGATACTAAGCAACTCACTGTGCCTCAGTTTCTTCAAATGTACAACAATTTTAGGACTTTCTCTGTTTCAGAATTGTCATAAAATTCAGAGATGCTAGTGAATTAATTTTTAAAAGTTGACATTAAGTACTACGGGACTGTGTAGTGTGTAGTGTGTAAAAGTCTTAATAAAGAGTTTTACAGTCTACCGGTGGAGATAAAGATCCACCAGTAAACTGTACAACTCTTAATATCAGGAGTTTTTATCTAAAAAAGTAAATAAGAATGTAAGAATGAATGACACTAAAAAAGTAAATAAAAATGCAAGAATGAATGACAATGCACACCAAGGATTCAGAGAAGGAAGCATTGCCTGGGGTTTGGCTGACTGAGAAAGCCTCTGCCTGGAATCCAGGAACCTTCATTTTGAAGGATTTATTACTTTACTCTTATTACTTTATTATATAAGTCATCCATGTTAACTGTAGAAAAATAGAAAATACTTATTGAAAAAAAAACCCTAAAACATAACTCATCATTTGAACATCTGGAGATAACCACTTTTTACCATTTGGTGTGAACCCTCTAGATCTGTGGATGCATGCACTTTCATGGACATTCATTCACTTAATAGTGTTTATTATGTGTATACAATGTTCCTGGCCTTGAGTTAGGCACTTAAGTTTATTATGGTAAACAAAGCAGATACTGTTTCTTAAGAACATTGTCAGCTAGGCTGGGAAACAGCCTAGCATTAGTTGAACAATTATTAGAAATATGTAATTGCAGCTGTGTCACCTCCTATGAACATAAGCACACATACACAGTTGGGACCATGTTATTGCTCTGCTGTCTGTGATCTTCCCTTTCTAATGTGCTGTGAACTTTTCTTGATGTCATTTGATGTATATACCAGCTATCTGTTGCAAATCGACCAGCCACTGAAACACACAACAATAAGCATTTATGTCTGTAGTTAGCTAGGGTTGACTCACCTTGGCTGGTCTCCTGGCATGCCTGTGCATCCACTGGCTGTCAGCTGATGCAGGATGGCCTTGGCTGGGTCAACTCCATGTGTCTCATCTCCTAGAAGCTAGCTCAGGCATGTTCTCATGGTGATGGCTGAGGCAAAGGAGCAGTAGCTGAAACACTCTAGTGTTTTTTCAAGCTTCTGCTTGTGTCCTATCTGTTGACAAGTCACATGGATGGGCTCAATGGCAGAGTGTAAGCCCTCTGCAAGGTGACATGGCCAAGAGTGTACATACAGGAAGGGGTGAAGAATTGGGACCCCTAATGCAATTGATCTACTGTAATATACATCCTCATTGCCCTTCTTGCTTGCTGCACAAAATTCTATCATGTGTCTATAGATGCAGGGGGTGGGCAGAGGAATTTTAAGACAAAGGGTATGTATTGGAAAAGATGTGGAGAAAGCACTGGATGTTGGGGCTGGGTCTGCCCATTTTCTATGAGCAGAGGAGAGTCACAGGGCATCATGTGTTAGGAGAAAGAGGCTGGACTTTATCTTGTCAGTAATGCTGGATGATACAATAAGGGTAGGGCCTCAAAAAGTAAATGTAAAAATGATATTTGGCACACATTTGGGTGAATAGAGGCTGGAGAAAGGGAACCAAGTCACTATGTATTGGAATAATTCAAGTATAGGCCTGGGGTAGAAGGAAATGGAAAGGAAGGGATGGACAAAAGCAATCAGATTAATAATTGCAGCTTTCATTAATGGAGTTCTTACTGTATGCTGGGCACTATGCCAAACTCATTGTGTTTACCTGTAATCCTCAGAACAGTACTCGTATTATCCCCTTTTACAGATAAGAAAACAGAGGCATAGCAATTAAACAGCTTGTCTAAGGTCACACAGACACCTCATGTCTATGCTGGGTGTGAACCCATGCAGTCAGTCTCCAGAGCCTGAACCCTTCACTGTAACTCCAGAGATCACCCCTGGGAGCAGCACATACCATTGAGTGAGATTTGCTAAGACTTGGTAATTGTCGATGGAAGAAAAGAGGGACAGAGATAAGTTATAGAAATAACTGAACATTCCAGTCATAGGAGTCATACTTTGGACAGAATTAGGAAAGGTAGATAAAAGTCAAGTTGTGGGCTGGCGTTGGGGATTGTAAAGTTGCTGAGGTTGGATATGCATTGGGCGGTTGGATGTCTATGGACTGTGGGTGCAAGCAGTGGTAAAGCCGTGGACTTGGGGGATCTGGGAAATATAAACAGCAGGGAGGGCTGGTAATGGAGCTTTGAGGCCAGTGTACACTTAGAAACAGAGAGTTGAGCCAGTGAAGGAGTGACCTGAAAGGTAGGTGGATATTGTGGATAGAATTAATTTAGACTAAAGGAGAAGAGTTTCAAGTTGGAGGAATAGGGTATGGTCAAGTGTGGGAAAAGCCACAAGGAAGAAAACTGAGAAGAGTTCTAGGATTTGGCAGTGTGGAGGTCAGTGTGAAGGTGTTGGAGAGGGCAGTTTCAGGGAGCTGTGGCAATAGAAGGCAGGTTGCATAGCTACCTGGAGGGCAGTATGTGAGTGTCAGATTTAGAGCCTGCACTCAGGGAGATTGGCAGCCAAGCCCAGGACCTTTGTTTTGGGCAGCAGGGCTAGGGGAGAAGGCTGTGCTGTAGAGACTGGGAGCTCAAGAGGAAGCAGTTGGAGATGATTTAGGATGCTTGAGAGAGAGGCCTAATTGCAGGAGCAGATCCCAGGGGACATGTGAAAAATGCAGACCAGGAACCAGCTGAGGAGGAGGAATTGACCATGGAGGGGAGCGGGGAGAGACGTGTGGAAGGACCTGGGGAGGCACCGAGTGAATCGGGGGTTTGGTGGGGCTGGGAGAAAAGGATAAGCCCCATTCTGTCATGGGGTAGTCACCATTGCTGTATTTGCAGTTACAGCTTCTTACACAGGAGCCAGAGGGTATTCTGAAAATAAAACGATTCTTGATCTCCCTTGCCCTCAGGATTGAAGTCTGTTCTCCTTAAGGTAGCCTGTATTGCTGGGTGCCCTTCATGTTGGGGTTCCTGGCGTTTCCTTAGCCTCATCCAGCCACTCCCTCCCTCAATATTCACCAGCACACGTATACTTATTGCAGCACTATTCACAATAGCAAAACTTGGAACCAACCCAAATGTCCATCAGTGATAGACTGGATAAAGAAAATGTGGCACATATGCATAATGGAATACTATGCAGCCATAAAAAGGATGAGTTCACGTCTTTTGCAGGGACATGTATAAAGCTGGAAACCATCATTCTCAGCAAACTAACACAGGAACAAAACACCAGACACTGCGTGTTCTCGCTCATAAGTGGGAATAGAACAATGAGAAACGTCAGGGAGGGCGACATCACACACCCAGTTCTCTTGGGGGGTTGGGGGCAAGGGGAGGGAGGGCATTAGGACAAATACCTAATGCATGCAGGGCTTAAAACCTACATGACGGGTTGATGGGTGCAGCAAACCACCTTGGCACATGTATACCTATGTAACAAACCTGCACGTTCTGCACATGTATCCCAGAACTTAAAGTATGTATGTGTGTGTATACATATATTTATACACACTCCCGCCAGCTCTGTTCCATTTGCCACACCCCCCCACCAGCTACTCCCTAACTGCAGGCCTTGGTTCAGACAGTTGACCTCTGGCTTCTTTCCTGAACTCCTCTGGAAGTGCTGGCCCTGACACCATGCCTTGCTGGCAGTAGGGGCTCAGAACAGATTTTCTGAAGGCAATTGAGACAGGCCATGTTAATGTGCAGAGGGAAACCCTTTTTGCCTCTGGTAGTTGAGAACATCTATGAAGGTGGAGATTTCTCTGGTGTTTCTCTCAATCTCTTTGTATGCTCACCAGGAGAACCACTGTGTGTTTTTCAAGCCTGAGCAGCTGTCCTCAGTCCCCTTTTCTCATATTAAAAACGGAAATAGAACGGGCAAAGCAGACCTCACAAGGACCTTCTTCCTCAAGACAAATAGATGGTGTTCCTATTAAAATGGTAATTTCCTTTATTTAAAAAGGCAGATGTGGTCAAATTAAGCTAATCTAATTTGCAATTTTTCATTAAAAATATATATGAGTTAGGCTGGGAGGCTGTTCAGGTCCCAGGGGTCATTGCATTAGCAGCCACGGAACAAATGTCCTTTATTTGCTTATAGATACATACGGCTTCCAGGCAAGCATGATTTCCCCAGATTGACTTCTCCATGACCTTGTTTCAGACCATAGGGGATTTTTGACTGCCAAGTTGTCTTGTATTTTGCCCTTTTTATTAAATAGAAAATCCCCAAGTACCCCCAGGTTGCAGAGTCCCTTTTAGAGAGAAGAGGAGACAGGATTTCCTTTAGTAGGGAACATAGGACAAAGACATGGGAATTTTTATGTCAGAGCAAGAAAGAATGTGAAGTTCTGCTTGAACCTGGGTGGAGGTAGAGATCCTCCCTCACCCACATACATGGACCAGAGTGGACAGGACACTGTGGGTGGAGTAGGATGGGGCGGGGGTGGTATCCCTGCATGCTGAATATGCCCTTGACAGACTCACATCACAGAATTGGTTAATATTGTTAGTAGCCTAGGATTTTCCCCATAAAATGCCATCAAGCATGTCTGAAACCTGTATGTACCCATCAGAACCTTAAAGAGACAACACAGCTAAGCTGCATGGAACTCGAGATGTTGTGGCCAACTGGTTTTTCTTCCACACTCCAACCATGAGGGACTTGATTCAGATCTGTTCCTCAGCATCTTGGAGACCTGGTTGTGAACACCAGCTCTGCCTCTTGCAGCTTTGTGGCTCTTAGTCTGTGAGATGAGGATGTCACTGTGCTGAGGACAGACCTGCAAGTGCTCTGTGGAAGCTCAGCACATGATGGTAGTCAGGAACAGTGGCTCTTGCCATCACTACCAGCTTTGGATTGCTCATCACTTCATCAAGTGTTGGGACCATGTGTCAAATCCACAAAGTCAGGGGTCCCTCCTGCTTCTGGTTCACTTCAGCAATGACATCTTGAACCCTGATGAAGGATGTTTTGTGCAGTGATGCACTGTATTGTCAAAAACTTAATACAAATCCGAGTAGTATTAGACAGTGGGGATTCAAACATTTGGGATCCACAAAGGCAGGCAGTCCTCAACAGAGGACAGGGCATATCAGCTCCTGAGGGGACAGACAGGACCAGGACAAGGTGTTCTTGGAAGCCTAGAAAGCTCTTGGCCCTTCTGGTAGTCTTGTGCAACACCAGAGCTTGTGAGGAATTGGAGATGCTTCTGTGCTATTTTAAAGAGGGTTGTTATACTTGGAACTTATGTGTCTTATTTGGATTATCATTTGTAAGCCTGTGATAAAAACCATCTCCCAGGAAGTGTGTGGCAGTGTGCTTTATTTGTACCTCTCTCATCCTGTCTTGATTGGTCTTTGGAATGAGCCTTAGGTGTTTTGCTGTAGTTGGCCTATTTTCTTGCCTACCTAAATTATGCCAGTTTGTGCAAAATGCTGTATATGATGACAAGTGAATGGTCTGTGGCAAATTCTCTCTTCTGCAGCCCTTTTCTTGTCAGTGTCACAGCTGTGAGTGTTGGCAAGATCCCTCAGATAGATTTTCTTTTCCTCTTAAATGTTTGTCTAAAATTAATTTTGACTGTTTTGAAGAGGTTGCTGAGCAGTTGCGGTGTTTTGCAGAACAGAATCTGGAGCCCTGGCAGAGGCGCTAAAAGCTTCTAGTTCGGTGTGATGTGTGAATGCCACATCCAGAAACTGGGTCCACATCTGTGGAGAGCTGGAAGGTGAGAGTGTCCATCCATGCTGTTGAGCTGAACTGGAGGGGTGCCTCTGGGGTTGGGGCCCTACATGCCATCATACCATGTGGACTTCAATGAGAGGTTGAAGTCCTTCAAGGGCAGGAGATGGTACGGGTCATCATAGACCTGTACACTCTAGACATCTGGCTGCATATCAGGAAAAATAGAGCATAGTTTTGTGACCTTGCTTTTGTTATACAATGTCTTGTAAATTCAACATCATTTCCCCCCCTCCCTCCCGCCACATACCCCTTACCCTGGAGATGCCATCAGAGAACACAAGAACTTGGCACAATTTTTGAAAGAGTATCTGTTTTCAGTGGGGTTTCTTGGTCTGCCATGTGCTTATATAGTTTGCGTGCTTTCAGTTAGCATCTAGCACAATGCTGTTACCCAGGAGATGAAACTCTCATCCACTCAGTAAATACTAGTTAAATGTGTGTGTGAACAGACTCTTCATATCTGTTGATTGGATTTTGTATTATAAATATTTCCTCTGTGCCATCTGACAAATTGTTTTGGTATAACTGTTCCTATTTTTCCCTTTAAATGCACTTTTAATTGACCCTAGGTGGACAAGGTAGGACTTAGTTCAATAGCTTTTATGGGAATGGGAAACCTGGATTCTATTCTCAGCACTGTCCCTTCTCTCTGTGACTTTTTCTTATCACTGTATGGAGACTGCATCTTACTCATTTGTGTATCCTCAAAAGCAGGGGTTACAAACTGTATATAGCTCACTGCCTTTTATTTGTTAAATATACTTTATTTTTTTTTTTAGCAGTTTTAAATTTACAGCAAAAATGAGAGGAAAGTACAGAGATTTCCCATATAGCCCGTGCTGTAACACCTACACAGCCTGAGCTATTATCAACATCCCTGCAAGTCACACATTCGTTACAGTTGATGAACCTACACTGACACATCATTATCATCCAAAGACTATAGTTTACATTACTACAGTCACTCTTGGTGTTGTGCATTTTATGGGTTTGGACATGTGCATACTGACATGTATACATCATTATATTAATAGTGTCCTACAGACTAGTTTCACTGCCCTAAAAATCCCCTGTGCTCATACAGTATTGTAAGCCTTTGCACACTGGCTTCTTTCATTTAGAAATATGCATTTGAAGTTCCTCCATGTCTTTTCATGGCTTGACAGCTCATTTCTTTTTAGTGTTGAAAAATATCCCATTGTCTGGATATATCACAGTTTATCACCTACTGAAAGATATCTTGGTTGCTTCCAAGTTTTGGCAATTATGAATAAAGCTGCTGTAAACATCCATGTGCTGGTTTTTGTGTAGATATACATTTTCAATTCCTTTGGAAAGATACCAAGGAGAAAGCACTTGTGCTAGATTGTGTGGTGAGAGTGTGTTTACTTATATAAGAAACCACCAAATTGTCTTCCAAAGTGGCTGCACCATTTTGCAGTTCCACCAGCAATGCATGAGAGTTCCTATCAGCATTTGGTGGTGTCAGTGTTCTGGATTTTGGCCATTCTAATAGGTGTGTATGGGATCTCATTGTTGTTTTATTTGTATTAAAACAAATTTAATGACATGATGTGAAGCATCTTTTCATAGGCTTATTTGCCACCTGTATGTCTTCTGTAAACTGTCTGTTAAGGTCTTTGACTTATTTTTTTAAATCAAGTTGTCTATTTTCTTATTGTTGAGTTTTAAGAGTTCTTTATATATTTTGAATTACAGTGCTTTGTCAGATATGTCTTGCACATATTTTTCCCCCAGTCTGTGGCTTGTCTTTTAATTTTCTTGACATTGTCTTTTGTACAGCAGAAATTTTTAAGTTTAATGAGGTCCAGCTTATCGATTCTTTCTTTCATGGATTCTGTCTTTGGTGCCATATCTAAAAAGTCACCATCAAACCCAAGGCCATCTAGATTTTCTCCTGTGTTATCTTCTAGGGGTTTTATAGTTTTGTATTTTACACATAGGTCTGTGATCCATTTTGAGTTAATTTTTTTAAAGGGTGTAAAGTCTGTGATTTTTTCTTTGCTTGTAGATGTCCAATTTTTCTAGCACTATTTGTTGAAAAGACTACCTTTTACCCATTTGCTTCCCTGTCAAAGATCAGTTGACTACATCTATGTGGGTCTATTTCTAGTTCTCTATTATGTGCTGTCTTGATTATGGAAACTTTATAATAAGTCTCAAAGTTGAGTAATGTCAGTCCTCTGACTGTGTTCTTCAATATTGCATTATCTATTCAGTCTTTGGCCTCTTCATGTAAACTTTAGAATCAGTGTGTCAATATCCACAAAATAACCTGTGGGAGTTTGATTAGGATTGCATTAAATCTCCAGATCAAGTTGGGAAATACTGACATCTTGATAATATTGAGTCTTCCTATCCATGAACATGGAATATCTCTCAATTTAATTCTTTGATTTCTTTCATCAGAGTTTTGTAGTTTTCCTCATATAGATCTTGTACTTTTTTAAGATTTATACTTGAGTATTTCATTTATTTGGGTGCTAATATAAATGATATTGTGCTTTTAATTTCAAATTCCACTTGTTCACTGTTGGCAAATAGGAAAGCAATTGACTTTTGTATATTAACCTTGTATCCTGCCACCTTGCTGTAATTGCTTATTAGCCACCACCTGCTTTTGTAAATAAAATTGCACTGGAGTATGGCCATTCTCATTTGTTTACATGTCGTCTGTGGCAGTTTTCATGCAGAAGAGTTGAGTAGTTGCAACAGAGACCATATGGCCCAGAAAGCCTAAAATATTTACTATCTGGCCCTTGACAGAAAAAGTTTTCTGATCCCTGCTCAAGAACATTCAGAAGGCATTTAGCAGATGGTAGGAACCTGGCAGAGTATGTGTTCAGTGAATGCCGTAGAATGGATGAATGGGTTGGTTTATTAATCTGCAGGTGGGGTGTTCACTCCTAGGAGATGTGGAGGAGGTAAAGTTGTGGGCTCAATCTCAGCACTACCTCTGAGGACCAGAAGTCTGTGCAGGAGTGTGGATGGTGATCTGACACCTCTGTTGGACTGTGAGGAGGAGTGGCTGTTGGTGTTCATTTATTTAGTTATTAGACATTTATTTAACAAAACAATTCCCAAGCACAATAATGAATCATTATTCTAGTTTTGGACCATGTACTATTTGCTGGTTACTCTTTGGTGCTATGTATGCAAAGTCTGAAGTGTGTTTAACATTCCTACAAAGCTGGTCATATTCCTGTTTTACAGATGGTAATGGTGAGGCTTAGACATTGATTCACACATCTGACATCACATCATTACAATGCAGAAGAGCCAGTTTCCAAGCATGGGTCTATCTGATACAGGAGCCCATGATCTTGACACTGAGACCACGGACCTTTATATGTACCACACACTCTTAGTAATACAGAGGAAGTGGATATCAACAAGCATGGTTCCTGCTCTTAAGGTGATTGTGATCTAGAGTGGCAGTCTGAATTGCCTCAAATTCTTTTTGGAATGAGGTATTAGGAAGGCTTCCTGGAGAGGGAGGTGAAGATTATGACTGTGATAAAAGCAACATGTAATGTTTATTATTTACAATGTGCCTGATACTGTGCAAAGCATGCTGCAGACATTATCTCTTTTAATCTAAATAACTCCATGTGATTATGTGATAGACACTGCAGGACTGAATTATGCACCGCCCCCCCCATCCTACAGTAGTTATGGTCAAGTCATAATCCCCAGTACCTGTGAATGTGACTTTATTTAGAAAGAGGGTCTTCGCAGATGTAATTAAGTTGGAAATTTTGAGATGATTTCATCCTAGGTTTAGGGTGGACACTAAATCCAATGATTAGTTGTCCTTAAAAGAGAAAGGAAAGGGTTATTTGACACACAGAGACAAAGAGGGGAAGGCCATGTGCAGTTGGAGGGAGAGATTGGAGTTTTACTGCCGCAACCAAGGAATGTCAGGTGCCACTAGAAACTGGAAGAGGTAAGAAAGAATTCCCTAGAAACTTCAGAGGGACTCTGCTGGGCACATTAATTGTGAGCTTCTGGCCTCCAGGGGGAAAAAAAAATACATACATATATATATATATATGTATGTATGTATATGTGTGTATATATACATATGCATGCATGCATGTATGTATGTATATGCCACCAAGTCTGTGTGAATTTGTGATGGCAGCTGCAGAAAACAATTATTACCTTACCCAGGGAAGTTTCATTAGTTGTCCATGGTGGCATACCTGGTGAGTGCTAGAGCTTTGAATTGAAGCTAGAGCTTTGATAGGGTAGTCTACTTTAGACTGGTAGAGCAGGGTTTGGGTTCCAGATATGGTGGAACCTGATTAACAAAATGTTTTGGGCAGAGTCCCACTGGGCAGCTCTGCTTGTCAATTCTAAGTGAGCATTTGTGCTTATTCCTCAGAGGCCTTGTTCCCGCCACAAAGGGCAAGCACCCATCTGCCTCCTGTATACAGAGGCCCAGGTGGAATCCCCATAGGGAGCTTGCTGGGTCATATGTCCATGCTGTGCTGACAGTCCTTGTGCCTGGAACAGAGCCCATGTGGTTTATGCCAGCTGGGGACTCAGAGGGCAGCCTTGGAAAATGTGGCTTGGAGCTGGACTGGGCATTTGAGGCACAGGCTGTGGACATAGCAGGAAGCAGAGGCCTCCATGCTTGGTCTAGGGGGTAGGGAAAACAGTGTGTGCCTTTTGTGGTCCTTGAAAGAACAGTGACCTTGGTTGGGCTGATGAGGTGGGAGCCAGTGCTGAGTTTTACCGGGAGCTTCATTTTAAATTGCAAATGATTCAGGACTCCCCAAGGGGGAAAAAGAGGTGGAATAGACTCCAATGCCTGAAAGAGTGAAAGTGTGTCCTGAGAGCTGCAGCTGTGGAAAGACTGTCAATGCAAGGATGGTCTGGGCCTACAGGGACCTCGCAGTTAACTGTTTCTTGGACTTCCCCCATCAATCATTTCCATCTCAATCAGTGGCTGCATCTATTTGGCCAAAGCCTGTGCCACTGCCCTCTTCATTCTTAGACTGCCTTGGTTTATCTCACTGCAGCTCCATCTTAACTAGCTAGAGGGAAGGAGGAAGTTACCCTGACTAGGTCACCTTGCAAGGTCAGCCTTTCACACAGGCTGGCTGCATTCTTGGGGGTAAGGATCATTATTAGCTTCTAAAGTTTCCCCACAAATCTGTTTCCATCCCGTCTTCATGGGGAACAGACATAGTTGAAACTCAGCTAGCCAGTTAGCTGCTAGTGTGGTTGGAAAGACCAACTCTTCAGGCCAGCAGTAGATACTAAGGGCTGGGTAGGTCAGGATGTGGGGAGGGGAAGGGCAAATGGAGCTGCCATTTGTTGAGCCCTGCCAAGTACCAGGCAGTATGCTAAGACTTTAAGATTTTTTTTTCCCTGATTTTCTTAAACTTAAGTATCACAGCAGCTCTTTGAGATAAATTTTCCTGTCTCCATTTTATAGGTAGGAAAAAGGGTTTGAGGGCTTAACTCTTAAGTGACTAATCTAAGGACTCACAGTAAATGACAGTGATGGGATTTGAACCTGGAGTCTTTCTGACTCCAAAGGCCACGCCCTTACCTACTACTTCTGAGGCACGAGGTACAGACCAGGCAGGGCCCTCAGGGGGCTGCTTGGTGCTGGCTCTTCTACGTGGAGATTGTGGAAAGGGACTGGAAAAACAAAAAGGCCATTTTTTACTTATTTCATCATTTTAACCAGTCCTGGCCCAGCAACTAATCAAATTTCTGAGAACTTGTCACATCACAGGCTTTCTTTTTAAGGTGAATATGTTTAAGCTGGGTAATGTTGTATGCTCTGTCCTCCTGGGCATGTGATATGTTTTGGATTTGTGTCCCCTCCGAAATCTCATGTCAAATTGGAAGAGGAGCCTGGTCAGAGGTGATTGGCTTATGGGGGTGGATTTCCCCCATGCTGTTCTCATGATAGTGAATGAGTTCTCATAAGATCTGATAGTTTAAAAGTGTGTGGCACTTCCCCCCTTACTCTGTCTCTCCTGCTACCATGTGAAGAAGGTCCTTGCTTCCCCTTCACCTTCTGCCATGATTGTAAGTTTCCTGAGGCCTCCCAGTCATGCTTCCTGTTAAGCCTATAGAACTGTGAGTCAATTAGACCTCTTTTCTTCATTAATTACCTAGTCTCAGGTAGTTCTTTATATCAGTGTGAAAATGGACTAATACATAAAATTGGTACCAGGAGAGTGGGGCACTGCTATAAAGATACCTGAAAATGTGGAAGCATCTTTGTAACTGGGTAACAGGCAGAGGTTGGAAGAGTTTGGAGAGCTCAGAAGAAGACAGAAAGATGTGGGAAAGTTTGGAACTTCCTAGAGACTTGTTGAATGGCTTTGCCCAAAATGCAAATAGTGATATGGACAGTGATGTCCAGGCTGAGATGGTCTCAGATGGAGATGAGGAACCTACTGGGAACTGGAGCAAAGGTCATTCTTGCTATGCTTTAGCAAAGAGACTGGTGGCATTTTGCCCCTACCCTAGAGATCTGTGGAACTCAAGAGAGATGATTTAGAGTATCTGGAAGAGGAAATTTCTAAGCAGCAAAGCATTCAAGATGTGACCTGGTTGTTTCTAAATGTATATGCTCGTATGTGTGAAGAAAGAGATTATCTGAAACTGGAACTAATATTTAAAAGGGAAGCAGAACATAAAAGTTTGGAAAATTTGCAACCCAGTCATGTGGTAGAAACAAAAAACCCATTTTTGGTGGAGAAATTCAAGTCTGCTGCAGAAATTTGCATAAGTAAAGAGGAGCTAAATGTTAATAGCCAAGACAATGCAGAAAATGCCTCAAAGGCATTTCAGATACCTTTGTGGCAGCCTCTCCCATTACAGGCCCAGAGGCCAAGGAGGAAAAAATGATTTTGTGGGCCAGGCCCAGGGCCCAGCTGTTCTGTGCAGCCTTGGGACATGGCGCCCTACATCCCAGCCACTCCAGCTCTGGCCATGGCTAAAAGGGACCAAGGTACAGCTCAGACCATTGCTCCAGAGGGTGCAATCCCTAAGCACTGGTGGCTTCCATGTGGTGTTGGGCTTGTGGGTGTGCAGAAGACAAGAGTTGAGGTTTGAGAAACTCTGTCTAGATTTCAGAGGATGTATGGACTTGCCTGGATGTTTAGGCAGAAGTGTGCTGCAGGGGTGGAGCCCTCATGGAGAACCTCTACTAGGGGAGTACAGAGGGGAAACATAGAGTTGAAGCCCCCACACAGAATCCCCACTGGGGCGCTGCCTAGTGGAGCTATGAAAAGAGGGCTACCGTCTACCAGACCCCAGAATGGTAGATTCATGAACAGCTTGCACTTTGCTCCTGGAAAAGTCACAGGCACTCAATGCCAGCCCATGAAACAGCCATGGGGACTGTACCCTGCAGAGCTGCCCAAGGCCCTGGGAACCCACCCTTTGAATCAGTGTGGCCTGGATGTGAGACATGGAGTCAAAAGGAGATTATTTTGGAGCTTTAAGATGTAATTACTGCCCTGCTCAGTTTTGGACTTGCGTGAGGCCTGTAACCACTT
Organism: Homo sapiens; assembly: GCF_000001405.40. Lineage (NCBI taxonomy): Eukaryota > Metazoa > Chordata > Mammalia > Primates > Hominidae > Homo > Homo sapiens. The sequence goes on along the minus strand of NC_000005.10, from coordinate 137,381,085 downwards.
TTTTTTTTGGCCAATTTCTCCCATTTGGAATGGGAGCATTTACCCAATGCCTGTACTCCCATTATATCTTGGAAGTACATAACTTGTGTGTGATTTTACAGGCTCTTAGTGGGAGATGATCCTTTGGACTTTTTAGTTAATGCTGAAATGAGTTAAGACTGGGGGACTGTTTAGAAGGGATAATTGTATTTTGCAATGTAGCTTGGGTTGTATTGCAGGGCTCCCAGGGGAGCTGAAGAGGCTCAAGAAAGGACATGAGATTTGGAAGGGGCCAGGGATGGAATAATATGGTTTGGATTTTTGTCTCTGCCCAAATCTCATGTTGAATTGCAGGAGGGGCCAGGTGGGAGGTGATCAGATTGTAGGGGCGGGTTTCCTTCCTGCCATTCTCGAATTAGTGAGTAAATTCTCATGAGATCTGATGGTTTAAAAGTGTTTGGCACTTCCCCCCTTGCTCTCTCCTCTGCCACCATGTGAAGATGGTTTCCCTTCATCTTCTGCCATGATTGTTAAGTTTCCTGATGCTTCCTAGTCATGTTTCCTGTTAAGCCCATGGAATTGTCAGTCAATTAAACCTCTTGTCTTCATAAATCACCCAATCTCAGGTAATTCTTCATAGCAGTGTGAAAATGGACTGATACAGCATTCCTCTTCCTAAGCAAGAGACTTTTTCAGAAGCTCACACTCATACATTAGATACACACAGATCATTTTATTACCTTCTGTCTCCTTTATATTGCATAGGAAAATGTACCCAGAAGCTATTGTGGTGACTACACCAATAAAGCAATTGCATTAATGAGTTTTCTGTTGCATTGCATTCATTTTTAGCTTTGGATGTTGTCTAACCTGTCACATCACCTTTCCCCCGGCCGCCACCATCTCTACTCCTGCCTGTGCCCTTAGTGAGTCCTTTTGGTGGCAGGCAGATATATTATGCCATAGATGGAGCGTGATTCACACACACAGCATTTGCTCCACCAAGCTGTCGGTCTGGAGTTTATTAGGTGTGGGTCTTAGGGAGTTGCTGTATGAATATCTTAGAGGGAAAAAAGGAGAATGATGAATGCTTGGAAAGCTCTTCCCTGACATTCTAATTCTTACTCACTAAGTGTTAAAGTGGCAATATTTAGTTTGATGATTCAGTCTGTGCAGGGGAATTGGTTTTAGTGCTATCACCACGGGGGCTCATGAATTAATGCACCCCTAAGGTCTGAATGACTTGAGAGATGAGTTTATTTGGACTTTGGAAAGAGAAGATAGTTTTAAGCCCCACTCACCTTACAGCTTCTATTGTCACATCAAGCCCTGGCTGGTGACTGGTGTGGTGGCACTGCCAAGCATGTCTTGGCTCATCAGAGCAAAATCTCACATTCAAGTCAGATGCTGATTTCATGTGTGATTTATGGCTGTTAAGTCAAAGACAATAGTAAAGTTTGAAATCATTGACTTGTCTTGTGTGATTTTTAAGTAGCTCCCAAATCCCTCTGGTCAGCAATGGATGTTGCTCAGGAGCATTTGCAGGGTGTTTAGGAGTGGTGGTGGTGGGGTGGGGGGGTGGGTATTAAGAGATCTTGTTACTTGAGCAGTATCTTTTTGAACATTAAACCTTCCTTTTTTGTTAAAGCCACAGGATGTCTCAGAAATGCATTCGCATATTACCCAGGACTTTTTTTTCTTTTCGGTAAAAATAAATCTGTATATGTTTGATCTCTCGTGTTTGAAGGAGATTAAAATAGAATCATTATGATGAAACTCTTTTCAAATGGTTATTCTGTCTTTTCTGTGATGGAAAGCTAGAATAAGTTTTCATTCTGGTGGCTTCAAAACATGATCCTGACATTATTAGTTCCATGCAGGGCCAAGGAGGGGGTTGCTTGGGGGATTGTGGGGTGGGGGCAGGGTGGCAAGTGCTCCTTGGCCCACAGTAGTTTACAGCATCCCCCCATCCCTGTAGACATGCCTTGGAGGTTAGCTGGTGATGGGAGAGTGTTTAGGCTCTTGGAGAAGAGTGTGGCTTGGGTTGCACTGCAGGGCTCCCAGGGGAGATGAAGAGGCTCAAGATATAGTCTTAGTTGTATGAAAGGCAAGCCTTTCAAACAGCCAACCCCGTGGAGCCCTGGGAAGTGGCTCAGGGTACAGCAGTGATTTCCTACGTCTGGCTCCATGGCTATCTCCAAGCCTAGCAGTTTGCCTTTCTGGTGCCTTTTTACCCCTCTGATGCTGCTTTCTTCTCTCTCTCTAGCTACTGACACATTTCTTCAAGCCCCACTTCAAACTCCCCACAAGGAAACTGAGTTGCTGTAAGTGATCCTGTTGCTAGCTAGTCTATATAAAACAGCCTTTGCCTCAGGCGCCAAGCCCTGGTCTGGCTAGTTTAGGCCAGGCATGTTTGCCTGGTACCAAGCATGCTGACCTATGGCCATGGAACTCTGTCCAGCTGATTTGCTCAAAAAGAAAACTGTCAGTGTGTAGCTCTTTGCATCATCTTAGGCTCCTCTCTGGCTCAGGTGGGGTTTCCAACCTCATTCCCATGAAGGGTCTTTGGGTTCATTAGCGTATCTAGCTCAGAGACTGCAGCCATCCATGTGTGAGACAAGTTACCGCCATTTAGCTCAACCTTCAAGGTGGTTTTTCAATATCAACTGGCATGTCCACAGTGTATGGAGCTGGAGTTGTTATGCCTGTCCTACCTGTATCCCCAATGCCACTTCTTTCTTACCTCCTACTAGACCTGTTCTCTTCATTCTTCTTCTAGCTGTAAAGCTGTGAGAACTCAAGCATCTGAGTCTCCCTCACATAGCAATTCTCATGCAGAACAAAGCTAAGAAATGGAAGGGAAGGCCAGGTGCGGTGGCTCATGCCTGTAATCCCAGCACTTTGGGAGGCCAAGGCAGGCGGATCACCTGAGGTTGGGAGTTCGAGACCAGCCTGACCAACATGGAGAAACCCCATTTCTACTAAAAATACAAAAGTAGCCGGATGTGGTGGTGCATGCCTGTAATCCCAGCTACTCAGGAGACTGAGGCAGGAGAATCACTTGAACCCAGTAGGCGGAGGTTGCGGTGAGCCAACATTGCACCATTACACTCCAGCCTGGGCTACAAGAGCAAACTGTCTCAAAAAAAAAAAAAAAAAAAAAAGGAAGAAGTGATTGTATTGCATTTCTGCCAGCTCTGTCTCCTGCTTTGCATTTAGGCTTGCCTGATTTCTTTTAGACCTTGTCTGATTTCTCTTTAGGACAAGAAATTCCATTCAGGACTGATTTGATTCATTTGTTGATCTTGGAACCTGTCCATTGTAGAGAATGTCAAGGGGTTTCTTCTGAACACCTGGTAAGAGAATCCGGAATCCTTCTACAGCTGATGGTCATGCAGGAGCATAAGAAGTGGCCCCCTCCCACGATTTATCTGTCAGCTTATTGAATTGCTTATGTCTTGCATTCTTCCAAAAACTTAATTTATTATTCCACAAGTAGTACATGTTCCTTGTAGATTAAAAAAAATAACAGGAACAAATTGTTCCTTGATACTTGGGGAGTAAGACATCACACATTAAAATATTTTTCTAAAGTTAAATCAACTTTAAGCATAATTTGCTGAGATAGACAAGAAGCCCAGTATCAGGTGTTCCTCAAGGCTTCTTCCCTTGAGAGGAGGAATTTATAAGACTCAGGAGGAAGAGGAGATGGCCAGAAGGCTCTGCAGCTTCCAGCACTGAGTGCTCCTGTCTCAGTGGTACCTCCCTGTCTTTCCCCACACAAATTTCTACCCTGTCAGAGTCCTGTGTTGCAGAGGCATCAGATTCTCCCAGGGGAGGCCCCATAAGCTCAGTCATCACTGCCTTGCCCAGTAACCTGTGTGGGGCCATTTCCTGATACAGTGCTTGAAGCGCATACCTTCATCTCTCCTATTTGGAAGTGCTGGTACAATTAATTTGCCTCATTGGGCCAACAAACTGAAGACAAAAAATTGGAGGAGGGCTTATCCACTGCCCGTCGGTTCCTCCCTCACATTTGGAAACCCACAAATAATAATGTTTACTCTTTTGTGGAGCAATGAGAGCCCAGACCTTAGGAAGTTCAAAGCTGGTCTTTCCTTCATGAGTTAGGAAGCGAAGTGCCATATTGCAGCAAAAACAGACGAACAGAAGATACCAGTAAAATTCTTAATGTACTATTTTAACATATTGGTACACAAAAAGAAGGCACAAGTCACCCATGGTCCTTCCACTCATACTTAACAGCTGTTAATATTTTGTTGTTGACCTTCTAATCTTTTTTTCTATGCATCTATATAGACAAAGGTTGGAGACAGCTTGCAGAGAGTCAGTATACAGCAGTATTTAAAGAAGAAACTGGCATGAAGAGAAAAAAAACAAGAGCCTGAAAATAAGATAAGTCCAGGAGTTACTTTTCCCATAAGGCTTATTCTTTTCCCTCAGCTCCAGAAGGGGTTTTTCATGAAAAAGAATCTTCTACAAGGAGCTAAAAAGTGAAACCTTTGTATGGTGGATATAATTTCCCTTTTAAAAGGCCCCCCTCTGCCCCCATCCCTGGGGAGCTCTACGGCTGAGGACCTTGTAATTGCTGAACTGCATTTCAAATCAGAGTGCAATTGTGATCAAACCAAGTGACTCTCATTACTCCTTTGCCTCTTGCATCAAAACCACTCACATTGACACTGAGCAAAGCCCAGCACACTTAGCCTGTGATTCTTGGCAGGCCGGCTTCCCTTTTAATAGGCAGGGTAGCACAAGAGGGCGGGGCAGCCGGTGCTGTCTGCAGGAGGAGGGTGGTAGGTGGCAAGAGGTGCTTGTGCTGCTCTCTTCTTGGAACTAGAAAGACCCAGGGCTCTGGGTTGCTTTCTGGGAGTGTAACTGGGCGGATCCCGGGGCTTTTATTCTAGGCCCTACCTGTCCCCAGACCTGGAAATAATTAGAGGCAAGCATGCCTGCGGTTGTCTACTGTGTGGTGAAAGCCTGGTGGGCTGTTGGCTTCCTTTTGTCATGTATGCCCATTTTACTTCATGTACTTGGTTGTTGAGATAGCCAGCAACAGTTTTATTGCATTCAGTGCTTTTGAGTTTCTCATGGTGCCTTCTTAAAAGGCCTGATGCTCCTAGGCGCAGAGGAAGGGAGCATTCTTCTAAGCCCCTTTGAAGTGGCAGGCGTGGACTTTGTTCTCTGCAGACACATCTTCTGAGAATCAAGCTGTGGATCTCCCCAGCAGGGTGGACTGGGGTAGCTGGAGGTCACGCATAGCCTGTGCAGACTTGGAGCACAAAGCTCCCATTAGCCGGTTCTGTTGCTCAAGTGTTTTATTGTTGATGCTGAATTTCTGTTTTGGAGTTAAAAAAATTCTTATTTTTAGTTTTTTACAAGGAGGAGACACAATTGCTCTTTCTTAAATGAGTCTGGCCTTATTCTTACCTAACAGTAGAATCCTGGATTAAATAATTTACTGAGATATTTTTGAGTTTTTATTTTACATTTCTATTGAGGTATAATACACGTACAGAAAAAGTGCACAGATCTTAATTTTACATCTCAGTAAATGTTTACCTCTAAATACTCATTTGTAACCTTATCACCTTATCCAGATGAAGATATAAAGCACTTCCAGCACTTCCAAAGGCCCTCTAGTGCCCTTCCCAGACAGTGCTCCCTTCCCAAGGGTAATGACAGTTCTAACTTATCACCAACTGTTCATTTTGCCTGTTTTTGAATTTGATATAAAGTGAATTCATCCAGTATATATTCTTCTGTATCTGCCTTCTTTCACTCATTATGTCTATGGGATTACCATGGTGTTGTGTCTAGAAGTCGTTGTTTGTCATTGCTGTGTTTTATTCCTTTTTGTGAGTTTATTACTACAGTTTATCTGTTCTGTTGATTGGATATTTTACTTCTTGTTACTTCTTGACTTTTTTTTAAAGCTTGGCTTATCAAAAACCATCTTTTGATGTTGGCCATCGTTTATTCCAATGATTTTTTTAAAAATTAGCAGTGGATCTTTCTTTTTTTCCAAAGGAAATTTCATATAGAGTCCATTCATAGGAAACAGATAAAATGTGAACGGCTGCAACTGAGATGGGGGAGAGTGGCTTGGAGCCCCCAGCCTCTTTGCTTTCTCTTATCCCTATAGGATGGCCATTAGGTGAAGCAGTTTAGCTTGTTGGTTCAGACCTGGCTTCTGGAGTTGGATTGCCTGCCTGCCTAATTTCTCCTTGCTGTACATTCTTGGAAAAATTACTTAACCTCACTTTCCTTATCTGTGAGATGGAGATTTTAAAAAAAGAAAAAAAAATCCTTACATTGCAGGGTTCTAGAAAGCATTAAGAAATGCAGTGCAAGGAAAGCACTGCATGCTGTGTTCCCCTCAGCAAGGGTGTCATAAATGGTGTGGTGAGCGCCGCTGTCATCACTGTAGTCAGTGTCATTTTCTGCAGAGCCCTAGCACTCCCTGGGGCACCATCAGAAAGCCATGGATTCATGGCAGTAGCAGAATCACAGCCCTCACTGTCCCTCCAGTCCGTGAAGATGTGACATGCCACAGCGTGTTGGAGTGCCTCTGAGGCCCTCCTCCCTGCTAGTGCAGGAACCTGTGGTCAGCAGGTGCATCGCTCATCATGGGAATGGCAGAAGGCTGACACTCTCTTGACGAGTGGAACTGGACCTCCTAGAGCTCTAGTTCTCATACCCATTTTTCACTATGTACCTGGGCTTGTTGGGATTATTGAGTCTGCTAAATAAAGACTGCCTGGGGCTTCATCTTTGTGACAGGATGTCCTTGTGGCGTGAATCCAGAAAGAGGTTATGATGTGAAGAATGGAGCTACTTTCAGGCTTTTATTCTACCCTGGCTTCCAGCCAAATTGGTCTTTTGGAGCCAGGCCCAGACCCAGGCCCATGTGTTGCTGGAAGGATTAGTTATTACTATTATAACTGTTTGTAATAACAATAGGTGACAATTATTTAGTGCATGCAATCTCCATTAGATGTGTTATTTAATCTTCCCGACAGTCCTATGAGATAGGTACAGTTACATGTGTTGATCTGCCCACTGGGCATCTCCCCATTTTAACTAGAATTAAATTCCATGAGGCAGAGATTTTCTTTTCTTTTCTTAACTGTTGTATCCCCAGAAGCTAAAACAGTGTGGGCTCCATAAATGTGTAAAATGAATGAATGATTCTTTCTATTAAAGAAGAAGAATTTGGGGCTCAGACCAGTTAAATGACCCACCCAACATCACACTGCTAGTAAGACGCTGAGCCAGGTCTGTTTGATTCTGAGCTCCTGCTGGTAACTGTCCTCCTGTACAAGAGTTGGAGGGGAGACCCTTCCTGAAAGGATGGGATGAGAGAGAGGGATTTTACCTTGAGCTCAGTGTTTATATGTACCTGTGATAATGAGCCCAGCATGCTGCCGAGTACACATGGGATGTGCCACCTGCCGTCCAGGTGGGGTCATTCAGGACCCTCACCTGCATAGGTCCAGGTCTTGGCTGCCCCCAGTCTGGCAGGGCAGAGGACTTGGCGATGGACTTCCATCTTGGCCCTTCACCAGGATTCTGCAGGCATTGGGCAGATATTCCTGTCCTGGATCCTTCTACAGGGATGCTGCAGGGGAATTGGTGGGGCAGGAGGTGAAACCCACCCTTGTCTGACAGAGGTCTTGAATCAGTCCTGTGCTTAGGGCAATGATGGTTCATGCTTGGGGATTTTCATCTTCTTTTTAAACTCTAGGTATTCTCAGTAGGAAACTCCCTGTTGATCATGTTAATCTTATGGAGGCTTTTCAAGCCATTTTGATTTTTAAATGCACTTTTACTCACAGTACAGTTGGTAGCAGGTAATTAGCATTAGGCCTGTCTTAGTATGTTTTGTGCTGCTATAACAGAATACTTGAGACTGGGTAATTTACAATGAATAGAAACTCATATGGCTCAAAGTTCTGAAGGTTGGGAAGTCCAAGATCCAGGGGCCTAAATGTGGTGAGGGACTTCCTGCTGCATCATCACATGGTGGAAGGTGGAAGGGCAAGAGAGCATACACAGAGAGAACAAGAGAGGGAACTCACAGCCTCAAGCCTTTTTAGAATTGGCATTAATCCATTCATGAGGGTGGACACATTCAAACCATAGCAATGTCATCATACCACAAACTGTAGCTGCAAAGAGTTCCTCTCTGCTATCATTTCTACATCCTTGGAGGAAGAACTGAAGATTTATGAGATGAGATGCAGGCGGAGAGTGGCCGCTCACCTCCAGGCTTTTTTTGCCTGGTGCTTGTCCTTTCTTTATCTCCATTAAGTGTGTGTACCCATTCCCACTTAAGTATGTATTAGCTCCTCTTCTATTCCATATTTTTCTGTGCTTAGCATTGTCATCTTCTGGTATTTTACACTGGAATCCTTACCTAATTGTATCTAATCTCTTTAACACTCTCTTTACCCTTTCTTGGAATTTCTGACACAGTGCTAGACCATTTTTTGTGTGTGACAGTTTTGGAATTACCCTCTGACATCAGTTGGGTGCTGTTGAAAAAGTGCTTGTCTCCTCTTAGCTGTTTCTTACCCTGGGGTCGTTTTTAGCAAGTTTTAGTGATGGTGCCTTGTCAAGATATTTTCTTTAAAAGTTACAGTGCAGGTGTCTCCTTACACTTTCCCTCAGCATGCAGGAAGGGGTTTGCATCCAATCCTTATAAGGAAAGATCAAGCTTCTATTGCTCAGGGAGGGTATTGGTTGGCAGAATGTGGGGTTCAGTGGATTCAGCAAATGAGACACTGAAGAGCACAGTAGTTAGGAGCTTGGCTGTGGACACAGACTGTTTGGGTCCACATGAGGAACTGATGAAGTTTCTTCCTGTTTTATCATTCTTTAGACCTACACAGTCCAGTACAGTAACCACCAGGCTCATGTGGCTACTCAGCAGCTGAAACTAGGCTAGCTCACAGTGGGACGTGCTGGGAGTATAAAACACCAAGATTTCAATGCCTTAGGATGAAAGATCATTAATATTTTAAAATATTGATGGCATGTTGAAATGATAGTTTGGATATGTTGGGTTAAATAAAATATTAGAATGAATGTTCCCTGTTTTTGCTTTTTAGTGTGACCGCCAGAAATTCAAATTATATATGTGGTTCACATTTGTGGTTGACGTTATATTTCTATTGGATAGTGCTGATCTCACCTGAGGATAGTAACAGCCCCTTCCTTCTTCATGGGTTGCTGTGAGGGTTAAATGGGTGAATAGATGAATGGTGTTTAGTTTGGTACTCGGCATATAGTAAGTATTTACAAAGCCTCAGATGATCATCATTGACATTATCGTCATCATCATCTTATCATCCAGGGTGGAAACCTAAGCTAAGAGGAGAAAGTTGGGGGTGGAGACATCTGGATTGTGGTTTGAGGTAAACTTATCAACTTCTTAGGAGGTTGTTTATGATTTGGGGCTCTCTGGTGTTATAAGTAATCCTCATCCCCTTGGCTCCTCATTTGTATTGGTAATGGAAGGCTGTGTATGCAGTTCATGGTAAATCCTGTTACCTAAAGGGATGGCTGCTCACTGCAAACTGCTTTGTAGAATCCCCAGAGGCTTATTTATTTACCAAGCTACTTTGACTCTTGCAATGGAGTGAAAAATCAGGTTTTCATGAAGCCAGTTATAAATAGCTAACCTTTGGGAAGTGCTTACCATATGCCTAGCACTATGCTAAGTGCTTCTCATGTATTTCTTTATTTAATGCTCACAGTAGCCCTCCAAGGCAAGTGCTGGCCCCACCAGTTTAAGTGGAGGGAAGCAGAACTTAGCATAAGTAACATCTTGCAGCCAGGACGTGAGGGAGCTGAGCCTTGAATCTAGGTCAGTCTGATTCTCAAGTTGTGGCACTATTCATTCTGCCTCCTTAGAACTCAAAAAGTGAGTCTCTTTTAATCAGGAAACCTTATGCAGCACACTGGGTATTTCAGAATGTCTGAGACACTGGAGAGGGTGTAAGCCTGAAGGCATAAGCCCAGAAAATGGCTGAGTCCTCAGGCCAGGGCTGAACTGGGTTCTGGAACCAGAGTGCAGTACATGGTGGCCATTGACAGGCATGGCCAGCTACTGTGACCAGCTGTGAGAGCAGCACAGCCCTGGTCTCAGGCTGTCCCTTTGTGTCAGACAGGCAGATTTTATACGATGCATTCATGGACCTGAGGCCCATTCACCCCAGAGGCTTTCCCAAGACCCTGGAGAGGCAGAGATGCTTGACAAATGCATTAACTTTGCCAACGCTGCTTAAAGGAGGCATGTGATATAACATTTCCAAAGCCACAGTGTTTTCTTAGAGAAATCTCAGTACAGCTAAAACTCTAATGATTGCATGTGTCAGAAAAGGATCTTCTTTTTCATTTAGGCCTGATATAAATTTGCTGGTGACTTTACCACATTAGCTAAATTCCAGGAAAGATATGTGTCACTGGGTTGGGTGTTTCTGTTGCCGCAGGACATTGAATGATGCATTCTTTAATGAGCGAGTGTCACTCATTGGAGCAGCTGCCTTTCAAGGAGCCTTTCTCTTGAATAGAAGAATTCTATTTAGTATCCAGTTATTTCCTCTTTGACCCCCTTTCAGTCAAAATATGCAAGGTTTATTCCTCACCTCTTGACATCCAATGCCTGTTAGAGCCTTATTAGCATTTATTCTCATTGATGTTCATTGCATTTTAAATCTGGCAGGGACGTGATTAAGAGGTGGAAAATCACCGGACTCGGTCGGCGTGTGACTGTCTGATCGTGGCATGATGACCAGCTCAGCATGTAATCACATCTCTTGTGTTTTCAGTTTCCTTTCATACCCCTGGAGGGAAAAAGTTCAATTCCGAGTCATGCTCTGGCTCGGCAGAGGTAGGCAGCGGGTGAGAAGGGTGCAGAATCGGTTGGTCCTGAGTGTGCTGAGAGGCAGCCTAGGTCCTAGGAGACGAATTCTACCTACATTCACCCTAGGCACCATCCTTGCATCACTCGCTACCAGAATAAGCGGGCCAGCTAGGCTTATTCTTATAAGGAGGTGTACCTGTGGGATCCCAGTAAATCACGGCACTCATCCTGTGGGGTTGGTGGTTGCTATGGATAGAATTGTGTTCCTCCGAAGTTCCTTTGTTGAAGCTCTGACCCCCAGTGTGATGGTATTTGGAGATGGGGCCTTTGGGAGGTGATTAGGTTTTGATTAGGTCATGGGGGTGTAGACTTCATGATGGGATTAGTGTCCTTATAAGCAGAGACATCAGAGACCTTGCTTCCTCTCTCTCTCGGCCATATGAGGGTACAGCCAGGAGGCAGCCATCTGCAAGCCAGGAAGAGGGCCTTCACCACGGAACTGAATTGGCCAGCACCTTGATCTTAGACTTGCAGCCTCTAGAACTGTGAGAAGTAAATTCCTGTTGTTTAGGCCACTCACTCTAATGTATTTTGTTACGGAAACCCGAGCTAAGACAGTGGTCCTAGTTCTAGTTCACAACTTTGGGAAGCTTATATAAGCTCCCAGTTAGTAAGTGGCACACCCAGGTCAATCTGGGGATAACAGCTTGTCTCCCTGGCACTTCTCGACCCCTGTGTGGATATTGCCTGTTGGGGTTTTGCTTATATATGTTCTCCTCAGGAGGATCTCTTACAGCCCTGTCATTATTTTTGGGTCCCTTGCAAAGCCATGTGTAGAGTAGACATTGAATAGATAACAGCACAGTGAATGAATGAATATGACAGCCCGGGATGGAAACCAACCAAGGAAAGAGGTAGATAGATGGAGGAAGCCACAAGTCACTCAACTTCTCCTTTCACTCATGTCTTGTGTATGAATTTGCATAAATAAGGATTCCCAGAGAAGTTTCCTCTGCTGTCCAGACACCCACCCACCCATCAAGGAGCATTGCCTTTGTCATCAGGAGCAGCTCTGAAGGGTCTCAAGCTGTTCTTTCCCACATGGGTCCAACTCAGCCTACTTGTCAGCTCAACTGACACCACCATGGTAGGAGTCCAAACCTCTGCTTCCATCTGAGCACCAGGCCGGATGGGAAAGAACGAGTTAAAGCCTGCAAGTATGAGTCTGTTGTACAGAGCAGCATCTAGGTCATTCCTTCAACACAAAAGAAATGAAATACAGCTTGCCTAGCTGCAGCTTGCTGCACGAACCCCGCTGCTCTGTGCAGATTAATACCAGGCAGGCATGAGGCCATTTTAATAAGATACAGCAAGATTAATAAGGGAGCGGACCACATGTTCCTCTGGAACACACAGTCCTGTGTGCAGTGGTGAAGGGAGACACATGGGAGATGTGGAAGCAGTGGGGACAGGGCTGTGGGGAAGGGAGAGGGAGGCACAGGGCCAGCAGCCCCAGACAAAAGCCAGCCCAAGACACTTCCTGGGAGGAAGGGCCGCATAATGACAGGGGTTCTAAACCTGGATCCAGGATAGGTTTCTAGCAATCTGAAGATGCCTTGAAGCTGTGTGTGAAATGCTGCGTGTGTCCCCCATGCACACTGTCCTCTAGCCTAGCTGGCTGTATTTGGGGCTGCACAGGGCCTTTGCATATGCCCTCCTCCCTACCTGGATCAGCCTCTCCCATTGCTGCCTAGTTAGCTCCCATTCTGCCTCCAGGTCTCACTTGCTTGTGGAAACCTTTCCAGACCCCCAAAGCAGGTCACAGGTGCCCATTGTTCCCTCTCAGGACCCTGTGCTCCCTTTCTGTGTGGCATGGTCCAGTTGTCATTGTACCTTAACTTGTAACCCTCCTCCCCATGTCTTTTGTCCACTTGGGTTATTCTGCTTCACTAAGTAAACTGGATTTCCCTGGCTGTTTTTTCATATGTTCATGCCTGGAAACAACTCTCCCAGCTCTGGCTCAACATCATCTGGTTCAAAAGCCATAATTAGCTGACCACAATCTTTGTGACTGTTAGGTACAGATGTTTGAGGGGGAATGTGGTTGGATTAATTTGGGCTAGTGAGTGTGTCTTCTAGGATCAGGGTTAATCTAATGGAAACTGCTTTGAAGAGAGGGTCATGTGATAGTGAAACTGCCTTTTGGGGGCGGTTGGATAGTATAAGTGGGGTGAGGAAGCCTGGTGTGGAGAGCATATGGGCTGATATTTCCACTGCAGTTTCCTAACTAGAGGTGGACCTGAGCCCCCTTTGCCCTCGCCTTGGCTACAGCCCTTTTTCTGCATCCAAAGCAATAGCTCCTCTGACTTTGGGGGCAGGGATGCCCATTTTATGTTAGCATCCCAAGAACTTGGCCCAGTTATCAGCAGGTAGTTGGTGCCTAAATGGTGTTGGTTCCAACGTGAAAGAGAAGAGGCATCAGGGGATTTCCAAACTGTTTAGCCTGAGCTGCTTTGTTGGGATGTGTGGTTTATGTGGGTCAGCATTAAAGAGTGTGGGCAAAGAAAAACAGGGAGCTAGAAGGGGCTCAACATGGGATAGCCATGGGGAATATAGATCATGTGTGTTGGCACTTTTGCTTTATTCACTGCATGCCTGCTTTCAAATTTAATGTTCCTGAGGCATGTCTCAAATTGAGTTATTTATATTTTTTTCATTAAGTTGTAAACTTCTTACAGGAAAGTGTCCCCCAGGTGCCTTGTCTGGGGCCTTGAACCCCTGGAGCTGCTCTAGAAATACTCAGTGACTTGGTTTCTGTAAACCTGAACTTCATATTCTTCCGTGCACAGTGCTCAACAGCGCTGCTTCTTGCGGCATGTTGACTGCAGGGGTGGGTGTGACTGTTCAGGGATGGTAAAGGCTTACGGAGAGTCCAGACCAGGGCTCTTCTTGTCAATCATGCATTTTGTACCAGTTGTTGCCACCTGGTGATTGTCAGTGTTTCACTTCAAGTAGCAAAGGAAGGGCATCAGCTTAGGCAGGAAAGCCATTGATGGAGGCAAAGCAGAACTATAGGCACTCAGTTCCCTGAATCCAGGGCTTATCTAAAGCAAGTGTAATCCAGATACTTCACGTACTTTAAGATATGTGAACATGTGAATTGACAAAACAAAAACACTGGAATCACTGCCATTTGACTCAGTTGTCACAGTGCACTCTGTCTCCTCATCTCTGGCTCAGCAATTGAAGCAGTCTAAGGCCTTGTATTTAAAAATTGCAACCATAGTTGTTTGTTATTCTTCTCAGTTACTTGGTCTGATACTTTTCTTGTTTTGCTGACAACTGGTCCACACTTAGCTGGAGCATCCATCCCCTGTTCTCTTTCTCTCACCTTCTCTTAGAGCCACATGCTTTTCCCTCTGGTTCTGACTTTCACAAGGCCGGTGAGAGACTCCCTTGCCGCATCTGTTTTGACTAAACTCCTACTTAATCACTTATATCTTGGCAGGACTCAAAGCCCTTCCCATTCGAAGCAGCTAAGCTATTCTGACAAGCAGTTGGTTAGTGTTAAATGGCATTAACTCACTTCACCTGAATGTAGTCCTACACCATAGTGGGTGGGGTGGGGCAGGACTCCAGCTTTGACCTCCTAGGCAAGTTTGGTGGAAGGATTTAGGGCACAGATATTGGAGTCCAACAGGCCCCTGCTCCCAGCCTGCTCTGTCACTTTTTGGTGGGGTGGTCACAGGCAAGTTTGTCTTTTCTTGTCGGAAAAATGAAGATAACACTTGCCTCCTAGGGTTTTTGTGGGGATTAAACAAGATCTTCTATCTTTACATTAGTTAGCACAATGCCTGGTACTGAGTGTTCAGTAAATGGTAGCTATTTTTGGTATTATTGTCTATTTTATAGATTTTGATAAGACAGCTCCAAATTTTCTATTTTGAAAACATCAAAATTGTCTTGTTTCCTATGTGACATCCTGGATCTTAATAAGGTTGAACAGTGCTGTCTTATTCTTGGAGCACTGGGGGAGTATTCTTGGAGAAGATTCAGTGAAATTCTTGACTAAAGTGCAAAAATCCCAGATTTTTGTCTGTTTCCTGCTCACTGAACTTCAGGGCAAAGAGCTCTTCTGGGAACCTGTCCCCTGTCCCTGCCTCCCATGGCACTGGTTGGGAGTCCATGCCATGCTCAGAGCTTTTGCTGCACCCTTTTGGGCAATTCATGAGGATTTGCTTTTTTCCAGTGCTGCCAGAAGTTTTGGTACTGTACTTTTGTGCGTCGTTGTGTGTAAGCGGTACTACAGAATATTTAATAAGGTCAAACATAATACATGTTTGAAAACTGTGTAAGTTGAGTTACAAAAACAGCTTTGATTGCATGAGTAATATTTAAAGTGCCTGTTAAAAATATAGTAACTTTTCTATCAATAATAGAAAACCTTCTGAGCTCTGAAGAGATTTTTAAAGCAAGATCCAGTGGCTCTTGCCCGTCTTGGTGAAAGTTTTCCATTAAACAGATGATTCATATTACGAGAGTGGAATGATTAACATGAATTATGGGGAAATTATTCTAAGACTTGAGTGTCTGATTTATGAATGGATTAGGAGGCAGATTGCTTCACAATTGTTTTTTCAAAAGGGAGAATTTTAGCTGACTAACCAAGACCCTCCAAAGAGAGGGTTTGCCCCAGCATTGGTGTTCCTTTTAGGGGCAATTTCTCAGAGTCCTCTATTTAAAGAGAGAAACTTACTTCTAGGGAAGAGAGGCTACCTGCTTCTGTCAGTTCTGGAGTAGACTCTAGAATTCCTCCCAAACCTGACTCAATTAGAAAGGCTTGAGAAAGCCAGAACTGCCCCTTGGAAGGTGAACCTTTGAATCCTGGGCATGTGCCAGACAGCTGGGAAGAAACCAACTTAATTCAAGTTGGTCAGAGATTCCCGTGTGGATGGACAGAATGGCTGGGGCTCTCCTCACTTGTTTACTGGCCACAGCACTGCTTTCAGGAAGGTCTTAGTGGAGATCCCTGGACTGAGAACTGCAGCCTGGGAGGAGAGGGGATGACTGAGCAGGGGAGCAGCTGTGGAAAGCTGGGTGTTCTGCAGATGCATCCCACAAGCTTGGGTTGGTATCCTCACCAGAAGTATGACCTGAGGCCCTATTGTGTGCCAGCACCTATGCTGGGCACTTGGACATGAATCCTCCCTGTGAGGAGCTCACATTCCATCTGGGACAACAAATGAGGAGATGACAGTGTCCTGCAGTGAGTATGAAGGAGCAGTTTGCATGCAACTAAGTCACCTGATCCTAATAGCACCTCTTTGAGGGAGGCACTATTATTAGCCCCATTTTACAAATGAGGAACCTTTAGGCCACATGGTAATAAGTGACAGAGCCTCAGCTAGGACACAGCTTTGGCTAATTCCAAGTCTTGGCTCTTAAATCCTGCTCTATCCTTGGTATAAAATGATAGCTAATGCTGTGGTGTTGTAAGCAGTGAGTATTGGGCACTGTCCCACAATATAGGCTCGGGGGGGCAGGTTCAGATTTTGCCCTTTTCATACAGTCCCACTGTAGTTGTTTGTTAGGGAAATGGGCAAATTGCCCTTGTCTTAGGTGGGGAAGCTATAGGTGGAGGCAAAGCAGAACTATAGGTGCTCCTGTCACCTGGATTCAGGTATCACCAGGGCTGTGGGACCCTCATGCAAAAAGCTCTTTGTTCTGCAGCCTTGTGCTTATCTACCCCATCCAAAGGCTGTGTAAAAATGACTCCATTTTTCTTTGGCTTTGTGCAGATTCTTCTATCAGGTCACTTAGCTTTCCACTGGCAGATAAATCACTCGTAATTTGAGTGTTAAGCCCCATGGTGCCTGGCACATGACAGCTGCAAAAAACGTCACCCCGCTCCCCAACATCATTGCCTCTAGCTTTGAGGTTGATGAAGCAGCCACAGGTGGGCAGATGGTGCTTAGGTATTAGGGAAAACTGCTTGCAAATCTCGGTATTTAACCTCTGTCCTTCTCCAGTGAGGCAGCCTCAGTCAGAAAGGCCTGTGAAGGGGCAGGCTGGGTATTCACTCCCCCATGTGATGGAGGTTAATAAGATCAGAGTTTATTTAGAATCAGAAGCAGGAGATGAGCTTCTAGGGGGAAATGAGCAGCAGGGCTGGGCTGGGCTGGGGCAGGTGCAGGGCCCTGGGATCTCAGGCTGTTTATGTAGAGATGGGTAAACAGAAGATGCACCTGAACCTCACTGCTCACTTTTACTGCCATCCACCCTGCTTCCTGCAGAGAAGGGCCTACCAGGCCCATTCTGAGCATGGATTTGTGCATCTCAAGCCTGTCCCCAGTGACTGGCTTGCCCAGGCTGGTTCTGCAGGACACCTGCACCTTGCTTCCAGTGCTAGACTTCTTTAATTGGGAGGTTCTTTGCAAAGTAAGTCCTATTTTCCTTTCACTGAAGTTATTTCAAAAAGTCTCCATTTCTATTTATCCCCCTGTATTTATTTTGCACCTGGTATCTGCCTCGTGCTGAGGATATGATGATGGATAAGACAAATCTAGTCCCCGTCCTCCAACCCTACATTGTCTCCTGACAGCTCTAGGACAGTAAGGATTCTTAACTTTTGTATACAGGTGAGGTAGCTGAAGCTTTTAGAGCAGGTTGGTCATTTACCCAAGGTGATGCAGAGCTGTGATTCCAGTCCAGGTCTGTCTTCAGGTTCTATGCCCTTAACCATCAAGCTGAACTGTGACTCAGTACAGTAAATTTCTGGTAGAGCTTCTCAGGCTGCAGTTTGTTTCTTGGCCTCCGCACTCCGGACTTATGGATGTGTAAGCCAATATTTACAAGTTCTGAGTGGGGTCACTTCTTAGCAGTGTCTTGTGTAGAGCATAAAATCCTTTTGTAAAGAAATGAGGTGCATTTAATGCATGTCTGTGGTGTGAGTTTTTGGTATCCCTGGACCTATTTTATTCTGTTGGGGACATACTTGTATTGGGGAGGGAGAGCTAGGTAGGTACTTACAGGGCAGATGCCCATCTCAAATTATGAACTTTGGAAGGCAAGGTCTGGATCTTATTCATCCTTGATCTCCCATACTCAGCCTGATACTGGCACAAAGATGTGCTCCGTACGTGTTCATGTGGTGAAGGAGGATTGATTACTGTCATGAGGGCCTCTGAGGCTGAATAACCTCATGAAAAAGTGTGTCCCCTTTGGAGTCAAACTAACCTAGGGTTGAGTTGAGCCTTGCCACCTTTTGACAGTATAGCCTGGCAAGTGATTTAATCTTCCTGAGTCTCAGTTTCCCCACTTGAGGGTTGTGGGAATTAAATTAGTGCTAAGTCAGGAGCTTAGTACAATGCCTGCCCATGTTAAGCCACGGGTTGCAAACTGTGGCCCTCAGGCCAAATCTGCCCTGTCTGTCTGTTTTTATAGAGGTTTATTTGAAGGCAACCATGCTCATTCTTTCATGTATTATCTATAGCTGTCTTTGCACTACAATGGCAGAGTTGAGGAGAGGTCATATGGCTCACAAAGTGGAGAATATTTACTACCTGGCCCTTTACATTAAAAGTTTGCTGGCCGGGCGCGGTGGCTCATGCCTATAATCTCAGCGCTTTGGGAGGCTGAGGTGGGTGGATTGCAAGGTCAGGAGATCGAGACCATCCTGGCTAACATGGTGAAACCCTGTCTCTACTAAAAAAAAAGAAATTAGCCGGGCGTGGTGGCGGGCGCCTGTAGTTCCAGCTACTTGGGAGGCTGAGGCAGGAGAATGGTGTGAACCTGGGAGGAGGAGCTTGCCGTGAGTGGAGATCATGCCACTGCACTCCAGCCTGGGCAACAGAGCGAGACTCTGTCTCAAAAAAAAAAAAAAAAAGGTTGCTGACGTCTGTGTTAAGTCCTTAATAAATGGTAAACTGCAGTGGTTATTACAATTATTGTCATTATCTATAATTTCACCACCCCCCTTCTAACCCTTAAATAAGTCACTTTTAAAGCAGTGACCTTCTTCTGTACTTTTGAGTTTTGGGAGGAACTTCTCAATGCTTGATGAACATGTTTGTGCTTCTCTTGGTTTTGGTCTTGATGGCTCTGAAGATTTGGGTGGAATTCCTTCCCAGCCTTTTTCTTCTGGTCTCTTGATCCCTCGTAGTTTTGGATCTGTCCTCAAAAGGTGGCATTTCTTCCACCTCCATCTCTGAACAGCTCGCCTTACTGAGTGGCTGGGGCTGAGAGGAACACTTAAGGGGGAAGCTCGCTGTAAAATCATTGTGTTTGAGGGTCCCTCATGCTTCTGGGAAATTGGGAGAGGCAGGAGCTCCTAAACTCTGGGAACATGAACTCACCCAGAGTCTTGACTTCTTTCCCGAGTCTCTCTGCCCTGTTTTTATAGGTGAAAACCTCCTAAAATGTGAGGACAAGTTTTTTTCTCAGTAATTTGCTTTTTAAAAATGTAATCTTATTTCTGAATCATAAATGTAATATACGCAATTTGTGGAAACATGGGAAATGAAGACAACGGCAACAAGTCATCCAAATCTTACCACCCAGATGACCACTATTAGCATTTTTTAGCATATTTCCTTCCAGATTCCTAATCGTGTGTAAATGTTTACATAATTGAAATCACATTGTTTAAATAATTTTATTTCCTGCATTTTTACTTATGCCATAAAGCATTTCCTCTAGTGTCTGATATTCTTTAAAACCATAATTTTTATCTATGCACGTACACATGCTTCCACCCACCCATGCATCCACTCACTCAACAGATATTTCCTTAGTGCCTCTTATATCCCAGACCCTGTTAGGTGACTCTGATACAGTGGTGAGTAAATTAGACCTTATCTCTCCCATTACAGAGCTCACAGTCTAGTAGGGCATATAGAGAGATAATTAATCATTATAACATTGTCATAGCTCAGGCTGCTATAACAAAATACCATAGACTGGGTGGCTTAAACAAAAGACACTTATTTCTCACAGTTCTGGAGGCTAGAAGGTTCAAGGTCAAGGTGCTGGCAGATTCAGTTCTTGGTGAGGCCCACTTGCTGACTTGCAGATGGCTAACTTCTCTCTGTATCCTCACGTAGAGAAGAGAGGAGACTCTGGGGTCTCTTCCTCTTATAAGGACACAAATCCCTTAATGGGGCAGCACCCTCATGACCTCATCTAAACCTAATTACCTCCCGAACACTTCACCTCCAAATATCATCACACTGGGGGCTAGGGTTCTTTTTCAACATGTGAATTTAGGAGGGAACCCAAACATTCAATCCATAACAGACATCATATGATAATGCCCTAATGGGAAGTAGAGGATATGTAGAAACATGTACAGAAGGGACCCATCAATTCACTTGAAGTGTTGAGTGAAGGCTTCCCAGAGGAAGCCAGTCCCAGTCTCTGAGTCATCTCTTTGGAGGAAGTTTGAGAAACCCTGATCTACCAGCTTTCTTTGGGATGGTAGACAGTCTTCTGAGAAATGTGCACCTAAATGAGATGGAAGGAAAAGAAATTAGTAGTTACTGTGAGTGGTGGAACCCCAAATATCACTGTGCTGTATTATTATCAAGACTATCTTCCTAAAATAAAGCCCTTTAGAAATAAAGTGAGGCACTGCAGAGATCAAAGTGCGCAGACTCATTTGGAAATGCTGGACTTATTCCTGAAATAGGAGGCAATGTTCCAGAGAGAATCACCTCCATTGACTTAAGGGTGCATCCTAGGAAGGGTATATTTGGAAGTACTCTTGCCTTTTGAAGGTTCAGCAGCACTGTTGTGAGATCCCGGATCCTGTCTGCCTTCTGGCGACTTTAGGGATGCTCAAGGTCCATGTGGGTCCAGATGACTGTTGGATTAATGTGGACAAGACTGTGTGCCTTTGTAAGATGTGAGGTGACACAACATTTTAGCAAGGGCAAAACTCAAACCAACACTCTTCCCAAGTTCTGAGCACACAATGCCTGCCTTCTTCCTTTTGCCTTGTTACCTGTGTGTTTGTTTTTATGTGTTTCCCATGAGGAATGACACAGGGAGAGATGGCTGGTGTGGCAAACTGATTGCATGTTGGATCTTGCATGTTTATGTTTGACAGCTGACCTGGGCTTAGACTTGTGCATCTGCAACAAGAGACTAATGGCACCAATTGCTCTTGGTCTTAAATCCTCTCTGAGTGGTTGAAATAGAAGTTGGCCCTCTTAATTACTTGGGTGATCAGGAGATGGAATTGGTCAGGGACACCCTTGTGGGGATTTAGTAGTACATTTGTCACCACGAGGGTCTCTGAAGTTGCTTCAGGACAAATCTGTGGACCACAGCCATCTCCCAGCAGTGGATAGGTAACCCACATAGATGTGCAAGTGATGTAGAGAAAGCTCCACGCTATATTATGTCCATCCTAGAGGAAAAAAAATCCAGTTCAGGAAATGTATCTGCCTATGTATTTCTTCTTGACTTTTTATCTTTATCCAATTTGGGCAAGCATATACAAATGCTGACTGCATTTGCTCCTTAGTATGGACTGCAGTGCTTTATAAAAAAGTAAAAATGACTTTTCATTAGCAAAGGCCTGCAAGCAAGGCAGAAACTAACACAATTTGCATTTCTTTACCTTTGTAAAATGTGAGAGTTAGCACTATCCTGCAGGGTTGGCTGTTAGGATTAAATTAGAGAGCACATGTGCTAACCTACTGTCTGCCCTGTCGTAGATACTCAATAAATGGAAGCTATTATTTTTATTGATATAATAGCTAATTTTGATTCAGGATTCAACATGCTTTACATGTGTTAACTCTCTTAATTGATTTTGTATGCTCTGGATCAAACATATTTTGGTGTTTAATCAGAGAGGGAGGTGATAATGAGAATGCCTTGTATCTTGCTCACCTTCCCGTGGGCAATTGCTTTCCTAGTGACGAACAGCCAGAGAGGGGTCTTATAACCAAATGAGAGTATCATGCAAATTTCTAGTTCAATCCCTAGATTGCTTTCTAAGATACAGTCATATTACTGTGAAATGATCCAAAGTTTTATTCTTAAGAGGGTCTTGTGCCCCAGTTAGAGGGAGAATTCTTACTTCATATGGACATGATGCTCAAAAGATTGCTCCTAATATAGGTCTTATTTCACAGACTCCCCAGTGGGCTCGATTTATTTAGACTCCCTTTGAGGCTAACTGGCTGTGATAGACAATTTTTAGCCTTCATCCCAGAAATGATGCCTTAAGAAGCTGTGCTCTGTTCTATACTGCAGGCTTTGTGATGAGTTCATACTTTCAGTACCATCCAAAAGTGCCTATTAAATTGGAGTTCAGGGTACCTAGAGTCTTGACTTGATCATGTAAGTCTTGAAATTTTGTCCAGGAGGCATAGAAAAACCCTTCAAAGTTTTGAGTGTTTAATCTGTTTGGACAGAGTCTTAGGGGTTAGCCAAAGAATATCAAACTCTGATATAAACAGTTTTCAAAAACCAACAGAAAATGTCTCTTAGATGCACAGCCACCTGGAACATTCCAGGTTTGCAGGAAACTGCTGAAGACCTGTTGGATAGGTTCAATTTCTTGTCATGGTTGGTGGAAAGATACGGCTGTCTGGGGAGATATTACAGAGGGAGGAAGTTTATCTCCCCCTTCCCCTTCCTCTTCCCCTTCCCCTCCACCTTCCCCTCTTCCTTCCCCCACTCCTCCACCTCCTCCCTTCTGTCTCTCCTTTCCCTCCTTCCATCCTCCCCTCCCCTCCCCTCCCCTCCCCTTCCCTCCCTCCCTCCCTCCTTTCTTTCTTTCCTCCTTCCTTCCTTCCTTCCTTCCTTCCTTCCTTTCCGTCATGAAGGTAATAAGAGCCAAACGTGTTGTACAGATCAGGGGTAAGAGATGCCCTGGGTCAAGGCTGTGTCCTCTTCTGGGAGTTGGGCAGTGGTGTTGGATGAACATCACCTGTTGGGGATGCTTGGCAGGTATGAAGGATGGTGGAGTGATTTTTTGGCCTTGGGAAAGTGACTGATTTGTTCAGTCATTGCTCAGTGATGTGTCTCATGGACACATAGCAGCCACAAAACACCTTTACTCTACTCCTCCTCCCTAAGCAGGCTAGTTGCATCACTTGGTGCTTTCTGACTTCTGCATAGAAAAACCTTCAGGATTTGCAGTGACTGGTACAGTCCTCAGGAAGGAAATGGGACTCCAGAAGTCCTTGTCAGAAGGCAAATTTCTGGTCTTTTTTTTTCTCATTTGTGTCTCAGGGTGAAGTGAGCCTGGCAATGATTTCTTGATTCCTAGGAAGATCCATAAGGTTTAAATGGAATGGTACCTTAGGGTAATGATATTTTATTCTGATGAAAGGTGGATTATTAACAGAAGGTAAGAAGAGGGAATTATAAGGGTTCCAATTATTCTGCTGTGACAGAATGAGAGAAGTTCCATTTCCTTCCAACTTCACAAAGATTGTATGAGAATCATTTGTCACAAATGGAAACACACTGATCTCTTTAAAGGAAATATGTAGTCTATATTCAGCTTGTCCCAGCAGTACAAGCTGGGTTGCATCATGATCCTTAAAGCATTTGTGTACACTCACCTGCTTGCCGTTCCCCATATGTGCATGTGGGTGTAACATGTCTGCCTGGCAACTCCTACTCGTTCTTATAGACCCAGTCAGGCATCTCTTTCTCTGCGTAGCCTTCCCTGACCCTCTCCTTCCACAAGCAGAGCTGATCATGAGCTCCTTTATATTCCCACTGACCTTGAACATGTATTTATTCCACTTCTCATTCCCACATCCCCCAATGCCTCACCCTGTGCCTAGAACAAAGTGTGCATCAGGGCTAATTTGTTTTGTAGTGGTTTGTTTGCATGAGCACCTACCCTTCTGGTCTGTGAACTCCCTAACAACAGAGAACATGTTCTACTCACCCCTTTGTCCTTAGTGCCTGAATCATAATTATAGATGTTCAATTATGATTAGCTGAATGGATGGAGTTAGCACGGTGGCCTAAGAAGAGGATGGACTAGTGTAAGATAGCAAACTCCATGAGTGGTCCTCTTGTTGGATTCTGTTGTAAGCTCTGATACCCTGTTCAGGGGAGTTTCTATAGGGAAGATGGAGCCATGGGAGAGCAGAAACCAGTTCTTTGTATAGACATGAGAGAAAGGGAAGGGAGTCTTTGCTAATGGCCAGGTCAGCAGTAGGCCAACTTCCCTTTGTGTTCCTGGGAGACAGGAGAAGCTCCTGTAAAGAAGGTGCCCTATAGCTATATTAAGCTGGAGCTTGGCTCTAGGATCTGGGGCTGGGAGAGGAAACATAGTAAGTAGCTGGCCCCCTGGTTGGTCTGCATACTCTCTCTCTCTCTCTCTCTCTCTCTCTCTCTCTCTCTATATATATATATATATATATATATATATATATATATATATTATTTTTTTTGAGACAGTCTTGCTCTATTGCCCAGAATGGAGTGCAGTGGCATGATCTCAGCTCACTGCAACCTCTGCTCCATGGGTTCAAGTGATTCTCGTGCCTCAGCCTCCTAAGTAGCTGGGATTACAGGCATGTGCCACCATGCTTGGCTATTTTTTGTATTTTAGTAGAGACAGGGGTTTTGCCATGTTGGCCAGGCTGGTCTCAAACTCTTGGCCCCCAAGTGATACATCCACCTGGGACTCCCAAAGTGCTGGGATTACAAGCCTGAACCACCGCACCCTGCCTCTAAAATGGAGGTAAATGGTATCCATCTGCTTGGGTTCCTGGCAAATAAAATGACAACAGCAACAAAAGAGCACTCTCTGCTTACTAAGGTGATGCTGGGCAAATGCCCACTTCCCTTTTAGATTTCCCACTAAGTTTCCTAAATGTCCAGATGGCAATTTGCGGGTGAATAATTTATACCAAGATCTCTTATGCATTATGCAGCACAGATTTAAATTACAAATTGACCTCACTTGGCAGTCAACTTAGTAATAAGTGGGCTTTTTGGTGGTGGGCTTGATAGGCTAGGCTGGGGCCGAGTTAGAGTTAGGCAAATGGAAATGGCATGGTCAGCCTAATCCAACCTGCACTGATGAGGCAGAGCAGGTGTAAGGAGGTCGCAGAGCTTGGTGTGCTTTGACTCAGTTGAGCCCACCCTCTGAGGGTGAGCTCAGGGCAGGGCTGTTCAGGCATCTGTTATTCTCTCAGAAGTACATAGGTTCCTTCCAACAGGAGGGTAGTGGAAGTGACGGCTGGAAGAACTGAGCCTCTCCCCGAGTCTGTGGCTTCCCAGGAGGAGCGGGTTCTCCTCCAGCAGGATGTGTCCAAGGTGGCTGAGCTACCAGGCTGGAGTCTGCTCCACTGGGCCTGCGGTGTTCAGCAGCTGCTGCCTGAGCCTTCTTGACACTGTGAGGGAGGCATGCAGGACTCCACCTGGGGGCTGGGCTATGATCTGAGCCAGAGAAGGAGAGGGGGAGGCATGAGGGCAAGAAAAGCTATCAGAGAAGAGTGGTGTGGGGGGGTGTTGTGGAAAACATCTGGAACGGCTCAGGTCCTTGATGCAAACTGAGTGAAAAAGGTGTGGTGGGAATGCTGAGACAGTCCAGCACCTCTCCAGGATGGTCACTGCAAACACTCATGGTGCCCAGCCCCATACCAAGCCCTCATCCTGGATTACTTCAACTCCTTGTGATTGCTCTTTGAGATGATACTATCCTGTTCTCCCATTTCAGAGGTGAGAACTAAAACTTAGAGTCAGGACTGGGTGTGGTGGCTCATTCCTGTAATCCCAGCACTTTGGAAAGCTGAGGTGGGAGGATCACTTGAGGCCAAGTGTTCAAGACCAGCTTGGGTAACATAGTGAGACCCTGCCTCTACAAAAAATAAATTAGCTGGGTGTAGTGGCACACACCTGTAGTCCCAGCTACTCTGGAGGCTGAGGCAGGAGGATCACTTGAGCCCAAGAGTTTGAGGTTGCCATGAGCCATGGTAGTGCCACTGCACTTCAGCCTGGATGACAAGAGTGAGACCA
Source organism: Homo sapiens (assembly GCF_000001405.40). Lineage (NCBI taxonomy): Eukaryota > Metazoa > Chordata > Mammalia > Primates > Hominidae > Homo > Homo sapiens. The sequence goes on along the minus strand of NC_000005.10, from coordinate 137,355,215 downwards.
AAACTCTTAAAAACAGGCCAGATACAGTGGCTTACACCTGTAATCCTTGAACTTTGGGAGGCTGAGGTGGGTGGATTGCGAGTTTAGGAGTTCAAGACCAGCCTGGGCAACATGGTGAAACCCCATCTCTACTAAAATACAAAAAATTAGCCAGGCATGGTGGTGCTTGCCTGTAGTCCCGTCTACTCAGGAGGCTGAGGCACGAGAATCACTTGAACCCAGGAGGCGGAGGTTGCAGTGAGCTGAGATTGTGCCACTGCACTTCAGCCTGGGAGACAGAGAGAGAGATGCCTTTTCAAAAAACAAAAAAAAACAAAACTTAGAGTGAGTCACTTACCTAAGGTGATACAGTCAATAAGTGATACCTGAAAGCAGGTTTTTCAATTAATGAAATATTCACTCAATACCTCCTACGGGCCAATCCTTTCCTGGGTGCTGGGATACAGCAGGGAATGAGGAACACAGCTCTGTCCTCAGGAAGGTTACATTTTGGTGGCTGAGACACAAAACAGTCAACAAACAAAGTACCTGACACCTGCAGTTGATGGCCGGGCCCTTGCTCCTAAACTTTATGCTCTGTGGATTGATTAGACAGTCTGTTCTGCAAATATTGATAGAAAGCCTATGGTGTGTAAAACTGCACCATGAGAGATGTGCTTGGAGGCAGATACCCTCAGTCCTGAGTTCAAGGAGCTCACAGTTGGGGGTGGCAGAGAGAAGTCGAGTATGCAGGTGACGCAGGACAGGGTGTGTCCCCAGGGAGGGACTGAGGAGGCTGCCTGGGGGGGTCAAGGGAGGGTGCAACGTCATCCTGGGGAGTCTTGGAGAAGCCTCAGTGGGAGCCAGGTTTGAGGTGTTCTTGAGGAGTGGGGTGAGGACCAATGAGGGCAGGGCCTCGCAAGGGCAGAAATCCACATCCACTATTCTGATAAGATTTGGCTGCATTGAAGGATGTAAGTATAGGAATGCAGGAGACTAGGAAGGGAGAAGCCAGGAGCAGCGATTGGTGCTTAGTGTGGCGAGGGCTGGGGAACCACCACTGGGTTTCCCGCAGCAGTGGATTAAGAAACACCTTTCGGGATGAGTGTGGGGATAGCGGTAGTAAGTGGAAAGATGTTGGAGTCAGGGAGATGTGATTTCAGAGCTTCTGAGGGTCAGAACGTGAGTGAAAATGGTGGCAGTGGAAAGGAAAGGGCAAATGTGAGAGTTTCCCACTTTCGGCAGACATCAGGAAATTAAGCTGGTGATGCCGTTGAGGAGGGAAGATGTGGTGTTTAGCTTTGTCATGTGGTGCTGGGGAGGCCAGCAAGTATCTGTAGAGGGAGGGTATGGGTAAGGAATGGAAACTTAGGTGTTACCCTTCTGGAAGTGGATGGGTCTGCCAGGGAGAGACTGGGGACAGAAAATTGAAGAGGGGACACCTCGGCTTGCCCCTGCTGAACCTCCCATCTAGGAAGGAGTTCTAGGTCATGAATGTGTGCTAGCTGTGTTCTGAGACTCTTGATTTGTTTGTATATCACTGCAGTCCCTATTGGTCAGAGTGTAAAGTTAGTTTCCTGGAGGGAGCTGGCAGCAGCTACAGAATTTGAATGGACTGAGTAATTAGTCTCTGTTGAAGGTGCCACTTTAACTGATGGGGAGGTCTCTGTTATCTGAGCAGAGACATTTGTTTCTGATGTGTAAAGATAACCCATCCCGAGGTGTGTGGTGGCAGGTGTGGGGTCAGCAGAGGCTTTGTGATTGGGCTGTGTGTCTGATTCATCAAGAAGGCGGCAGTGGGTTCCCTTAGCCTGTGTCACAATTTATTTATATTTTTATTTATTGATTGATTGATTGAATCAGGGTTTTGCTCTGTCATCCAGGCTGGAGTGCAGTTATGTGATCTCTGCTCACTGCAGCCTCGAATTCATGGGCTAAAGCCATCCTCCCACCTCAGCCTCTTGAGTAGTTGGGACTACAGGCGTACATCACCGCACCCAGCTAATTTTTGTATTTTTTTGCAGAGATGGAGTTTTGCCATATTGCCCATGCTGGTCTCTAACTTTTGGGCTCTATCGATCCGCCCACCTCAGCTTTCCAAAGTGCTGAGATTACAGGAGTGAGCCACCACACCTGGCTCCTGTGTCACTTTTAGGAAAGGGTTCTGAAAGGTTTTTCATCTCTGTCTTCTTTCAGTTTGTCAGCTCTGACTTGACCAGTACTGCAGTGGTACTTGGTAAATCCAGAACTGCAAAGATGATAGCCATCAAAAGGACTTTGTGTGTTTTTGGAAATATAGAAAATAATTGTATGTGTCTGAGAGAGAAAAGAATATGGAGACGGGTCACTGCAGTGTCCACCTTCTGCAACCACACATGAAACATCACCCACTCTTTGCCTATCTTTGTTTTGAACTAGAGAAGTTATTTCACTAGCATTTACAAGAGATGACAAATTCTCCTTAGCTATAGCTTATCAAGGTCTATGACTGCATGGTTCTGGCTGCCTTTTCAGGTTATTTCTGACTTAAATGCCTCCTTCTCCTCCACCCCTTCCTCTTCCCCACCTTTCTTCTCCCTCCACTCCTCCCTCCTTCTTCCTCGTCTTTTCCTCCTCCTGCGTCTTTCCACCATGGCTTCTTGCTGAGCTGTTATACGAGCTGTGCCAGGCACTCTACTAGCTCTGTAACAGATGTGGTTTAATCCTTCCAGGGAAGGACAGTCATATGCAAAAAAGATTGATAACAACTTGGTGAAAAAGATAGAAAATTCTTTAGCAATCATATGTCCAAGAATGCGGCATCCTCAGCAGTCACCGCGTTATAACCACCTTGAGGTGAGGCACGGTGTGCCTTATTTGTTTTTCTGCCCCCACAATAGTTGACTGTTTAAAGGGCTTGCTAAATATTTAAAGAGTGATTAACAGAGATGCCTTTGTGGGTGAAATTTAGTTCTGTGCCTTGAGGAAGAACATCTAGTCTATTAAAATATTTACTGGCATGGTAATAACAATGATAGTAACTGCAGCTGGTTGGCGGCCTGCAGTATATCAGCTCTTATTCTAGATATTTCTCTACAATTTTCTCAAGCCTTCTAAACAGGCTGGCAAGTCTGGATTTTACTCATGAGGGGGAAGAGAAGTTAAGACACTTGCTCCAGGTCACACAGCCAATATATTGTAGAGAGGATTCCAACCTTATCCTGTCTGATTCCAGAGCTGGAGCCCTTTGAGTCTCTGTCCATATCCTTGCTTACAGAATGGCCTTAACATCTTTTAGAGCCTCCAGAAAAGTAGCTTCTCATGTAGGTTCTCCACTGTGCCATCTAGAGCAAGGCTGATGAGAGGCTGAGCTGGGATTCATGCTCCTACATGCCCATCCTTTAATTTTAGTTTACATGGGCCCTACTCCCATCATGATTATGTGGCTATTCTGATCTATATGACAACATTATGTGTCCTTTTTGTGTTTTAAAGGGTGCTATCTTAAAGGATGCATGAAAGGTGGTGACATTTGAAATGTTTAGTTACCATATGATTGTGGCAATGTACTGCCCTTGGATGTGGCCAAAACATACAACTATCTTGGCTACAAATTTACAGCACTGGATGTCAGGCCCCTTTGCAAGATGGCTGGTGGGCTGTGAAACAGAACTGGGAGGGCCTGGAGAGTAAAATCTAGGCGTTTTCTCCCACTCTGGGAATGGAGAATGCAATACTCCTTGGGTTCTGTCTCACCTTCCATTCCCCTCCTTGTCAGGAGGAGATGGACAACAAGCGGATTGTGGTTTTCAGGAGGACCCTTGGAATCAGCAGAATGATGAGAATATCTCCTTTAGAGGGTGCTTCCCGCTAATCAGCTGTAGATGATACAACCACCTAGCAAGAAGAGGGCATTTTGTTTCCATTTCATCAACGAGGAGCCTGAGTGGCCAAGCACTTTGGGCAGCTGCACACAGCCAGTGAGTGGCATTGTCAGCGGATGTGCCTGAGCTCTTTCTAAAGGACCATCTGCTCTGGTGGGAGGTGGGGATCCAGTGCAGAAGGTCTACCTTTCCAACCCAGCATGCTGCTTCTCTGATGCTCTTTTCTTCGTCCAGATTCTTCTGGCTGTTGGGCTATCTCAAGTGCTTATGGTCCTTGGTGGGTCAGGATTGTTTTTATAACTGTTCTCTGAAACAGATGTGGAATTTGCCGAACCTGCCACTGAGCCCTAGTTGGACATTGTGACTACCTACATTCCGCTGAGTCATGTAGAATCATGAATGAAATATGTCCTTCATGTGAAACACATGGGAAGCATGTATGTTGATAAAATAGAAACTCATGTCCCTTGAAAACTGATCAGACTTGATCTTAGCATAGTAGTACTTCCATGCCCACTTTGATGCTACATTACACACACACGCACACGTGCGTGGACACACACACACACACACACACAACCCTATATGATTCCTTCCTGCTTTTTGAAGAAGGGCTCCCACACTTTCATTTTGTGTTAGGCCCCACAAATTCATCTTGCAGCTGAGGATTGCTTCCACTGAAAACAAGAGGATGAGGAATCATGAACTAGAAAGAGTCCTGCCCTCAGCCCTGCCCTTGAGACCAACAAGCAGGAGAAGCCATGTGTGTGCACTCTTTTGGATGATTGCAGCTGAGTCCAGCCTTCTAGACATTTCCCCTGCACTCACTCCTACAGGTGCCAGACATGGGAGTGAAGCAGTGTTGTACCCTCCAGATGAGTTCATCCCTCTCCCAGATGAACCTCCTCCAAGCTACCTCAGTTGACGCCACGTGGTGCAGAAGCCTTGCTCAGCCAAGCCTTGCCACAGAATTGTGAGAGATAATAAGTGGCAGTTGTTGTAAGTCACTAAATTTTGGGGTAGTTAGTTACACAGTAATAGATAACTGGGACAGTGTAATTAGACCAGTGATGTTTCCCTTCAGACCTTCTTTTCCCTTGGCTTCACTGAGATTGCCCTCCTGGGTTTTCTCCACCTCATTGGCAGCTCCTCTTCTCAGCTCTCCTTCTGTCCATAGCACTGTAACTTCTCTGGGGGGCAGTCTCATTCCTGTCTGTGGCTTCAGCAATGCCATCCACACCAGCACCTGACTCTCAAGCATCTGTTTCTGTTTGAACTGCTAGAGGAACATGTCTCTTAGCTCTATATCTCTTGGGCAAATTTTTCTTCTGATCTTAGCACCCAGGCATTCATAGATAGCTCACTCTCAACATGCTGAGAATGGGGCTTAACATCCCCCTTCCCTCCACGCTATGGCTTGAATTGTATCCTCCCAAAAAGAGATGTTGAAGTCCTCATCCCCAGTACCTCAGAATTTGGAAATAGAGTCTTTAGAGAGGTAATCAGGTTACTCTGAGGTCATTAGGGTGGGCCCTTAATCCAGTACGACTGGTGTCCTTATGAAAAGGGGAAATTTGGACACAGAGACAGACATGCAGAGAGAGAAGAGTGTGAAGACACAGAGAGAACACCATGTGAAGATGAAGGCAGAGATCAAGGTGATGCATCTACAAGTCAAGGAATGCCAAAGATGAGCAAACCACTAGAAGCCAGGAGAGTGGCATGGAACAGATTCTCCCTCCTGGCCTCAGAACGAACCAGCCCTGCCAACCTCCATCTTGGGCTTCTAGCTTTCAAATCTGTGAGACAATAATTTCTGTGCTAAGCCACTCAGTTTTTGGTCATTTGTGTGACTACTCTAGGAAACAAAGATATTCCCCTATACCATCTATGCTGTAAGCTTGATCTTCCGCCTCTAGTCCTGGTCTCAGCAAGTCATTCCCCAATTTCTCCACTTGATCAAGCTGGAAACCTGAATCTTCAGTCCCAAGAATTGGGCTGGCTTGAAGTTAGGAACTCAATAATATTGACTATTTAAATAGATGCTTTCAAATATTGCAGGTCTTTTGGCAATTATAGTTACTACCCTGAGGATATGCAGAATTGGAATTAAAGAGAGATGCAAACCCCAAACATCTTTTATATCCATCCCATCCCTCTGTACTTGAGGTTTCCTGAGAGAAACTATTGATTTGTTCTTGCAGCCATGGGGAAGGCATCTATTGAGAGCCACATGTATGTAAATAAGGACTCAGCAGCTTGCCTGCCTTTCAATTCTTCAGAGAACTATCGATCTTGAGTTGGGAGAGTTACCTAAAAGTTCTCTTTTGACCAGTTTCTCCAACATTGTGTAAGAGCAGCACCAGTGTGTTGAGTCAAACAATGTGATCTTTGTAACCAATCTCGGAGGTTTGGCTGAGCTTGTTGGACGGCTTAGGGCAAGGAGGGCAGTGTTAGAGCTGTATTGATCTGCAGTGGGTTATTGAAGTTGTTGCAAATGCTTACCTCTATTTTTCCCATTCAGTGATATTGAAATCACCAGTTTGCAGAATTAAGAGTCAGGTTTCCAAAGAGATGTTGTGCTATTTTTCTCTAGACAGTGATTTGAACAAGTCCGTGTGCTCCATCCTTTCAGAGCCTCTGGACTACCCTTGGCAACACAGGAGCAATGTAATTGTTGCAGTTTTATTTTATATTATAACTACTTCAACATATTTCTGATACTTGGTCTATGCACATTGTTTTTTTTTTGCAAATAAATTATAGTTGTATGTTGAAGCCCTGAGCAGGGCACAAAGACATCAAAGTCAGCTATAATCATAAAAAGCACATGCAAATCTTTCACATTAATAACTCACAGTTAAGCACAGGCGCTATGCCCCTGCCGCACCCCCACCCCCACCCCTCTGGGATTGCAGCAAGTAGCAATTTGTTTAGCTTTGGTAAAGGGTACAAAATCACCAAGTTCAGATGTTCCATTTTGGTCATGCACTTGCTGTATGGATTTGATTTAGGCCAATAATCAACTTTATAAATGGATAAATATTTGTCAGTCAGGTCTGATTTGTAAGGGATGGTGCTGATTTTGCAGACATTGTCATTGTTATTATCCCCTGTGGCCCTGATGAAACTATTACTTGAACCCCATATTACTGAATGTCCACCTCTAACCTGTTTACCTTCTTCATTTGTTCATTCTATACGAACTTACTTAGTGCCAACATGTACCAGGCTTGGGCTTGGTGCTAGGGATACTCGGTGAACAAGACAAACTTGGCCCTGCTGTCTCTGGGCAGCAAAGTCCAGTCTGTGTACACCAGGTGTGGCCCACAGCCCAGCAGCAGCAGCATCACCTGAGAGCTGGATAGAAACGCAGCAAGCCAGGCCCTGCTGCTGACCTACTGAATCAGAATGTGCATTTTAACAAGATGGCCAGGTGATTCCTATTCCTATACAAGAGGACATACATATTCAACAGGTTATTCAAATATAGTGTGAAAATGCTCAGGAAGGGCACGTGTAGGGCATTCTAAGAGGAGCCATCACGTTACGCCTGTGCCAGAGGAGGCGTGGCTCTGGGTGCTCTGGGGAGGCTTCGAAGCAAGAGACTGGTTTTTTTTTGTTTGTTTGTTTGATTTGTTTTTTGTTTTTTGTTTTGAGATGGAGTCTTGCCCTGTTGCCCAGACTGGAGTGCAGCAGTGCCATCTTGGCTCACTGCAACCTTCACCTCCTAGGTTCTAAGTGATCCTCTTGCCTCAGCCTCCCAAGTAGCTAACAGGCCCGTGCCACCACACCCGGCTAATTTTTTGTATTTTTAGTGGAGATGGGGTTTCACCATGTTGGCCAGGCTGGTCTTGAACTCCTGACCTCAGGTGATCTGCCTCCCAAAGTGCTGGGATTACAGGCATGAGCCACCATGTCCGGCCTAAGAGGCTGTTTTAGTTGATACTGGAAGGACAAAGAAGCATGAACCAGGTGGAGACTGGTGGTTGTGTGAGATCTCACATTCCAGGCAGTGTGCTTAAACTCTGACGCGTGAGAAATTACACCCTGTTAGAGGAATTACAATCTTTGAGCTCAGAGCACTGGGGGCAACATGGGCGGCAGAGAGGGGCTTCAGGTCCCAAAACAAGAAGTTTGAACTTTCCCCAGGTGGTCACAAGGAGCCACTGAGGCATTTAAACATTATTTGATTTGAAAACATGATTGGATTGAAGAAAAATCACTTCAGCTACGATGTGGGTGATGGCTTGGTGCAAGGGAGGGTGGAGGGCTACCCAGGATACAGAGGACAGGCCTGGACCAAGGTAATGACGCTGCAGGGGAGGTAAGTGGTGCCTTTGAGACATGTTTAGGAGGCAGAACTGGAAGGACCCTGGAGGTAACAGAGAAGGGAGAGGCCCATTAGGAGGTGCCGTTGGCTGGTATCCTGCAGGAGGTCTGAGTAACTTTTTCTGACTCTCACATTCTGGAGTCTGCCCCACTAGGCATACACCATGTAGATTTGGGGTATTTCTCAGTTCCCTTCTTTATCAGATCATCAGTTTTTTGAAGACAGGGCTCACGTATTGCACGTTTTTGTTTGACTTAAAGTGTCTAACACTGGGCCTGGCACACAGTGCTATCAGGAGTTGTCTTTCTGAGCTGCAAACTCCTTTTTGGGAGAACGTTGGTAGAAGGAGGCAAGCCTCGGAGGAGAATTGTCTGGAAAACCATGTTTCCCTGTTTGTTTCTTTTAAATTTGAATGTACCTCCTGTTTATATGGCGCTTTACAGTTCAGGCATCATTTTCGTAACTGCCACCTCATTTGCATTCCTCCTGTTCACCCTCTGTGCAGCTTTAGAAAAGGCTGTGCATTCACAGCTCAATGTTAATCAAGGGCTGATTATCTCGGTCTTTTTCTCCTCCCTGTTCTGACTTCCTGCCTTTTGACTTGGGAGTTATAGCTGGAAGCAGGTTGGGGTCAGACAATGCAGAGTTGAGTCAAATAAATCCTATCCATTTAAATTAGCCATTCAGGATAAAGGATGGGTGGAGGAGGGGTGCAGGGAAGGAGGGGGAGCAAACTCCTGTTCTGTGACCCCAGCTTCCAGGTGCCCAGCTCATGAGGGCAGGAGGGGCCCACAAGGAAATGCAACTTCCCGGTCTTCCTGGGCTTCTCATTCTTTGGGGTCTATTCTGTTGTGTGCTGGGAGAGGAAGCCAAAGGGCATCTGATGCAGGAGAAAGGAGAGTTGAGGCCTTAACAGAATTGCCTCTTGAGAGGGAGCCTGTGCAAAGGAAGACAGGGGCTTTGGGTGGGACAGACCTGAGTTTGAACCCTGACTCAGCTACTCAGCCCCATGGCCTTGGGCAGCTGCTTCGCTTTTCCGAATCTATTTTGTCTGATAAGATGGCAGTGATGAGCCCTGTCACACAGGTGTCTGAGGCCCAGATGAGGCAGAGATCAGTGCTCTTTGGTGCCTGCAGTGTCTGCTGGAGTGCCTGCAGTAATGCTGAGACATGTGTGTCTATCTGGTAGCCTTCTCTTCCCTGCCTTTTTAGAGATGAGGCTTCCTTAAGATCTGGGAGGGCATCATGCTGTAAGTAATTTCTATATAGAGTGTTAGGGGCCTCAACCTTAATGTGTAAAATACTCAACCTGCAGTTTGTTACACATTCCTGGGCTCAGCCCCTAGAGAGAGTGATTGGTCTGGAATGGCTCCCAGTTGATTTTTTATAGGGACCACATTTTGGGAAAGTTTTGGAATAGAGCCAGAGCTAAAGAGCCACTTAGACCAGGGTGTTTGCTAAAAATACAGATGGTCAGCCCTGCTCCAGAACAACTGTGTGGGACTCTTCAGAGGGAAAGCCTGTATTTTGACCAAGCCCTAGGTGATTCTTGGATAGAGCAAATTTGGTTAACACTGAAGTATGGAATCCAGGTAATGCCCATCTCTGCAGGAGGAGTATTTACTGCAAGAGGTGCAAGCAGCTGGGGATATGTTTCAGAGGCAGACACAGGCTCACCCCATAAACAGGAAGAGCTCATCAGGGAAGGGATTCTGAAGTGCTCACTATTGGGACTGAGTGGGCACAGCATTGCAAGGTCTCAAATTCTAGAAACTGGTCGTTTAAAGGCAGTCATATTCTTTGCTAAAATGAGGCTATGGGACTGGATGACTTTAGTCCTTCCAGCTCTGAAATCACTTGGCTCCAAACAATTCCATACAAGTTACATTAGGCAGAGATGAATATTTGTTAGAAGGGTGCCCCTAACGTCTGGTGTTTGCATTCTTTTTAAATATTGATCTATATTGTGTGAGTTTATTCACTTTCTATATTTAGTCCATGTTTCTACTTACCTGTGATTGTATTTTCGTGGAGAAGTAGAGCGTGTGTGGTTCTTTGAGACTCTGCCTAAGAACCTTCTATAAAGCTTTTGTTACCCAAGCTAACAGCACTGCTGCCTGGTGGTAGCTTTTGGAATTGCAAGCCCATCATTTTGGAAATACAGGAAACACTTGCATCAAAATCCCTTGGGGAATGGGGAACAGTCTTTGTTTTTTTAAAAAATGGCAAATTCCCATTTCAGACCAACTGAAACAATCTCTGTCGGTAGAATCCAGAAACCTGCGTTTATACTAAATACTTTATGTGAAACCTTATGCCCAATGTTGTTTAAAACCATTGCTTGACAGCAGGGTTTCTCAACCTTGGTAGTATTGGCTTTTGGACTGGAAAATTCCCTGTTGCAGGCAGTTGTCCTGCACAGTATAGGTTGGTTAACAGCATCCCTGACCTCTACCCACTAAATGTCAGTGGCACCGCCCCCTCCCCATTTGTGAACATCAGAATTATCTCCAGACATTGGCAAATGTCCCCTAGGGGGCAAAATCACTTTTGCTTAAGAACTGCTGCCCTGAGGTGTGCTGTGAACATCTAGCCCACTTCAATGACAGCAAGTGCCACAGGGTCACTAAAAGTTAAGATGTGACACCTGTCTTCACAGAAGGTTATTCACGCAAATGTGAAATGACTTCGGACTTGTAAGTAGAATAAAACGTTCTGGCTTTATGACCTTTGTTTTGATTTTTAAATAGTCATCAGGGAAAGTCATACAGGATGGACTTTAATTAAGGACTCCCCACACTTGAGCATGGGCCATGCTGTGCCTTTCTCAGGCAGCTATTTTGGCTCAGACTCCTGGTGCATGGGAGCCTCTTGGGAGGGATCAAGAGAGAGAAGTGTAACTTCTTTTCTCCCAGAATCTCTTTGCGATAATTAAATTCTATTAGGTTTTTCCATTGTGGGAAGGGGCTGTTTATTGTGTCAATTATATTTTTGTACAGAAAACTTATTCCCAAAAGGTTATAGACAATACTCACTGTGGGGAAAAGAGTTCACTGGGCATTCCTGTGGACCCTAGCCTGGTTAAATGAAACTTGCTGATCCTGTTCTATGATGGGGAGCTGAAGTCTCCTGTATGGCACCTGGTATGGGTTTCCCAGAGGTGACCTCTTGGACTTAACACTTCCACTGGAAGTCAGTTAACTGGGGGAATGTCAGTAGCCCCCAGCACCTTACAGGCTTTCTGATATTCTCATGCTGAAACAGAGTGCCCCACACAGGAATAGCCAAACACCAGGGAACATGTTGCAGGATGAATCCTTGGGTATTGTAGAAGGGATTGACTTCTTGTTCCCTAAAAGTAGAGGGTTGGGATTGACCCTAAGGAGGAACTGTGTGAATATGCTTCCTGTTGGATCTGGGATTTCATACAACGGGGCTGAGAGGCTGAGCTTCACAGGTGGCTGTGATGGTTGCTAGAGTTGAGGCAGCTGAGTGGGTTGGAAGCAGTGAGGTGCTTGATTTCTGCAAGGCTCTTCCACAGGTCCTCTGTACAGCCCTGGGGAAGCGTCTGCCCTTCTTGGGGCCCTTCTTCCACTGTTGAATGGGAGTGTTGAGCTTGGACATCTCCAGGGCACTGAAAGTGGCATCACTGTGTGGATGGACCTTGTGGGGAGAAGAGCTGGCCTATGCACCTCTTCTGCTCTGGGTGAGCCTAGACAAGAGGGTCCTCAGTAGGGAAGGAAAGGAAATGATATATGGTTTTTGACCTCAGTCTAACTCATTGTCCCCTCCTGAAGGTCTGCAGGTCTAGCTAGTCTCTGCATCAGCATGAACACTGGAGAGGGGACAGCCAAACCCTCCCAGACCTCCCCTTTGTGACTGAGGCCCCTGTGGCTTACTCTGACACCTGTGGGAGTGGATAAGTGTCGGGATGTACTTGCACTTGATTGAAGGCCTTCTGCTCAAAGACAGTCACCCAGCAGCCTTCTGATGCCTGAAAGCCTGCTTTGGGAATACAGTTCTTTTGGTTTAACACTTGATCTGGCATCAGATCATTTATCTAGCATTAGTCATTACATTTTGGTGTGAATGAGGTTCAGCTCATTTCCTGAGATCAGATTTCACTGGGAAAGGAGAATATAGATATTGTACTTCTGAAAGGGTCAGGTAAGAACAAAGAGTGGAACAAAGAGCCAGGAGGAACAAAAAGGGCACCGAACTTGGAGACCAGAACAGACAAAATAAGTTTCTACTCTCCGGTGTTGCCAAAGGGCAAGGTTCTCTGACTCCTTCCTCAACCACAGGTAATTTTCTGTGAATAACTGAGCATCTTCCATTTCAGCCTGCTCTTCTCTTCTAGTCTGAAACTCTAGCCAGATTTCTTTATTTTAAATAACCTGTGAAGACCCTCATTTTCTTCCAGGAACCTACTGTCTCTGTCATTCAACACCACTATTGTTCACACTTCTGCCTGACATTCTTCTAGTGGAAATCGACTTTATTTGCTCCTGAATGGGTAGGAAAGAGGTCATGGAAATTCCTCTTGAGACAACAAGTCTTACCACCCTCCACGGACACAGCAGAGATTGGCTGGGCTACCAAATGAATTTTTTATTTATATTTTCAATTATTCATAGTGACCGATTCCATGGGGTGAGCTGAAAGAAATGCCCAAGACAAGATTTTTTTTTTAGTGACATAAAGAATAAAATACCTTTCAGATTTTTAATTTTATTTTCTTCCATTGAAAGAGATTCTTGTTCTGAAGGAAACCTGGCAGTTCTGTATTGGTGCATCAGGGCAATGGCATACCTAGCAAGGAGGGCCAAGGTGAGGCTGGGATTTCATCTCCACAGTAGGTCTAACTCAGACACTATCCTCCGCGGAGGTGTCTTTCTGAAGTGCTTTCTGTGGAACACCGTCCATCAAAACGCTCTTTGCTGAGAGTATGTCTGATCACATACATGTTTGCAAGGCTTTGCTCATTTCCTGGAGTTGGGCAGGCCTGTGTACCCACACACCGCAGCCCTGGCGCTCTCTGGCAAGTCACCGAGCACAGTCACATGGTAAAGGATCAGAGAAGTCCTGCAGTAGAGAAAACAGTTTGCCAGCTTTAAAACCACTCATTCTCAGGTAATTTGGCTACAAAAGCTTTTTGTTTTCTTCCCGTGACACATTATTAGAAGGAACAAGTTTTTAGAGATGTTGCTGTATGAAATGATTTTCTCCTGGGATTAGCTGTTACCCACATCGTTGTAAACATGGAGTTTTTGCAAACCTATTTGAGTGACTGGCAGGGGATGCTGGGAAGTGTCGTCTCTACTCTCAGCAAGAGGGCCAGGGCTGTATCTGTCCTATTCAGGGGTATAGCCTGAGGGTCTACCACAGTGCCTGACACACAGAAGCTCAGTAAAAACTCATGGAACAAATGAGTGAGTAAGATAATTTTTGTTTAAAATATGTAATCAGCCTGTAAAACTCTTAGTTCACACACGTCCTTCTGTGCTAGTAGGCACAATCTCAAAAGCCAAGTGACATATTTCATTTTGCTTTTATTTTTTGCTATCATTTTTTCAAACCTGAGACATGACTGCATCCGTGAGGCCTAAGCCATCTTCCTTGGCAGCGTCCTGATTCTCTTTGTACAGTGAGACACCTGTTCGATTTGCTGGATTTTCTTGACACTTATGAAGAGTAAAGTCTCTGGGAATAGGTTTTGTTTATTCTGAGCAGATCTTAAAATATAACTACATTTATACTGTGCCTGCAAGGCACTCTGAGCAAACATGCACATTAGGAGAGGATAGAACTTGTCTTTTGTCTCTGAGACCTTGCCTTGCAGAGCATAAAGTGTCTGCCAAGCGCGTGCAGAACATAATGCTTGAAGTTGTTCCCCCTTGGGGAGACTGTGGCCTGGATGGTGCAGCGAGTACATGAATAGAGACAGTGAAGACAGCATCACAGATGTGCATGTTGACTTCAGAGTTGTGGAGTGCCAGAGGGATCAGGCCTATGGTCCCGTGGAGGGGTGGGCAGAGTATGAGGGCTCTGATGTCAGGCCAGGATGTGAGTCCCAGATGCTGCAGTTATTAGCTCTAGGATTTTGGGCAAGTCAGACAGCCACTGTGGGCCTCAATCTTCTTCCTTTTTTTTTTTTTTTTGAGATGGAATCTCACTGTGTCACCCAGGCTGGAGTGCATTAGTGTGATCTCAGCTCACTGCAACCTCTGCCTCCCAAGTTCAAGTGATTTTCCTGGCTCAGCCCCCTGAGTAACAGGGATTACAGACATACACCACCACGCCCAGCTAATTTTTGTATTTTTAGTAGAGACGAGTTTTTGCCATGTTGGCCAGGCTGGTCTTGAACTCCTGACCTCAAGTGATCCACCCACCTCGGCCTCCCAAAGTGCTGGGATTACAGGCGTGAGCCACCGTGCCTAGCTTTAGCCTTCTTACAAGTAAAACTGAAGTAAGATCTACTGCATCCCTGACTTCCTCACTTAATTCTTACAACCTGGTGAGGGGTACTACAGTTATTCTTATTTCACAGGTGCAGAACTGAAGGCTCAGATAGGTAAAATGTCTTGTTTTAGGTCATAGTTAGGAAGTGGCAGGGTGGGTCAGGAATCCAGCCAGCCCTGGATGTTCTGAAGCCTCAGAGTGTGGCACTAATTATTATCCAGCATTCTCTCTCAGTGAAGACCTGTTTATTGGGGAGTTCCAGGAAGGGGTCAGAAGGAAGGGCTCAGTAGAAAAGTTCAGGCGGCCAGTGTCAGGTAATGATGCATTGCACCTGTGCAGTGGAAGAGGGCGTGTCATCCAACTGTTCCAGTTCCCCTTTCTTGAAACAAACCGGGATCAAGATCTCCTTCAGTGATGACAGCTGGAGACTGAAAGGCCCCTAACTGTCTACCTTTTCTGGTGTGTGTTTTAATCAAGTGTTTTTTTTTTCTTTGAAATAGTAAAGTAGAATTTATGAGGCACTTCCACAGCGTGCTCTAGAGAACATGGCCCTTGTAAATATCACATTCCCACCTACCTGGAAGGATGAGAAGACTAGGAAGTCAGAAGCTGGCATGTGCAGGAGCACACATCACACCTGAGCTGGACCCCGTGGGCAGACCTCAGGCTCTCAGGCTTAGAGGGTGCTGTCCCCAGGTTAGCAGCACTCATCCCAGGGGCTTCCAATTTGCTTTCAGGCCCAGCCACTTCTTCAGAGCATCTTTTCTATAGTCTACAGTGAATCAGGGCTCCTGGCTTAGAAGTAGAATCATGGTTCACCAAGCATTATCTGGGTGTCTCTGCTTGCTCCCCCAAAACCTCTCATCAGCCATGAACACCCTTGCTATGTGTACCCGTCTGGACTCTTCCAGTGTAATGAGACAGAATACTGATTGAAAAAAAACTGATTGAAAAAAAAAGGAGCTTTAAGACACTACCAAGAACTCAAGAGATAGTTCTGGTTTTAGGTTTAGCTTGATGCGGAGGCTCATAAATGCCATTGGAAGCTGGGTTCCCCCTTCCCATCTCTGAGCTCTGTTCTCTGTGCATTAGGTCTGTTCTTGGGCAGGCTGTCCTCATGGGGTGAGCTGGCTGCAGCAGGGCCAGTCTTAAAGGCCTTTATATATACATTTAGTAGAAAATGTCTTTCGGCCATTCTGGCAAGTATCTCATTACATTTCCCTGTCCAAGGAAAATGTGCCCATCCATGGACCAATCACCTTGGCCAGGAAAATGCAGTGCATTAGTTGACTTAGGTTTGGGTCACATGCTCCATCCTGGAACTGGGGTAGAGTCACAAAGCCAGGGACTAAATGTAGGGGACAGCTGGTTTCCCAAAGGAACCTATAGAAAGGGAGATGGATGCTGGTGGCTGTGATATAAAACTTGTTACTTCCCTTAGATCTCTTTGGTCCTCTGGTCACTGGCTGTATGCTGGGGTTATGTGTGCTGTGTGGGGAGAATCTGGTGTACACTTCTGACTATATTACAAAGCAGACAGGTATGTGTGCCCTGGCCATGTGCTAATGCTGATGTGACAACTTAAGTCAGTGGCAATATTATAGTTACCATTCATTGAGTCCCTCCCACATGTCAGGCATTGACAGTCCCTTTGATGCACATTCCTTGACTTAATCTTTGAAATAACAGTACAGTTCATTAGAAAAAAACAAACAACCCCATCAAAAAGTGGGCGAAGGATATGAACAGACACTTCTCAAAAGAAGACATTTATGCGGCCAAAAAACACATGAAAAAATGCTCATCATCACTGGCCATCAGAGAAATGCAAATCAAAACCACAATGAGATACCATCTCACACCAGTTAGAATGGCGATCATTAAAAAGTCAGGAAACAACAGGTGCTGGAGAGGATGTGGAGAAATAGGAACACTTTTACACTGTTGGTGGGACTGTAAACTAGTTCAACCATTGTGGAAGTCAGTGTGGCGATTCCTCAGGGATCTAGAACTAGAAATACCATTTGACCCAGCCATCCCATTACTGAGTATATACCCAAAGGATTATAAATCATGCTGCTATAAAGACACATGTACACGTGTGTTTATTGCGGCACTATTCACAATAGCAAAGACTTGGAACCAACCCAAATGTCCATCAATGATAGACTGGATTAAGAAAATGTGGCACATATACACCATGGAATACTATGCAGCCATAAAAAAGGATGAGTTCCTGTCCTTTGTAGGGACATGGATGAAGCTGGAAACCATCATTCTCAGCAAACTATCGCAAGGACAACAAACCAAACACTGCATGTTCTCACTCATAGGTGGGAATTGAACAATGAGAACACATGGTCACAGGAAGGGGAACATCACACGCTGGGGACTGTTGTGGGGTGGGGGTGGGGGAAGGGATAGCATTAGGAGATATACCTAATGCTAAATGACGAGTTATTGGGTGCAGCACACCAACATGGCACATGTATACATATGTAACCTGCACGTTGTGCACATGTACCCTAAAACTTAAAGTATAATAATAATAATAAAAAAATAATACAGAGGAGTGTCACTAGTCCCAATCTGCAGATAGAGAAACAGACTCAGGGAGGTAAAATGCCTTCGAGATCATATTGTTAATTAGTGGAGAGGCCACGATGAGAACTCATTCAGGTCTAGTGGCCAGAGTGTATTCTTGCTACCAAATCACTCTCCCACTCCTGTGGACATACTTGTTTGAAAGAGAATCAGATGTTTATGAATGCTTCTTCAATGACAAGGAGAAACTCAAAAACGTCTTTGTTTAGGAGGGTCAGAGCTTGATGCAGTTGTAAACTGAATTCTCTCTGTGTGTATGTGAATATATACACTTGTATACGTGCTGTTATAAAAATGGAGAGAGTTGAATCTCTGGTCTTAGTGTGAATTGATACTTGCTCCTTGCCTTTAGCTCGATGGATGCTGAAGCTGATGCTGCCTCTCTGATCCTGTAACTTGAGTTATTAGGTGTCTTTAGTCAGAATGTCCGGAAGTGGAGGATGTTGTGAAGTCTGTAGACCACAGCTTCAGTAGACTTATTATTTTCATGGTACATGATACAGAAAGGAAGATGCCATCAAGTCTCCTGGGTCAGTAGGGATACCTAGGAGGTGGAGTGAGAAGGCCGCATAGGAAGTATGTGTTTAAGGAACTCCAGTGGAAATGTGTTTTGGTCATTGGAAATGTTAGCTGCAGGATGTTCACCCTTGCAGACAAAACTACTTCTTTAGCCTGATACGCAAAGCTTTCTCCCTCATAGTCCCATCCTATAGCTCTGCAAATAGGCTTGATGTATCTGCCAAATGGGGTCGTTACCTGCTCCCTGGAGATACACTGTACTTTTTTGCTTCTGCCTTGGTTTATGTAACTTCTTGAGCCTGTGCCTAGAATTACTTTTTGCAAAAGGTAGCTACCCATCAAGTATTTATACACCCATGAGTTAATTCAGCAGGTACTAGTTGAGATCCCACTGTGTGCCAGGCACTGTTCTAGGTGCTTGGGATACAGTGGTTAGTAAGGGAGACAGTGTCACTGGTCTTTGCCCTGGGGGAGCTCTCATTCTGACCTCCACTGGGTGAATCATTCACTCTGGAGGCTCTGCTGGGTCTCCAGCCTGGACACCTGCCCTAGGAGCCCTTTTCTTTGAAACTTGCACTTGAAACTCTCTTGGGCTCCAATCCTGAAAAAAATGTTTAATTCCTCTGGCTGTCATTTTGCTAATGCCTCCAGGCAGAGAGCCCAGGGAAGTATTTCCTATTTTCAGAGAGGAATTTATTTTGTAGGTTCTTTATCCAAGCCTCCTTTGGATGTAAGTCACAAAAACTCATTCAGGCTAGAAGGAGCAGTAATCAGGAGGCAGAGAGGGTAGTTTGTGCAGCCTGATTGCTGACCTCACAGAGACTGTTACCAGGAGCTAGAGAATTAAGGGGGCCAAGAAAGCAACTCTTGGCCTCTTCTCTCTCTGTTCTCTGCTTTCTGCTCTGCACTGCTCTTTCCTGAGCCTGGATTTACCTGCTTTACCAGGTACATTGGCAGCAAATGTCTGTCCCACAGCTCTGGAATTTATAGAGCCTTATTTAAGATTAACAGTGGAGAGCAATAGTACTGTAAATTCCCATTCCTGAGGTCAGAGGAGAGAATAATTGGGTCAGCTGTGCTGCCCACAGCTCCAGCAGCTGTGATCTGAAAGGGGATGGTGGGTTCTGGAATGCAAACCAGGCTGCAGGGCCTGTCCCTATGATAGACACAGGTCAATGGTAGAAAAATGCTGATGAGCTAAGGATACCACCCTCAAGCTTTCCTCTTGAGGCAATCAAGGAAACTTGCCGTCTGCTCAGTTTAGGATCCTTCTCCAAACCAGCAAACTGCAGGATTGGCCTCAGCTGACCCTTGTCCTCAATCTTAACACCAAGGATGGAGAAACTCCTGTGTTAGCATGGTACAGAGTATTCATTATTTTAGAAAATTCTGTAAGTACTGTAAAGTACCTAGAGAGCCAGTGTGTGATATTAATTTTGAAGGAGAGAAAATCATTAGGGTCTGTGAGTCCTCTGTTACGGTAAGACTGTGTATTCCAAGAAAATAAAGAGCCTTTCTCACAGGGGAAAAAAAGAAGCATTTGTACAGATAGGCTGTGTTCTAGATTGGCGATGGGCACCGCAGGGCTCATGCTTTATAATGTAGTTCAGTTCCTGTCACCTGTATTTGATTGACTTGAACATGCTGAAATTTGTTCCAGTGTGTTAACAGGGGACTGGTGTGTGTGCACATGCAATATGCAAGTTAATTAACGTTTGCTTTCCCTGTGCAAGGCCTGACCCTTTCTGGGGACACATACAGTGGGCCTGATGAGGGGAGGGAGGTGTGCTTACTTGAAGAGGGAGGCCTTAAATCTTTCAGATCCCTGAGTTTCATAATAGCCATTAAGTGTCTGCTCAATTGCAGAGGCCGTAAGCAGTGTCGTCTCAAACTTGGCTATTAACTCTTCAGTTATGTACTCTTGGCCAATTATTTCATAGGTGCATTACTAAATTACAGCATCAATTTTTGATGATGAAAGCAAGTGCATATTCATGATAAAAATTTGGAATACACAGGAAGTATAGAGAAGAAAGTGAAAAGCACCTGTCATTCCACTACATAAAGAACAATTACTATAAACATTTTGGCATATTGCCTTCTCTTATTCCTCTGAAGCCAATGTGTGCTGATGCATATTTTTTAAAAAACAGGAGCATATGATTTAATACCTGGTATTCTGTGTTTTTTAACCTGTATTTCCCCATATCATTAACTACTCAATGAATGCATCTCTTTTACAGTTTTATTGATGTGTAATTTAATTTCATAGTATTAGCCCATTTTAAGTATACAGTTGATGAATTTTAATAAAATTACAAGTTTTGCAACTATACCACAATCCAGTTTGGGAACATTTCCATTGTCTTCCCAAATTTCCTGAGATCTCACTTGTACCCTAACCCCAGGCAACTGCTGGTCCGCCTTCTGTCTCTGTAAATGTGCCGTCTGTGGACATGTCATAGGGGTGAAATCTCTCCACAGGTAGTTTTTGGCATTTGGCTTCTTTTTCTGAGCATCACTAGTGGTATCCCCCTTAGTGACGGGTACGCCCTTGGGTGCAACACCAAAGTGCAAATATCATACCATCGGTCAGTACCACCTGTTTTCATTGCATTGGGAACCACAGTCTGAAGGCTGTGAGCATCTCTCCTGTCAGAGAAAGGCAAAACAGCAAAGGTGTTTCTCCTCGGGCAAGAGGGCAGCGATTACAAATGTTAGCAGGACTGTGAGGAGAAAATGAGGCATCTGTGTCAGCATCTCTCTGACCTCAACAGGGGACCTCATCTTAGAGCCTGGGTTATTGCTTCATTCTGAACCGAAGACTGTGTTACAGCTATTGATTTTTACCATGAAGGTTATCTTTTGAAACCACAAGGCCAGAAAAACATTGTCTGCTTTGGAGAGAATGTGGAGCACCAGAGCAAGAAGCACAGGGAACGCGTTCTGCGACCAAACCCTCCCACACTCCTGGAATTGAAACATTTTTGCTCTCCGTTTGCACTAGCTAATTAGAGAGACCTTTCTCAAACCATTTACTTTCTTGCACGGAGCTTAAAGGACTCCCCAAACATCTTGTTGGAATGTTTACAGCCTGTCTGCCTTCAGACAGGTGGAAATGATATAGTTCCTTTTGGCTGGAACCCTGTTCATATATTTGAAAGAGGAAAGCTTTCGAAAAGTCACCTCTTCTATTAATCTCAGCAGAAAAGAAACTTGTTTGGACCCTCATACACTTTGTCAGCTGGAGTTCAAGTTATGTATCTGCATTGTTTTGAGGCAAGTCTGTCTCATGCAATCTGTGTACTCTTGTGAAGACAGCGAATTTTGTACAGCTCACAGCACAAGAGCCAGGCAGAAACAGGGAGGGAGAGAGGAATGCCTCCATTGGCAGAGACCCCTAGAGAATAGGACTCCATGGGGATCTGACGGGGCACCCTTTAAACTCCCTTGTCAAGATGGAAACTACCCAACCTGCTTCATGTTCACAGTGATGCATTGGACATGATGTTTATATAGCCTCCAACTCATGATTGTTTTTGTCTTTCTTTTTTTTGTTAAGTAGTAGTAGAGGTCATTGAGATTCATCTCCCAACAAACAGACACATCTGTTTGGAAAAATCTCACACTTCTATTTAGTGCTCCCAGAAATCTTTATGTATTTATAGATTTAATGTGCATATTTCAGTGTTCCTGAGAAATGTAAATTCTCGGCTTTGACCAGATTACAGTTACTATTTGTTTCCAGCAACTTGGGTGCCGGGCATACAGCACATCCTTGCCAAGTACCAGTGCCTGAGCACTTGAATTCTGAAGGATCTCTTACTGTCTTGGCCTGCAGATAAGAGTTTCTCACTTGTGCCTTGAGATCCTGTGTGTTTCTTTTTTATCAAAACATCCTCAGGCCCGGACTTATCAGGAAGACCAGAGCAGATGTCCATGGATGAGACCAGGGAGGCTACTTCATGTCCCCGATTGGTCCCTAGTGGTGGCCAACATGGGGGTCTCAACCTGGGGAGGGCCCCAGTGTCTGCTGGAGGTCTTGTGGCCTCCTGACTTGGCTCCCTCCTCCTCAACTCTTTTCCCAGTCCCTCCTGAGCTTTTTCCCAAGCTTTCTAGGACATCATGTTCACTAAGTCACTCCTTTATCCAAAAGCCTTCAGTGTCTTCCCTTTACCTATAGAATCCAGACCTAGCTCTCGAGCCTTAACATGTATTTCTAGCTGTTGCTTCCTAGTCCTCTCAAATTATTGTCCTACACAGCTTTGTACACTTAGGCCCTTTTGCCTGGTGGGCTCAGTGATGACTTTTCTTTAATGTGCATCAGAATCACCTGAGCATGTGATAAAAACCACAGACTCCCAGGCCCAACTTCTGGGGCTCTGCTAGTAGGCAGGGAGTTGACCAACACCCCAGGTGATACTGATGGAAGTGGGTTGGGGCCACACTTATGCTGCTCTGGCTTTTGACATCTATCAATCTGTGCCACTTTTTAGAGTTTGACTGAAGTCCATTTTCCCTGGGTAACCTCATCTCTCCCTCTTGGACTCTCCCTCATTTTTGCGGCACTCATTATTTGTGATACTCACTTTGCACTTAGCCTATTTTGCCTTGGACCATGATTTCAACGTTTGTTATATATGCATTTTTTCAGCAGACATCTGTCTGTCTGCCTCTCTACACACACACAGTTGCTTCTCGGCCTTTTGGATAAGATCAAGTGTAGTATCTACACACATACATATATATGAAAGTGCTTTCTATTTGCATGACACTGTATCATCTGAAAACACTTTTGTATGTATTCCTTAGCTCCTGCAGAGCAGAACCTTTGCTATCTGCACAAAACGTGGCACATCCCCCTCCTCCAGCCCATAGAAGTGGAGAAGCATCCATGGTGCTGGCCAGCCAGTCGCTGTGGTAATCATACAGGGCCTGTTGAGATAAGCAAAGCAGTTTCTTTCAAGCATTAGGCAAGTGTTACTGACGGCTGGTTTTGTGCTAGGTGCTCTGTTGGGGGCTGGGTGCAGAGCGCAGATGGTGGATGAAGCACACAGAGTTCTCGGGGTGGGAGAAGATGAGCGATGAACCTAAGCAGGAAAATTACTAATTGTGATATTACTGTGAGGCACCAAACAGGGCTGGAGTCTTAAATAATGGGCAGGAAGCCCTCTCACAAGAGGGAACTTGTGAGCTCAGGTCAAAGGGAGGGGCACAGTCTTGTGAAGAGGGCTGGGGGGGAGTGTCGAGACAGAGGGAAGGGTGGGGATCCCAGGAGGAAAAGAGCATGAAAAGCTGGGTGCCTGGGGAGGTTGGAGTGGAGAGCTGGGACGTGGGAGCCTAGGCAGGGCCAGAGAGGGGAAAAGAAGCCACACTGACCACCTGGGGCCTTGCAGGCCTTGCTGAGGAGTTTCTATCACTGGCTTTCAGGTGTGTGTGTTACTTTGAATGTGGGGGAGCGATGTGATCTGGGTTAGTAGAACTTGAATCTGTAAATAATGGCTCTATTTCAACAAGTCAGATGAAATCAGGGTGGAACTTGAAGGTCAATGATGGGTCTGGGGAGTGTTCTGTTTGCCTGGGATGTGCTGCGGCAGGTTGATATGTTTTGGATTGTTGTCCCCTCCAAATCTCATGTTGAAATGTGATTCCCAGGGTTGGAGATGGGGCCTGGTGGGAGGTGATTGGATCGTGGGAGCGGATCCCTCCCCAGTGGCTTAGCACCATCCCCTCGGTGATGAGTGAGTTCTGTTAGTTCACCAAGACCTGGTTGTTTAGAAGCGTCTGGGACCTCTCCTTTCTTTCTGTCTTGCTTCCCCTCTCACCATGTGACATGCCTATTCCTGCCTCATCTTCCTTCATGAATAAAAGCCCCCAGAGGGCTCATCAGAAGCTGAGCAGACGCCGGCACCATGCTTATACAGCCTGCAGAACTACGAGCCAATTAAACTTCTTTTCTTCATAAATTATCCAGCCTCAGGTGTTTATAGCAATGCAAGAATGGCCCAATGCGCAGGTCTTTTGGAGTCATCTTCTCTCTTGTGGGCCCTAGTGAGGGTCTGATTGTGGTGCTGCATGCCCTGGGAATGAGTTAGGTCTTCTTGGCCACACTTTGGCAAGTCTTCCAGTTGCAGGGGTTCAGAAGACTCTGGAGTTGGAAGACGTCTTATGGATCCCTTTGTTCACCTTCCTTATTTGAGAGATGACAAGGCAGACTTAGGGAAGGCTGGGACCTATGGCTGCAGCCTTGCCAGTTACATTGGTGCTCCTTTTTCTCACCCAGAGGAACAAACAGTCCCTTGGCCTTAGACAGGGTAGCATGAACACTGCTGTACAGCTGAGTGAAGAGCAGGCCTCCTTTGAATCTCTTGGGAATCACAGTGGATGCCCAGGAAGTTCAGTTAGGCTAGGAATTTGAATCCTAGCTCCACCACCATTTGCTGATTACATGGCTTTTGGAAAGTCATTTAACATCTCTCCGGCCTTCTCCTGTAAAATAATAGTACAAATACATACCTTGCAGAGATGTCAGGTGGATTAAATCGTATAATGTGCATAGTACTTATCACAGTTACCTGATATAATAGGTATTCAATAAATGGAATGCTGAAAATACCTATGGCTGAATAGTGCTTGGCTTGTGTGACTTCCTTAGATGAAAGCTATAATTATCAAGGTGAATGTGGGACTGGGAAGATCTTTGCAAAGATTCACACAACTCCTTCCTGGCAAACTGAGAGAGGTTTGGTGGAGTGCATTAGAACATTGAGCTCATGTAGGCATGGCCTCATCTCTTCATCTCAGTCTAT
The DNA here is from genome assembly GCF_000001405.40 of Homo sapiens. Lineage (NCBI taxonomy): Eukaryota > Metazoa > Chordata > Mammalia > Primates > Hominidae > Homo > Homo sapiens. The sequence goes on along the minus strand of NC_000005.10, from coordinate 137,330,647 downwards.
GTCTGGCACATAGTAGTTTGTCAATATGTATTTGTTGAGTTGCATGAGTGGATATTTTTACTATCAAGAACTTAAAGCAAGTTACATACCTAAGTATCAGCCTTGCATTCACATTCACTTTTAATTTTTGCTTCTAGCTTTCTGTGTGAATTTTTACAATGCATCTGGTGATAGGTTTGGAGCAGGTTCGTGTCTTGTGATCTGAGAGATATGTGGCTTTAAAATAAATGCTGATGCATTTAAGGAGTGAATTAAACTGGCCTTATCCTAATCTAAAGAGGTAGTGTCAGTCTGCATTTTGGCCGAAGCTGGTGGAAGGAGCTGGGAAATGCAGGAGGATTGTAGGTATGTAGCCCTCACCATAAAAGCCGCTCGCCACTGACAATTGCAATTATAGTTTCCATCCCCACAGTGTCTGGGGGGTCTCTGATTCAGCCAGCCAAAGGTACTGAGTGGAGATACAGGGCAGCAAAGTGGCAGGAACATAAATATTATGAATTGGGCCCATAGGTCATCCCTTAGCTCCTGTGCTTTGGGCAGCTCGTCATGATGAAATAGCTAATTTTCAGGAGCAGTGGCCTGGTGGGAGGCCTGGCAGAGCAGAGTGAGGTCTCAGGTCTGCTTCCCATGGGACATATAATAATGGCTGATCTGGATCCAGCTCATGACAGTTAATTCCCACTGAGCCTAGTTTGAGGGCCAGGGGAGCCTGTCTTGTAAATGAGAGACAGGAACTACAAAGAAGGTTCTGACCCCAAAATAGCATTTCCTTCTACCATTTGTTCAGTCTCTTTCAGATCCTTACCTAGATTCATTTAGGTGAGGAGACCTGTGGGTGATATGCTGAGTGAGCCATGCAGATGGCTTCTCGAGCTTGCACTGTGGGATAGCGTGTGTGCGCAAAGGGATGTGGTGCATTAGAGGAGCCAACAAAACAATAATGCAGAAAGGTTCTGCAGGGGCATGAGGGCACACCGCTCCTCTGTGTTCCCTTCTCCCTCCCCACTACATCCCACGCTTTGCATCAGTTCCCATTTTATTTTCACAGCAGTGCTTTTTTAGGTTGGACATTCCTCTAAAATTTAGTTTTAAACACTGGCTTATTGCATGCTTAGTGTCCAAATGACCCATAAAAAAATCTCTACTGTTAATGAAGGCTTCAGTTGGATTTCTGTGATGCAAGGCATCTGTATTAGGGTTCTCCAGAGAAAAAGAACCAAAAGGAGATATTAGGAGATATAGACAGATAGATGTGTATGTGTATATATAGGTGTATATATATATAAATAGATTTATTATAAGGAAGTGGCTCATGTGACTATGGAGATTGAGCAAGCAGGAGACCCAGGAGAACCGATGGTGTAAATCCCAGTCTAAGATTTGGTAGGCTCAAGGCCCAAAAAGAGCCTATTTTTCAGTTCCAGTCTGAAGGCAGGAAAAGACCAATGCCCCAGCTCACAGTTACGCAAGAGGAGCTCCCTCTTCCCTAGCCTTTTTGTTCTATTCACGTTTTCAATGGACTGGATGCAGCCCACCCACATTGGAGAGGGCCAGTCCACTTTACTCAGTCCACTGATTCAAATGTGAATCTCATCCAGATACACCTTCACAGACACAGCCAGAATCATGTTTCATAGAATGTCTGGGCACCCCATGACCCAGTCAAGTTGACACATAAAATTAACCATCACAGCATCCAAAGGCTGGGGCGGGGTGGTGAAAGTGTGCCAGCTGTTTCTGACTTTATATACCATTTCCAATTCCCAAAAGAATTGCAGGTAGCAAAAACAGTTTTTAAAAGATCCCATGGTATACAGAGACGATGTCGTTTAGAAGTAGTGATGCAGATGGCTTGGGTTGGTGGTGTGGTTCTGCCGCGTACTGATTGTGTGATCCTGGCATGTCTCCTAGCCTCTCTAAGCTTCAGCTATCTCAGCAGGAAAGTGCGAATGAGAATAGCACCTGCTCCTTAGGATTGTTTTGAGGAGAAAATTAAATAATTCATATAAAACACTTACCATTGTGCCTTGGCCTGTAGCACACTGGCTGCTGTTAGAGCTGTGTTCTGCATTGAGAAGGAGAGCAGTGACTAGCGTCAGTATTAAGTGAACACTGTCGGCCTGGCACGGCGTTAAATGCTTTGTCTGTGTGAACTCCCTTCTGGCCTGCCTGCTCAGGAGCTAGGTTCAGGTCTTAGTATCTGACTTGCTCTCTCCCCTGAAGACCACATGGATCATATTTTCTCTTCTGGGTTTTTTCTTTTGTCATTTAAATGAGAGATTTATTTCTTGGGGAGGGCATAGGTCATCCTTGCAAACTTTCACTCTTCCCAGTCCATCCTCTTCCCGCCATCTCTGTCCTCAGAGTACAGATGAGGATGGGCATATGGCCCGGGAACTTGAGGCCCCTGACCCAGGGACTTCAGTAAGTTTGCCATCTATCTGGGTGAGATGTACAGATTCTACAGAATCACATGGTTGCCCTTCCAGTGGTTTACTGGCACAGATTTATTGGTCAGTCCAATCATTTTGCACAATTTGTTCTCCAATTACTGGCAAAGAGTTCAGCTCTCAGTGGGATGTCAGGCAGCAGCAAAGGCTGTGATGAGCTGCTGCTGTTTCCACCTTAAATGGCTTCACAGGTGGGCGTGGACCATGGATGGTTAATTCCGCAGTGTGATCTTAAGAATCTGAGGGGTCTCTGTAGGAACAGTGTATTCATTTTTTCCCCTTGCTGTGGCTTTTTTCCACTGTTTCTTTGGCTTGAGGATCTGGATTATTTCCCATGTTAGGAAGGCCCACTCTAGAACAGACAAATGGGCATGCCTTTCCAGCAGCTCATGCATGTGTGTGGCAGGACTCGTCTATGATTTTGGTTCATTTTCTTCACCGCGACTCTAAGAGCTATGTGTTTTTATTATTTTCTACCTTGCAGATGAGGAAACAGAGGCACAGCCTGGTTATTTGCTTTGTCTGAGGTTACACAGCTTGTGTGTAAAAATTAAGTCTATGTTTCAAGAATGTACTGGCCTATTGGAACAGGAAGCAGCAAGACACCATTGAAAGACTCATGAAAGGCTGGGGAGCTTCCTCTTTTCTGGAAGATTAAAACCGAAAGTCTCAACCACTGGTATCTCAGTTTCCCTGATGGCAAAATAGATATAGTTGTATTGGTTTCTGCCAGTGCCACAGGGATATTTAACACTTCGTTATGTTATACTCTAGAATCTATTTTCTTATTTGTTCATGTGAGTTGTTTATAAGATTATAAAAATAAACCTGTATTTTTTATATCAGAAAAATTAAAAGTTACTAAAAACTGTTAGTTTTTGGTAACATCAGTTTTCATTATTGGGATATACCCAATGATAATAACTACAGCTGGCACTTACTATGGGGAAGGCAGCATTTTAGGTGATTAACTCATCAGGTCTTCAAAGCTACCCTGTGCAGCAGACACTCCTGCTGTTCCCATTTGACAATAGGTAAGTGGTAGAGGTGGGACAGGAAATCAATCGGACTCGGAGTGTGTGCTCTTAACCACAGTACTCTCTCCCTATCCACATCAGGAAGCATAACTCCTGGGCTTTTCAAAAAGTTCTGTTTAAGTCACTGATGAATGAACATTTTTGTTTGTTTGTTTGTTTGTTTTAGAATTTAAGAGAAGTGTATTCAGAGTGAGGCTCTTTTGGATGATGTCAGAAATAATGAGGTTTAGTACAGTATGTATCAAAATACACACCACTTGAGGACATCCTGAGAGAAATTACTTGTTTGATTTTTCACAATGGGCATAAACACAGCGGAATGATAGATGAGACAAATTCAGGTAATCTCCAGATTAAAATTCCGAACAGTCAAATAGTATTTTTCTGTGAAAGGTTGAATCTCCTGATAAGCTCCAAATTATATTCCCACCTTATTTGAGAATATGTGTTGGCAGGTTTAACAAGATCTTGGCACATTCTAATTTGAGATTTATTACAAGATGTGTGCATGTTTAATAGGGCCTTAATTATTCATATCCACATCTTCCTGACAGTAACTTCCTTCAGCTGTAGATAAATTCCTGGCACATTGGGGAAGATTGGCTTTTGCTGTTAAAAAGATCCAGTGAAAGAAAAATCAAATGCATATGCAAGAAATTACCCAGGGCAACCAGCTCCTCTCAGGCTGGAGCTTGTCCTTCATATGGGATTGCCAAGCAATCTCTTCTGTGCCCCTGGACTAGGGAGCAACCTGGTGGAATAGAAAGAGCTCAGGTTCTGAAGGTAGGCTCACCTGAGGTCAATTCTGGTTATAGCCTAAGAATCGAATGCCTTTGGCCTGATTTCTTAAAGTCTGCAGGATCTAGATTTTTTTTTTTTTTGGATGCAGAAGTAGGTACCTCATGCCTCCCTTAAAGGGTTGATGTTAGGATAAATTGAAACATCTGTCAATTGGGAGGGGTGCAGTGTATGGTACGGGGAGTACTGAATGGGAGCTGCCTTTTTTTCATTTCCTCTTCTCCTATCATCAGTGCTTTGAGTCCATCTATGGATATTACACAAGATATGACACAATAGTAATTATCTTTTATGGAAATAAAGGGAATACGGTAAGAAGTGCTGGTAAAAATGTAGGGAAATAGGTACTCCCAGATGCTGCTGATGAGTGGGAATTGGTGCAGCCCTTTTAGAGGTTGACCTGTTGATATCAATCAGAACCAAAAGGCCTCAGGGCCTTTGCACTCGCTGTTTCCTTTGCCTGGAATGTGTTACTCCCACATGTCTGTGTGGCTTTCTCTTTATTTTAGCCCTTGGCCCAAATATGACTTAGAGAAGTCATAGCTGGTTGCCCCGTGTAAACTACCACTGCCCATCACTCTGTGGATTGCTTATGCCACTGTTTTCTCCGTAGCTCTTAATATTTCCTGGTATTAACATATGCATGTGTGAGTTTGTCTGTCCATCTCCCCCACAAATGAGAGGTCTGAGAGGGCAGGGGCCTTTGATTTGCTCCTTTCTGTGTACCCAGCACTGAGAGCAGTGCTATGTCCAGCACAGAGTGGGTGATTCATAAATCATTGAGTGATATAATTAAAAGTTACTGCCTTGAAGTTCTGTTTTGGCAGACAACTTCAGAGAGCTGGGCTGTTAGTTTTTAGGAAGCATGTACGCAGAATTCTTCTTAGCAAAGGCATCAGTGACTTAAGAGAAGTGTTTGTATACAAGATCTGGCTCTCTTGATGAGGAGGGTGTTGGGGTACTTTGTTCTGGCCCCAAAGCACAAAGGGCAATGAACTCAGTGGCCAGAAACCATGTGGCTTCCTGATGAGAGAAAGATGAAATTTTCCCGATTTGAGAAGGGGTGTCATGCAAGGGAGGGCTGGTATGTTTTTAAATATCAAGGACATATATTGAGAGATAATACCATAGCTGATTGGTAAATAGTTTTTTCAATCAAAAACTTTTATTTTCACTATTTTGAATTACATAATTAAGCCATTATTTTGACAAACTCTTAGCCCAGTTGTCCCCCATCCCAAAAACCTTTCCTCTCGGAAAGACAGAGCTGTTAGTTTGCCATATCTATTTCCAGACATATTTTTGTTTGTTTATACACACATATATCAAACTCAAGATCTGCAGGTGTATTGACAATTTAGCTTCCTTGGTAAGTGCAAACCCCTCATTTTTTTTTTTTTCAGGATTGAGCCGTCAAGCTTGTCTGCACAGCTTAGTGTTGGTGATGGTCTGCTCTCTCTGTCCCTTTGGAAACGAAATTTTGGGGTGGGGAAACCTGCTTGCAAAATGGGTTGTGTTCAGATTCTTTGGAGATTTCCAGCTTGTACAGGAAGTATAGCTTTTTTTTTTTCCTAATTGTGGTTAAAAAAACAAATAACATGAAAGCTACCTCCTTAATGAAATTTTAATTGTACCATTCAGTGTTATTATATGCATATTGTTGTATGGCTGAAGAACTTTTTCATCTTGCATGACTGAAACTTTGTACTCATTGAATAGCAGCTCCATTTTTCTTCTGCTTCATTCTGCAGCCCCTGGAAACCACCATTCTACTTTTTGTTTTTAAAGTTTAACTACTTTAGATATCCCATGTAAGTAGAATGATGCAGTATCTCCTCTTTTGTGACTGGCTTGTATTATTTAACACAACGTCTTCCAGGTTCATCCATTTGTAAGATTTTCTCTCTCTCTTATTTTTGAGATGGAGTCTCCTTCTGTCACTCAGGCTGGAGTGCAGTGGTGTGATCTTGGCTCACTGCAAACTCTGCCTCCCGGGTTCAAGCGACTCTCCTGCCTCAGCCTCCTAAGTAGACAGGATTATTGGCACTCATCCCCACACCTGGCTAATTTTTGTATTTTTAGTAGAGATGGGGTTTCACTATGTTGGCCAGGCTGTTCTTGAACTCCTGATCTCAAGTGATCCACCCACCTCTGCCTCCCAAATTGCTGGAATTACAGGTGTGAGCCACTGTGCCTGGCCAAAATTTTCTCTTTTTTTAAGGTTGGCTAATATTCTTGTGTATTTGTACACCACATCTTACTTATCCATTCATCCATAGATGAACACTTGTGTGGTTTCCACCTCTTGGCTTTTATAGATCATGCTGCATTGGACATGGGAATGCAAATATCTCTTTGAGATCTTGATTTTAATTATTTTGGGTAGATACTTGGAAGTGGGATGGCTGCATCATGTGGTAGTTCTCTTTTTAATTTTTTGAGGACCCTCTATGCTGTTTTCCGTAATGGCTGTACTAATTTACACTATCTGATAATATGTGAGAGATTCCTTTGCCCCACACCCTTGCCGACACTTATCTTTTGTGTTTTTGGTGATAGTCATTCCAGCAGGTTGAGGTAATATCGTATTGTGGTTTTAACTTGCATTTCCCTGCTTATTAGTGATGTTGAGTATTTTTTTTCCCATACATGTTGGCCATTTGTATGTCTTCTTTGAGAAAGGTCTATTTCAGTTTTTTAAAATACCCATTTTAAAAATTGGGTTGTTTTCTTGCTGTTATTTGAGTTCTTGATATATTTTGGATATTAATCCCTTCTAAAGTATGGCTTGTTATTTTTTTTTTCCCCTTCTGTTGAGCCCATGTCATGTCAATGTTTGTTTCATATATTTGGCTCCTCTAATGTTAGGTGCAAATATAATTATAATTGGTATGTCTTCCTGGTGAATTGGCCCTTTTATCAATATGTGATGTTCTTATTTGTCTCTTATGACAGTTTTTGACTTAAAGTCTATTTTGTATGAATACATATGACCACCCTGTTCTCCTTTGGTTACTTTTTGCATGGAATATCTTTTTCCACCCTTTCACTTCCATCCTGTGTGTGTCCTAAAATCTAAAATAAGCAAATAGTCTCATTTTCTTTTAAAAAAAATCCATTAAACTACCCTATGTCTTTTGATTGGGGAATGTAATTCAATTTCATTGAAAATAATTACCAATAGGGAAGGACTTACTATTGACTTTTTGCTATGGCTTGAATATGTTCCCCAAAATGCACATGTTAAAAACTTAATCCCCAGTGCAGCAGTGTTTGGAGGTGGGGCCTAATGAGAGGTGATTAGGCCATGAGAATGGAGTGAATGAAATAACAGTTATTGCACGAGTGGGTTTGTTATAAAAGGGAGAGTTCATCTTCCTTTTACTCTCTCTCTCTTGCTCTTCTACCATGTGATTCCTTTCACCATGATTCCTTTTACCACGTTATGACATAGCAAGAAGGTCCTTACTAGATGCTGGCCCCTCAGTGTTGGACTTGCCAGCCTCCAGAACTGTGAGAAAATAAATTCCTGTTTATTATAAATTGTCCAGTCTCAGGTTTCCTGTGATACTAAAATGGACTAAAATGCACTTTGTTTTCTGCCTGTCTCTTAGTGTTTTTGTTCCTTTTTTCCTCTTTTGATTTTTTTTTTGGTAAGGATATGCTTTGATTCCTTTCTCATTTTCATTTATGTATCTTATGTAGGTTTTTTGTGGTTACATGGGGCTTATTTTACAGTTGTAATATCTATTTTAAGCTGATATCAGCTTAGCTTCAGTCACATACAAAAATTCTACTCTTTGACTTCTCCCCTCTGTTTTGTTATTGTCACAAATTACATCTTTTGTATTGTGTATCCATTAACATACCTTTATAGTTATTTTTGTATTTTTGTCTTTTAACTTCTATGCCAGAATTAAGTGATTTACCTACCATTGTTAGAGTATTACAATATTCTGTATTTGTAATATTTATATATTTACCTTTACCAGTGAGTTTTGTGTGTGTGTGTGTTTTTTTTTTTTTCCTTGAGACAGCATCTCACTCTGATGCCCAGGCTGGAGTGCAGTGGCACAATCATGGCTGACTGCAGCCTCGACTTCTTGGGCTCAGGTTATTCTCTTACCTCAGTCTCCTGAGTAGCTGGGACTACAGGTTTTGTGCCAACATGCCTGGCTAATTTTTGTATTTTTTAGTAAGAATGGGGTTTTGCTATGTTGCCCAGGCTGGTCTCGAACTCCTGGGTTCACTGCCTGCCTCAGCCAATGAGCTTAATACTTATATATGCTTTTATGTTGCTGACCAGTGTTTTTTAGCATTCTTTCTTTTCAACTTGAAGGACTCCATTTAGCTTTTCTTATAAGGCGGGTCTAGTGGTGATAAATTTTATCAGCTTTTGTTTATCTAGGAAAGCCTTTAATTTTTCTTAATTTTTGAAAAACACAGACACACAAATCTGGATTGACAGTTTTCTTTTTCTTTTTTTTTTCTTTTTGACAGAGTCTCACTTTGTTGCCCAGGCTAGGGCATGATGTTGGCTCACTGCAACCTCTGCCACTGGGGTTCAAGCAATTCTCCTGCCTGACCCTCCTGAGTAGCTGGGATTACAGTCACCTGCTACCATGCCTGGCTAATTTTGTTGTATTTTTTTAGTAGAGATAGGATTTCACCATCTTGGATAAGCTCGTCTTGAACTCCTGACCTCGTGATCCACCTGCCTCGGCCTCCCAAAGTGCTGGGATTACAGGCGTGAACCACCGCCCTGGCCCTTTTTTTTCTTTTTTAATCACTTTGAATATATCATCCTACTCTGTTTTGGCCTGCAAAGTTTCTGCTGATATATACACTGATAGTCTCATGGAGACTCCTTTGTATGTGATGAGTTACTTTTTTCTTGCTTTCAAAATTCTCTCTTTGTCTAACCTTTGACAGCTTGATTATAATGTATCTCAGTGTGGACTTTTTTGGGTATGTTCTGATTGAGATCTATTTGGCTTCTTGGATTTGGATGTTCATTTCCTTTACCAGAGCCATTATTATTTCATACAAGCTTTCTGCCCCTTTGTCTGTCTTTCCTTCTTCTGGAATACCTATAATATACCTATTGGTCTCTGTGGTGTCCCATAGTAGGTCCTTTAGGCTTTCTTCACTTTTTTTTTTTTTTTCTGGTTGGTGTTTCTATGACTGAATAATTTCCAATGACCTGTCTCTGAGTGTGCTGATTCTGTGTTGCTTAAACAGTTCTGCTCTTGAATTATTCTAGTGAAATTTCCAACTCAGTTTTTGTGTTCTTCAGGTCACAAATTTCTTTGGTTAAAAAATACTCTTTTTCATTTTACAGACACTCTCATTTGTTTATACACAATTTTCCTGAGCTTGTTAAGCATCTTTATGGTGGCTATTTTGAATTGTTTATGAGATAATTCATATAACTCTTTTTCTTTAGGACCAATTTCTGGATATTTATTTTGTAACTTTGACTGGGCTGTGTTTCCCCATTACTTTGTGAGCCTTATAATTTTGTGTTGGGATTTGCACATTTGAAAACACAACCACTTTCCCCAGTCCTTATGGTTTTTCTTATAGGGAAAGACCTTCAGCAATCAGCCCAGCTAGAGATTCCAAGCGTCTCTTAACCTTTTGGGGAGAGAAATCTTTTCTAGGCTTGTGTGTGTAATTTCCCATTTAGAGAGATTTGCTGGTCTCTTTTTCAGGCGCTTGTAGCCTCTTGCTCCCTCTGGTGTCTGTATGAGGTATTTCAGGTTTTCTGGCGCTTTTTCTGGCATTGAGCTCTTTTCTGTTCTCTGGCTCCCAGGTATCCAAAGTTTTCTAAGTCTGTCAGCACTCTAAGTCAGGCAAAACAGAAACCACTCCTTCTAGCAGCCCTTGAAAAGCCAGAACACAATATATACATTCCACCCTTCCTTTCCCTCCCAGTGGAGAAGCCATGAGTTGGGTGCTTTCTGAAAATTGTGGCAAGCTGTGCTGGTGTCTCTGTGTGATACTACAAGTTCTCTGGTGCTGCCACAAGCTTCTGAGCTCTCTTTTGTTCTCTGTGGATACCAGGCATCCAAGGTATGTCAGTTTCCCATCAGCACTCTGAATCAGGCAGGACAGAAACCAGTCCCTTGGGCAGTTTCCTGAAAAGCTGGAACATTGGAAGTGTTTCAATTTCTTCAATTTCCCTCCCAAGGGAGAATCCACAAGTTGGACTCTTCTTTTTGATCATGAGCTGTGCTGGCTTGGGAGAAGGATTGATGCAGTTGGAATAAAATAGCTTTTTGTTACCCATTTCAATGTAGCTGTTCTTGATTTTGAGTTGCCTGGGGTACTGTGACTTCCTAACTGAATTCTGGAGTTCTCATAAAGGCTTTTTGGATCATGTGTTGTTTTTTTTTTTTTTTTTTTTTTGAGACGGAGTCTCGCTCTGTCGCCCAGGCCGGACTGCGGACTGCAGTGGCGCAATCTCGGCTCACTGCAAGCTCCGCTTCCCGGGTTCACGCCATTCTCCTGCCTCAGCCTCCCGAGTAGCTGGGACTACAGGCGCCCGCCACCGCGCCTGGCTAATTTTTTGTATTTTTAGTAGAGACGGGGTTTCACCTTGTTAGCCAGGATGGTCTCGATCTCCTGACCTCATGATCCACCCGCCTCGGCCTCCCAAAGTGCTGGGATTACAGGCGTGAGCCACCGCGCCCGGCCTCATGTGTTGTTGTTAAAGCTGGTGTTTCTGTTGTGAAGTGAGCTCTCGGGTTTCCTATTCTACTGTCTTGCTGATGCTACTTAAATAAGAAGGATAGTTTTATGGCATTGCATAAAAGTGTATCCTAGCATCACTCTACTGAAAACATAACTAGTTTTATCATTGATGCCTTCCAAGAAACCATTTACAAGTATTAAAAGGACTTGCTCTTGGAGAGATGTCAATCTGTTACTTATAGTGAACAATAAGCATATTGGAAAAATGTGTTAGATGAAAGAAAGGGGTAATGAATGGTTTTAAATTAATAGATCTTTCACCTAAAGCTAGCCATGGAGCATTGCTTGTAAATCAATTAAAGGCCAAAGGAAATATTCATCATTGAATTATATGGGTTTTTACCTAGAAGAATTTCCCTCAAAATGCAATTTCCCTGGAAATCTGTGAATCCTCAGTTCTCTGATGAGAGGCAGCTTAAAATTCAGCTGGGTAGTTTCTGTGATGTCTCAAACAGGCTCCATAACCTTCATGATATATAGTCTTGGAATTTGTGTGTGCCTCCTCTTTTCTCTGAGGGCAGAGATTGGACAAACTTGAACTGCTGATATAGAGAAAGTGACTTATGTTTTTTAGCTTTCAACTGCACTGCTTGGCAAATTTTAGGGGCTAAAGCATGAATTGTATGCCCTGGATAGAATGACATCTATTAAACGTCTTCTGTCACTGAGCAAGTCTGTGAATGAATGAACTTTGATTTCCTACAGAGAAGCAGGTGAATCGGTCAGTAAATCCACATTATTGAGTGTCTCTGCCCTCAGCAGCATGTCTTGGGATTAGGAAAAATTTTATCTTGACCAAGAGAAAAGTTTAAGGAGGGCCTGCTCTGTGCTGTCTCATATATGCTCTGGTTTTTAGAGTCTTAGCTTTCTCCCCAAACACTTTACTTTCAAAGAAGGGAAAATTAAACAATAGGCAATACTTGTTTCATCTTTGAATTCCCATTAATCAAAGGGTAGTCTCCTAGTAACATCCTGGATTTGTTTCTATTTCCACTTCAAACCCACTTGGCCATCTAAACAATTATCTGGCTCACCATCCACCAGAACCCTAGTTACAGGGAGAGGAATCTCGAGCACTCTTACCTCTTCTCAAGGTACTGAGAGGGATTCCCAGGAGACTGGGCTGAGAAGACAGACAAACCCCTCATTATAATCAGGTGGTCCCTCAGTGCTGCTACCTGGAAATAGGAATTCTGCTTGACATTCTAGACAATAGAGCCATGCTTTTTTTATTATTTAAGGACAGCCTTTTCTTTCTTCTCAGGTAGTCGACAGCTACCAATTTAAATGAGCTGGGTTTATGGATGGCTGCAGAAATCCTCTTTACTCAAACCCAGTATCTATCCATCAGCCACTGCGCAGCACTTTACTGTGGAGGCAGCGGGGGGACAGCTCATCAGAATCGCCCCAGTGGAATGTTACGATAGGAAAAAAGAGGAATGGATTACATATTTATGTGGTCTTTGAAAATGCAGTGGGACAGGAAGATTGCTTGTAACGTATGCAGTTACATTAAATGACTATTAACCTTCACTGGTTGCAGGTGTCTGGTGAATTCATTTGTGCTTGTGTATGTTGTGTGGCTTGAAAAATTAATGAGACTTTTTAAATAATCAAATTAAAAGTATTTGTTACTCCAGGTTCTGGTGAGCTATCAAAACAAAACTGGGTACAGCTTACAAAAATAAAGTGTCTACTGAGAAGAATAAAAATATGAATTGAGGGGGGAAATTGATAGCTATGCGGATCTTGGAAACTAGTTTCATCTGATGGAGTAAAATAAGAGAAAATATGCCCATCGTGACTAGTTTTATTTGTAGATTATGGTTAGTGAATTCTCTCTTTTGTCATGAATGCTTCACATTCTGGAGGAAGGAGGTGGCCTTGCAGTAATGTTTTATTTCTGTGAATGCCAGACTTTTCTTCAACCTGTTGACTTGTAGGGTTGACGTGTCAGACATGGTGAAGAACAATACCTGTGGAGCTGAGCCTTCATTTCCTGAAACGTGTGTCCAAGAGGCTTTTTTGACAAGGATGTTTTAACTATGCTGTGTACACCGTTAGAATTTCAGTTTTGTTTTTAAACATTCCCATCTGACTGGAGCTTCCCTCCATCCATTCCTGAAACTCACCTATTCCTGATCTGCTGAAGCCCATGTCCTCTCCAGTGTCCTGCATTGCACCAAAACGGCAGTAATATAGGTCAGGGACGAATCCCCTGAAGTCCCTGAAGGTTGGAGACCACCAGATCTCACTACCCTTACTCCATGGCCAGGAGATGGAAGGAACAAGGAAGAAAAGGCTTCCAGCAATTTCACTGTAGGACCTAAAAGCAGAGGCTCTTTCTGCTTCTTGACTGAACATTTCTTACAAAGCCCTCTGTGCTTATCTAGCTGTAGTGAAAACTGGGAGGGAGACAAGGGCTGTAGTTGGTGACCAGAGACTCTCCCCCAGGATACCCGCACTCACCTCTGCCAAAAGACATGCCCCTCTGCCTCAGCCAAGCAGTAAAATCAAGGACCATCCATGTTGTGCCCAGAGGCCCTTGGAAGAAGGTGGGCTGCTTGATCTTCCTAGCTGAGTGGCCATTCAGAGCTCTTATCAGCTTGGAAAAAAGAGTAATCCTCAGAAGGATTCACAGTGTCACCCTTCTTAGATGATGAGGCACCATGGGGGCTTTGGTTCTTAAATGGATCTCCTCCAAAGGCAGGTAGATTTGTTTTCCAGTGGGCACAGAGCGGGCCCACGCTGAACACAGAAATGGTGTTATTCTAACTGTTAAATAAGAAAAATTACATGTTGTGAGTTAGGCTAATTGATCTGCAGAATTCTGGTTTCCTGCAATTTAAGACTCTGTCTTGGGCATGAATGAAATATTCAGAGGGCAGAGGAGCTAGAGATGAAAACTGCAAGGAAAAAAGTAGTTAGAATAAGGTTTAACTTGTACAGTTCTGAATTCCAGGGATTTAAGAGTAAAGGCATCCAAAAATACTCCTGCTGCCAAGGCCAGGTTGTCAATAATAAACTGTGAGTCACAAGTCCTGGTTGTGGGCCTGGAAGCTAGCAGAGAGGGGATTCAACTGGCAGGTTCTCCAGCTCTCAGCCTTTAGCTCTTCAGGGCTGAAACTTTGCTCGAATTCCTTGAATCACATGATATCAAGGACCAGGAGGGAGGGCTCACATCATAGCTGAAAGAAAGGACAACCCCAAGTGCTCAGGAAAGACAAACTTCTTTTTAGAACATAAAAGGATTTTTTCTAGCTAGCCGCTGTGATTTGAATGCATCACTTCCCAAATTCAGGTGTTGCTCATTTGATAGCATTCAGAGGTGGGTCCTTTGAGAGATGATTTGAGGGCATGTCCTTCATGAGTGGGATTATGACTCTTATAAAAGAGGCTTCACACAGTAGCATTTGGCTCTCGTCCTTCCACCATGTGAGCACACAGTGTTCCTCCCCTTTGGACGGTACATCCCTCCTTGGATGCCAGATGCTATCACTTCAATCTTGGATTTCCCGGCTTCCAGAACTGTGAGAAATGAGTTTCTGTCCTTTATAAATGACCCAAGTCTCAGGTATTTTGTCATAGCACAAGTGAACGACCAGCCAAGCCTTCAACAACTAGCGGCTCACCTCTCAGAAGGCAGTCTGCTTTCCAGTGGCCTTGGCATAACCTGGGAGCTATCAGAAAGGCTGACTCTCCAGCACCCTGCCCCCAACTCCCCTAGGACCTACTGAGTCAAAATCTGCATTTTAATAAGATCTCCTGGGGATTCATAGGCACCATGAAGTCTGAGAAGCAGAGAGGGACGGATAAGTTGTCTGTATCATTTCAGCAGATCTTCATGGGAACCTACAGCCTGCCTGCCTTGCTAGTGCTGGACACAGTGGGAGGAGACAGACACTGTGCCTAGTCTCAGGAAGCTAACTGTCCAGAGGAGAAGATGGCAAATAATGATCATGAAATGACCTCAAAGGGGTGTTTGTGAGAGCCTTGAGCCATCAGTGCAGCAGGAGGCCACTCGATGTGCTCTGGTGGCATGTCCTGGCATGGAGGTCTCCTTTCTCTCCTGTGTAAAACAGAGGCATTGAAGGTAAAGTGCTCAGTTGCTCCTAGCTACTGCTTCTCATGTATCAAAGTGGAGATGGTGGGGGGGTTGTGGGATGCCATATCTGCTTCACAAGGCTGCTAAGTTATTCATCAAAAGTTTGCTGAACCTGTATTCTCTATCCATCGCCATACGTGGTTCAGAGTTGAAGACAGATCCTTGGAACTCATAGCCTCATGAGAATGACAGATGAGATGGAGAGAGAATTACAGTTCCATGGAGTACAGCCCCATGGAATATGAAATACAGAGAGTCACTGAGGATTAGTGTTGAATTCTGTCCATGGTGAACCTTGGAAGGCTTCCTAGTGGAAGGAGATGGATTTTTAGCTAAGACAGTGAAACTATTCCTTGACATAGTTCTAGTTCTAGCTTTTGCCATTTTTTTTCCCTATCAGAGAAGAGTAGGGACCTGTCGGGATTGGCAGGGGTAAGCAGACAGGTGAGGGTTCCTATTTTAGAGAAGCTACAGGATTTGGTGCATACTGAAGCTGACTTTGGTGCATACAGCCACTCTTTCAAATGTTCCTGAAGACAACTCATTTCTGCTGGGTATTGAGACTGAGCTGGTGCATGTAGGTGGACAGACAGTTTTAAACACTACTATCTCAGTAAAGCCAATTAAAGACATGGAACTGGCTGGGGTTGTCCTGAGAGCCTAATTTATGGAGCACCTGCTTGGTGCTGGTGCTGAGCTCAGGATGAGAGGCAGTGGAGGAGTAAAGAGAACATGGAAAACGTGGTCCATGCACTCTAAAACCTTTAAATATGGCAGGATCCCATATGTCCTTTTAAATAGAGCCAGGCAGTAAACCGATAGCTAAGGACTGTAGCTGTGGATAAACAATAGACAGGTGACAAATACTGATACTGGCTACTTTTCATAGAGAACAGAGTGTGTGTTCCTGGCACTCTGCTGGGTGCTTTATAGATGGCATTTCTAATTAATTTTTTGAAAATCCCCAAAGCAGGTTTTATTATCTCTGTTGTACAGGTGAGGAAAATGAGACTCAGAAAGCTTGTCATTGGAAGAACTGGGGTTGCAGTACAGGTTTGTTATGTGCCAAGTCCTGTCTTCCTTCTGTGGAATCATGTGTCACTTCTAAATCAAGCCCACAGAAGCTGGTGGAGATACTAGAGTGCAGAGATGGTAGCGTTTGTGAGGCTGGAGTTTGGAGGCCTTTGAACTGGTATTAGAAAGTAAGAATTGTCCCAGTATCATGTGAGAGAATGATGTTTTCTGGTCCTTATTCACTGATGAGCAGTGATGTGCCTGGTTGCCTTGTTAATTAAAATGAGCCAAGAAAAGGAAATGAGATGGGCACTGCTTGTCCTCAGAGACTGTCAGGCTGGGGAGGGGCTGGGGAGAAATGGAGGGTTAACTGGGATAAAGCCCCTGGGCAGGAAAGCCTAAGGGGTAGAGCTCAGAGCTTGAGGCCAAACTGAATTGAGATGATCTAGAGACAAGGAGCTCTGAGAGGACGATGGGAGGAGAGCTTGGATGTCTGCAGGTGGGTGTGGTGCAGGACCATCTGGGAACACAAAAAGCAGGCTCTAGCCAGAGTCTCCTTATCTCCCTGTTGTGAGCGTATGTCAGTTCTGCTGCTGCTCTCTTCTGTGGGAAGCATTTATAAAGGGGTTCTTCATTTCCCCCAGGATGTGGAGCCTTGCAGTATATGATCAGAAAGAGCTAGGTAGGAAAATGGTTCCTTTTCCTGTCATGCATGAATGCAACCCTTTTGTAAATGCCCTTGGTCCAAGGAGCTCTGGAAGAACTATAGGCAGCAGCTGGGTAGGGTAGGGTGGCCTCCTGGCCAAGCAGTGGGTTGTAGCTTGGATAGACTTGGATGATTGTTTTCCCCAGAGCATCTATATTTGTGCAAAGTAGCAATATGTTCTGGGAGCTTAGAAGAATGGGGTCAGGTTCATTTTAAGAGGAGGTAGGAGGCAGGCTGGAGCCTGTGACTCTCCTATGGATCCCTTCTGAGGCTGCTGGTGTCCTTGTTTTGGGTGGGTGTCACAGGTGCCCGGCCTGTGCCCTGATGATTTCCTGAGACCACCCCTTGCAGCAGGTAAGACACTTTCTGAAGCAAAATGCTGGGCTTTACTTTTCTTCTCTTTAATCTTTTTGTCCTGTCAATGTCTGGCTCTTCTGTGTGCCCATACCTCATCCCTACTTCCAACTAAATGATTGTAGTGTCCTATCAATAAGGCTAATAGAATTAATGAGTATAGCAGGGACTGGCTTATGTGTTGCTCCAAAAGTATAATGCTTTATGTTTATTAAAACACACACATCTCCACTGGGCTTTTAGGAGAGACTCTAACTGTGGGAATTTCAGGCACTTTTGGGAATGGATGGTAGGGACACATTTTGGTCCAGGTAACTTAACCCCACCCTCTGTTACCCCAAGTAGGTGGCATTGTGTTCTCCTGGGTCTAGCCTTTCTTTTACTGTAGGAGCTGCACGGGGAAGACAGCAACCCAGGATACTCCTGGTTGGGATTCATGTTTACCTGCCAGTAGGAAAATGGGCCTGTCCCTGGTTGACTGTGGCCTGATGGTAGCTGTCATCCTTCAGATCTACACAGAAGTGGGCATTCCTCCTCCAGTAGCATTTAGTCTTCAGAGAAGTCCTCCTAACACAAAGGAATCTCCTGCAAGTGGACAATTTACTGGATGGGGATGATGGGAGAGAGATAGAAGTAGGATTTTGGGGCAGAGAGAGCATCTCTTTTCAGAACCTCTATACACAGCCCCTGTGGGTGCTTTCCTGTCCACTGTACCCTATCCACTGTACCCTACTCGCTGTGTGCTTGAAGGATGGGCCTGCTGCTCCTGAAAGAGCACACATTCCAACCTAAACCACCCCAGATTCCTGACAGCTGTGGGCTCCTGCATTGGCACTTCTTGGAATAATATAATTCGTAACCCAGCATCTGAATTTAAATTAAGAGAAAACAACAACAACAAAAAATTTAAAAAAAACAACCAAAATTCTGGTCCTTCCTCACCAGTGTGGTGACAAAGGGTTTTGACTGTTTATGGCATGGTTTTCCTGAAGGCCTCAGCAATTTTTTGCTTTATTCTCCAACCCTCCTGGAGGAGGTCTCTCTCATTTGAGTGCTGTGGGGATGAGATCAAGCAGATCCATGACCCTCTGAGGTCCCAAGACTAGGCCAGACCCTGGAGTCTGGAACCTGTGACATTCCTTCCCTCTCCACCTCTCCTGACAGCAGGCTGCCTGGGACCAGGCATGGTAAGCTCTTTCAGGCCAGCTCTGCTGCTAGGGATTTAAGGGAGTTGAGTTTGAATATTGAGCCATCCCCTAGGGGGTTTCCAGGCATTTATTGAAATGAGATGTGACTAGGATCTCTTTGAAAAAGAAGTACCCGAAAGAATTGGCATATTAATGGAGCTACGTGCCAAGCAATGAAAGTGTCTCCACATTTTCAAATACCTGGGTACCTGATTTTTCTAGTTTGGGGATAGAAATGGAAGACTAACTTTTGTCAGACAGTAAAGCCTAATTAATTCAGGCGAGCTAAGTAAATTAGGGCACAGGCATACACTGCGATGCTAGGCAGCCACTAAAATGATGCTGTAGAATATTTAATGATATGAAGCAAAGTTCATGCTTTATTAAGTGTAAAAAGCAGGTTACAAAAGACTGGGTACAGACTTATCCTATTCTTTCATAATTAAAAAACAGTATACAAAAAGACTGACTAGGCAGACATCAAAATGTTAACAGTGATTCTTCCTGGGAGTTCTGCTTTCAGGTGATTATTTTAAAATTTTTACATATTTATATATTTTTCAGAGTATACATGATATTTATCAAAAGGAGAAAAGTCAATAAAAGTGTACACATGTGCTTATGTGTGTGTAAAGATTAGACTGAAGGAAAAGAGCGGAGTAGATAGTTTGAAATTATTTAAAATTATGTTGGACACATTACTTATGCTTGCAGATGAAGAAACTGAGGTTTAACAGAGTGGGAATATCCTTATCTGTTATATATGCTTGTTGTAATTATTTATGGAAGAAGAACATTTGTAAGGTATCCAAGACAGTGGTATGTTTTAATACTCCCCAGGTGGTTTTAATATGCGGTCCAGATTGAAAACCAAACATTAGCATGGTGGCTCAGGAACAGACAGAAATTTGCAGTCACCCTCCTTCCCACCCCTCAACAAGAGAATGTAGGGAGGTGCTTAGCACATAGTAGGTATCCAGAAGATTCATCTTTTTTTTTCTGGGATCAGTGCTTTTGTTCTGGTTAAAATTAAACCATGACATTCTGAAGCCAATGGGGAAAAGAGATGACTTTGAATTTATCCCTTTTGGATTATCTCTGTTTGTTAAACCAACACTCAGAGGCTCTACCTTGTGGCCTGAGATCCTAGTACCCATTTGGAAATGTGCTTTTTAAGAGGAAAACACATAGATTTTCAGACTGGCCTTCCGGAGGTTTGCTCTTGAATGAGAGAAGGGTTCCCCAAGGCCTGTTCCCTCACAGAGGGTGCCTGTGTTAGGGAATTGAGCAGTCCTTCTGTTCCTTTGTCATGAGGGTCAAATTGATTTTAAAGCTGTGTGTTACCTGCATCTGGGGGAGGTAGCTTTTTCTTCTGTTCAGCATCATAGTTTCTCATTTCCTGGGTGGCTTTTGCAGTTTTACATGGATGTTATTCAGTAGAAAATAGCCAGTAAGTGTTCTCCAAATTATTAATTCATTAATAAACCCATTAAACCCTTGCAGCTTTGCAGCAATTAATGATGAGGTCCATCCTCCATTGGAACTGTCATTTTCAGATGCAGATTCCCACTTTGTTTGAGTGGAACAGGGCAGATATAGGAAAAATGCCAAAGAGTTGTTGGATGACAGGGCTGGAGATTTTTGTGCAAATTCTCCTTTCGTCACAGAAAGCAAGTTCCACAGAGGCCAGCTCATCAAGTATATGTTGCTGTTTTGATGATTAATGATTCTGGCATGTTGATCCACCCTACTTTCTTCAAAACAATTATTTCAACTGTAGTCTCCTCTGGGGAATGGCTTCTTATAGCTAATAACTCAGTAGACGATATAAAATTCTTAAATGAGGATGACACTAGCATGGTTCCACCTGGATGCCATTATGCTGTGGTGTTTATAATTACAGCGAGGTCTGCTTACTTTTTTCCTGAGCTCAGAAAAGCTTGGTGCCATTCATTTAAATGGGAGAGACAGGAACTTCTATTTATAGAGACTGCCCATGCTGGGAGCTGTGTTAAGCACTTTGCGCCTACGTTTTCTCATTTAATCCTTTTAAGACTCCTTTTGAAGAAGGTAATGTCTTTTCCATTCTACAGAACTGGCTCAGAGAGGTTCAGTAACTTGGCTGAGACACACAGCTAGTGAGTGGTGCCACCTGAATTGGAAGAATCACAGGATCCTGGCTTGAAAGTCTATGCTCTCTTTAGGCTTTTGTGCCTCTGGGGTTATTGTACAAAGAGGCAAGCAATTTTGAGTGAAGGTTCCTCGGTAACTAGATTAATGATGTATATGTGGAAAAAGAGACATTAAGTAACAACTATTTATAGAATGCCTATGACATGTGATATGTCAGACCCTCTTGGAAAAGTAGAAACTATAAATTGAATGGGGGGTACTCACTGTTTGAGCACCTCCTACTTGGGAGGCATGATACTAGATGCTTCACATGCATTTTCTTATTTAATCCTCAGGATCATTCTATGTGATAAGTCTCTGTAGCCTTAACTTAGAGCTCAGCGAAGATAAGTAATCTGCACACATAGAAACACAGATTTTAAGTGGCAGGACCAGGATTTGGGCTCATTTTTGAGTTTGTTATTAACAGATAATTACAGTGAGTGAGAATCAGGTTATAGCGCACTCAACCCATGACAGAGGATCAATGTACTCATCAGACACATAGGATGTGTTTAGTGCATGTCCCAAGAGGAAAGGAGCAGGCACTGGGTGGAGAATAACAATGCCTGGCTGAGAAAGTGGGCAAGGCTTCAGGAGGAGGGGAGGTTTGGTTTGGTTCCTAGGGAGCTGGAGTGGGCTCCTGAAACAGGTGGTGAGGACAAAGGCCTGGAGACCAGGCTGGGGCGGCCAAGAGGAGCCCACAGAGGAGGTGCCTGGCACCTGGGACCCTGAGCAGGAATTCCAGGAACTCTTTGCCCTTCTCCTTATCCATACAGTTTTCTTATGGGCTCTCTGCTGCCCCTCTCCTTGTGCCAGGAACCAGTTTGGAAAGCTGTTCCCCTTGGGAGTCTCTCAGTGTTACAGAGGAGAAAGAAAGATGGCAATGATGTATGCATCCTTCACTTCACACTGAAGATCTATCTACTTTTAGATGACTTTTTCCCCAAAATGCAATGGGAAATTTTTTTTTGTTCTGATATTAAAGCAATTCCTACTCATTACAGAATAATCAAATTCTTTAGAAAAGCACAAAGAAGGGGGAAAAAATCCAGCATCTCACCACCTGGAGATAACCACAGTCAAAATGTTATGTATATTTCTCCAGTCATTTTTTTTAAGTGTGTAAATGTGCATACTTCTCAACGTCTGCTCTCTGGGTATAACACTGTTTCACTGTCTTCTGGTTCTCTTCACCATAACCCTCAGTCATCTTTATACATCAGTATGTTTAGATATGTATCATTGTTTCTAATGGCTGCTGAGTACTCCATAGGATGGTTGTATAAAAATTCTTCTTTAGATGGTGTATCTGTCAGGGTCCAATCAGGAAAACAGACCCATAATAGGTGTTTTAAATGGAAAATATTTTATACAGGGAATTGGTTACACAGGAGATGAAAGAGCTGAGAGGAGCAAGAAATTGCTACCACCCCTGGGCTAGGGGTCACACGGGAGGAGGCAGTGATGATACCAGAGGCCAGGAGCCAGGGCCTTCTGGTAGGAGCTGGAACCGCAGATATGCTGTCCTTTGGAACCGGGGCCCTGGAAGAGATGCATGGCACTGCTCTCTCACTGCTGAGGTGCCCCTCAAAGCAGGGGAAGCTGGGGAGAAATGCCCTGGCTTCTGGTTTTCTACCTTCCAACATTCCATCTGGGCCTCCCACTGGACAAAGCTGCCTTGCTGCAGCCAGAGGTCAAAGGAGAATGAGAAATGCTTTTCTCTCTGATACAGAGCAGAGCAGAGGAGAGGCAGAGCCAGGAATTGTTCTGAGATCAAATAGGCAGATGACTGGTAAGGATGAGAATCAGTCAACTTAGTCCAAAGGCTTTGTGTGTCTGAAAAATCTTGGTAGAATTAATGAGATGATATCTTTTTAGTACTTTTGCATGCCCTGCACTGGCTGAAGTCCAGTTGGGAATACAAAGAACTATAGGACATTGCTCCTGCTCTGTAGTAAAGTTCAATAGGGGAGATAATAGGAAGGCTAACAGCACCTGCTGTTTGTTGAGCATTTACTAACTGCCAGGCACTGTGCTCAGCCCTTTGTGTATATCATCATTTTAATCTTCATGGCTCATGGCATCACATTCATTTCTTTTGGACATTTACCTTGTTTTGTCATTATGGAAATGCATACCTGGTTTAGTGCAGGATGTGTTCCTGGAAATGAAAGTGCTCACTGAGTCAGCACTATGCAAGGTCATGACACTTGAGCCCCTGCAGCACAGCGTTCTAGTCTTCAGATGTTGGCAGTCACCCTTCCAGGCAAAGTCCTCAAGGCCATGTCAGGCATCCATCTTTGCCTATTATACTCTCAATTTCTGACAACTGCAGGGCAGTCCATCCAGGCTGCAGCAGTTTTTATGATGTGCTCTCTAAGTCACCGAAGTGGTCACCAATGACTAAAAGCCTGCTGGCCTTTGCTCTGTGTTCTGTAGGTTTTTATCTGGGAAATTGGCATTTTAGCATCATGTGCCAGATTCTTCCTTTGCTAGACAACTTTTGCAAACCATTATGAGTGTTACCCACAATGGGTAAAAACCATGGACCAGAACACAAAAAAAATGGTGAGAAGAGAAGCTTCAGCATAGTGCAGCAGAATTGAATTGGCTCATGATGGTGTGGCAGAACATGTTGGCTGAGAGCTTTAGCTGTATGGTGGGGCCGTGTTTTTTCTCCCTGGCTGAGAGCATAAACAGTTCTTGGAGAAAAGTAGGTAAATCAAAACTGTGCCATTGTGGCTTATGGGTATGTATGTTTGGTAGTTAGAAATGATTTTGGAGACGGCAGTTAAGTGGCTGGGCTCTTCCATCAGCAAAGGCCTGCCTCCAGCTTTGTCCTGTGAGAATAAGGATCATGTCTTGCTTTTGTACATAATTGTATCTTTATCTCCTAGTGTGTGGAAACTTAACAAATATTTACTGGGCGTTGGATATGTACACTACCATATAAACAATCCTCATTTTACAGGCAAGAGCATTGAGGCTCAAATAGGTTAGATAAACAACTAGCAACTAGCAAGGACTAGAGTTGGGTAAGGGTGGAGTCTGACATCAGGATGGGCCTACCGGAGGGTTCTGTGTGTGCTTAGTGCATTCTGAGACCACTGGATTTTCCAGAGAGAGCAGTAAACTCAGAGATTGCAGTTGTTCAAACATGGGTGCACCCAGATTTTGTGGGGCCTAAAGCTTGTATGACATAGTGGCCTTCTTTATAAAAAATCCCCACAGAATTATATATACACGCTTAGGAGTAAAATTATGTGTTGTTTAGGCTGAGAAAATAAATAATCACAAAATTATAAACTTTAAAAAGCTATGCACATTACAAACATGGTCGGGTCTGAAAAAAAAAAGAAAACAGATTTACATTGTGAATTAACTGCCCAACACAGCTTTATAATAAAATTTCCCCATATGTTATGTTTTTTGCTGTATACTTTTTGGTTGTCTCTTTATATGACATCAATTTTGTAATCTTTCTCTACTGAGAGATTGAAAAGATAATTCAGTCTTTCCTCTAGCATGGCTGAGGAAATTTGCTTTTTATTTTTGATAATTGGACGAAGAAAGCACACAACTTCCTACACAGATGTCCCCTGCTCACCGCTTGTCATACTGCTCCCCTCAAGCACAGGGAATCTAATTAATTCTGTGTCATGTGACTCCCACCCAGAGATAGAGGAACAAAGCATGAGCATTTGTGATTGTACATGCTGCGTTATCGGGGACACTCCTATTGGATGAGAACTTCCATTTTAAACAGGCAGCAACGAGCACCAAACCCCCATGGTGGTTTTATGTGTCTGATAACTGGCAGGTTGTGCCACAGGTTAGATTCTGGCTTTATAGGTTTCAGAACTTGTTTCTCCTCCACCTTCCTGGACTTCCAGTGCTGTGCACTGTATGACGTGTTCCTCTTGTCACATGACTTCTCGCCCCATTCTTAAGTGTTACTGTGAGTTCCTGAAAGCCATTTCCACGCCATGGTGACTAGCAGTAATTCTAACTATACACAGAAGTGACCACCAACTACACAGTCCACCCTACTGAATCCTCCTTGAATACATCCCCACCTCTTAGCTGGATTCCAGTGCTACCTGGAACAAGGTGAGATAGAAAGAGAGAGGTCTTAACTAATTGTTGTTAAAAGATCTTACTTTTGCACATCGTATGCAAACATATATCCATGTGAATGCATTGCTAGGGCCTGCTCCGAGATCTTGGAAAGAGCATGCACAAGAAGGAGACCTGAGGCTCTCTTAACCTCACAGCATGGCTGCCTCTAGTTCAGGGGAACTCTGGCTGCCTTGAGTGAAGAAGTTTGCACGGAGGAACTGGAGTTGAGCTGGGTGTGAAGGCAGTAGGACTGGGTGCAGCCTAAATGAGAAGGCGTGTTTTTACAGCGGAGATCATAATTAAATGGCCGTTAAGCTGTGAGGACAAGGAGATGGTGTAGATTAAATGTTAAGAATGGCCATCCCGAAACCTGTCGGTGTTGTTGATTACAGCAGAGTGGCTGACATCCCATGGAGCACTTCCGGTGGCCAGGTGAGTTTCTCCAGCCCTATCTCAGGGAGTCTCTAGGCCATGCATTGAATAAGTCTTAACCTCTGGCATCTATGAATGTGACCACCTTTGGAAATGAGGTCTTTACAGATGTAATCAAGTTAGGATAAGATAAGCAGGATGGGGCTGAATCCTATATGGCAGACATCCTTATGCAGGGAGAAGAGACACGGGGCACAGACACACGGGGTGAGAGTGCTGTTCAAGGCAGAGGGTGAAGTACTGCCTTCAGGCAAACACCCAGGGTGGCCGACAACCACTAGATGCTTATCATGGGATAAGCATGAGTTTGGTGGGTCATTATGTGTTATGTAAGGAGAGAGTTTACTAACAGTGTAAAGACATAAGCCTGAATAAGGGCTACAGCAAATTCGAGGGTGGTTAATAAAATTGGAATGATGAGTGTAATTGAAGCTATGGGTAAATTAATAGTTGAAGCTAGGAAGGGGCAGGGGAGGGTTCTCCCCTACAGCTTTCAGAGGGAATGTGGCTCTGCCAACGCTTTGGTTTTGGATTTCCAGCCTCCGAAACTGAGAGACTAAGTTTGTGCGGTTTAAGCCCCCAGTTTATGGTACTTTGTTAAAGCCACCCTAGGAAGCTGATGCACTCTCCCCTGCCGAACATACAAAGTAGGTGCAGTCACAGCCCCCACTGGCAGAAGAGGAAGCTGAGACACAGATTAAGTGACTTGTTGATGTCACACAGCCACTCACGGTAGAGCCTGGGCAGTGCATCCACTCTCCTCTCTGTAGAGAGGCCCTTCTGGTGGTATTCACATGGTACATGGGCCACTGGTCCAGAGCAGCAGGGGGTCTTGCTCCTCAATTGAAAAGACAATCTGCTTTGCTCACCCAGTGGGGGGAAGCTGCCTCCCTTACCAAACCTGCTGGTTTCCCATGTTGCAGACCTCACCAGGGCACCTTCTGTGGCACATTCTTAATTTCCTCTTCCCATAAAAATCCTATTCCTGACTGCCCCACACACTCTGCAGTTCCTGTCCCCCCGCCCCGCACAACTCAGCTTACATTTCAGCTGGCACACTTCAAACTGATAAACTTGGCAAAGCATATGCCCTTCATTTGAGGGCCTTCTGGAAGCCTGAGAGGAAAAGCAGCTGGGGCAGGGCTTGTGAGCTGCTGTTTACACAGGTTTATTGGCAAGCCTGTGTGTTCCAGGGCCTCGGTCAGGTGCTGTGGGAATGCAGAGATAAACAGAACATTGCTCCTTTCCCTACCTTGAGTATTACATGTGGGTTCAAGCCTTTGAACATCAAAACCTCGTTTCTTATGGATGTAAAATTTTGACTGTGGTTTTCTCCAGGTGATGAGGTGGTGGATTTTTTCCCCCTTCTTTGTGCTTTTCTAAAGAATTTGATTCTTCTGTAATGAGTAGGAATTGCTTTTATAACAGAACCAAAAAAAAAAAAAAAAACCCATTGCATTTTGGGGAAAAAGTCATCTAAAAGTAGATAGATTTTCAGTGTGAAGTGAAGGATGCCTACGTCATCACCATCTTTCTTTCTTCTCTGCAACACTGAGAGACTCCTAAGGGGGATGGCTTTCCAAACCGGTTCCTGGCACAAGGAGAAGGACAGCAGGGAGCCCACAGGAAAAGGGAGTGTGTACAAAGAAAGGAGAAGGGCAAAGAGTTGCTGGAATTCCTGCTCAGGGTCCCAGGCGTCACACGCCTTCTCTGTGGGCCCCTCCTGGCTGCCCCAGCCTGGTCTCCAGGCCTTTGTCCTCACCACCTGCTTCAGGAGCCCACTCCTAGGTTCCCTAGGAACCAAACCAAACCTCCCCTCCTCCTGAAGCCTTGCCTGCCTTCTCAACCAGGCATTGTTGTTCTCCACCCAGTGCCTGCTCCTTTCCTCTTGGGACAAGTACTAAACACAGCCTATGTGTCTGCTGAATACATTGATCCTCTGTCATCGGTTGACCATGCTATGACCTGATTCTCAATCGCTGTAATTACTTGTTAATAGCAAACGCAAAAATGAGTCCAAATCCTGGTTCTGCCACTTAAAATCTGTGTGTCTATGTGTGAAGATTACTTATCTTCACTGAGCTCTGAGTTAAGGCTACAGAGACTTATCACATAGAATAATCATAAGCATTCAATAAGAAAATGTATGTGAGGCATCTAGTATCTTGCCTCCCAAGTAGCAGGTGCTTGAACAGTGGGAACCCCTCCCCACATCTTATAGGTCTCGCTTTCCCAAGAGGGTCTGACATATCACATGTCATAGGCATTCTGTAAATCATTGTTACTTAATGTCTCTTTTTTCTACATATACATCATTAATCTAGTCACAAAGGAACCCCCACTCAAAAATGCTTGCCTCTTTGTACAATAACCCCAGAGGCACAAAAAGCCTTAAAAAAGTGCACACTTTAAAATCAGAGTCCCGTGATTCTTCCAATTCAGTTTGCACTCCTCACTAGCTGTGTGTCTCAGCCAAGTACTAAACCTCTCTGAGCTGGTTTTGTAAGATGGAAATGATATTACCTTCCTCAGAAGGATTCTCATGAAGATTAAATAATAAAATATACTGCTAGTATGTATTGAGTCCCTACTTTGTGCCAGCCCTGTACCTGTTCCACATCTGAAAATACTATTGTGGAAATGAATGGAACAACCCCAGCCTTATAACTCCCCAAAGACTGAGACAGCAGTGGGAAGCAAAAGATGTACTATTTTGAGTTTCTTAACGTTGAGTCCGGAAGTCCTCGTGGATGCAGAGTTCAAGGACGTTTTAGAAGGTGTACCTTACTCCTGAAATTATTTATAACGTATATGTATGTGTATATATGTTTATTTCCATGGGAGAAGAAATATAGTTGGGTTAGGCTTTTAATGGCATCTAAAACTGATTTATTTATTTATTTATTTATTTATTTATTTATTTATTTATTTATTTTTTGAGATGGAGTCTCACTCTGTTGCCCAGGCTGGAGTGCAATGGCACAATCTCCCCTCACTGCAAGCTCTGCCTCCCAGGTTCATGCCATTCTCCTGCCTCAGCCTCCCGAGTAGCTGGGACTACAGGTGCGTGCCACCACACCTGGCTAATTTTTTTTTTTTTTGTATTTTTAGTAGAGACGGGGTTTCACTGTGTTGGCCAGGATGGTCTCAATCTCCTGACCTTGTGATCTGCCCGCCTTGGCCTCCCAAAGTGCTGGGATTACAGGCGTGAGCCACCGCGCCCAGCCTATAAACTGATTTAAAGGAGCTTCAATGTTAATTCCTCATGTAAAGCAAAGGAATCTCCTACAATATGCATGTTCTCCTACAATTTATCATTCAAAACTATTTAATATCTAATTTGATTTTCTCTTTCCCTTTACATTCTGATTCTAAAACGTCTCGTTTCTGTGGAGTGGACCAGCCTGAATTTCTGGACAACTGTTTATAGGTTCTGCAATATTATTTGGCAGTAAGTTCAGGCTGTTTATAAGATGCCTCTTCAAGAACCAATTTCATTTTATAATGGTTGAAAGCACATTGTTTTAGAAGCGCCATGACCCTCAGCATTATGGGCCACCTGGAGTGGGCTCGTGGATGTCAGTCATCATACTCACAGCTCTTGCCATCCTCCCAGTATTTAAATTATTCATTGATGACTCTGAAGCAGTACTGTTTAGAGAAAATTTGTGTATCTGGAGTTGTTAAAATAGAAAACCTGAAATCAGCTTGCTTTTCATTATTCTGTAAATTGTCTCTGCTTGTGTACAGGAAATTTTGTAAGGCATGGAATCACCTTGCCAATATTAGTTGAGTAAACTGTGTCATTGTTCTTCCTTCTGCGCCCTGAGTAGTCCTTGCCCAAAATGAGAACATACTCAAAAAAAAAAAAAAAAAAAGGAGACGAAATGCTTAATGAGTATGTTTGCTGGTAGTTCCTGAAGATCACAACCGGAGTTCATACCCTAGAAACAGGAGATGCAAAGATACTGCTTTAGTATTGACTGACTGTTCTAGAGTAGGCCAAGGGGAACTGTTGGTGGAGTTGGAAGGAAGGTTTATATGGAGCTGTTCATGCTTCTGAAGGAGTTCACAACTGGTGTTGGCAGAATATGGTACTACCTGCATCCTGCCCAAAAATAGTTTCCCTGTGGCTTCCCCAGTTTCACAAATATTATTGTCATGATGCCTCTCAGTTGGTAAGCTGCTTTGAGTAATATCAGTGACAAATAGGTCCAGGACAGCCACAGGCATCTACTGGGATCTGCTCTTTGTCCAGGCTGGAGGAGAAGATCCTGCAGGTGTGAGTATAGCAGAGGCATTCCCCCTTTCCTGGGAAGGTGGAGGAGGTCCCTCTATAGGTCCTGGGCATTCCTACTGGGAGCTCCAAGGCTGTAAAAGAATTCTTAATTCCAATGGAGGCATAGACAAAGAGACTAAGGGGTCAGTTAAGAGACTAGAAGATTCCCAGGGATGTCTCTGTTTCTTCCCTGTTTGGCTAAGGATGAGCCTCTTCCTTTATTAAGACCACATGGTCTTAGACTAGACTCCTAAAGAAGCCTCTTCTCTTTGAGGAAAAAAACCCAGTGGCCACCAGAACCTGGGAGGGAATGGACCCTTGTGAGAAGAGAGCTGCACTTGGTACAATCTGTGTTCATGGGGCTTTCTGTGTGAGGGTGACCTCCATTCACTGTGGCACGGAGCTGCTGGAGGTCACAGCTGAGAGCTGTGTTACAACTGGGTTTCAGAATTGGAGGAGGCAGTTAAGAACTGCTAGAACAACTGGAAAGGGAGGGAAGACATTTCAGAAAGGACGGAACCACAGAAGGGGAGCACTAAAATCATTGTAAACTCTACCCAAGTTATTGGCGGCCCTCTGAACTCACATGAATGGGTGAGACTCCAAGGTTTCCAGCAAAAAGCAACAGGAAAAGTCTGGAAGAACTGAGCAGTTTCAGCTGTGACTCATTGCAGGGGAGACAGTTTGGACTTGGAGTCTAGCCACATTAACTGCCTATTGGAACATAAAAATAAAAATTATTTTAAAAGAAAGATAAAAGAACCTAGAGACTCTTTGTGGCCAACAGTATGTTCTATACAATACAAATCGCTAGGCATGTGAAGAAACAGGAGTGTCTAGGTCATGGTTATTAGACAATTAGATGAAACTGACCCTGAAATGATCCAGATGTGAGAATTAGGAGACAAGTACTTCAAAACCATGTTATAAATATGTTCAGAGACCTAAAGGAAATGGAGACATAATACGCAAATTGGGGATTCTGAGCAGAAAAATGGAAACTATTTTAAAAATGAAAATTCTATCTGAAATGAAAATTTTATCAGATGGAGTCCAGAGTAGTTTGGAAATGGCAGAAGAAAAAGTCACTGAATCTAGACTTACATCAATAAAAACTTACCCAATCTGAAAAAGAGAAAAAAGTAGGAAAAAAGTCAACAGAGTATCAGGGTCCTCCAGGACAATATAAAGTGGTCTAATATATGTGTAATAGGAATCCCAGAGAAAGAAGAGGAAAGTCGGACAGGAAAAATATTTGAAGAAATAATGGCCTAACATTTCCTAAAACTGGCGAGAACATTAATTTATAGATACAGCAAGCTCAGCAAACTCAAAGAAGGATATATACAAAGAAATCTGCACTTAGGTATATTATAGCCAAAATGCTAAGAACCAAAAGAAAGAGAAAGTTTTAAAGCAGCCAGAGAGGGCAGAAAGATACATTATTTATAGTGAGAATAATGATATTTTAAAAACCTGACTCTTTATTAGAAATAATGGAGACCAGATAACAATGGAACAAAATATTTTAAATTTAAATTTATTTAGAACATTAAAACCTGTCAACTCTTAAATCTGCATTATGCAAAAATATTCATCAAAAATGAAGGTAAAATATTTTCAGATAAAAGCAGAAAATTTTTCACCAGCAAAACTATACTGTATGATATGCTAAAGGAAGTTCTTCAGGCTAAAAGACAGTTGTACCAGATGGCAACATGAATCTACAGGAATGAATGAAATATATGTATTTTATATGTAAACATAAATTTATATATAAATATAAATGTATACAGGACTATATATGTATATATTTTTCTTCTCAGTTTATTTAAAAGACAGTAATTTGGATCAAAAACTTAAAAAACTTTATTGGATTTGTAAGGGGTATAGCGTATAAACCCAACATATATTATGTAATATGTGCAAGTGTATTCATATATATGAACATCAGCAATAGCCTGTAGGAACAGGATGTGGGGAGGGGATAAATAGAATGATTGTGTTTCCTACATTAAGTAGTACAACAGGAACTCTGCCTAGACTGTTTTAATTAAGGATACATATTGTGATCATCATATCAGTTACTAAAAATAGTAAAAGATGTAGCCAAAATAGACAGTATAAGAATTAAAATGGTATGCTAAAAATATTCGATTAAATGAAGAAAGGAGATGAGAATTAGAACAGATGGAACAAATAGAAAACAAATAGGAATATGTCAGACCTGAATACAACCATCTCAATGATTATATTAGATGTAAATAAACATTCATGTAAAAATCAGAAATTGTCAGACTGGATTGAAAGGGAGGACACCTAAATGTTGTCTACAAGAGGCTTACTTGAAATATAGAGAAATGGGTAGGTTGAAAATTAAAAGGTGGAGAAATATATACCATGCAAACTATAAAAATAAGAAAACTTGAGTGACAATAGTAATATCAGATAATAGACCTTAAAAGAAGGCATATTAACACAGATAAAGAGAGGTACTTCATAAGAATAAAAGAGTCAGTTCACCCAGAAAACCTAACAGTCATCAATATGTATGTACCTAGTAACAGAACTTCAAATTATTTGAACAAAACCAGACAAGTATAGGAAGAAATAAACAGATTCTCTCTTGTAGCTGGAGATTTCAACACTCCTCTCTCAGCAATTGATGGACAATCAGATTAAAAATTAGTAAGAATACAGAAGATCTTAAAAATGCAATCAACCATCTTGACCTAATTGATTTTTGTGGAACAGTTCACCCAAAAGAAGAATGTACTTATTTTTAATAAGTGCTTGTGGAACATTTGCCAAGAGAAACCATTCAGTGTCATAAATAAGACCCACATTTCAAACCATTGAAATGTTATGAAGTTTGTTCTCTGACCACACTGGAATTGAATTAGAAATTAGTATCAATACAATATCAACAAAATCCTAAATAAATGGAAATTAAACATGCTCTCAGGAGACCCCATTCTGGTATCCAAAGCAAGAGAACCTGCCCTCAGGGTGGGGTATGGTCAGCCCATCACAGTGAGAGGAAAAGGCACCTGGCATTCACTGGGTCCTCACTGCACACATAGCACTGTTAAAAGTACCTTAAACGTAATCTTCATACAACTATTCCTGTTTTAGAGGTGAGAAGAATGAGGCTCAGAAAGTTTGAGTGACTTGCCCACAGTTTCACAGCTAGTGGGTGGGTGAGCTGAGGTTGGGGCCACGTCTGTCTGATTCCAGAGACAGACTTCTCTGGGCCACAGTAAAATACCGCCTTTGAATCATGTTTGTATGGTCACATTTCCTGTCTTGATGAGATTTTGAAATTGTACCACGCTCTTTTCTGATGAAAATATGTCCATTCCTACCCGATTTGTACTTTCTCCTATCATTTTCCTCCTTCTGTTAAAATTAAGTGTGCCAGAAGTCTGCCCTGTGCACCTCGATTGAAGACATTCACTGACCTCCTAGATCTTAGTGAGATAACTTCTGACAATCCTTGGTCTGCTCATGTTTGTGCCCTACCATGTCTCCCCAGGCTCTCCGTTACTTTCTTCCTGCCTTTGTCCCACCTCCCCACCCTGTTCCTCGAGGATTTGAATGCTCACTGCAGGCCAGGCCCTCTACTAGGCCAGAAGGGACCCCTCCCCTCACAAAAGAGAGACACACCTCATAGTCTCCTTAAAACATAGTCTGATACTTATCGTTGTTAAAACAATTCATGCCTGCTATAGAAAGGCATAAAGGAAGAAATGTCTCTTATCACTAAGAGGTAGCTACCCTTAAGTTTTTTTTATATTTGCTTCCACTGTGTTTTTGTTGTGCATGCTTAACAAAAATCCCAATTTTTTCAGTTATAATTTCATAAAATATTCTCATTATTTCAGATTCTTTGGAAGCATCTTTTCTAATGTATCATGATATGCTGTGGAGTGAATGAATCATAGTTTACTCAGTAATTCCAAAGGAGACGCATTCTGAGGACAGTCTTAATTAAAGGGAGATAAGTAGACACATACACACTTATTTGTATAAAAATATACATGTATGTGTGTATTCACACACATAAAGATATGCATACATACATGTATGTGTGTGTATATACATCCCTCTTTAATTGAAGCTTAACTTCAAGAAAAGGCAAAAAGAAAATATACATACATATTATGTTTATATACATATACACATATGTATCTATTGCATGTGTATGTATGTATTGTGTGTTTGTACATATATACACACATAGATACTCTTGTCTGTCCTTCTTGAGGTGCACTCCAGCTAAAATTCTTTAAGCAAAGTACATTGCAGTTCATTGGGATTAGCTGTGCCTATCTCCCCGTTTTGCAGGAGGGCTTGGGTAGCCTGGTCTCAGGAAGCCTGCTGTTAGGTCTCTGCTATTCCATACATGGGCTTCTTCAAATCCCAAGTCCCCAGTCTCCCACCTGTGTGAGCCTGTGTCAAGATTCTGCATAGCATTGAATGTACCTTTTAACCTGTCTCTCTGGGATGATGAATTATGCTAGTCCGGACATCTCCACCAGTCCTTCCAGAGGAAAGCCCTAAACTGTGATTTATCGGTGCTTGTCACAGATGAGTGCTATTTACTTATGAGGCCTGCATTAGTGCCAGGTCAGTGGGAAAGCCTTTTCATCCCCTGATTCACTGGGCAGCACTTGTCCAACAGTAATGTTCACAGACAGAGCCGGGAGCACAATTTCACAGCCTGGATGCTCCTTTAGTTCGCGTTCAGTCGGCCATGCCATGCTTTGCAGTCACCCATCCCAGCCTCTCCATTACTTGGACGCCCAGCCTTGCTGCTTTGCTCATCACTCGTGACTAGAAATGACGTCCTTTAATGCAACCTGAGTCCTGAGTTTGAATGCGGGCTCCCCTTGCGTGACTTGGTGATATTTGAGAAAGGCATGCATATTGCCTTTCTGTGCTTTTGTTTCCTCAGCTTCTGACTTAGTCTGTTCAGGCCACGGTAACAACAATACCATATGTTGGGTGGCTTGTAAACAACAGATACTTATTTCTCACTGTCTGGAAGCTGGGAAGTCCAAGATCCAGGCACTGGCAGATTCATCATCTGAAGAGGGCCCATTCCTCATAGATGCTGTTTTCTCACTGTGTCCTCATGTGGCAGAAGGAATGCGGGGTCTCTTCAGGGTCTCTTTTATGAGGGCACTAATCCCATTCATGAGGGCTGTGCCCTCACAACCTAATCACCTCCTGAAGACTCTACCTCCTGACACCTCACATTGGGGGTTAGGTATCAACAAAAAATCTGGGGGAGACACAAACATTCAGCCCATAGCAACTTCTTAACAGGAATAAGAGTAAACCACCCCCTACTGAGTTGTTCAGAAGATTCAGGAAGGTGATAAATGAGGAAAAACACTGTAAAATGAAGTAGTATGCCATGTGTATTTATTATTTTAATATATAACTCCACTCATATTTGATTCACATAAATCAGAAACCACACCCAATAATATGTATTTTTTTTTTTTCAGTAAAAATGTATTAACTAAACTTGCTTGGTCAGTGAAGTGAGTGTACCCTTAACTCCCTGATGCCAGCATTATAAACAGTGTCTGTAGTTGGCCTGTACTGGGGGAAAAAGTCACGTGGCTACTTTAGCAAATACTGGGTCCTTTAATTCTCAGCCTTCATTGCAATTGTAAAATTGTCAGAAGTGATAAAGTTGTATTTTTCTTAAATGAAATAAGTGGAGAATTGTTCATTGGCTGGCCCTGTGGTGAGCTCTTCGATCCAACAGTTTTGATGAAACATAGACATGCTCATCTCTGTTTCCAGGGAATATTAGCTCTGTGCTGCTGGTGGTAGAGCTCTAAGGAGGAACAGTGGCAAGTAGGGTAGATATAAAGTGAGCTTTCATGGAGGCAGTGACATTTAGAGCAACACAGTGACCACTGAGTAGCATTATGTGAAAGGCATGTCGATTTGTGACTGCAGGGGACATAGTTTATTGTAGAATGTTGGGGAAGTACAGAAAAGCATAAAGAACAAAAAACAGCTGTATTGCAGCCATGCAGGTGAACTTTGGTTGTATATCTAGGTATTTATTCAGGGTATTTGTGCAGTATCTCCCGTGGGTCAAGTGCTGGGATGCATCAGTGACCAGAATGAAATACCTGCCCTCATGCAGCTGATGTCCTAGAGGGAGTAGAGGAAGACAGGCAATAAATGAGTGATGAATCCTACAGAGAAAAATAAAGGGAGAAGGGCAGTGCCAGAAGTAGGAGATCATGGGGGTGGAAAGAGGAGTTTGGTCTTCTTTTAATAGCTAGTGAAGGAAGGATTCATTTGTAAAGGGCAGCTGGGCAGAGATCTCAAGAAAGAGGTAGTAAGCTATGTGGATATCTGAAGGAAAAATATTTCAGATAAGAAAACAGCAAGTGCAAAGGCCCTGAGGCAAGAATGTGCCTGAAACGTTGCTGCAGCAGCAGATCAGAGTGACTGGAGCAGAGTGAACCAGAGGGGAGAGATGGAAAGTAGGAGAAGCAATAGGGTCAAATCCTGGTCCTGGAACATCTTCCCTTCTCTGTGGGATGCTGTCTTTATTTATGTATAGAACCCTGGGTAGGAATGCCAGCTGATATGTGGAAAATAATGGAAAATGTCAGTTTGAGATAAGGGAGGTGACAACTTCCACGGCCTTGGCCTTTGTGTTTTCAGTTGAGCTCATCTACATGGAGGCAGTGTGTTGTGATGGAGACAGCATGGGTGTTGGAATTGTAGGACTTGTGTTCAACTCTTGACTGTGTCCTGGCCAGCCCTGCATCCTTGGGCAGATCACTTAGCTTCTTGGATCTCAGTCTCTTCACCTATAAAACGTAACTAATACAGGGTTTTTGAGAGACTTATAATGCACAGTATGTACTCAATCCAAGCCATTTTGCCTGTATCTATTAATATAGGAAATTGCTGTAGTTTTTCTCATGATGGAAATAAATATGATCTAGTACAGCTAACTCTCAATTATTTTTTCTTAGATGCTGCTGTTTCATCTAGTACCATATGGTTCGATAAAGAAGCCAAAAGACATATGTGGCCATTTAAATTTAAATTCATTGAAATTAAATAAGATTAAATGCTCAATTCCTCAGTCATACTAGTGATATTTCAAGAGGTCATTAGCCCAGTGGCTACTGTTTTGGGCAGTGCAGAATAGGGACCATTTCCAGCACCACTTTTTGAGATGGAGTGTCGCTCTGTCACCCAGGCTGGAGTGCAGTGCTATCTCGGCTCACTGCAAGCTCCGCCTCCCGGGTTCATGCCATTCTCCTGCCTCAGCCTCCCGAGTAGCTGGGACTACAGGCGCATGCCACCACGCCCGGCTAATTTTTTTGTATTTTTAGTAGAGACGGGGTTTCACCGTGTTAGCGAGGATGGTCTCGATCTCCTGACCTCATGATCCACCCGCCTCGGCCTCCCAAAGTGCTGGGATTACAGGCGTGAGCCACCACGCCCGGTGCATCGTTGAAAGTTTTATTGGATGGCGCTGCCCTACAGCAAGTGTCAAGCTTCTGCTTATTCCGAGCTCTTGTCTGTGTATAGGGAAAGTGGTATTACCTTTCTTTATGGTAGTATTCATGATTCATACCAGGAGCACACTCACACTGGGGAGGGGCAAGGTGGGATTTCAGAGCCCCATGACAGGTTTCCTGAATCAGAATTTCTGTGGGTAAGTCCCAGGGATCTGCCTCTTTTTTTTCACTTCCTCTGTGATTCTGATGCAGGCTAAAGTTTGAGATTTGAAGCTCTAGAGGGCATTGTCAGAATTTATTAAAGCATGTAGTCCATCCTAAAATGCTCAGATGATGCAAGCTACAGAATTGCAGAATATTAGTACTAATTGCATATTGCTTTGGTGGATCACTTTCCTTCATCATGGTCCACTTGAGATTAAACTAATTTGTTGGGCTCTGTGAACTCCCCTGGAGACAGCA
This sequence comes from Homo sapiens, assembly GCF_000001405.40. Lineage (NCBI taxonomy): Eukaryota > Metazoa > Chordata > Mammalia > Primates > Hominidae > Homo > Homo sapiens. The sequence continues at coordinate 137,293,259 of NC_000005.10, read as the reverse complement.
TTTCATGTGCTCTAATAAAAGCTGCCAAAGTCTTATTTGTGCTTTCAAAATATTCCTGAAATAAATGGTGCTGTGTGTTCGTTTATTAGATTTATTTAAAGAAATAAGCCCAATACCCAATGGCCTACAATGTGCATCAAAAAAAAAAAAAAAAAAAAAAAAAAAAAAAATTCAACAAACCAACTGCAGAATTGAATGAAACAGCAGTGGCCACAGTTTTCTTAAAAGAATGTGCCAGATGGGTACTGGTCACAGGGGATTACTAGTGACCCTAGTAATAAACAAGATTACAAGAAGATAAACAAGATTAAAATGAAATTATTTCTTACTCCAAATCAGGATTTTCCGCCGTGTTTGCAGCAGCGACTCTGAGGGAAATGTGGCCTGCAAAGAGTTTACTGTCATGGTGCCAGTTTCGTGTTTGTCCAGTGATAAATCAGTGGATTTATGGGTTTAATTACCTCTTATTGCCAACTCCCTTCCTATCTGAATATACGAATTTAAAAGTTAGGATGTGTATCTACAGGTAGTAAAATACCATTTTGTTCTTTCTCAGTGGCTGAATCCTGTATGGAATGAAAATCAAAGGAAAATCTTAAAGATGCGTCAGTGCATTACGCTGTAGAGATTCATGTGCAGAAGACTAGCTGGCTATGCACTAGTTCTGTCCTGGGAAGGGCTTCGTTCTAACAATTGTTTTCTCTGGAAGGTGATGGGTGACTCCATCTTTTCAGATCACATCCACACCCATGGTAGCTGCCCCAGCATTTTGGTCTGGCTCCTCCAACTTTTTTTTTTTTTTTTTTTTTTTTTTTTTTTTTTTTTTTTTTTTTAACTACACCAGTGAATGGACAGCATAGGGTTTTCCTATGAAACCAAGCTCCTTCCTTTTCTGGATGCTGAGCAACACTTTTAGGGGTTTAGCTTAGGGTAGTTCCCATTCGAAACTCTCCTCAGGGGTAATTAAGACTGTTCAGCTTCACCCCCTTTAGTCTGCAGTTTCTTGCTTTGGAAAATATTCCTTCCTCATCCCTCATCCAGAGACCTCTACTGTGTTAGGATTCTCATGGTTACACATGAATGAAATTTAGTTCAGGCTGGCTTACATACAAAGCCGAGTTATTGTTCCCTGTAATTTGAAAGTTCTTTGTTGGACTTCAGGCATGGCTGCATCCAGGCTTGCACTCGCTTTCTCCTCTCTCTTGGCTGCAGCTCCTTTGGCACATTGGATTTATTCTCAGAGATGCTTTTATCACATGACTGGGAAGATCTTCTCTGGCAGTTCCAAGCCAGCCTCTTCCTAATAGGGCCATGTGGAGAGAGAACCCTTTCTCTCTGGCATCCACATGCAAACAGGAAGGGTTTTTACCAAGCTGTGAAGGTCATGCATCCATTCCTTGATGCATTGCTGTGGCAAGGAGTGTGAGCTCACAGTGGCCAGCCTGGCTGGGGGTGTGGTCAGCCATGCCTGGACCTTACGTAAATGGTTTGCTTGGAAGAAGGGGGAAGCCTGTGGGACAGATAAAACAGAGGTCCTCTCCACCACTCCAGGCAGGGCATGTCCAAGCCTCCCATCAGCTTTCATTTGCATGGAGTTCTCATAGCTCAGCTTACCCCTCTCCTTGCTCAAGGGAGCTCCGTTATTTGCTGCATTTGGTTCTAGCCTGGACATATAAAGCAGTCTTATAGGTGTGAACTCCTTTGCCCATACCTGACCTCAGTTGTGGTGGCCTCCTGGAGTTGCCATGGAAACACCATGATGTCAGGGCCTGTTCTGATTCTGGTTTGTAGGACCTGGGAGATCTTACTGACCTTTCAGGTGAAGGAATTACACACTTGCAACCTGCCTGTGCCCCTCCCTGGCTGTGTAAAGTTAACTCTTTTGAGCCTCACGTTTTTCATCTTTCAAATAGGGCCAGTAATCATAGCTAGATTAGAGGACTGTTGTGAGAATTAAATCAAATTTGGGACAGAGAGCTTGCTTAGCCTGTTGCCTGTCATGTGGTTGGTGCCCATCCCTGGTGGCTCTGCTCCTCCAGTGTCTGTCTGCTCTTTTCTGGGCTGGCATGCATGCTTCTGCTGAGGCAGATGGATGGATTTCCTATTCTATAGATCACCAGGTAGTTCAGGGAGGTGGTCAATTGTGCTGTTAAGCATGTGGGTTCTGGATCAAGACTACCAGGTGAATCTAGGCTCTGGCTTTTACCAGCTGTGTGTCCTCAGGCCAACCCCCAAATTCCTCTGTGCTTAGTTACTTCACTTGAAAAATAAAAGAGAGAGTAATGAGGATTACATCAATTGAGATGTTTTATGCACTTGGAAAGATACCAGCACTTAGTAAGCGATCAATATGTTAATTACTACTTGTGCCAGTACTAGGCTTCCCTTGTGCCTTTCTGGCTTTCCAGACCTGTCAGGGTTGAGACTAGACAAGGGCCCCGCTTCTCCCTAACTGTGGGATGTACGCCTTCAGCAGTTCACCTGGTATTAGGAAACCTGTCCGTTCTGCCATATGAAGGTTTCCCTGGAAATACCTTTTTCTGGCTCAGAGTATTTCTTTATTTACAACTAAGCAGTGGCCCATGTCAATCATATCAAGACATCAGAATAGCCTGTTTCTGTTTCACTTATTTCTCAAACCTTTATTAAAATGTGATACGCATGTGTGCAAAGTACATGAATAGAATGGACTTACCACAAAGTGAGCACACCCATGTAACCATCCCTGAGATCAAGAAACAGAATATTACTGTTACTCCAAAAGCCTCGCTCATGCTCCCCTAATTGTATTCTCCTCCTGACTCCTTTCACCTCCCTTGTTTCCAAAGGATACTGCTGTTCTAACTTTTCATCATATGTTAGTTTTGCCCTTTTTTGAACTTTATATAGATGGATAGATGGACTCACACAGTTTATATTCTTCTATGTCTGGCCTTTTGTCAGTCACTGTTATGTAGGTAATATCATCTCTGGTAATGCATAGCAATTTTTTTTTATGTGTAAAATTCAGTTGTGTGAACATAACACAATGTCCATTTGATTAATATTCCTGGTGGATATTTGAGTTTTTTCAAATGAGGGTAATTTTGAGTATTTCTGCTTATGAACATTTCTGTTGAGATCTTTTTGTATTCCTGTACTCATTTCCATTGGGTAAAATCCTAGGGTTGGAGTTGCTGGGCTGTGAGGTTCATGTGCTTATCTTCAGTTCCTATTGCCAAACAGTTTTCTGAAGCAGCTGTAGCACTTTAATGCTGCCCTCCTGCCAGCAGTGTGCAGGAGTTCCAGTTGCTCCACATCTTTTCTTATGCTCGGTATGGCCATTATCTTTTAGTTTTTAGGCATTCTGGTATATTTTGGCCTATGGGTATCCTATTTTGTAAAGTGCCTATTCATACTTTCTGTGTCTTATTTTTAATTGGATTATCTGTCTTTTTCTTATTGATTGGTATAAGTTCTATATGCAAGCCATTTGTTGGTTTTAAGTGATGCAAGTATCTTCTCTCTCACTATGTGGCTTGGCTTTTCACTCTCTTTTTGGTGTTTTTTTGAGGTGGGAGATGCTTTATGAATTTTATTCTTTGCATGCTCATTCCCGTATGCATTTTAAAGCAAGATCTGGGAAAATGTGGTTTTCCTCCTCTTGTTGAGCAGGATATACAGCTCTAATGGCTTTGTTCTAGCTTCAACCAACACATCTCTAGCTGGGAAACTTGTTGTCTTTCTCCCCTGAATTGCTGCTTCTTTATGATAAAAAAGTACCACTTTCTCCCACCTTTGCCTCTGGCTTACATGTTAGACCTCTTTTTAAAGGACTCATTTCCACTGGGTAAAATCCAAAGAGTCACTGACTCTTTGGATCATATTTTAGACCATGGAACCAGAATGTGCCGTGTTTTAAAGAAAAGCAACAAGCCAATCAAGTATTTCCTTTAACCATTTTCCCTTAAAATAGTTATATGATGAGCAGGCCTTGGAAAGAAAAAAAGGAGGTAAGGGTTAAAATACATATAATTTATAATCATTTATTAAACAAGAGTATTACTTATAATGAGCATTCATCAGTCCTTTAGCTAAGCACATTACATGGATTAACTCATTTTGACTTGGTAAACTCTATGAAGCTTGCTTCATTAATAACCTCATTTCATAGATTGGATAAGTGAGGTTCAGTTCATTTCTAAGGTTACGTAGTCAATAATCTTGTTGAAGCCAAGACTCAAGCTGGGTTCTGTTGGACCCCATAGCTCAGTACTCTACTGCACTGCTCTGCTGGTGAGGATGTATCCTTGCTTTTTGCAGTTTGCATTAAGCTAATCAAACCACATTTCGAGCTTTCTGCTATGAATAGTTCAGTACTGAGGAAAAATTGGGTAGCTTTTCCTTCCCCAGTTCTCCATCACAGAAATAAATCAATGAAGTCAACAGTCACCTTAGTGGCTTTTAAAGTTGTTTACTAAAACATCATTCCAGATGGCATTGTGTCCTGTTCCCCTGGTACAGTTAGGAGAGCCTGGAGGTTCTGGATAAACCGTGAGGGACTTCAATAACCTTGCTTAGAATTCTGTATGTAAAAATCTTTGTGAGTCCAGATTTTCCATCTAAATGTAGCCTGGTGTCCAGGCTTGGCAGCAAATGACTGCCAGGTCTCAGGAACCTAGGAGAGGCTAGCGATTTGATTCTCTGGCTGCTTCTGGACCCTCTCTGTATTCACTGATTAAAGACCCTTGCTTTATACCCCACTGGCCAATTGTTCACAAGTAAGAGGGATTCAAAGTAGAGAGTGAGAATTGGCTGTGCCTGGGAAGATAGAGCCTTTAGAAGGGGAAGCATTGTGTAGGATTCAGGACACTGTGCTGGTCTTTCTATGTTGTGGGCAGCTTATTGTCAAGACCTGGGACAGAGTTAGGATTGGGTATGTCCAAGGGTTCTAAGTCTCTTAGATTCTTGGCTTATGGTTGGAAAGGAGAATAGGTATGCTGCCATTACTTGTTCTTTCAAAAGTCAGTAGCAGTGTGCATTGAGCCACGGAACTTTACCAAAATTGAGATAGAAGCTGCCTCTACATTGTGGAGTTGTGTGCATTGAAGGAGAAAATCACACAGAAGCTGAGGACTGTGCCTGGCTCCCTGTTGCTGAGTGAGCACCATCAATGCTCTTGGGACCATAACAGTGGTGAAGTTAAGTCTCTCTGGAACTGTTACAGCTCACTTATTTGTCATTTGGAGGGGACTCTTGCTGCTTCCCTTCTCTCTTTAACCAGAGGGTCTTTTCTTATTGTCCTTCTTCTTGATTATTGATTACCTCTTGTAATGGGACTTCCCTTTGCATTTAACTTGAAAATAGTATTTTCTCAATTTTATGGCTTGTGACTTCTACCCGCCCATTGCTTCTCTCCCCATGTAGGTACCGCCTAAAGCACAAACAGCTGTTTTCTGGGTAATTTTCCACATTGCATTTAGCAGTAGTGAAGGGCTCTGGGAATGATTGCCCTAGCCTGAACCAGCTGTCCATAGACACAACTACAATGACAGCATAAAAATTGGCTGTTTAGGAGTTCAGAGCTTAGTAATTGCAGGGAGCAATTTGCTTTCTCTCTTCACTAGTGTCTATCTAGAGACAATTGCAGAAACTGTTAGAGGCATCTGAGAAAAATCTTGTCCTTAAAGTTGGAGATTAAAAATGGAAAGTGTAGTTTCTTCCATTTGTTAACCAGTGCCTATCAATTTCACTAAATTTTTGCCCTCTGCAATCTCAGGGAGACGATTCTGAGTATATTTTTTCCAGTTGGGTAGGATGGGGGAGAACAGAAGCCTCAAGGGTGCTTAAGGACCCTTTGCCAGCATTGTCACTGCAAGGAAGTCTCGTCGAGCCCTGAGGCAGGAGCATGCCTCTGTGTGGAGGCGCTTCTGGTGGTGTTTGGTTTAGTTTGCCTCCTGCAAGTTATGACCAGAAGGTCTGAGTCTAGGAGGAGGGGCATGATGAGCAGGACATACAGTCAGTCTTGGGACTGGACCCCGGCTGTCTTCTGACAGGGAGCTTTAGGGCAGAAACAGTTTGCACCATGGCAGCCAAGTGGGGACTTGTATGTCCCCATAATGCTTGGCTGATGACTTTGGAGGCAATGGTCTGAAGAACTGTGGCCTGGGAGCTTGCAGGACCAACTGAAAAGCAGTGTGACCCTGGGTGCCACCTATTTTTCTTCCAGGTTAACAGTGTGTTTTTGTTAAGGATGGCACCTGTAGAATATAAACATCAAGATATTAGGGAAATTCTCCAGCACCTCCTGTTGCCTTTTAATAAGCTCTTGTAAAGTGATCACTAAGAGAGCTAATAATTGTTGAACTGAATAGAATTTGTGTAACTCTTCCTTTAAAGTACCTGTTTTCCACTGTTACCTTTTGAGATAATGATGTAGGTTAATTCATACTGTGTGTGAAACAGTGGTCTATTTGTCTTCTTACTGCAAAATTCTATCCTAAGGTTGTTGGGGGAACTTTGTTCTCCTTGTGGCCGAGACTTGGTACCTGGGTCCCTGTCACTGGCTTCACCTACCACCCTCCTGCTCTGTGATTTGACACACTCAGACTCTATTCTATCTCCCTTTGCTGTTCTAGGCTGCAGTCTCCCCTGGATTTTGGTGAGGCTGGTCCTCCCTCATTCTGCCTCCCTGGGAGGTACACTAGCAGGGCTGCTGCAGCCACCATGGGCCTAGTAAGAAATAGAAGGAGGGGCCCTTCTGGGTGAGTGCAGACCTGCTCCAGGGTGCTTGGTTACTGTGTGCAGTGCAGATGGGATTTCAGCCTGCGTTAGTTTCCTGACCTGGCATTCTTGTTCAGCGAGTGACCTATACAACCATCCATGGCAGCCCTGTGGACTCTCGTGGCCAGGGCAACACATAGATGTTCAAGAAACATTAGTTCCCTACATCCCTTCTTACTCATAGTATAAATTCACTCTTTTCTGAGAAGAGAGTTGCCAAATTTAGAATGTTTTTGAGGCCATGTGATATAGTGGGAAGTGTCTGACCTTTAAAAACGAATGGACCTAGATTTAGATCCTGTCTGGCTTTGTGCTTTGACACTTAGCCAAGTGTGTGAACTCAAGCAGGTTCCCTAACATCTCAGCACCTCATTCCCTTTATCTTTAAAATGGTAAAAACAGCATTGACCACCTAGGGTGGTGAAGAACATTAAGAGATGTAGTCTGTTTAGAGCAGGATGGACAAACTCAGCCTACAGGCCTGCTCCAGCTGAGGCCAGCTAGTTTAGAATGATTTTTAAAGGAGGGGTTAAAAAGAAGATGAATGTGTGACAGAGTCTGTATATGGCCTACAAAACCTAAACTATTTACTATTTGGCCCTTTACAGAAAAAAAAAACAATTGTGCTGACTTCCACTTTGGAGGGTGAGCCCTGCCTGGCACAGAGTAGTGGCTCTACATGTGGTATTCTCCCCTCTTACAAATATCTCCCTAGGGCTCTTCCATGCCTGAACAATTGGTGCAAAAGGCTTCCATTACCAAGAGCAGACACAAAGGCCAAGGCGAGGCTGAAATGCGGATCTATTCAAAATGGAATGCCATGGCAGCTCCATGTTTCATGTCTTTTTCCTGTCTTTAAGTAGAAACCTCACTGAGGACCTTCTGTGCTAATAGTTACCACAGGTGTGAGTGGCTCTTGATGATTTCTAATAAATAACCATGTTTAAGCTGAATATGAGTGGGCCATTTTTCTGACGGTCTTTAAACTGGTTATTTATTTTCTTGGAGAAATCTAACCCAAAATGGTTTGGTAATGAACTGCTGCTGTTGTTAAGGGACTTGTTCACATTACAGTGAGGGAAATTTATGTTTCCAGGTAGATTTTAGCTGTGAAAGATTCAAGAATAATGTGGTCCTCTAAAGAGCAGAGAGACAATGTTAATAACACAAAAGATCTGTGCTGCTGTGGTTGAGCATGTGTTCATAATTTATTTAATATTTTCTCCAGTTCTGTCATCAGGTATAATCATTGTGTGGAAGAAGAATGCAAGGACCAGCAGGAAGACAAGCAATGACCAAAATCAAATTTGCATCTAATTTTAGTGAGACGGGCCCCAGGTTTCTTAACGTGTGTGTGTCTGCGAGCAACCCGCTTGGCTGTTGGGCCCAATCTGTGCTTGCGCTGCTGCTGGGGACAGAGGCACATTAGTCTGGGGCAATTCACATATCGAACTGTGGGCTGATGCACATTAGCGAGTTGTTCTCCATACATTGAGAACTGGCCCTCCCCAGAACTTGTGTAAACAAAAGCTGTATGAGCGAGACTTCTGCTTTATCCTCTGCCCGCTGCCCATCTCTACCCAGGAGCCATGCAGAGGTCCAGTGTCATAGCAAGGTTGGTTTGGGACCAGCTGTTCCCTCATCTTGTAGTTCCCAGAGCTTCCCTCACAGTCACAGAACTTGCCACCTCTTTGAACCCACCCCTCCTTTCCCAAAGAGGAGTCATTTGCACACAGGTGTTAGTGCGCCCAGTGGAATTCACTAAAGATTTTGTGTGGGAGACTAAGGATGGGTCTTACCTCACACACTCCACAACAGACAGTCTCAAAATTTGTAATTAAACATGTATTTTCTCCTTTCATGAGGTCACTCTGCCACCCGAGGGCCCTTCCCATGGACTGGCTTTCTCCTGACCTTACTCTAGTGCAGAGCCAGGCCCAGCACCTTCCTCGTCCTTCCGTCCGCTTCCTTCCAGATGTCTCTTAGGATTTCAGTTCTTCTCCCCTCTCCTTCTAAATCCTGTGTTCACTCATGTTTTAGCACAGAAAGCTCAGTTTCCCTGGGCTTTATCAAGGGTTGTCTTTTTCCTTCAAAAGAATTGTTAGTTGCCAAGAGGAGTCATAATTTCTCCATGTAGCAGCTTTGATTCAACCAATACCTGTTCTGAGTCCCTGCTGGTTGTATGGGTCTGAGTCGGGTGCAGCAGAGTTCACCCTTTGGGAGATGATGGTCTAGAACTTGGTGGAATCTGTAGCCAATTTGGGGCAGTAGGCTATCGTGGTGCACAGAAGGAGCAGTTGGACAGAACCAGATGTGACTGCTGGCTCTTGTGTTTCCTGCCTGGTGTCACCTGGAACAGGTTACTTAACTTCTCTGAGCCATAGTTTCCTCAGCTACAAAATGTAGAGGCCACCATCATCCTTGCAAAGTCATTGTGCTGATATTGTGGAATAATCTACATAAAGCACAGAGTGCGGTGCTTGGCAGGCCATGGATGTTCAGTAAACATTCATTTGCTTCCTGTTGTAGGTGAACACAGGCTCAAGTTACAGTTTCTTGGTTTCTGCTTAGAAAATGGCAAGGTACCATTACCTCCTCTAGGACCTGGGTCCTTGCTCTGCTGCCTACTGGGCCTATTTCAGGTCTGTAGTAGAAAATGTTTTCACATCGACTATGCTCATTTTCTTGGTCACTGTCTCTTCCTTGAATGCTATTTGCAGAATATTTTCATTCCCTTTTACCTCTACACTAGTTTTTTTTTTTGTTTGTTTCATCTTGTTTTTGAGATAGGGTTTTGCTCTGTCACCCAGGCTGGAGTGCAGTGGCATGATCTTGGCTCACTTCAACCTCCACCTCCTGGGTTCAAGTGATTCTCCTGTCTCATCCTCCCAGGTAGCTGGGACTGCAGGTGCACATCACCACACCTGGCTAATTTTTGTATTTTTTGGTAGAGATGGGGTTTCACTGTGTTGGCCAGGCTGGTCTCGAACTCCTGGCCTCAAGTGATCTGCCCACCTCGGCCTCCCATAGTGCTGGGATTACAGGCCTGAGCCACTGCGCCTGGTCTCTGCTAGTTCTTAAGTGTCCTCACTTTCCATCCTTTTCTGACTGAGGCCGACAGGCATGCCATAAATTCAGGAGGCAGACACCCTAGTAGAAGTTTGTCACTTCAGGCTTGGATCACTTATAACATGTGAGTGAACTGGGAGCTGAGGAAGGATCCAGGAGCAAGTGTTGAGGAGCAAAGGTAGGGAGGAAGATCATGAGGGCACAGAAGCTCCACTGGGAGGTAGAGGCAAAAGGGGTAGAGTCTCCAAGGATAAACCTTACCCCAATCAAAGATACCCACTTGGAGGCAGCTCCGTCCCCAAGGAAAGGTGGCAGGTGCCTCAGAGGATCAGATTTAACACGAGGAACTGAGCCTCGCATCCTTACCTGAGGACTTTCCAGCCTGTGCCCCTGTAGATGCCCACATCTGCACTGCACACTTGCAGTTGGATTGTGAAGTGGCTTCTCCACAAGTTCTGTATCTATCCAGAGTGTAAAAGGTCTAAGCACCTAATGCATCTGCAGTCAGTTCTTGGCACTTTTCTGGGCAGCTTTAGTCAAATGGGAACCCCTGGGATTTCAGAGCCCCACTTCAGAGAGGAGCTAGAGTCTAGTGCAGTATTTCTGGGTTTTCTCCTTTGGTGCCTGGTCTGGCACTGGGCACTGCTGAGTCAAAAGTAGATGATACCATAGCTTCTGAGGAGGCCAAGTCTCTTCATGGCAGGGACCGGGAGGAAGAAACTGGAGATTTTCTCTGGCCCAAATGATGTTGGAGAGTCCCAGCATCATTTGGAAGCTAAGGAAGGGACCTTTAATGGCTGACTTTGAACCTGGCAGCTTTTCTCCAAACAAACATTTCTGTTTGCTTTATCACCTTATTATGAAGGCATCACCTCCTTCCTGCTGGGTCTGTTCCCACTGATAGCAGGAGTGTGGGCCCATCAGGATTTGATGTAGACGTTCCTAGGCAGGACGCCTGCAGACAGCTGGATGGACTGCAGTGGCAGTCAACAGATAATGAGAAATCCATCACACATGCGTGTTTGCTTGCAGCTCTGAGCTGCATACCTTAAGCTGTGAGTAATGTGATTACTTAAGTGGCATTTTATTTACACTTTTGCACAGAGCAGCGGCTGCCGCTTTTCCAATGCAGCTATCACCCAGATTTGATTTTTAAAAATCTCCTCAGAGTCAGAATGGCAGCATCACAAATATACTAATCCAGAGGAAAGTAGCGGTATATTTTTAAAACTCTGTTATCAGCGTAAGGCAGAGGATATACTGGGGTCAACTACAAAATATAGTTACCATTTCTTGGTGCATCCTATGCGCTGGGTGTTTGGCATGTAAGTCTCAAATAATCCTCCCGTTAACCCGATAGAGTAGGCACCATTGCCCTCATTTTCAGATGAGGAAACTGAAGCCTAGGAAGGTTAAATGCTTGTCCAGAGTCACTTAGGCAATGGCAATAGAAACATCAAGAAAAGTTACCAGTTAAAAAACTGCCATAGCTGTTCATATATTTCATGTTTTAGACCAGGAAACAGAACCGTTAATTTTAGCTCCAAGCTGGGCTAAGAGCTGAGTTTTGTGAAGAGAGGTGTGAGAAACGGACATCCGAGGCTGTGATGGGCAGCTCGACAATAACCCACACGGTATTGTTCCCAAATAATTCCAGCAGGCAGCCCTGACAGGGTGCCTTCAGTTCTAGCTGTGACTTGTGTGTCTCGCTGGTAAATTAGATGAGATAGCTGAGCCCCGAATGCTTGAACAAATCGAGCCACAATTTGGATCTTTTGCAGGAGCTGTCACCGCCTTGTGGGTAAACGTGATTTCTGGGGCTTTCTCCTGCATATTTCTGGCATGGGCCATGGGCTATGTGTTGGTGGGTGAGCTGAGGGTCACTCCTTGCTTATTTCAGATCTTTCATTTCTTAATAGGGTACAGAAATGCCAGGACAAAAGAAATAAATGAATGGGTGACACTATTTGCCATCCCAGAAACAGGCTAATTATAAGGGTTTGTGGTTCCATTCAGCTGCCTGGAAACATTCCTGGACTTTAGCCATGATCATGGCCCAAGAAGCTCTTCATTTTTACTTCTCATGTCTGGGATGTAGATACTTTTCTCAGAGTCTATGCCACTGGTGTACGTGGACCTTATACTGTAGATTTTAGTGCTATGTGAATTCATGTAAAAATGATTTTACTTTTCTGGGCTGTAGTTTCCCAGATTATAATGTTAGGGTGATGCTGTCTTCCTTATACCTACCCCAGAGGGCTTTAAATGAATGAGTCAATGATTGAATGAATAAATAAATGAATGAATATATAGATAATATATGAATTTAAGAAGTAATCCATGTTTTTTTTTTAATTGAAAAGTAGTAAAGTAGAAACAGGAAGAAACCCTTCATATTCCCATAACTATCTTTACCATTTTGATTTTTCTCTAATCCTTTTCTGTATTCCCTTCTCTTCTTCTTACAGTGGGTCATGGGCACTATGTAAGGATGGTTGAGGCTTCCAGCACATTGGTGGAGGTGTCTGTCCTTCCTTTGCAGGCCTCTGAGCGCTGGGAGGAGGGGATTGGTGCACCGGGGCTGTGTTTACAAGGTGGATGAAGTAATCACTGTGGCATCTTTAGTCTTCTTTCATATTGTTTTTCTGTTTTCTTCTCATGTCTTCCTATGTAACTTTCCCCTAGAGTCTTCGACTTGCAAGAGAATGTAATTTTGCCAAAGGATTTGGTCTTGGTAATTTGTTCAAGAGATTCTGTTTTAGTAGTTCTGGGCATCATGAGAAAAATCCAACTGGAATCTTTCTTTAATATTCATAAGTTATTTAACAGGAAAGGGATTTTTAAAGATCTAGGACATAATTACTGTTTGTGTTCATGTTAGGTCCTTAAAATTTGGAAGCAAAAATAAAAAGAAAAGCAAAAGCAGCTTATTGCTTTAGTCTGCCTTGTATTCTTTCAGTGCATTCCAGTCCTTGCTAGTCTGAAAATTGCTCCTACTTTATTTACACAGAGCTTTTAGGCATATTTGATTTATCATTTGACATGTTTAGAATCATACAATGTTAGGACTGGAAGGGACTTGCAATGTTATTAACATTCCTATTGTTTCCCCAAATAATAAATGAAAACATAGAAGTATTATATGATTTCTGTCAGCTGGGTGCTCCTTACAAGAAATAAATATGTCCTTATTGATGTGTATTTTTTTTATCATATAAATGATCTTACCTGATAATTTTACCCTGGAGAGTTTTTATTTTAAAAGATGGGACTTAGGAACCCTGGTTGTTCCTCTTCCGCTTCTCTAGTCCCCTGCAAACTAGAGTGTGACCTTTCAAAGGCCGAGTGAGAGCCAGAGGCCATGAATCATGATCACTGGCTGTGCGGGGGACCTCCAGGGTCCTGGTTTCATGGGCACATGGCATGGCCCTATGAGCTCACCTTCAGAGGGAAAGATGTTTACTTATTTAACAAAGGAAAGGTACAGCAAGCTCTCAGCATGTCTCTTTAGGAGGGAAAGAGGGCAGGCAGAAGACTAGTTGGTTTTAATTATGCTTCATAATGATTCACACATGTCCATAACAGGTGGCATGGCAAAACTTGCTGCTGGATTGGAAGGGCCAGGGTGTGAGCTTGCTTCTTGTCCCTTGGGTGGCATAGATACAGTGTCATGGCTTAGCCTTCCAGCTAAAGTGGAGGGATTGTAATTGTCATATGCATTATCTCCGGCAGCCAGCTGCAGTAGCTACAGAGTTTCCTAGTCACAGAGCAAAGGGCAGACTGAGAGGTGCAGGAGACACTGAGTAGAGCTGCCAGCATCTCCCATTGTCTCTTCTCTGTTGTTGCACCTGGGCTCATGCTTCACGGCCTTTTGTCATAGATTAAAGCTGCTGCGGCAAAGACTGCATGATCGTGCACCTGCCAGATCCCCTGAATGCAATGTCCTCTCTCGCTCCACTGTGTGTCCATCCTCTGGAAAACTGTCCTTCAAGAACTAGCTTCAGTGGTACTTCCTCAGTAGAATCTTCCCTGGTTCTATGGAATAATTTGTGACTTCTTCCTCTGTGTACCCATAGCTAATTTTTCTAAGTGATAGTTACCAGGTCATGTTATGCTTAATCTGGTTACCTTTCTTGTTACTTCTCCTCTGGCTAGACCATGGGTTTCAAGAGGGTAAGGGTAGTTGTTAGTCTTCGCTGGTGTCCTTGGTTTCAGTTGGGCTCCATCTAATTTGTCCCACACAGAGAGAGTGCAGTATGCTTTAGAAAATACCAGTTTGGTGGAGTCACCCTCCAAATAAGCCCTCCAGGGGCTCCCCAGTGCTTATAGGTTAGATCTGGATGTGTCATCGGGCATTGAGGTCCTAGAGCCTTTGATCTCCATTTCTTTCCTAGTCTTAGCCTCACTCTGTCTCTGTGGGTGCCCAGGCCCTAAATAAGCGGGACCAGATAATAGCATTCCCCCTGGGGGGAAGTAGGACAGCCAGTTGTTCATGGCATAGACTAGTACATTGGTCCTCAATAGTGGGGTTAGGACTACTATCTGGGGACTCATGTGCATTGCTCTTGTTCTAAAGACAATTCTCTTGTAGGTTCTCTGGACCATCCGTCTTGTCCACATGACATCAGTACGTCATCTCTCTGTCCAAGGGGTCAGCTGAGCAAGTTATGAAGAGTGGAGCCTGGCTGAAGTGCCTCGTGGTCATTTGTTTCTATCAGGCATCTTTCTGTCAGTGCTGGGGAGGAGAAATTGTGTTACAACAATTACAGAGTTGCGTCAGTGCCTGTTGGGTAACAGGCAGGGTAGCTCAGGACTCCTTGACCCCGCAGCCTTTGGGAGTGTGGGTTCTGTGGAGAGCCTTCAGTCAATCTCAGAGGACTGTTCTACCCATGTGGTGGGCCCTGCTGTTAGCAGTGGCTGTTGCTCAGAGAGGGGATGCCCACTCTTCTCCATGGAAGCCTTGTTGGTGATTGTACAGGAAAACTGTGGCTCAGGAATGTGGGTCCATTTGTGGTAGGCTTGCCTACTCTGGTTACCTCTTACCGTGGGGAAAATGTCACTTCCAAAATTGCAAATTTCAAAGGAGAATTATCAGATCAAGACAGCACAGGCTTGGAGTGGACAAAGTCTTGGACTCAATTTATTTCTGGGGCTTTGGTGAGGAGCGTCTGCTGTGTAAGTGGATCCAAAGGCTGGAGCCTCAGGATACAGGGCTGCAAGGTGGCAGCTAGGACAGTCTTAGGGACACAGTGAAAGGAGTTTTATTGCTTTCTTTCCCAGATGTTCCTTGGAAGAGAAGCTGCTGAATGGCAGGGCTAGGAGGAGCCATAGCATCCCTCACTTTGCAGCTAAAGAAAACTTCATGCCAAGCCTGCAGCCATAGTTTTCCAGAGAGATGATTCATGCTAAAGCCACTACATCCTCAGCATGGTGCTTGGATGTTGGTGTTGGATGTTTCACTTTGCACAGGGCCACCAGGAGTGCTGGTGGTAAACAGGTGTGAGTGCTCAGTTCAGGGCACACAAAGGCAGGAGACTCCTGTGCATCTCCTGCCGGCCTGCTCTTGGGGCTGCTCTCTTTGGGGCCAAAGGCCATGATTCTTCCCAGAAAACCATCTTAGTGAGGCTGGGCCTGAGGGTAGGGGTGGATCAGGAATCCAGGGTGTCCTGCCTGCTTTCTTGGGGCAGACACATGACAGATAGACCGGCTGTCCACTTACTTAGAGACCTTGTGAAGCAGGTGTTTTCATCCCCTATTTCACAGATAGGAAAGCTGAGGCTTCAGATATAATGAGAGTCCTGGTAGTGGTAGTGAGAATCTCTTGAGAGGCCCGTCATCTGTGCTGTCACCTCCCATTTCTTGGTATCTCCTGTATCATGGTGCATCTCCACAGGGCAGGCAGCCCCATGCCTTCTCTCCAGGGTCTCTGGTGTTCACATTGATGCCATTGAAGCAGTAGTATGTAGTGGTTACAGCATGATCTTCGAAGTCAGGCAAAAATGGAGTTCAAATCCTGGTTCTGCTTCTCACTAGCTGTGTGAACTTGTATAGTAATTTTATCTCTCTAAGCTTCAATTTCCACAACTATAACACTGAGATGCTTGTCTCAGATGATTATTGCAAAAGTAGCTCATGCCTGTAATCCCAGCACTTTAGGAGGCTGAGGCAGGAGGATCACATGAGGCTAGGAGTTTGAGACCAGCCAGGGCAATATAGCAAGACCCCATCTCTACAAAAAATTTAAAAATTAGCTGGGCATGGTGGTGTACACCTGTAGTCTTAACTACTTGGGAGGATGAGGCAGGAGGATCACTTGAGCTCAGGAGTTCCAGGTTACAGTGACCTACAATTGTGCCACTGCACTTCAGCCTGAGTGATGGCAAGACCCTGTCTATTAAAAAAAAAATGTGGTAGCTGCTATTATTACGATGATTACTATTAATATTACTATTACTTTGATGTTTTGATTTGGGCTTTGATTTGATGCAAGTCCTAAATCTTGTATCAGATTTTGGCTCAGCTGTGGTGTTCCAAATCATGAAGTCCTCTTGGTCCCTGAGGAGACTCAGGGCATTAGTAGATGTGGGGTGGGGCCATTGGGCAGAAATCTACCTGTCCTCCTCCTATGGAGCCTGGTTGATCCCTCTGAGACCTTCCAGTGTCATCCCCATTGGTTTCCAGTTTCCTGTTACTGCCCCAGTTAGTCACTAAAAGGGAGTTATCTATTTCACCTTCCTCAGAAACCTCCAGGTCATAGAACCATCAGTTTTGAGACAAAGGGGAAGAAGTTGTGGAGCTGCAGTCCAAGATACTGGCATAAAAAACCAGCCGAGGTTGGATTGTTATCTTATTCATTCAGTAGATGTTAGAGT
This sequence comes from Homo sapiens, assembly GCF_000001405.40. NCBI lineage: Eukaryota > Metazoa > Chordata > Mammalia > Primates > Hominidae > Homo > Homo sapiens. The sequence goes on along the minus strand of NC_000005.10, from coordinate 137,276,556 downwards.
ACCTGGTGCCAAATGAATGCTGTGCTGAGGTTCGGCAGTGAGGCCACCCAGCCCCTGGCCCTAGGGACTGCCGTCTGTGTGGCTGAGTTGCAGAGGAGTAGCCAGCTTCTACAGTGTGAGCAGTTCAGTGCTCTGTTCAGGCAGCCCAGGGGGCTGCAGATCACACAGCAGGGGTGTCTCGAGTGCAGAGGGACTGGGGACAAGGAAGGCTTTCCACGAGAAGAAGTGTCTAAACTGGGATTTGATAGAGGAGTAAATGTTAACAAAAGAAGGGTAAGGAGGAGTGTTTCAGGCACAGAAGGAATAGCATGGACAGAGTTTTGGGGAACGAAGAGAGCATAGGCTGCTGCAGGATTAAAACGTAGTTCATTGGTGGCTCGACCATGTAAGCTAGTGTGGCCATAAGGTGACTGCAAGGCTCAGCAGGTGCTGGGGCACAGAAGTCCTGTGAGCTGGGCTGATGGGCTTGGCCTTGACCTGGGAGTCCCTCCAGCATTTTAAGCAGGAGGGTGATGTGACCAGAACATCCCTTTAGAAGGTCACTATTGAGGCAGTGTGAACAGCCTGGGCAGGGCTCAGGGGAGGCAGGGAGGCTGGTTAGGGCACGTGGCCATGTTGTGAGGAGAAATTGTGGAGGCCTGACCCAAGGCAGAGGAGAGGGGAGTTGTGAAAGAGACCCAGGAGTGCAAGTGAAGATGACTTCGTTGTTGCCTGAACGGCAGAGGGAAGGAAGAGGGAGGAGTCCAGCCTGTGGCCTGGGTTCTTGCCTCAGCAGCAGGTGGACAGAGGTGCTGTCTAATGAGCTGGAGACTCTTAGAGCAGCAGACCCTGAAAGTGGTAGGTGGATACAACTCTGGAAAGCTCCAGAAGCTGGGGGAGAAGGCCCCTGATGTTCTGTACCTGGTTTGCTCTCCATGGTGGGCCTGGCCTTCCCTCAGTCACCTCAGTCACTGTGATTTAGTGTGTGACTTCCTATGGAGGCTGCACATTAGAATCACCTGGAGAGCTTTTAAAACATCCCAGTGTGGAGGCTACACTCCAGCCACTGAATCAGCACCTCCTGCCCTGGGCCAGGCATCAGAGTTTGAAAAGCCCCACAGCATCCCCAGCCATCAGCCAAGGTGGAAACCACTGCTTCTGCCAATCCCTGTGTTTGGTGAGAGGATAAGTGGGGAGGGATGGTGAGGTGGTAGTTAATAGCTGGTGTTTTATTCTCTACAAGGTAGCATCTGGATGTTCATGGAGGCCTGCCAGCTATGGTGGGGGAAGGGAGCAGGCATTCTCAGAAAGATGGCTGGACCTAATTAATTTGGGATTTGTGATACTCGGACAAGGCTGGGCCTCAGGCCAGTATAATTTGTACTTTCTCTGAAATGAAGGTTTACGTGCTATAAGCTATAAGATGGCAATGGCTTTGTTTGGTGTGCCAAGGAGACATACCCTTTCAGGGTTCCTCCATCTGTTTTCTACATGTAAATTAATGATTACACAGAAATTTTGCCTGTTCAGAGCAGGTTCAGGTCCCTTATCAGGATATAGTTAATCATAATTGAAACTTTAATTAATTTGTTTACAATTACATGATAGGTAATACCTTTCAGTGGTTTAAAATGCCACACTCAATGCACAAATAGGCCCACTGGTGTAAGTATTGTCTTTTTTAATAGATGGGGTCTATTTAATAGAGAGGTGTGACCGAATCTTAGATAGTACGTGTCTGCCCTTTACGCAAAATATGCCTGTAGCTCAAGTTTTCAAATTTCATTGATTTTTTAAAAATCTCTCTTCATACATGAGACTAATAAAACTACATGCATTTAAGTATTTCATAATTATTTTTTCCAGTTGCAATTGGTCTCCCTTCACTTGGGCCTAATTGACAAGATTCAAATATGCAAGAATTGCATTATTGAAATTTAAAACATATCCACAAAGTCTAATGTTTCTCTCAGTGTTCCTGGGACATCCCCCTACTGTAAACCTCAGGAAATGGACATGAAATTGTGTACCTTTTATTTATTAATTCTGTATGCCAGATATCATACCAAGCACTTTGCATCATTATTGCAAGTCATTGCAACCATCCTTCAAGGTAGGTGCAAGTGGTCTTGTTTTATGGATAAAGAAATTGACTCGGAGAAGCTGAGTAGATTGTGCAAGGCCACATAGCTGGTGAGTGCTAGAGCCAGAATTTGAACCCACATCTGCTTCAAAGCCTGCCATGTTTACAGTATCTTCTCTGACTTTAACTCCTTGGTGCTGACCTATTCTTTCCTTCCTAGATATTAAGAAGGCTGCTCTTGGCCAGCTCAATTTGATAATTTTGCTAATAAAGTCAAGGTTGTGGATGGTTTTGAGTCTGAGGAGACAACACATGTCTTGGCCAGAGTACAAATGGAGCATCATATGCCCATTCATATCCCCAGAAGAAAAGCCCAAACACAGGGCATATTTTGGGGAATAAACCTCAGACTCAGTTCTTTCCCTTGGGAAAAGAACAAGCCAGTGGGTTACTTCTCTCCACCCCAGCTTGGATGGACTGACCAGGACAGACAGAAAGTCCCTAAGAAGAGGGAGCTCTTTGTGTTGGTGATGATCCTTGAATCAGCTAGAGGAGCAATGACAATGCTATTCATTTTACATATTTCCTAGGAACATAAATCCATATCTTTCTCAGGTTTGAGGACCCCTCAAGCTATTTTGAAACTGCAAGGCAAAGGAATTTCTTTGCAGAAATGTAGAAGGTATACTACTCTTGGTCTTGGATGTCATCTTGGGGTTTTTACTGAATTTCACCCTTTGGACCAATGTCACAGGCAATTACTCATTTGAAATTCTTGTGGATGGTAATCATGGCTGAGTGTTGGGATTTAATCATGATTTTGCTAGCTGTTCGGCAGCAATGATATAGATCACTAGACCACACTCAGATTTCATCCCACTTCAGTTATTCTACCCCATAACCTCATGTCCTTTCCCATGAACTTAGTGAATTGTTGGGACCTTTTCAAAGGAATGATGGTAGGTGAATTAAGAGAGCATATCTGGATGACCTTTCTAATGTTATGATAATTTGAAAATTTGATGCAATTATCAAAAATGTATACATTTCTTCCTATTGTTTGATGTGATTCTTTTATTTTTTTCTCATTTATAATGCTTTCGTACTCAGGAAGTTGAGGTAGGTTTTTGATTTTTCAACTGTATGTAGACATAGCATTAAAGTAGTTGCCAAATAAAATGTAAATTTCATTCTAAATCTGAAATCTCAGTAGTAAATATTTGTTTTAGTTCAGTGAACCAGTACCACACACATTTATTTTTCATTGGTATATCCAAGGGATGCAATTTATCAAATGCATATAAACAGTCCATTTGCTGCTTTATCTTTTCTCATTAGTTACAGTACAAGTATGATTGTCAGTTATTATCTGTGTTTTACTGGTGGGTTATTTATTGAAAGAGCAGAGCAACTGACATTGTTATTTTCTGAATCATTTTGTCTAAGACCTGGAGGACTTTAAACCAAATGTCAGACCAATTTATCAAAGAATTGCTCTATTCAGGGTGAAGGTGATTTAGAGTGTGTGTATAAACATACAACCACCTGTACTTACACACACTAGTAATAGTTATGGGAATTTCACAGGGATACAGAGATGGAATTGCTTACAAACTGGAATTGCTTACTTATATTTGATGTGATTTAGCAAGGATTTACTGTGTGCTGTTGAGTGATGCCTTAGGGGATGTGCAGGTGAGTAAGACCCATCCCTGCTCAGAAGCGGCCTAGGCCCGTGTGTGTGTTGGGGGGTGGGGGGGTGGGGGTGGGTGATTTGTGCACACAGAAATGTATTAATGCAGACAACTCCCAGGCTCTGTTGTACAGGGTTCTCACGAGTGGTAGCTTTGGATGGAAGGCTGAGAAGCCTCAAGTCACTGCCCAAGCTGGGTCACTTCATTCAGAAGGATTCTCACTGAGGCTCCTCACCAGAGATGGGGAGGAGACAAACAGCAAATTATTTGCCCAGAGATGTGAATGAAAACAGCTCAGAGGTAGGGTAGTTGTGTGTGATGCTAGCTCCTTTCTTAATAAATGGAGTGTTTTGTACCTTATAATAGTTTGATTAGCAGAGATTTCCATTGCACACAAAATTACAGGCAAATGTCACATTATATAACAGAAGCATTTACATAATGGTCTGGAAATCTCACTTTTCTGGTGACTTCTATTATCATTTCGGGGACATTTCTCCCACCCACCAACCAGATCTTCTTCCTATTCCCCCCAGTCAAGTAGTGTGAAGATAAATAGAACCAGTTTGCACTGAATTCTCTTGAGAGCAGTTTGGCTACAGTCCCTTCATTGATCTCTTTCTAAAGGTTGCAGTTTTGGTAAAGTGGAGTGTGCCTCCATCTGGGATCTACAAACTCAGTTCTGATCTACTTAGCCTTGCAGGGAAGTGCTTCTCCATTTTGTGTGTATCTGCAATCAGCCCACAGACAACTCCAAAATGACTACCTGCCCTCCTTTTAATTTGCTTCCTTCAGTTTATGTCTCTATTGCTCCCTCCTGGTCAAGACAAATGAGGCTCCCATTTATTTTCTAGGCTGGTAATTTGTATTAATATTATCTCAGGTAATCATCAGATGAAACGGCAGGGTTCAAACAGCTTAGCTAAAATATGTATGAAGGAGAAACGATCGGTTTCATGAGAACTAAATGTGTTTGATCTGTAGCATCTGAAGCTGATACAATTACATTATCATCTTCATAATTGGGTGCCAAGGCAATTGGGTTTTCATTTGGTTCTGCCACCCCATCTTTTCCTCAGAGTCAGCTTTGACATTCCTTGGAGATTAAATAGGCACCTCTTGAAAGGCAAATCCCTGGTGAATATTTGAGCTAAATTGCATCAGTCATTTTGGGGCTATGGTATAGTAAAAGAAAATTCAGGTTCTTATTCAAAATGGGCTGTTGGCTATGATCATCTGTGATGAAGAGACTTAATCACCCAAATTATAGCAAGAATATTTTGTCATTTCATGTTAAGCAGACTTAATTATTTCATTGGAAGATGCATTATAGAGTGGAGTGGTCTTGGCATATTTATGTGTATGAAAAACATATAGTAATATATAATAAATATATCTTTAATAATATATATTATATATAAAATGTGTATATATGTATATGTAAAACATATTTTCTTTTTCATTGATGCTTATCTGAACAGAATATCTCTAAAGCATTAATAGTTAAATTCCTTTGCACCAGCCATCGAGTGCCAATAATTTCACAGGTTTCAGTACTATCTTAGTGGAATATTTAATAAGTGAGATAAATGGAGAAATATAGTTTTATCTTTGTTGATCAGCTGTAGAAAATAAAACAATAACTGGAGTCTTATTTGCTACCAGTCTCTGTTTCTTCCTCTCCCACTAACACCAACCCTCCTCCTTCATCCTGGACATGGATGGTTTGTCACTTTCTTACCATGATCTTTATGGTGACTTTTTAAAAATTAATTAATTAATTAATTAATTAATTTTGAGACAGAGTCTTGCTCCGTCTTGTCCAGGCTGGAGTGCAATGGTGCGATCTTGGCTCACTGCAGCCTCTGCTTCCCGGGTTCAGGCGACTCTCCTGTCTCAGCCTCTCGGGTAGCTGGGACTACAGGCATGTGCCACCACACCTAGCTACTTTTGTATTGTTAGTAGAGATATGGTTTCACCATGTTGGCCAGGCTGGTCACAAACTCCTGACGTCAGGTGATCCACCCACCTCAGCCTCCCAAAGTGTTGGGATTACAGGTGTGAGCCACTGGGCCTGGCCATGTCAACTTTTCATGAGAGTTCCTGCTGCCTTGGAATACTATGTGATTCTAGACCTAAGTCAGTATGCTTAAGTTTGGGCCTCTGTTTACATTTACAGGGTCTTTCAGGTTTTAACAATCTCTAAAAAAGGGTTGAATAATATTCATTTATGAAATGCTATAGTGAAATGGATTCAGTCTTTCCTCATATGGGTTAGTTAGAATTTACAGCAAGACCGTTCTCTGTCCTGTCCAGAAGATGCCTGACATAATTATATTCTTCAGTGTAACCCATAAAATAGACATGTAGTAACACTGCCATCCTTCATTCCTCAACCTGTGGAATGCATTAATGGGAGCTATTGAACTTAAATGACTATATTTAGATATGCATCTTTCTATTTGGGTTTATGTTTAAAAATTAACTGTTGCTGGGCTCCTTGCAAGTCTTTAAAAAAGCTTTATCATTAGATGATAAAATTGCCACTCAAAAGGCTAACTCAGATAGATATGCCTTGCCTGACAAGTTTGATCTATCCAATATGTCTTTCACCACAGTTTGAATTTTAACAAGCCATAACTTTATTGGGCCAGAGGGAAGGTCAGAGGCAAGGGCTGTTAATGTCCTGCACTTTGTCAGCTTCAGGGCTTAAGTGTGGGGCCCACACAGCACTGGGATCGTGCCGGGGCAGACACACTACTTCCCAGGGTAGAAGTGATAGAATTATTGACAGCATAGCAAGTCATGGGGTCTGTTCATTTCAGGACAATGTAAAATAGATACAATATGTTTTTATTTAGATAGAAAATAAGATTTTTTTTTTTAAAAGCCTGGCTCTGCCACCTGAGTCTTAGGCCCTGGTGAAATGCCCAGCCTTGGTATTGGTAGGGTGTTGGTTCAGGACCACTGACAACTATCCTTATGTCCTTTGAGCACCCCAATCGTTAAGTGGGTCTCAGGGATGAACAAATTTTCAGGAGGTGAAGCTCTAGAGGAGCCATTCTTTTTTCTTTTGTCTTTTATCTTTGGCTTTCTCCACTTGAGTTTTGACTGTGCCTCACCAGAATTCTCCCAGACACAGAGTGACTTAATTGATGCAGCCCAGCCTGCTTATACTCACCGTGTGTGGAAGCCCTTGAACCTAGCTAGGACAGTGTGCAGGAGTGATCACGTATACTCCAGCACTTATTTCCTGACATAGACTGCAGCAGTGGCTGCTAAGAGACCCCTCCCCCATGCTCAGTGACCATCCCCCAAGTGGGCTCTGGTGCCTGGAGTCCTTCACATGTGTTCATGATCTTGGCCCCTGATGTGAGGTTTCCTCTCTCAGCTGCAGCCAAAGCAGTGATACACAAAGGTTTATCAGCTCTGGCTCATTGGTTTTTGCTTTGGCAGTCCACTTTCCTGAGGCAGGGCAAAAGCAATCAGATGCAGAGAATCATTTTTCTTCCCTGCTTGGCCTGGCTGGGCAAGGGGTTGTTTGAAGGACTCATTTTGCATAATGAGTTTTCACTCAAGGTGTACTTTCACATTTTGGCAGCAATTAGGCAGTATTGTTACATTTGCAATGAGCTTTAAATATTCTAATGCAGATAGCTACTTTTGGAGGCCTTATACTTAAAACTGTGATTTTTCCCTAAGAAATAGGTAAAAATGGTAATTATAGTTAACCTGAAAAAGTGGCAAGGTCCAGAAGAATGCTTCAAATTCCATCCAAGTTATAAAATATGTTGAAATCATTAGGGAATATCCAGTTCTTGAGACTTGCTCAAACCTTTCTTTGACATCAAAGAGAATGTGGCCTGTGAAATTAAAGTTAAAGGAACTTGTCTTTGGTTCCAGCCCTTCCCTGTTGGACACACAGCCTGAGCTTCCAAGGGCTTTATTAGAACAGCATGTTCAAGTAGAAAATATTTCACAAGATTTCACATTGCCATTATATGTGATGCCATCCTCTGTATGTGGAGAGAGCATTGATAAACCACAGTTGGAAGGATGAACGGTTGATCCTTTTTTTCTCCACTTGTGAGAATGAGTTCATCTTGGGTTATCTCTTCTGCCCTTGAGAATAGCAGAAAATGTTGGTAACATGGTTGTCTAAGGCTAAGAACACTTTGGTCATCAAACCTAGAAATTGGGTGCTAAATTTCCTATCTGCCATCCAACTTTTAACTTAATATCATTTAACAGTGGCTGCCGAGTTTCTGACAGCACAATTCCAAAAGTTTGGGATTGTATTTAAACTTATAAATGGGGAAAGATATTGCAGAGAGACTGTTTTAAATTTCCTTAGTGATATTTCATGGTAAAGAGCTCAAAGACTCCCTAACCAGATGGGTGAGAAGGCCAGTTATTCTATAAAACTAAAGCTGGAGCAAAGTGGGCAATTCTTTGAAACTAAAAATAATTTAGTGCTGAATCCTCTGGATCCAGAGGAAGCTGTTTATTTCCTAATGCCTTGGAAGATGGAATCACTGGCCAAGAAACAATATGTTCTGATTTTACTCTAAAGCTAGTTTCCTAAAATCTATTTAAGGGCCTAGGTGAACTCAACAAGGATATAATAAAGCTACATAATTGAATGACACTGAGGCTGATAAAATTCACAGGAGATCGTGTCAGAGATAAACTGCATCAGAACACAGCATGGACAATAATTTAAACTAATTGTGCGCTTTGATGTAAATTAGCTTTACCAGAAGAGATATTGAGGCTTCATTTTGGGCAGCTTTCTAAAACTGCAGCATGCAGACTGCCTGCCAAAAACACATATAGCAAAGCAATTGAATATTAACTACAAAGGGACAAATCCTTAAAGATGCTATGAGGATAATGTGCATGGGTGACACCTCTTCAACTTGCAAACTGTTCAGTTTTGCTGATACAGTGGGTGTGCCAGGAAACAATGGGGTCAAAGTGCTGATGGGGAGAATAAAGGGAGTACATGGTGGCTGTTAGGAAGGAAAGGGTTATTAGGAGTGGGGAAGAAGTTAACATAGCTGTGAAGAATTGAGTGATTGAGATCCTTGCAATTTTAAAGTAATGAATTGCCTAGCCTCAGAGCATAAATTGATGCAACCCAAATGCAGGAAAGACATGGTTATGAAGAGACCAGACTGGCCAGCCTTTGTTTTTTCATCTTTCCATACCCAGAACAAATGGTATTAAGCTAAATGTACGCCTTTGGTTAATTCTAACATTTGGAAGGCTGTCTCTTTTTAGGTTTTGTGAGTATTGAAAAACTGGAACTGTGCACCACAAGATGCGTGTCTGTATGTAAAAGAAATGTTGACAGTTGAATTATCAGCTGTTACAAACACAGAGGCTTAATCATAACTGAGAGCAGCAAGGCATCACCTACAGTATAATTGATAGCAAATACACCTTGCACCTAGAAGGTGTCTGGGTTTATATGTCAAACTAAGAAGAGCAGCGCTGTTTCTATACTGGGCTGAAATGTTTTTACTATTCCCAGTATTGAATACATACGGTTTGAAAGACAGGAATTTGAAAAGGAAATTGATATTTTTTTATTACACATTAATGCCTGTTTTGGGAAAAATTTCTAAGCTTTCAGTGTTTTCCTTTGTGTTTTGGGAGGTGAAAAGGAAGGCAGGTTTTTATGCAGTTATGTGAGAAGCTTTTTGAACTCTGACCTTTGTTTTCTATTTTTTCCTTATATAGGATGATTATTTCAGAAACTGGAATCCCAACAAGCCCTTTGACCAAGGTAATGGATGCAATATTTCTTGCTGTATAGTCTGTGGTAAATGTGGTCTCATTTTTCCTTCCTTGCATGCTGAGTTAATGTTCCCACAAGGGCCAGCTAGCGGTGTTATTTTATTGACTTTGGGGACTGAATTGACTGGGGTGATAGAAATTATTTTATCAAATTGGTTATTTGTCTGAGGTTATATCTAGGGCTGATTTAAACAATTTCTTTTAATTGGCTTGACCAATATAATCATTGATTCGTTTTGTTTTAAAAAAAAAGTGAAATTTGATTATCAAATTAACATGGTGAATTGTGGGGCTGAATGCAGTGCTTTCATTCATGGAACAGACTATGCCTGGAGATGCTTCCCTAATTCACATGAGCCATAACAATGAAACTTTCTTTCTAGAAAAAGGTTAATCCTGGGAGACTGTCAAGGGTACTGCGATTTTATTTGTTAAATAACTTCTTCATGGTTTCTAAATAGAAGCCTGTTTCAGAGTTAGCTCGATGACTACTTGGGTTTAAGCATGGCCCACAGAAGGCTTTCTCCACCCCCATTCCCCCAGCAAGCATCAAACCAGTCTCTCATGATAGCTGTTGTAAATCACTAACAGTGTCCTCCTGTGAGTTATTTAAGACACAGTGAGGACCTGCCATGAATCACATCCCTTCCCCCGTTGTTCCATGTGTGGTGCTGTTGAAAATGATGGTAGATTGCACTTCATATGTTCATATGGAATTAATGCCAAAACACAATGAAACAGTATTACCTACCACATCTCAAAGTGTTCATTCTTCTGAGAATCAGCTTCAGTTCTGTAATGTGAGTATTCGATGTGATCATGATGGTCAACTTGATACGAAGAAATCGAGGGAGGCATTGACATGTGACATGGAGGAAGGTGCTCCTTTCTGCCCTCTGCTTGGTCAGTTTAATGGGTCACTACCTCTGGACTCTGGTTTTCTCGTAAGCAAAAATGGTATTAAAATTGCCATATATACATTTATCATAGGCTTTGAAGTAGTGTAACAATTTTTTCATTCATGCATGCTAGCATTCTCAAACATTTATTGAGCTTTCGCTGTATGCACAAGCACCAAGCCAGGTACTGGGGATAGAGAAAAATGCTGTGGTGCCTACCCTACAGGAGCTCAGAGTGGGGAGTAGGGAAATAAATCAGTCAATAATTGTGGTGGGATCTGTTAATGGCTGTGATGCAGGTGTGTTCAGGGAAGCATGTGAATCTACAGATGGAGAACTGTATATGTTTTTGTAAAGGGCAAGGTGTCCAGCAAAACCTTCCTTTGGAGGCTCTATCTGGACTATACATATCTTAGCAGCCTTAGAGTGGTAACGGAATTATTCTTCTACAATCCTAACAATGACTGAATCATCACAATGATTCACTCAAAAGCATATGAAGGCATTTGTAACTTAGTTTAGAAATGTTTTATTAAAAGTGATCAAAAATTTTAAAACTTTTTAATAGGATAAAACTTTATCTATGAAGAATACTGGTAGTTAAAGAGCAACAAATTCCCTGTCTGTGCCTGATAAACAAGCCCTTCTGCAAACAACCCTACCAGGCTTTTGCTTGCAAAGGTAACTCAATTGACAGTCACTGTGAACTGATTCTTTTTAGCTAAGAACTAGAAATAGGTTCTTGTGCTATAAGGATCAAATGTTGCCTAAATAACTGTCAAAAATTACTCTTTGCCAAAGCTTGCAAATGAATACACTCTCCCGAGGGAAGACATTTTTACTTTTACTAATGCATATTGGAGAAGGAATACATCAAGGTAGGTGTCATTTGCCACTTGGGATATAAATGATAGCTTCCCTTGGTTTGGGAGTTAACACAGAAATTTTGGGAACCACAAAATCACCGTCTTTAAACCTGAGCAGGTAAACAGTTCAAACGAGGATTTTTCTCTCCTAGGAATGATGGCAGCTATATTCAGCAGAGCCCCATCCTGTTCTCTTTTTCTAGCTCTGCAGGCTTGAAAACTGGGTCTGCTCAGATTAACCCTCCCAGAAAACCTTATGACTTTATGGGATATAATTAAGGACCTTAGCTGAGTATCCCCACTTTGTACCTCAGGGGTAGCTGCCGTTGGCTATTTATATACAGAACCATGAGGAGCACAGGCAGAGCTGAGAATAGCCTTCACTTAAAATATCAGCCCCAGCAGATGTCATCAATTACATTGTGTGCGGCTCAATAAAAATGGGAGGTTACTCTGTCAGCGCTGACACCACTTGGTGAAATATAAACCACAGGCATGGAAGATGTAGAGCGTTTCATCTTCCAGAAACTAGGAGAATTACTGAACTCCAGTGGAAGATGACAGCCAAAGAGAGGAGTCATTTCCTCTCCTCAGCTGAAAAAAGAATCAAACATAGTTAAAATGGGTTTGTGGTTAGGGAAAAGTTTTAGTTTGTAGAAATGGAACTTGTTGAAGAGTGTCTTCAGAGTTTCAGATGACAAATATGGTTTAGGATGGGGATGGAAGGGGCTTCATGATGGAGGTGGGTGTGGAGTAGGCTTGGAATATAGAGGGAGAGGAGGGGAAGGAAGGCCCAGCATAGAGAATTCTGGTAATAGTGTAGTCAGAAAGGTGGATTTGAAATGGGTTGAGGGGACATTCCATACCAATCAGCCAAATTTGAACTTTGTTTTCTTGGCAGTGGGGTGCCATAGAAAGTCTTTGAGCAGGCGAGTGACATGATGAGGGCAGTATTTTAGAGAATTTGGTTTGGTGACAACAGCTATAATTAGGAACCCAAAAACATACTTGCTAAATGATGTCACTCCTCTAGGACTCTTGGGTAACTTCTTCATGGCATCATTCATTGCCTTGGAGCCCTGGGCTCTGGCTGTCACCGGTGGTCAGACTTATCAATTCAGCTCTCCAGCTTGACCTCTGAAATGCCCATGCAGCTTCTGATTGTCGTGTTGGTGTGGTGAATAGTTAGAAGACTCAAAGTATTCAAGAAATAGTTACTTAGCTGTAATTGCTTCTCTGCTTAAAGATATTTACTGAACTTTGAACAACAGGGCTTCATGGAGCGAGTGCTATCATCATGTAATTGACTCTAAGGCAGTTAGAAGAAAAGTATCTCACCTGGTGCTCTCCAATGATGAGACTCAGAATGTCTTTAACTTGTTATCTTTAAGTGAATCTTTAATGTTTCTGTCAGTGGAGTATAATGGCCATCAACTTCAGACTTTTCTAAGAATTCTTCCTGAGATTAGGGTAAAGTGGCATAAGTAGTATATCCTTTTGTCTTGTAATGATTTAATGCCAAATCTCCTCACAGAAAGGATGGACAGGAGTTCAGAATTGAAGGCAATGATTAACTCAGGTGAGAAATTTCGCTTGTGAAGTCCACAAAGAAAGACACTGTGCAGAGAGAGTTGGGCAGACTGCACAGTTTGAGAGAGCCATGGGCCAATGCAAATGGGTTTCTTATCTTGCATAGTCAGGAGAAATGAAGGCCCCCGGATGGACCTTCAGAGGGCTGGCTGAGGCTGCAGAGCTCTGGGGTGATTCCAGAGCTTTTGGTTGCCTCTGCCACTTTGCCTTGCCAGCACCTTCCCTTAACTGGCGCCTGACAAACTCAGGAGCGCATATGAGGTTAGTGCTTCTCAGTGGGGATCTGGGTCAGCAAGATGCTTCCCCAAGAAAACCATTGATGGTCAAATAAGGGACACACATATACCCTCATCTCTTGAAGATTCACATGCTCATTATCAACTTAAAAAACTCTGAGGCGTCTTTCAGTAAAGAAACCCATTTAACCTATCATTTTCCAAATTTGCCTGTGACCATATTTTCAATTTTTTTCCACTACACACCTATCAGATACTCAGAGGAGGTAATGTATTTGGCATGATACACTTTGGTAAGTGCAGTCTGGGGTCTTAGGGTTTGGAGTCAGATTCTCCAAGTTTAGAATTTGACTCTGTCAGTTACTAGCTGTGTGATCCTGGGAAAGTAGCTTAACTTCTCTGATTCTAAATCTTCCTATCTGAAAATGGCAATAATGATAAGTACTTTCAACAATAGCACTGAGAAGATGAAGTGAATTAATATGCCTGGCATATAGGAAGTGCTTGACAAGTGATCAGCAAGTCATTGATTGTTTTCATTCTCTTCCTATTTAGCAGCCTCTCCTGGTGTCTTTCTTCCCATTCCACTCTGGTTTTATTCCCTTCTCCTTTTGTTCCTTTCTGGTGGCCTTCCAAGTTGTGATGCTCTGAAGCTCTCGGAGCTACACTGACACGGGCTTGTCTTAACTAGTGTTGGGGCATCGTACTGGTACACTCCAGATCCCCATTATTGGAGCTGAAGAGGTTCAGGCTCTTAATGTGTTCATTCCTTCCTTCATTCCATAAGCAGTTACCAAATGCCTGATGTTTAAATGCACTGAACTGGATAATAGGGACAACACTAAGGAAGACGTCTCTTGGGGGACACTCCCAGTTATCAGTCCTCAGAGACATCCATCCAAGGTCCTACTGGGGGGTAGGGAAGTGAGTAGAGTTGGTCTGGGTAACAGGGAAATCCTTAATATGTCAAGTGTTTATACAGGTGACAGGTCAGTTTTAGTTGAGGTGATGTTTTTTGCTATGCCTTGGCCTTATGCAGTCTGTGCCTTTGGTATGTGGACCAGGCTCCCTGATGCTGTACAACCAACACTTGCTGGTAACAATTACCTTCAATGCAAATAATAAAGGTATTGTCACAAAGATTGTATCTTTTGCCTTTAAGTGAGATGACTTGATGAGGGTCTGGAGGGGAATGAAAGATAGAATTTATTGAACCACAAAGCTGTTGTAAAAATAAAATAAAGGTAATGCTTTGGGGATTCATTGAATAGGGGATGAATATACAGCAAAGTGAATTCTAACAAGGTGTTTCAAAGCTTCCTGACTAGTTCTTTTAGAAGAAGAAAATGGAAACTTATTTATAGTACTTTTGCTGAACAAAAGGATTTTTTGTGCACTGGAGGGTTTGGAAGGTAATTTATGTATATAACCACTATACTACTTTAGAATAAAATTCTGATTACATGAAGTTGTCTCAAAGTGATGGAACACTAACAGGTTCTCTGCTGGAGCCAGGGTGCACTCAGGAAAGAACCTCCCCAATTTATTTGGCTATGAAGTTCCACTAGAGGAGACAAGCCACTGTAGGACTAATGGCTGGAGAGATTTAGCATGGGACTTTCCTGAGACAAGTGGGTTCCTTTAAAGTGGAATCAATGAACGCTTTAGATAAAGTGTATAGACATTGGTTTTAAAGATGATGCTTTTTATTCTGGAGTGAATACTAATCATTCTTCCAGAGCAGACTGGCTGTAGATAAACCTCAGATGTTGCTGGTGATCTTCAAAGCAGCATGTGAACTTGTAGAAATTGATCTCCAGATAAAAATAAAACTCAAAGAGTCAGGGGCCCCTTTCACTCATGCTGTTCTCGTGAATAGAAGAAAAGAAAGACCTCACCCTTTGACTTCCAGTCTATTATACCAAGATCCTGACAAACTCAAATCCTGACCAAAGCCCTGAACTATTTTGAGGCAAAAATTCTAAAACTCAAAAGGAGGGAGTTCTTTTCATGTTCCAGCTGTGTTTCTGGAACCACCAGCCCAGTGGATTATCACAGCATTTGTGTTTTGCCAAGGTCTTAAAGGGTGTCTGGGGAGTCAAGATTGCTTATTTCTAAAAATCTTCCATAGAAGGG
This sequence comes from Homo sapiens, assembly GCF_000001405.40. Taxonomy (NCBI): domain Eukaryota; kingdom Metazoa; phylum Chordata; class Mammalia; order Primates; family Hominidae; genus Homo; species Homo sapiens. The sequence continues at coordinate 137,261,271 of NC_000005.10, read as the reverse complement.
GAGTTTTCCTTCTCTAGATTAATCTGAAAATTTACATAATAGGCTTAATAGAAATCTTAAGTCCCCATAGCTTTCTTCATAATGTGGAGTTTAGCCTCACCCTAAAAGAACCTCTGATTAGCATTTATAGGGCCTTGAAAGTTTTTCAGTTTTTTTAAGAATTTGTTCACCTTATCTGATCCCTGGAGCTGTGGATTTTCAGAGGCAGCTGGCCTCGTTTGTGGGAAGCATCTTAATACTTTTCTCCTGGCTCGCTCATGTTTGGTCTGGTTGGTTTCTCCCTCTCACCTTTGCCTTTTCCACATAATTAGGAATATGCTTTCCCCAACAGCAACTACTCATCTTATTCACATTAACCTGCTCTCTGCCCCAGACACGCACACTCGGCTCCAGCCTAATTAGCCTGTTCCCACTGCCATCTTTTCTTCTGTTTCTTCATTGTGACAATAAGATAGTCCTATTTAAAAAAAGTTTGGAGTATTGATTTTTAAACATTCTAATTCAGTACTCCAGGGAAGAAACAGAAAGCTATTAATTCAAATATTAGTATGCTCCTACTTTAACTCAGTCTCTCTGCCTTGATGTTTGATCAAATTGAATGTTTTCTCTTTTGTCTTTGTCTGCCTTTGCCTGTTTGCTTATTTTAGAGAATAAAACATCAGCTATAAAATTTGAATCTCATGGGTGCCCCTTCTTCTTTCCCATTTTCTTTTCTCTAAAGGTGACCATATCATTAATTTGCTTTTCTGTTCATGTCCTTATGTTTTTATGTCATGTATATGTATACAGGCAATGTTACATTATATATTTTACAATAGAAATTAATGTTTCCCTCTCTAATCTGTTTATTCCACTTAACATTGCTTTTGAGGTAACTTTTTTGATAGTTGTAGATCTAATGAATTATTTTATATTGTGCTATTCTATTGTATTAATATATCACAATTAATTCAATTATTCCCCCACTGATGGATGTTTCTCTTGACTCCATCTGTTTTGCTATTGGGGCTGCTTTTTCTTAGTATTTTTAAATGTAAACTGCTTGGCCTGAAGAGTGCGGGATGCCAGGAGGAGGGCTGAGGTGGGACATGGCTCTGCCACTGTTAAAATGTGCAACTTTGGGCAAATCACATGTCCTTTCTGGACTTTAGTTCACCCATCTCTGAAATAAAAAGGGTAGATGAGATAGTTGCTGAAGTCCTTGGGAGCTGTGGTAGTTAAGTTCAGGCAGAATAGTTTTCCATATATGTTTTCTCATAAAGGAAAAATGAAAAATTTGAAGCATGATGCTCTTATTTCAAAGGTTACAGTTTGGCTAATGAGTTATGAATATATTGTAACTGAAATAAAACCAATGGAATTAAATGGGCCTTTTAACTATCGAGGGTGGAGAGGGCTCAGAATAAAAAGAAAAAAGGCCAAAGAAGTCTCTTCCTACAGAATCCTATGGGACACTGTGAGCTGTAGAGGAAAGAGCAAGAGTTGAAAGTGCTCAAATCAAATCTTGCCTCTCCCATAAGCTTATTGTATACATTTGAGTCATTTGACTTATCTAGCCTTTGTTTTCTTTTTTTTTTTTTTTTACTTTCATGTGTCTTTACTTTTCATCTGTTTTCAGTGTTTTTTTATTATTATTATACTTTAAGTTCTGGGGCACATGTGCAGAATGTGCAGGGTTGTTACATAGGTATACATGTGCCATGATGGTTTGCTGCAAACATCAACCCGTCATCTACATTAGGTGTTTCTCCTAATGCTATCCCTCCCCTAGTTCCCCATCCCCCAACAGGCCCCAGTATGTGATGCTCCCTTCCCTGTGTTCACATGTTCTCATTGTTCAACTCCCACTTATGAGTGAGAACATGCAGTGTTTGGTTTTCTGTTCTTGTGTTAGTTTGCTGAGAATGATGGTTTCCAGCTTCATCCAGGTCCCTGCAAAGGACATGAACTCATCCTTTTTTATGGCTGTATAGTATTCCATGGTGTATATGTGCCACATTTTCTTTATCCAGTCTATCATTAATGAGCATTTGGGTTGGTTCCACGTCTTTGCTATTGTGAACAGTGTCGCAGTAAACATATGTTTGCATGTGTCTTTATAGTAGAATGATTTATAAGCCTTTGTTTTCTTATCTGTAGAGTGGGTCTAATCACAGCTGTCTTGTAGGCCATTTGTGGAGAGATCATGTTTGCAAAGGGCCAAGGAGTAGGTATGTGGTATGTTCTCTACAAAGAGCGTTTCTTCCTGCTCAGTCAGTTCTGTCAGGAACTGTGTAGGTTCCATTTCCTCACTGAGTGCTGGGGTCGGCTATGAGTTTGTGTTCTGGCTTCACCCTGACTTCACAAAGGGCTCTCAGGACTCTGTGCCCCTAGAACCAAGGAGCAAAAGCCATTCTGGGTTGTGCTCCACCCTTTGGAGGGAATCGTAGTGAATGATGAAGGGTGGTAAAATTCTCCCTACAATTATGGGGCACTGCAGCTTTCTAATACTGTGTTTAAGAGGTTCTTTCAGCACGAACGAATCCATTTTAAAGACATGTTTATTACCTTTCCCCAAACTCATAAAATGTGGTGTTAGTTGTATAAAAGGAGGGAAAAAACCTTCCTGTTAATCCACCTGCTAGAACAACAGTCCCTGAATTAATTATATTGTACTTGTTGAGTCCTAATGAACCAGCCTTGGTTTGGGAAAATTCTCAATAGGGAAAAAAATGTCAGCTGAATTTTAAAATCAATCAATAATGCTGTTAAATTTTTCTCATTTGAGAATGTAGAATGGATTATTGCATTTTCCCAATCAGGAAATGGCTGCTTGGAGAAAAACCTGCAGGCATCACCTGCGTCCTCTACAACTTTCAGGCCTGAGATGGGGGTTTTGTTTTGTTAAGCTCCTCAATTGTACTGTGTAGCAATTAACTGCTGGAAACCTGTTAAATGTTCATTCTGCCCCAGAAACCATGCCTGATGAAAGGCAATGCGGTATAGTGGAAAGGCCCTGGGGCTTTGCAGTCTCAGAGAATGGGTTCATTTTCTAGCTCTTCCCTCTAATAGCTGTGTGTACCTAAGTGGGTACCTCAGTTTTCTTATCTGTAACATAGAAATTATGACATTTATTACACATGTGGCATGAGGGGTAAAACTCCTGATTCAATCTCAGAATGCACATGAAAAAGGCAAGAAAGCTTTGGCAGGAGATAGAGTACTGCTGTCTTCTTCTGGTGTTTCATATTGGGAAGGATCTTAGTGGTTTTTGATGTCTCTGCCTATTCCACAAGGGTGTGAGCTCATTGATCAGTTAATCATTGAATCAAGAACTCACAGACTTGGTGAGGACTGTGGAGGGGAGTGTGACAGTGCTCTCCTCAGGGGGCTTGTGGTCTACAGAGCCAAGAGACACACACGAAATAAAATCACTCAAAGGATGTGTTTGAGGTGCCCTGACAGAAGCTGGCAGAGTTGGGGCTCAGGCCAGGAATTAGCCCTTCCTGGTTGAAGGTCAGGAAAAGGATCCTAGAAGAGGTGACCTGGGGCCTTTCTGAAGATGGGCAGATGTTTGGAGGTAGAGAGGAAGGGGAGCATCTGGTGGGGAGAAATGTTTTTTGATAGCTTATCGCTCAGTGCTGCAGAAGTGAAATCTGATCATGCTTTAGTCCTTTGGGGCTTCTGTTCTAACACCATAGACCGGGTGGCCTACAAACAGTAGAAATTTATTTCTTACAGTTCTGGAGGCCAGAAGTTGGAGATGAGGGTGCCAGCATAACTGGGTGCTGGTGAGGGCCCTCTTCCAGGTTGTGGATGGCCATCTCCTTGTGTCCTCATGTTGGGGGAAAGAGAGCTCGAGAACTCTCTGAGGTTCCTTTGATAATGGCACTAATCACATCCAAGAGGGTTCACCCTCATGACCTAATCACCACCCAAAGGCCCTACCTCTAATGCCACCACATTGGAGAAAGGATTTCAACACATAAATTTTGGGGGGGGACACAAACATTCAGTTCAATGCAGATGGGATGCTTCTTTTAAAAATACTTTTGTTAAGAGATATGAAGGAAATGTCAGTCATTACTTTAGTAGGCTGTTTCACTTTTTCCCTTTGTCTCTCAAGTCTCATTCTGCTAGGCACCTTGAAACACCCAGAGCAGGATTGCAGATAGCAAGATGGGCCTGATGCAGTAACACTGGGAGTGGTGGGACTGGGACAAACTAACACCCATGCCACTGGCAGAGAGCAGCCCTGACCCAACTCTAGCTGACGATGGTTATGAGGGCTTGGGTCAGCATTGTAAGGACTACGGATTGCTCAAAAGCAGCTGGAAATGAACATTTGTTTTTGTGTGTGAAACTTAATTCTTCAATGCTGGAAAATCAATTATTAAAAAAATACAGCAAGACGGTAAATGTGCCTTTGGGCTGTTTGTGGCTTCTCTTCTTGTCTTTTGCTTGTGGCACGCGTGCGCTGGAGGTTGATGCGTCCTTGGGGTCCCTCTGACTTGGTGCAGCTGCGTAGCCCTTGGGGTGGAGGCAGTGCCTCGCAGAGTTGGGGACAGACTGCCTGAGCAGAAGTTGTCTTTGTTGGGACTGTGCTCAGAGACCACAGGAGCCTGCAGTGGTTTGAATGTGTTCCCCCCACAAGCATGTGTTGGAAACATAATCCCCAATGCAATAATGTTGAGAGGTGGGGCGTAGGGGAGCTGTTTAGGTCATGAGGGCTTCACCCTCACGAATGGAGCCATGCCTACCTATTGTAAAAGGACTTGAGGCTGTGAGTCTGACCTCTTGCCCTCTGTCACCATGTGATGCCTGCCCCCATGTCCTGAGACAACAAGAAGGCCCTCACCAGATGCAGCCCCTTGATCTTGGACTTCTCAGACTCCAGAACCATAAGCCAAATACATTTCTGTTTGTTATAAATTACCCAGTCTATGATACTCTATTACAGCAGCACACAGTGGACCAGTACAAGGCCTAAAGCCACTTGTAATAAGCCTAAGAGCCTGAATTGCTATTTCTGTGTGGCCTCCATCACCTGGAGATGGAGTGGTTTAGCCTTTAAAAGAGGGAAACACAGCCCATGCCCTCATACATGCACACATGCACAAGTCTCATACTCAAAAATCCATACAGAATATGGTGCCACCAGGATTTAGAAACATATGCCACTTCCCAAAGAACAAAAGTGGAACCCATGTGATCTCAAGAGTGATGATGTGAGGTGCTGAGTTTCCTTGCTGCCAGGAGGGTGTGGGTAATTCCATGGGCACTGGCAGCCTGGCCAGGAGGAACCGCTTAGCAGAGGATGGGTGCTGTGTACAGTAGATGGCCCTGCACTGCTCATCTTCTTCTTTGGCTCCAAAATTCATGGTAGAAAGGGCTAGAGAAGGTGGAAAATGTTAGTTGCAGTCATTGCCAAGGCAAGACAATCCCTAATTAGGTGAAAAATTATCCTCTGAGCCCACTGGAGCCACTGTGACATTCAGGTCCTAAATTTGCCCAGGGTTGTGTCACTCTCAGGCCCTTGCCCTGAACTCTGCTCTAGCTCCCCCTTTCCCTTCCTAACTTCAATATATGGTAATCAATGCACTTGAGTTCTCCTCCTGCCTTCACTTCACGTCCATGAATGCTCACTTTCCCTGCAGGAACTTACTTGAACTGTCACTCAGTGGTCCTTGAATCTGTAACCAAATACATGATAACCCGATATGTCTTTTTTTGTTTTTGTCTTTGCCTCATTCACCAAAAAACAACTTGTAGGCATATGTAAGTGTCAAGTGATAACACGAATAGATGAAAACATTTGAGTATAAGAAAAAACATTTGAGTATAAGTAAATTAAAGGCATAGCAAAGCCATGCTATGTATGTTGTTACTCCATCACATGCGCAGTGAGTTTCTGTATACTTCTGTAACTGGGCTCAGAGCTTCCTAACAAAGCAGAGAAGGACACACAGAGCACTATGTTCCCATGATGTGTAAACGAGGCTGGTATTCAGGAGAAATACAGGTATTCATAGTAGTGAGGCCAGAGATGCTTTCCTCCTGTGGGTTCTCAGAAGGGGGTTTGTCAGGGTGGCCCGTGTTCCCGCCAGTATCTAGCAGTGAATACCCCAGTAAGCTTTTATGATTACTTCATCCAAGATCTTTCAGTATACAATGATGCTTAGTGCCAAAGTACAGTTCTATAAGTTAACTCAATAATTCAGAATGCACTGTCTTCTAAAGGCCTGGCTTGATACATGGACGAAATTGACAATATCAGGAAGAATGGTTGGCCTGCATCTCCATCAGGGAATACTCTGATTGTTTTGTTGCTGGTAACTGATTAGCATTGGGAACAGAGAGTTCTGGGCTTTTCCTGGCAGGAACAAGGAGTTCAGATGATCTGTGCTTTCAATTAATGGAAGCATATGGTTCTTCTCTCTTCAGCCAAGTGGCAGGCAGAGCCAGTCTTGTTGGTTAGACATTCAGAATCCAAACTAGAGCTTTGATGCCTGACTGCATAGTTACCTTCCTCCATGCTAACACTGTAGATTAGTTCGACCCCACAGGCAAATGATGGATTAAGAATGTCAGTATTCTTCCCTATAGGCCACCAGAGCCAAGGGCAGTGTTATGTGGAGCTTCACAGTGTAGTGTGGGCTTTACACGGGTGGGAAATGCTTTCCTTGCACACATACGTACATATTTACATATGTTTCTCAAACGCGTATGGATGCTGATGTGCTCAATAAAATCCACATCTTATTTAAAGACATTAGCAAATCCATATTAGATCTTGTCATTATAAAATTCTCAGCAACTAACAGAATGATTAGTATGATAGCTATCTTTGGAGAGGTCAAGGGGAGGTGGAGTTTATAAATTTTTTTTTGACAGTGGAAAGGGTTTCTCATGGTGGAAGAATTTGGGCACGTTACCACAGTGCGTACATACAGGAGTTTCATTTTGTAATGTTTTCAAGCAGGTATTATGAAACAGCCATAAAAAATACCAATAGAAATCCACAGAATGCCTAATTTTAAGCCACATCTCTTTGCGGTGACCCTGCTAAGATAAAATTATTTGTAGGAGAAAAATATACCCTTGGGAAAAATATAATTTTTGGATATAAGCCATGTAAATGTTGTCAGGCATCTGCTAATAATTATGATTTTTGCTTTTAGCGAGGTCAATCCTGAGTTGTTCTTTCTACCAGTGATTAGGCAGGAGGAGAAATTCCCAGTTTGTAATGATAAAATTATACTGTCAGATTAAGAGTGAGCATTCATCATTCTGTTCTCATAGCAAGGCACAGATTCCTTCACCCAGAAATGGTTTCGAATGCTTTATGAATAGTTTTAAAAGCAGGGGTAGCATGGTGGGACACCTAGAACTGGGGGCAGCCTCAACATAAGCTGGTGCAGTGTGTGGACATTTGAACTCCTTCAGACATAATAGCCATACCTGGATATTTGTAGGTTGCTCACAGGGAGTTGAGGATTCTATTTGGTTCCATAGGGTAGCCCTAGAATTAGAGGGTGGGAGTTGCAAAGGGATGGCTTTTGGCTCAATCCAAGTATGGCATTTTCATATCCCAAGCTGTGTGAGGATGGGGTAGGCTGCCATGGAGGAGACTGAGACACCGCTCCTGGGATGTGTACATGTAAGAGTAGACAGCCACATGGCTGGTTTGATGTCGGGGAAATTGAACACTGGATGAGGACAGAGATACTATTGAGATTGTTTCTGACCTTGAGTTTAGGCAGTTCTGTGATAAGGCAGGACTGTTGAGAGGTGATAATTTGTTTTATACAATGACTCCCCATAGAATTTCCTCAAACAGCCTGCCTAATTGGTATGTCTGAGGTAGATTCAGTTTACCAAAGTTATGTCTATGCAGCTTTGCAAGAATATCTAATAAGTAAATTAGGTCAATCTTTTACAATCAAAGCCTCATTCATTGCAAATACAAGGGAGTAAGAAAGAAAAATGGCAGAATTACTGGGTGTTCCTAGTAAAGAAAAGCAACCTACCCACTCATTGTAGAGCTTCAGTTTCATGAATTTAGAACTAACCTATTGCTCTGAGTGAATTCTATTGTCTTTGGTAAGAAAAGCAGGGGAATAAATGATGTTGGTGCCCTCTTTTGTCTATCCAGAGCTGTAGATGCGGACATACGTTTCCAAATGCAGTGTGACTTCTCACTGTGAGGCTCATGTAGAGGGATTTTTGTCCTCTAGAAAAGGAAGTGCTTTTGCCTGACATTCAGGTGCTTGGGGAGGCAAGTAGCGGGTGAATAAAGAATGGCATAGGAAGTCATTGTCTTTACAGAGTAACCACCGAGGACCTGGAGGGGTAGGTTAGATCCCTACAAGTTCCTATGCGTGTCCCTACCAGTGTGCTGTTGTCCAGCTTCGAAGTGTGGAGCCGTATCCACAGATCCATGCCACAGCCCCAAAGGGCATGCTCTTAGGGATTCCTGTCTTCTGACTTAGCTCATGTTGTTTGAAAATTGAAGTGCATGCCAGATTAATTGTAGTTTTGTTAGTGTATCAAGTAACAACTTCTTACATTTTTAGAACATCATGCTATCTCAGACACCAAAGAAAAGGCCCTACCACTCTCAGATGAAGAGGCATTATTATGTGTTTGGAAACTATGTGCCTAGTGTTTATATCTGGTCAACAATGAGCTGGCCTGCCCTGGAAGAGAAAGAGGAAGAACTGTTTCTGTCTGCAGGGATGTTCAGGCTGAAGTATGACAGGGCAGGGATCAGTCAGGAAAGATAATGCCTGACATTAAGTAACTCATGCTGTAGGAACTTTTGCATACAATATTCTAGGAACTTTTGCATACAATATTCTCAGTGGCTGCTGTGTGATCATGACTGCCATCCACGTTTTTCTCCGTTGCTCTGTATTGCTCTATATGTGTACCATTTTTCTTAGAACCATGCTCTCCTCTATGAGTTTGATTCTTCAAATGTACCAAATGGAAAATTATCCTGCTGGTATAAATTTCCAGATAGCATGGGGGGAGATGGGAGAATTGTAATTAAGAAAGTGAATTAGGCTGGGCACAGTGGCTCATGCTTGTAATCCCAGCACTTTGGGAGGCCGAGGCGGGTGGATCACCTGAAGTCAGGAGTTTGAGACCAGCCTGGACAACATGGTGAAACCCCATCTCTATTAAAAATACAAAAATTAGTTGGACATGGTGGCAGGTGCCTGTAATCCCAGCTACTCAGGAGGCTGAGGCAGGAGAATTGCTTGAACCTGGGAGGTGGAGGTTGCAGTGAGCTGAGCTTGAGATTGCACCACTGCACTCCAGCCTGGGCAACAGAGCAAGACTCTGTCTCGAAGAAAAATAAAAAAGCAAATAATATGTCGAATACGATCCTAATTATGTCAGAGTATGTATCTGACAAATGCTTGTATTTGCATATAAAATACCTGAATCAGTACCAAATTGTAATGTATTATCTCTGAGGAATGGGCTGAGAGGGGTATGAGGAATTTACTTTTTGCTTTATAATTTTTTTATGCTGTCTATCTAAACATTTTACTGTGAGCTCTCTCATGCAGGCATCTAAAAGCCCATCTGTGGCACCATTTTGCTGGTGCCTACATAAACAGGTCTCACCCAGTAGTTTTCTTTAGTTCATTCATTACTGAGGGGAACCCATCTATGAGTTTCATGGATTGAAGGTGACCACTCAGGCAGGGAGGCTGCTCTGTCAAATCGGAGCATCAGCCTTGTGTTCTATAAGGAAGCTCTTGGAAATAATCTGATGTGGCTTTCTCACTTCACACAGGGGGAACCAAGGCTAGAGAGAAGTCACTTGCCAAAAACCCCCCAGCTAGTTACTGGCCGATCAGGACTAGTCTGCAGTCTCCTGGCTCCTAGTCTTGCAGTGAGTCCCATCAAGACAACAATGGGAAGACAAGTATGATTGCTTTCCTGAAAACAAACAGGCAACACAACAAGAAAATAGTTTATTGTGTGGGTGAGGTTGGTTGGGATTCACTTTGAGGAATAGGAGGTGTGAAAGATGAGGAGGGGTGAGGACTTTACGTTTTCAGTGGCTTAGTGATATAATTCATTGGTTTGCAGTGCGTGGCCCTCAGACAGCTGTGTGGTCTTTACCTGAGAACTTGTTAGAAATGCAAATTCTCCATCCTCACCTCAGACCCTGCTGCATTAGAGACTTTGGGTGTGGGGGCCAGCAATCTATGTTGAAACAAGCCCTCTGGTTGATTCTGATGCAAGCTCAAGTTTAAGAAAATGCTGGTAAGGTGGAAAGAAGCTGAGACTCCGCTTTCTGGTGTTGCTATGCCATCAGCTGGTGTGTAGGGTATGTCCCAGACTTCTCTGGGTCTGTAGAATAGGAGTGTTGCTACCTAACTTGCTGAATTGGTGGAAGAATCAGTGAGCTAATACAGGCAAGTGTGATTTGTACAGTTTTAGCCCAAGTAATCCAGCTTGGAACATTTGTTTGCTCTGATCTTCGTGGACTAGTAAATATCCCTGGTACTCCCTCTTATGATGTGCCTTTGAGGCTACTTTCATTTACTTCCTTTCTCCGTAGCATAATACAGCCTGTTCCTGAATACTGAAGCCATCCGTGTGTCCTCTTGAGGCTCTCTTGGAAAGATTCAGCTTCCCAAGCCTCTGCACACAGGGGCAAGCAGCTCGTGTTGGCAGGCAGTGGGGAGGATGTAGCTGAGGGAGCATTCAGGGAGGCTGTGCAGTGGGGCTTCCCCCACTTCTATGAACGGACTCAGACATGCCATTGACTGTTAAAAAAAATCCTGATTTCAATGTTAAAATGTGAGAAGTAATATTAAAAAACTAGTACGTGCTGAGCATTTCATACATCATTACTTTCAAGCTTCATAACTGCTCTGTGGAGTTGAGGCTATCTATTATTGTACCTATCTTACAGGAAAGGAAATGGAGGCTCAATTAAGTCAGTTTATAGGGCAGGAATCAGCAAATTTATTTTTGTGAAAGGTCAGATAATAAATATTTTTGGCCTTTGGGGTCCATATGTGCTGCAACAACCCAATTTGGCCTTGTAGAGGGAAGCTGCCATTACAGTATGCAAATGAGTGGGTGTGGCTGCATTTTAATAAAATTTTATCTGTGGAAACTGAAATTTGAATTTCATAAAATTTTCATGTGTTATGAAATATTGTTTTAAGTTTTTCACCTACTTTAAAATGTAAAAAGAAGTCTTAACTCATGGGTTATATAAAACAGGTGGCAGGCCAGATTTGGCTGTGGGCCATAGATTATTGACCCCTGATTTACAGTCACCTGGAATCAAGTTTCCAATCCAAGTGTGTCTCCTCAACCAGGTTTTAATCTCTGCTATACTATGCCGCACATAATAAGAAGAGTAGCTGATTGTCAACTGTTTATTTCTTAAAAAAAAAATCTGTACTAAAAATACTACTTGCCTTTATCTTGAAGATTGTCAAATTTTTCAAGGAATGTCTAATTGTAATTTCCTCTGGATGTGTTTCTTTTTAGCTCAGTGTTACTTATAATTTGGGAAGGCATTTTGGCTTTTGAACTGACAGCTTGGAATTGTAAAGTTTTTTTAGGTAAAATAAACATGCACATAGCATAAAAATTCAAATACTTCAAAAGTACATAAAAGGCAAAGTAAAACTCTTTCTCTTGTTGCTTTTTATCTCTAATAATTCTTCCCATAGATAACTATTCTTAATAGCCTTTTTGCATCCTTCTAGAAGTTGGCTATGTAAATATATCAGTATGTATGTATGCATATTCATTTTTAACTGCATACTTGCCTTTTCATGTAATACATCTTAGTGCTCCATAAAAATTTGTCTATTGATACATAATTTTTATAGCATAGTATTCTGTGTCGTGTACTTCTGAAATACTGTTATTTATTTAACCATGATTCCATTGTTGGATTTATTTCTAGTTTTTGGTTATTACCAAAAATAGTTCATTCAATATGCTGTAATTAAATCTATCATGCATCTATAAATAATTCTGTGAGATAAGTTCCTAGAAGTGAAACCACTACATCAAAGGAAATGTGCATTTTTGATAATTAATGTTTTACTTACATTAACTCTCAAGCAAGTTATTTGCCTGAGCCATGAATGTCCACAAAGAATAGCATTGCTGATGGGAAAATTGACTCCTTCCTGCCTCCTTTAACGCTTCCAGTTGTCTGTTGTTTTCTGTTTGCTGAGAAAATAGATTGTGTTTCATCTTCAAAATAGTTTGTAGAGAATTAATACACGGTGACACTAAGGTTTTGGGCTCCAGATCTCATCATGATCTTTGACATCTGTTTAAAGGAAAAGTCAACTTATCTTTGATAACATAAGAAATGTTTTCTGGGCCTCCTTGGCCAAGATTCTCAGATGGGAAAGGAACAATGCTTTGTGAAAACCATAATCTCTGTAAATGTTCCTCAAAGCCTAAGGGAGAATTGTTAATAGCTTATACATTAATTGATGTCTACTGATTTTGACCACTGGCTATATTCCAGCTTCTTTACTAAGCCCTTTATATGAATCATCTCTTTGAATATGCATGATGAACATGTAAGACTGGGACTATTCTCACTCATCTCTATCTGTGCGGATGCGGAAACTGAGGTTCAGAGAGGCCCAGGGTCAGAGAACGAGGAAATGGTAGGGCTAGGCTTTGAACACAGAGTTGACTTCAAAACTGTTTTTGATCACCAGTCATCTCAAAATTTTGTAAGTATTAATTTACTGCATGATAGAGATCAATGAATGGTTCTGAGGGAGCCACAGAAGTAGCTGTTGCTTCTGCCTTCTGCTTCACAGCTAGACATAGAAACAGGTGTTTCTGCCAGACTGTGGGTTTCGAGGACAGGATGGTGGGTCACTTACACCTATATGACCCAAGTGCAGAAAGGTGCTCAACAAATGTTGACTAACTGAACAGATCAATGAATGAATTTGATACATACACATAAAATAGAAGATATATTAAGGCTTTATAATATCAGGGGCTAAGTAGTAGGGTGTAAAGATTAAGATGCTATAGATTTTTAAGGGAAAAGAGGGCTTAGAAAGTATATTCTTCTCTATATTTCCTCACTTAGTAATGAGATCAAAAGAATAGTTAATTTTATTTTTAATGTTAAAAGTTTGTTGGTAGCTAATCCTTCACCTCTAAGTTATGTGTAGGGAAATAGGTAAGAACAGTTAACCCAAAGCCTTTTGCATCTAAACTTTTATCTAAAACTGCTATATTTTAGATAAGTTTGTTTGTCGCAGCCAAAGCTCATGTTGAAATTTGATCCCCAATGTTTCGATGTTAGGAGGTGGGGCCTAATGAGAGGTGTTTGGGTTTTTGGGGGGCAGATCCCTCGTGAATATCTTGGTGCTTTTACCCAGGTAGTGAGTTCTTGTGAGACTGATTAGTTCTCGTGGAAATGGATTAGTTCCTGCAACAGCGGGTTGTTATGAAGCCAGGCCACCCCCTCAGGTTTTCCTGTCTTCCCCTTAGACCCCCTCTGCCATGTCATGATGCAGCAGGAAAGCCCTCACCAGACTCCAGGGCCATGCCCTTGAACTGAGTCTGTAGAACCTTGAGCTAAATAAACTTCTTTGCTTTATAAATTACCCAGTCTCAGGTATTCTTTCATAGCAACACAAAATGGACGACAAGATAAGCAGTTTTTTTTAAAGTGCTCTGCAAATCTATTTGGTGATAATCGGTTGTATAGCTGGGGTCCAGAAGAGATATATGTTATGTTTTCTGCACTATGGTTGATTATGGATACATAAGCAGAAGACAGATTGCAAAGAAATCACACAATTTGCATTAATTCCATAATCATAGGATGATATGGGTACTCACCATAGCAAGGCCATAATTTCTGCATGGCTGGTGGCATCTGAATCAAGGGGGAGTCTAAACCTGGCATGTTTGCCACTGACCTGCACCAGAACTGAGTGACCTGGAAGAGCTCCTCCAGCTCTCGGTGCAAGAACTGAGCTTGCTGCTTGCCAGGCCCTGGGCCAGGCACCCATTTTCATCTCCAGCTCCCCTCCACAGTGCCCTCCTCTGCCCTTTCCTCACTCTGGCACATGGGCCTTTTATCCATGCCTTGTTCATAGCCTCTGCCTGCCATGTTCTGCCTTCCCTCCGTGGTTTCTTCTTTACCCTGGTTGATGTCTCTTCATCCTTCAGACAGTTTTGCAGGTTGAGTGAACTTCAACTTTAGATGTCCTCCAAACTGCAGGGTTGTGGTACAGAAGTGTCCTGAAGACATGTGAGGGTATGTGCTGTAATGCTGATCCTGGGCTCCACCCGCGGAGATTAGATTCAGCAGGTCTGGGATGGGGCTTCGGATTTAGGTAATCTAAAGACCTACCTGAAGAACCAGTGTAGCAGAAGCTCCAGGCATGTGACTCATTGCAGCTGTCAGAAACTCACTCTGTGATTTTCAGCTTGTTTTGGGGTTCTTGCTTCTACCCCTCATGTGCCACGGCCACATGTTGGGCAAGGTTGCTTGGACAATTTTAGGCTGAATGTGTGACAGAATGAGATCTAGAGTAGTGGGTGGGAGTGGTCATTCATGGCAGATTCCAAGGGTGAAGACCCCTCAGGCCACACTGTCCTTACCCCTGTCAGGGCCATCAAATTTAGAGTCTATCATTACAAAGCGAATAGCAAAATTGGAGATATGAGAAGCAGTGAAATGTGGAGATGGCAGTGGAAGCTCTGGAAGCCTTGATGGAAAGTTGAAATGAGGATGTTTAATTTGGGAAAAGCCAATGTAATAAGTGGGAGTGGGAGAAAATATGTTATGTTTGATTCCAGGAGGTAGAACTAGTCTCAATGGATGTAGGTTATAGGGAGGTCAACTTTATCTTGATAGAAGGAAATGTCATATCCTAATGACAATAGTAATAGATGGCAGACAGTTTACTGGTCACTTTATAGATAGTGTCTCTAAGATTTACAGCATCATAGTAAATGGTTACTATTACCCCAGCTTTACAGATGATGGAACTGAATCTCAGAGGTAATTAAAAATGTTGCTAAGGGTACACAGTGATTAAGTGGATAGTGAGAATTCAAATATTGGTCAGATTCACTTTAAAACCTGAAGTGTGTCCATTCTGCTGTTTCCTCTCAGTAGATAGAGTTGACTATAATGATGGGCTGCTTGTAGGGGGATTGACATCCCATCACTAACTGTTCAAGTAGGACATAGAGGACAACTAAGAAATCCAGAGAGAAACCTTTCCTAAAGATGGTCCTTGTCCTGTTAATAGGTGTTATAGTTATTATAGGCATGCATGTTGGTCAGAGAAGCTGGGACAACATTAGTTTAAACATTAGGTAGATATCTTTCTTGCTGGACTTCTCAAAGCCTTTTATATGTTAATAGACAGGCAGTATATACAGTGATTCCCAAACTTATTTAATCATGGATCCCATGCTTAAAGAATATCTCAAGACAGTTTTTTTTTTTGTTTTTTTTTTGTTTTGTTTTGTTTTGTTTTTTTAACAAATGCAGCTGTGAGAAAATTCATGCTGCAGAGAATTCATGATTGGGCCATCTAACCGTACATCCCTTGAGACTTGAGGTTGTGGATGTCTCTGTGATTCAATTCCAGAATGCTCTGTGCACCTTTGCAAAGCGGAAGCCCTCCATGCCTGGGCACTTTCATCTGGACCTTGTGCTTTTCTGACTCTGCTAAGTTTTTGATGCTTTTATTGCCCTCAATTTTGCTTTCATTTTTAAGGAGGAATATTGAATATTTAATGAATTCCCTCCTCTGCTATGTCCTTAACTATTGATTAGAACCAACAATTGGCATAATAATCATTTGAGGTATAATTATTTCTTATAAATGTTATATGAGTACTAGGAATGGCCTTGTAAAGTTCCAGAAAGTCATAGAAAGATACACTTACATCCATGTGTTTCTAAAACCAATTATTTTTCTCAAATTACTTTTCAGATTGGCTATTAAGTTGAAAAGATGATTGATTTTTTTAATACTGGCATCAAGGAGAATCCTAGTGAAATATGATGTGTTTACTATTAATTATGTTAGCTCTCACCTGGAAGCTTAATGCCAATAATATTTATTTTCTCCTTTTAGTGGGACACGTGGTCATGTTCACTAATACCTTGTTAATTTTGCGGAGGATAGGGGTGGGAGGGAGAGAGTCATTATCTTTTTTATTCAAATCTGTAGAGGATTATTTTGAATTACTCAGAGTTTAAAATCAACCTTTAAAATTTTCAACCATTTCTATGAGCAATTTTCTCTTATTAGGTAGAGGTAAACTTTGTCCTGGACATTGGTAAGTAATAAAATTAGTATTTAAAAACCAGCAAAGATCTTTGAAAGAGTCTGCCCTCCCCACCCTGTAGGGGGTTGGATCTTTGGTTCTTATGTTGGAGGGCACTAGGCCAAGGTGACAGAAACTGGCATGGCAGAGAGCATCGGGTGGGAAAAAGGGCACCCAGGTACCAGCAGGTGCCCAGCACCTTGCCTTGTGGAGTTATTTGCAGTCATAAATATGTTTGGTAGCCCCAGTTCCTTTTTTTCTGGGTGTGAGCACTTTCCATTGAGGGTAGAACAAAATCTTGTTGGTCAGTGTCAAGTGGGACTCTGTCGTCTGGTGGGATACTACTAAATTAAGGCCCACAGATTTCACATTCTCCTGACTTCAAATTCAAAATTGATTACTGTGTTTTATAGTTCTGTCAGAAATTAATTTTTCCACTTTGGTATTATGGCTTTTTGGAAGCATCTAGAATTCAGCTTCAATATATACAGTTTCTTTTTAGTTGCCTCAAAAATGGTTTTTTCCCCCTTCAAATTCTGTTATGTGTTTTCTTCCTAAATATCTTCATTTTGAAAATCGCATAGTGGAAGCAACAGGCTCACAGTTACCTTAAAGACAGTGGGTTTCCCAGAGCAGTCTCTCCAAGTCCCAGCATAAATCTGAATTTTCTACACGTTGAATTTTGGAGGTTTGTTTTTTGTGGATCCCTGTGCCACTAGCAGACTCTTTAAGTCCCTGACTTTGTGTTTTTGAGTACCTCTATTGAATGTAATATAGTCTCTTTATAGGCAACATGTTATTTTTATGTGCCTTTCTTTATTACACATGATACAAAACCATCTCTGACATTTTTTATACTCACTGAATTTTTATTAGAGTTATATCTTTCATCAATAATAACCTAAGCTGCAACACTCTTCTCTGGAATATTTACTGAGACTGCCACCACTGTTGGGAAAGAGGGCCATTGCCACCTTATTAGAAATAGTTTCATCCTCATTGCTTTTATCTGGTTAAATAATCCTTTAATCCCTGTTCATTGCCCATAGATCCTGACTCTCCCTGCTAGTGCTGTTAATGCAAGTCCGCGGAACAGTGTGGTGGGTGAGGCTGGCCTGCTAGTTTATCAGTTTCGAGTCGTTATGGAATCATTAGTTCTGGTGGCTGCAGTGATTAGAACTGGAGGTCTCATACCTGCAGCTAGCCATGTTCAGTCATAATAAGGGATTTAGCAGATATTTATGCAAGCAGAAAATTGAATCAGCAGCACCATCAGTGTCTTAAATTATGGCATTTTTCCTGCAGAATTCCTGTGAAATGTAATAGTAGATTTGGACAGAATCATTTCTTACGTTGATTAATTTAGGGTCTTTTGGTAACACAGAGAGGTAGGAGGTTTTTTACATGAATAAGTCTTCCATTATCTTAGAAACTTTAAATCAGTTTGTTCTGGATGGTACCCATATGTGAATACAGCAGTTCCCATTTAAATACTCACCTTTTTTTCTATCAATTTCAGAAAATTATCTTCTCGATGATGTCTTTGGTCTTAGGAAAGTGAGACTGAAAACACATAAAAATAGAAAGGCTCTGATACTGAATTTAAAATATAAAATACTAGCCTGCCTTTGAAACGTTTGGGTGAGTTTCATTGTAATTTTAAGAGATTAAAAAATAGCCGCCGATTATGGGCATCTTAAGGCCTCAGCGTGCTTTTCCCCAGGTATTAGCTGTTAAGAGAAAGGAAACATGGGGCTCAAGAACGAGCCAAGGAAAAATCAGCGGCTCAGTTGTAGGTGGGACAAGGCACTTCCCAGGACACGTTTGGATAACATTTTCTAAAAAATAATCCCAGAAAAGATCACATTCCTTTTGGTTTTTTATTTTTTTATTGAATATAGTTTTTAAATAAGGAATAAATTCAGTTGGTTCAGGAATGAAAATAGAAAGAAGTACAGTAAAAAGTCTCTTTGTGCTCAATTTTCTCACCCTGTCACCACTGTTATTAGTTTCTTTGTATTCTTCCAGAGGAATTTTAATACACACATTAGTTAGCATTTGTATATATATTCTCTTTCTCCAAGACATATGAACATGTTATACACAATGTTCTCCGCCCTGCTTTTTGCAAATAATATGTCTTTTTTTTGTGTTTGTGCATAGAGATAATTGTTAACTTTTTTATTCTTCTACAACTGTATGGTTTTTTTGGGGGTTGGGGGTACAGGGTTTCACCCTGTCACCCAGGCTGGAATGCAGTGGCGAAATCACAGCTCACTACAGCCTCGACCTCCTGGGCTCAGGTGATTCTCCCACCTCAGCCTCCTGTGTAGCTGGGACTACAGGCGTACATCACCATGTCTAGCTAATTTTTGTATTTTTTTGGTAGAGACAAGTGTATTAGTCCATTTTCATACTGCTATGAAGAAATGCCTGAGACTAGGTAATTTATAAAGAAAAAGAGGTTTAATGGACTCACAGTTCCACATGGCTAGTGAAGCCTCACCATCATGGCAGAAGGCGAAGGAGGAAGAAAGGCAAGTCTTACATGGTGGCAGGCACCAGAGTGTGTGCTAGGGAACTACCCTTTATAAAACCATCAGATCTCATGAGACTTATTCACCATCATGAGAACAGCACAGCAAAAACCCCACCCTCATGATTCAATTACCTCCGACCGGGTCCCTCCCATGACCTGGGGATTATGGGAGCTACAATTCAAGATGAGATTTGGGTGAGGATACAGCCAAACCATATCAATGGGGTTTTGCCATATCCACCAGACTGGTCTTGAACTCAGGAGCTCAAGAGGTCTGCCTGCCTCGGACTCCTGAAGTGCTGGGATTACAGGTGGGAGCCACCATGCTGGCCTGTATGGTTTTTTAGTGTTAAATAGACCATAACTTATTCAACCTATCCTCTGTTAATGAGTCTTTGAATTGTTCCCAGTATTTTACTATCATAAGCAGTTCTGGAATGAATAATTTTGTATGTATGTCATTTCATATACCTGTGCCAGTTCTTCAATATGCTGAATTCCCAGAAGAGGAGCTGCTGGGTCAGAAGATGTATGCATTCTTAATTTTGATGGCTATTGGGAAATTGTCCCCATTCCATAATGGTCAATGTCTTAGTCTCTTTGTGCTATTATAACAGAATACAACAGACTGGGTAATATATAATGAAGAGAAATTTATTGGCTCATGGTTCTATAGGCAGGGAAGTTCAAGATCAGGGGGTTAGCATCTAGTGAGGCCTTCTTGCTGTGCCATCCCATGGCTGAAGGGCAAAAGGGGTGACAGAGAGCAAGAGATAAAACTTAAAGACTGGAATCCTTTTATAATTGACATTCATCATTCATGAGGGTGGAGCTCTCATGACATAAGCATCTTCCACTGGGCTCCACCTCCCAACACTGTTGCATTGGGGATTAAATTTCCAATACATGATTTTTAGGGGACACATCCAAACCATAGCAGTCAGTATTTGGGAATAATTGTTTCCAACCAGCCTTGGCAGTAAGTATGTCTATTCATGTCCTTTGCCCATCTTTCAGATGGGTCCTTGGTCTTTCATTTGTTAACTTCTGGAAGCTCTTTATATAGAGAGATATTAGCCTTTTACCTATAGTTTGAATCAGTTTCCTGTGGTGGTGTTTGTCTTTTGACTTTGCTTATGTGTACTACTAAGTAAAAGTTTCATTGTTATGTGTTTGTATTTATTAACCTCGAATTTTATGGCTTCTGGATTTTCAGGCATGTCTTAAAGGCCTTTTCCACTTTGAGGTTAATAAGAGATTTTTCTAGTTTTTCTCCCATTATTTTTTAAATTTAACTTTGCTCCCACCACCCCTCAATTTAATAGGATTTTCCTATCAATCTCATTATCCATTTGGAATTTATTTTGGTACGTGATGTAGGATATAGAACCAACTTTATTCTTTAGATGCTATCCAGTTGTCCTTGTGTCACTAGTTGAATATACATTTTTTTGTCCACTGATTTGAGATGCCATCTTCACTTACACTGAAGTATTTCCATTTGTATTTGGATTAGTTTCTGGACTTTGTATTTAGATCTATTTGTTTGTCTTATAGTCACATTCCAGTACCAGTCCCACACTATTTTAATCATTGTTCGATAATGTTATACTGTCTGATATGCTTGTCCTTCCTCATGACTTTTCTCTTTCAGAGTCTCTCTTTTTTTTTATAGTCCTATATTTTTCTAAATGTATTTAAGGATAAACTTGTATAATCTCCAACCTAAAAACAAGGTTATCATTAGGAGAGCATTACATTTACAAATTTCCTTAAGGAGAGTTGACAGCTCTGTGAGTTTGTCTTCCTGTGTGATATAGTTTAAATAGATATCCCCACCCAGATCTCATGTTGAATTGTAATCCTCAGTGTTGGAGGTGGCATCTGGTGGGAGGTGTCGGGATCACTGGGGTGTAGCCCTCATGAATGGCTTAGCCCATCCCCTTGATGATAAGTGAGCTCTCACTCTGAGTTCTGGCAAGATCTGGTCATTTAAAAATATGTGGCATCTCCTCCCACCTTGCTCCGTTCTTGCCATGTCATATGCCTGCTTCCCTTTGCTTTCTATCATGATTGGAAGCTTCCTGAAGCCTCCCCAGAAGCAGATGCCACTGTGCTTCTGAGATAGCCTGTAGAACCTTGAGAGAATCCAATCTCTTTTCTTATAAATTACCACAGTCTCAGATATTTCTTTATAGCAATGCAAGAATGGTTTAATACACTGTCCAAGAACATGGTATGTCTTCTGATTTGTTCAAATTTTCTTTTGTGTCCTTCAGAAGAGTTTTAAAGTTTTATTCTTATAGCTCTGGTGTATTTCTTATTTAGTCAATTCCTTGGTATTTTATTTCATATGTACTATTTTACATGGAATTTTCTCTTCACATAGGTCTACTACTTAATGGAAGTTTGCATATAAGGAAGCTATGGATATTTGCAAGTCAATTTTGTATTTTGCTAGCTTTCTGAGCTGTGTTGGGTTTATTATAGTTTTTTTAGCTTATTCTTTTAGACTTTCTAAGTATATAATCAACTTGTTTTTAAAAAGTCCTAGATTTAAGTGCTTCTTACCATTTTTATACCTTTTTAGGCTTTTCCTAGTTTCCCTTATTCAATGTAAGTTAACAATGATGGTAGTGAATTCCCTTGTCTTATTTTGATCTTGATTTTTCTTGTCTGTTAAAGGGAAAAACTTTTTCTCTATAGACATAACACTTTTAATACAAAATGTCTGAATTTTTTTTTTCCACACCAAGCAATCCTTTGATTCTCTGTGGACATTAACTGGTGTCCTCCAATTCAGTTCAATTCTGACACTATCCACTTGGAGTTGGTGTCAGATCCCACAAATTAAAGGACTCAATCCTACAAGACTGCCCCCCACTTCAGATGCCAGTCACAAATCCCATACCTCTGATGACTGGCTATACATTCAGGAGTTCCCACACCTCCCGTCTCATGTTCAATATGTTGCTATAATGGGTCACGGTGCCAGGTAAATACTTAAAACACAGGTAAATACTTTGCTTATTTATTACTGGTTTGTTATAAATGATATAAATGAAAGTCCGGATGAAGAGATACATAGGGCAAGGGTCTAGAATGATCCCAAGTGCAGGAGTTTCCCTGTGGAGTTGGGGTGCATCACCTTCCTAGCATGTGGATGCATTCACCACCTCAGAACCTTGTCAAATCCTATTGTTTAGGGTTTTTATAGAGGCTTTGTTTTGTTGGCATGGTTGACCAAATTAATGGTCATTGGTGATTAGGTCAATCTCTAGCCCCTCTCCTCTCCCTGGAAATTGGGGATTAGTGCTGCAAGTTAAAATCTTTTAATCACATGGTTGGCTCCTCTGGAAACCAGCCCCCATCCTTCAGGAGTCATTTCATTAGCATAAACTCATATGGGGTTAAAAGGATCTTACTGTGAATACCAAAAGATGCTTCTCTCCCATGTATCACTCACATTCTAAGGGTTTTAGGAGCTCTGTGCCACAAATCAGGAATGAAGACCAAATGTATATTTCTTACTATATCTCACTATCAATCACTTTTTAGCCTTTTGGCTAAGATCAAGTGTATATCTCACTATCACACATGTATTTTAGTGTTGCCCCCATTAAGTGTGATCTTAGCTTTGTAATAGAGAAAAATATATTTTATCGTGTTAAGGAAGTATATATTTGTTCCTATTTTATTGAGTATTTTTGTTGTTACCAAGACTGGGTGAATTTTGCTCAGTACCTCTTCAGTGTCTTTGGAATGATTACATGATTTTACGTGAGCTCTATTAATATTCACTGGTTTGATGGATTTACTGATTTTGTGCAATATTTGCCTTTCTTGTGTAAACTCTATTTGGTCATGACATACTATTCTTTTATTGTGCTTCTTTATGTGGTAATTTTTTTTGCTTTGCTCTTCATAAATGAGATTCATTTTGAGTTGCCTTTTATGTGTAGCACTTATTTTAAAGAACTTACATTTAGTTTTTCTGTGAAAGAGTGTTTTCTAAATAATTTCACATTGTGAGCAAGATTGTAAGGAGCATGTTTAGCATAAAGGAACAAGTGGTTTCAAGGACTGCAGTGTGTATGTGAGTGCAAATTTCAGCCAGTACTGAAAATAGGGTTTGTCTCTTTGGGGAGGCATATTATGCAAAATAATTTGTTAACACTTCATTAGTACTAATAAGACCTACTGATAACAGTCATTAGTTAACTGAAGTAATTGTTTAGTGTAATATAAGTAGCTTGGGTTTACATATATTAGTTCATTTTAATTCTCTCTACAGCCCTGTGAGGAATTGATTTCAACTTATAGAAGAGAAAGCTTATTTTGAAGAGGTGAACCAGTCTTGCCCAAGATCACACAGCTGTAAAGGGAGGAATCACACTTTAAATCTAGATCTCCTTCATCCCGGTGTCCATATTCTCAACCACCATGATGTATTGCTTTTAAAATAAGTTTGAGTTTTTGTAGGTAATTTGAGGTTAAAAAAACCTATTTCCTGAAGCAGTGCCTTCAAGTGTAGCCCCCAGACCAGCAGCATCTGCAACCCCTGGAACCTTGTTAGAGTCCCACACTCCAACCATATCTGCTGCAGCAGGAACTCAGGGAATGAGGCCCAACATCTGTGTTTTAATAAGCCCTGCAGGTGATCCTCACATACACTAAAGCTCAAGAACCAGTGCCTTAGAGACTGCATCCTCTTCTTCCCTTCTGCTGTCTGAATTGTAGGAGTTATTAACACGTTGACTCTTTGAATAAGGGCAAAATATTCTTTCTTCTTTCCAGAAATAAAGGCTAATTATTTGTTTAACACCACATGTCTTGTTTACAAAATGGAGTATTTGCTCAGCTTAGCTCCCTGTGAAACTTGTGAGAATTAAACATTCTTGTGAGACGTCAGTAAAGCATCATTTACTCAGAGCCTCAGTCCAGGCAGAGGTCTTAAACAAACTGGTTAGGCTTCATTTTAGGAGTGAAAGCAGTTCATAGATGTGTACATTTTCCATATATGGCCTGTCTGTGGGATGTTCCTTCCTGGGACTAAGTAGATGGGGGGCTCTCAGGGGAGGGCCCAGCACTCTTAGTCCTCTGCCTCTCAGAGAGGCACACACTGCCACTCTTCCATTCACTGAATGAGTGAATGCTGGGAATGGGAGCTCATGGTGGGCTGCCCGCTTGACCTCATCTGCACACAGTGCCACCAAATGGAGGAAATAATGATAATTCACTTAACCTGAAAGGCAATTAATGATTTCCATGCAATTACCAGTTGCTTGCCCTTCCCTTTCGGTGCAGAATTCATTCCATTGGCATCGCTGATTTACAAAAGGCAGACTGCTAGCAAGCTAATTGGGTGAAGTCATTATAGAGGACAGTGTGGCTGTGAGCTGGAGCAGTGCTAAAGTGGTTTTCGATAACAGGCCTCTCATCCCTGCGTTGGTCCTCACCCCAGAGTAATTAGATCTGAATGGTATTGGTTGGGGGCTGTGAGGGTGCTATGGGTTTACCAGTGACCAAGTATAGTTTGCTGAAATGAGCTCTTCATTATATTCAGGTATCTTGTCCAGTTCAGGAAGCTCCCAGGCCTGACATATTTCTGTGCTCAGTAGATGTTTTCCTGCTGTGCATCTATATGTGTGACCAGTGGGGAATTGATAAGGGAAAGGAACCAGTTTTTAGGGTCTGCAGAGTGTGTACTTGTATGAGCTGATTCTAAACCATTCCCTCCCCAATCCAGGTCAGATATGACCATAGCCCCAGTCTACATCTCTATACCTCAGGACCTAAGGGCTGGAGACTAGGTTTGGTAGAGCTCAAAGAAACCTGGGCAAGCATGCTCTTATGTACATCTATGCACAGCCTGCCTCTAACATTTGTGGGGCCTACAGGGAGAGTTTAAGCAGAGGTTCACATACCTCCTGTCTAAATAACTAAATCATAAATCAGGCTAACCCACTGTTAAACAATAACATGTGTTCTGTCCTCCTTCCTTGGCAGCTTAACCCTGATAATGCTTGGGGTGTGGCTGTGTGAAAAGAGCTCCCATTCACTGACCACCATTGGCTTCATCCTACTCCATGAAGGGCCTGGTGTGCATGCCGGCAGACAGCCAGCAAGGTGCTGATTGTAACCCCCTCGTCACTGCAAACCACTGCCCCATGGCCTCTCCTGGGCCTAGAGGGCCCTCACTGGCAGCTTAGGCCACCTCAAAAGGATAGACCTGGAGGACAGGCCAGATAGTCATGGAAGGTGGCTCAGGGCCATTTGGGCAGAAAATTCTGGGATCTCAGGGACCAAGGACATGGGCTGGAAAGGCAAAGCATGAGCTCTGGCTGGTCATTTTTTTCTAAGCCCTACAGAAGCCCCACCGCCCTGGGAGGGACGCAGTCAGATCAGGCACAGAGTGGAGGCTCTCCCTGCCTGTGTCTGAGCATGATGCTGGACTTGCAAAATGTTAGCATAGTTTCATTTATCCGGGGCCTCCATCAAAGGAGAGGCTTTAAACACAGACTTTCATGTTCATGTATACACCCCCCACAGACATTAACATGTACGGATGATCAGAAGCCGAACCACCTATGTGAGCTGCCTGCCTCTTGTACTCACACATTCCATCCTTACACACTAACAGACTCCTATACTCCTAGTGGTCATATCTGTACTACTCTTATGTATAAACACACACTCTTTGTAGTTCTCACTTGTCTGCCACACTGTGGCATTCATACCCAGACCCCTGTTGCAAATCTTCACACAGAGCAGTGTTTTCACACAGACACGTGCATCTACCTGCTCACACATGTGTGTATACCCACCAACATTTCACTTGTATACATACCTCCAAACGTAGGCATCTTTCTGCCCATACTCATTTCTCTAACATGTAGCCACACTTTATCTGGGCATGTTTTTCTTGTCAGCACTTGTGATCATTGGTATTACCAGGACTCAGGTTGAAACTAGTGGTTGAAATAAGGCGTTAAGGTTTTGCGTGCAGTTATTTTACAGAGGTTCTACTTATGACTCATGAGTGAATAATGAATACCGGCCACATTGTTTTTCCTGATGACCATAAGGTAATCTGAACATAAACACCCTTTTACCTTGTCTCTCTAGGTGACACACTCCCTCTGAAGGTTTACACTTGCCATCCAACAGGTCAGAGGACTTGGCCATGGCTCCCTGACCTGGATATTTTAGGACAGTATTCAGCATTCCTTACAACATCCTACATCAAAGAAACCATGCAGGAAAGACAAAGTGACGCTAGATCTTCCTGGGAGCCTCAGCTCCCACTTTGCCAATGATTCAGCCCCAAATGTCTGGTCCCCAGGTCACTGCCTACTAGAAGGAGCAGACACAAAGCATGCACTTGGTTTTGTCACTTCCGTAGCAGTACTGTCTCTGAGATGAAATAATATGTGCTCAGTGAGGCACTTCCAGGTCAGCAATATTTAGGCAAAAACCCTTTAATGTCAGTGTTGTAAGATGTTCATCTCTCTGATGAGCAATTTTTATTGGAAGAATGTTTGGTATTTAGTAATATACTTGTCAAACCTAAGAAACACATTAGTACATCACTAATTAACTAAACTCCAGACTTCGATCAGTTGGTGAACATGGTGTTTTTCAGGCTGCCTCTCTGTAAAGCCATGATTTCCCCTTTCCCTACTCTTCTTTGGAGGCAAGTCACTAACCCTAGCCCACCCTCAAGGGGAGGAGGGGAGGAATTAAGGTCTGTTTCCTGTAGGGACCAGCGTCTACATATATTATTTAGAATTGTATTGAAAGAAATATCTCACTCACCCTAACTTTTAAAAAGATACAATGGGATATGATATGATTTATGGCCTGGACAAGATCGTATAGACTTGTTTCTTTCTGCTCTTCTCTGTTAAATATGATAATAAACGCTGGAAATAGCACAAGAGGCAACCAAAAGAGAATGATGAAAGTGGTAAGAAGGTGAGCTGGTTTGGGAGTCCAGTGCTGGAAAGGCGATGCAGCAGCAGGGCATCTACATCCTCCCCTTGCCCAACAGGAGAAGGTGGCCCAGGCATGGTGTTTCCTGACCCACCACCCAGCAGAAGAAAGCAGCCCCAGCAGGGTAAGAGGCTGAACCCAGCCCCAGGGTAAGAGGCTAAGGGAAATACTGGCCTCCCTGCTGGTCCTGAGAATCCTGTCCTCTACTGAGAGAGGCCACAGTGTCTGGGGGCCATCAGCAGAACAGGCCCCACAATAAGTGGCCTGGTATGGGAAGCCTCTTTATCCCTGTGAGCTCAAAACTCCTTTTCCCTACCCAGAGACACCTGGGCAGCTGGGGACACTGGCAGAGGGCACTCAGGATGTCTTCTCATCCTCATGGACCTCAGACTGTCCTTTCCAGCCAGGTGACACTAGATGGCCTGGTCTGAGGAAACCCTTTGCCTTGAAGAACAAGGCAAGAATGTCTGCTCTCACCACTCTTATTCATCCTAGTACTGGAAATTGTGGTCACTGCAGTGAGGCAAGAAAAATAAATAAAGGGCACTGGAAGAAATAAAGCTGTGCCTATTGGCAGATCACATAGTTGTGTAGTAAATCCCAAGAAATTTTTTTTAAAGGAAATACAGCCTCCTAGAATCAGTAAGTGAGATCGGCAAAGTCACAGGATACAAGATCAATAACCAAAAAAAAAAAAAAAAAAAAAAAAAGTGCATATCCTCATACTAACAATGAATATGTGAAAATTGAAGTTAATATCATGTATAATTACTCCAAAGAAAAAGAAATATTTAGATATACACTTAAGACATGTATAGCAGGGGTCCCCAGTCCCCAGGCCATGGACTAGTACTGGTCCATGGCCTGTTAGGAACAGGGTCACACAGCAGGAGGTGAGCGACAGGTGAGCAAGCAGAGCTTTATCTGTATTTACAGTCACTCCCCATTGCTTGCATCACTGCCTGAGCTCCACCTCCTGTCAGATCAGCAGCAGCATTAGATTCTCATAGGCACATGAACCCTGTTGTGAACTGCACATGTTAGGGGTCTAGGTTGTGCTCTTCTTATGAGAATCTAATGCCTGATGATCTGTCACTGTCTCTCATCATCCCCAGATGGAACCATTTAGATTCAGGAAAATAAGCTCAGGGCTCCCACTGATTCTATGTTATGGTGAGTTGTATAATTATTTCATATGTATGTAATAATAGAAATAAAGTACACAATAAATATAATGTACTTGAATCATCCTGAAACCATCCCTGCCTGCCCCTCCCCTGGTCCATGGAAAAACTGTCTTCTATGAAACAAGTCCCTGGTGCCAAAAAGGGTGAGGACTGCTGATATTTAGGATCGGTATTCTGAATATTGTCAAATGGTGATGCAGGTCTAGAAAGGAGTCCAAGTAGGCAAATACAATGAGCAGGACTGGGATTAACCACAGTATGTTCCATGTAGCCTGAAACAAAGATCTTCCCTCCATCCATGATAGTGCGGAATAACACATCTATTTCAACTGACAAATACAAATTGTATTATATTTACAGTGTAAAAAACACTGATGATAGAAATCAAAGAAGACCTGAATGAACAGAAAGACATATCTCGTTAATGGATTTGGAGACTTAACATGGTAAAGATGTTCATTTTCTCCAAATTGCTATACAGGTTCAATGAAATTCCTATCAAAATTGCAGCAAGGTTTTTTGGTAAACATGGATAAGGTTATTCTGAAAATTTATATGGAAAGGCACAGGCCCTAGAATAGCTAAAGTGATTTTGACAAAGAAGAATAAAGTAGGAGGAATCACTCTACCTGATTTTAAGGCTTACTGTATAGCTACAGTAATCAAGACAGTGTGGTACTGGCAGGGGGATAGACACATGGATCCGTGAAACAGAATAGATAACCCAGAAAGAGAGCCAGGCAAATATACTCAACTGCTTTTTGACAAAGGTGCAATTCAAGGGAGAAAAGACAGCCTTTCCAATAAGTGATGCGGGAGCAGCTGGACATTCATAGGCAAAGAAACGAATCTGGACCGAAGCCTCATCCATAGACAGAAATTCACTCAAAATGCATCATGAACTTAAATGTAAAATTTAAAACTATACAACTTTTAGGAAAAAAACATTAAAAATCTTCAGGATTTAGGCCTAGACAAAGAATTCAGACTTGACACCAAAAACCTGATTCATAAGAGGAAAGTTTGGTAAACTGGGCTTATTAAAAAATTTTTAAAAAAGGGTGAAAAACTCTGTTAAGAAGTGAAAAGACAAACTAGACTGGAAAATATTTGCAAATCACATATCTTACAGGTGGCAAGTGTTGAGAATATGTAAAGAACTCTTAAAACTCAAGAGTGAAAAAACAAGCCAATCTGAAATGAGTAAAAGATATGAAGAGACATTCACCAAGGAGAATATATACAGATGGCATGTAAGAACATGAAATGATGTTCACCATCATCAGGGAAATGCAAGTTAAAGTGTAACAGTGGGATATCACTAGACACCTAACAGAATGGCTAAAGTGAAAAATAGTGGCAACACCCAATGCTGGCAAGGTTGTGGAGAAACTGAATAACTCCTGTGTTCCTGGTGGGAATGTAAAGTGACATAGTCACTGTGGAATGCTAGTACCATACAGGGCAGCAATTGCACTCTTGAGCATTTATCCCAGAGAAATGAAAATGTATGTTCATGTAAGAACCTGCACATGAGTGTTTATTAGCAGCTTTATTTACAATAGCTACAATCTGGAATCAGGCCAGAGGGCCTTCAGTGAGTGAGTGGTTAAACCAGCTGTAGCATATCCATACCATGGAATAGTACTTTGCAATAATAAAGGAATGCACTGCTGATACATGCAACATCCTGGGTGAATCTTCAGGAAATTTTGCTGAGTGAAAAAAGTCAGTCCCCAAAATGTTAGACTGTATAATTATATAATATTTTTGAAATGCCCACATTTTAGAAATGGAGAAAAGATTGATAGTTGCCAGGGGTTAGGGATAGTAGGGGAACAAGGGGGCAGGGTCAGCAGGAAGGTGGGTGGGTTATAAAAGGGTGACACCAGCCGGGTGCGGTGGCTCACGCCTATAATCCCAGCACTTTGGGAGGCTGAAGTGGGTCTCCATCACCTGAGGACAGGAGTTCGAGACCAGCCTGGCCAACATGGTGAAACCCTGCCTCTACTAAAAATACAAAAATTAGCTGGTTGTGGTGGCGCATGCCTATAATCTCAGCTACTCAGGAGGCTGAGGCAGGAGGATCACTTGAACCCGGGAAGGTGGAGGTTACAGTGAGCCAAGATCATGCCATTATACTCCAGCCTGGGGGACAAGAGTGAAACTCCATCTCAAAAAAAAAAAAGGGGGTAACACCAGGGATCCTTGTGGTGATGGAACTGTTTTGTATTTGACCATGGTAGTGGATACAGGAAGGTATACATGTGATGGAATTTTGTGGAACTAGGCATACATACACACACATACACAAATAGTGCAAATACAGTTATACTTAGTTTTGTAAGAAGTCACTTTCTGGGGAGGTTGGGTAAAGGAAAATGGAATGTTTTGTAAGAAGTCACTTTCTGGGGAGGTTGGGTAAAGGAAAATGGAATGTCTCTGGATTATTTCTTACAACTGCATATGAATCCACAATGATCTCAACAAAAAAATTCAATAAAAAGATATGATGTGATGTGATCAGGTTTAATATATTTTGAAAGTATTCAAAATGATCAAACAGGTCCTATTATAATATTTTCAGAAAAGGATATAGAAAAGGACTAAACAATGTGACATCTGAAATTCCTATCCCCAAAGTTGATAGATAAATAGGAAATAATTTAATACATATCAGTTTAATTCTGATGCTATATATTTTTTAAAATGAAGTTTTACTTTTCTTCTTACAGAAGTAGTAAAGACTCTTTATGTTTAAAATTTCCAAATAAACACAAGGAATAAAATAAACATTACCTATGAGTGTTTGCTTTTTAATAGACAGCCCAGGCTGTGGTGTTTTGTTTTGCTCTCGCTGTTTCCTTCTAACATTCATTTTGCAGGAAGCTGATGGGGCGATTTTTCTTTCCAAGGAGAATCCCCAAGTCCTTGGGTGTGAATGTCTTTTTCTGACTGGCTGGGTCTGTCTTTCTGCAGGGATGCTATTGGTTTGAGACAAGGCTCTTGCACAAAGTTTAAGAAGTTAGCTACCCAAGAGACTACAACCAAGCATGCATCTTACGTGCACTCAGTGGCTCTGAGTTTATGTTAGGTTGTTGCCAAAAGATGTTTGCATATAAAGAAAGATGGGGCAAGCTTAGTTTCCAGAGTATCCAATCTTGTCTCTGACTGGCCCCTTTTGTTAAGAGTGGAGCATGGGCGAGTCTTGCATTGCCTTTCCTTCATTGGCCAAAGGCTGCCTTCATTGTCACTACTCTACAGCAGGGGTCCCCTACCCATGGGCTGCACAGCAGGAGGTGAGCGGCAGGGTGAGTGAGCCTTACTGCCTGAGCTCTGCCTCCTGTCAGATCAGTTGCGGTATTAGATTCTCATAGGAGTACGAACCCTATTGTGAGCTGTACATGTGAGGGACCTAGGTTGTGCACTCCTTATGAGAATCTAATGCCTGATGATTTGAGGTGGAACAGTTTCATCCTGAAACCATCTCTGTGCACCCCCTTCCCCCAACCCCACCTCCTGGTCTGTGGAAAAATTTGCTTCCACGAACTGGTCCCTGGTGCCAAAAAGGCTGGGGACTGCTGCTCTACAGCACAGTGACAAGGCTGCTCCTAGCTTAATACATCTCTCGTCTGAGCCCCCTGTTATGGACATCTGTTGTTTGGTCTGACCAGACATTAGCCATCCACCTTTCTAGCAGATGGGTCTCTCCTCTTGCCTAATCTTGTGATTCAAGTGAGAGTGTCATCTTCCCATAGGGTCTGTCTCCTGATCAAAAGGAGTGACTGGGGGCCTGAGAGCTACCAGAGGTGTCTCTAGGACCTGGTACTAGACTAGCCTCTGGTACCAGTCATCCTCGAGACCAGCCCCCCTTTTAGCTGTTTGTTTTTATGAGCTAGGGAGGTGTATTCCTTGGCTGAGCTAGTTCACATTGAGTTTCCTTCACATGCATTCACATGTCCCAATTCATACTTTTGCCAAGATCAATATACATTATTTTCTTTTTTTCTCCCCTTTATCTTACTGTTCTTAACTATAAATGGAAAGGCAAAAATAAGTTCATCATTTTATTCTGTCTGTAAGTTTCCTGCTGTATCCCAGTCAAGATAGGTTGAAGATTCCCATTGTATGTCTACTGGGGATGATGCTTTTCCAGGAGCAGCTGCAGTCTGACCACAAATTCCCCTAATCAGAATTTAAGAAGGCCTGGACTGGGCAGCCCAGGTTGCTCCCAGTGCCTGTATTTGCAGTGCGTGAGCTCGGCTGGTTACTGGAAGCCACCCAGGGTAAGTTCTAACAAATTCATGAATCAAGACCAATGCGGGATTGCAGAAGTATATTTAGATTGTTCCTAAATTCTGACATTGCTCCGAGGTAAATCCATTATCTGGGTAAGAGCTACTATGTAGTAATTAAACTGAAAATATTATATTTGTACATGCTTTCTGCCCCTCAGCAAAACATATTTAAAATATTCTTGGAGGTGATTTTTAAAATTTTGCACTTTTGTACTGCAATTCCACCTGAGTAACATTCAAGCAATATTTTGAGAAGATGATTAGGTTTTTTTTGTTTTCTTTTGTTTTTATTTTTGTTTTGAGACAGATTCTCTGTCACCCAGGCTAGTGTGCAGTGGCCCAATCTCTGCTCACTGCAACCTTGGCCTTCTGGGTTCAAGTGATTCTCATGCCTCAGCCTCGCAAGTAACTGGGACTACAGGTGCACACCACCACACCCAGCTAAATTTTTTGTATTTTTAGTAGAGATGGAGTTTCACCATGTTGGCCAGGCTGGTCTCGAATTCCTGGCCTCAAGTGATCCACCCACCTCAGCCTCCCAAAGTGCTAGCATTACAGGCATGAGCTGCTGCATCTGGCTGATGATTAGTTTTTTAAGTCTCATATTGGGTGGGTCCTGGAAAGAAGTCGTTTTGTGATTCACTTCTGTGTTCAGTCTGAAGTCTCACTTGGATGGTTAAGGCTTGCCCTGTGGCCTGGGAGCCATCTTTACAAACTGTGTACAATGACAGCCTCCTTGGTCATTCATGTTGGCTGAAGCCATCTCTGCAGTTGTACCAGCCATGTATCATGTATGAGTCCTGGGGCTTAAGTCATTCAGGGATGCTCAGATCAACTGGCATTGGTCAGAAAGCCCTGTATTCCTGTTTGCAGATAAATGAAGAGGAGAAAATGCAAAGAAAAGAAAACAGGTTTGGTTTACTCATTGTTGCATATTTGGGCTGATTAGCTTTATTAAAGAAAGGGTATTTATACTTTTTCTGCATTGGATATGGATGAGGAAATGTCCAGATCACAGAGTTTTGTGGTTCCTCTTCATAGATGTATCTGCCTCACATGAGGCCCCAAGAAATAGGACAAGAAAGATTCAGAGGAGGGAAGGGTCTAAGAGGTACAAGCTTATGGCACAAATCTGCATTGGTGGTCTGTATCTGGAGTTATTGGCACTGTTGGCTGTTCCCTTTGCTCCTACGATAACTTGCCCTCATCTTTGTTTGCAAAGCCCCAGGGTCTGATCTGAAGCTGTGACCTTTCTTCTAAGAGAGTTATTGAGTTTGGGTTATTCCCTGTTTCCTTACTCTATAGACCTTGCTGTGTAGGAAGCTTTGTTCTTTTCACCAGAGTAGAAGGCTTTTAGGCTCCTTTGCAATTCTCAATGCCTGGTAGTGAGTTGGGCAAGAGATGCCAAATGCTCAAAGACTCTTATCTGTTTCGAGCATACCAGAGCCAGAGGATTGTCAGGATTTCATGACCCTCTGATGATGATGTACTTTAAATCCTAAGTCAGTGACCAATTCTGCTCTTGCTTTCAAATTTCTTTTTTGTAAGCAGCAAAGTCTACTTTTCTTGCAAATGAACTCTCACCTAGAACGTAGTACCTCAAATGGATTAAGGTACAGTTTCTAAGACTGGCCTACTCCTTGCTTTCTACAATAGATGTTGAGGCACTTTCTTGGAACCCCAGGATTTCAGGGTCCATGCTTTGAGGAGTATTGCCATTAAGCATCCTTCTCCACTGCCTTGAAGCTAAGGGAAAAGTACTGTAGTTCACAAAAGACAGAAAGGTCCTGGAGTAGGGTCTTCTGATTCCCTGCATGCTTTGAACTTCATTTCTTGCAGCTTCTCTGGAACCCCTGTTTTGTCCCCTTGTCACAAATCCCTTGTTAGAAATCCTCAGTCAAAATTCCTCATTTTGCAGATGGATAACAGAGGAAGGCTTTGAAAGAGGGAGTTGTCAGAGCTAGCTATCCATGCATTCATTTATAAATATTTCTTGAGCACCTGTTACATCACATTTTTTATTAGGTACTTTATTAGATATGGATCTTGGCCTCACAAAGCTTATAATCTGAATACAAATAATTATCAGCAACATGATTACTATAACATGTGAGGTATAAGATACTACAGGGCACACGGTAGTTATACTTAAACTGGATAAAGGACAAGTAGAAATTAAACATCTAGAGAAAGCAGGGGAGGGCCATCTTCCACGCAGAGGGAACAACCTATGCAAAGGCCCAGAGATGGGCAAGTCCTGAGCCTACGGGTAGGGGTTCCCTAGGGTGTAGAGAGTGAGACCAGAGGAGACTGGAAGCTGTGAAAATGAAAGTCTGGTCATATGGGCCTCATCAGCCATATTGAGGGGTTTGGATCTAACCCTCAAGGAGGTAGGGGATGGTTTGAAGTGGGTAAAGCACAGTGGAGGATGAGGTGGCCTCTGTGGGGCTTCCATGGCATTAAAAACCCAGCCTGTATGCATGGCACTTTGCAATCCAGCATCACTTACTGAGAATAAATGTGGATGCCTTTGCAGCATGATGCTTCACCCCTCGGGGCAAGGAGATCAAGCCACAACGTGGGTGTTAAACAGATTAGTTTGGTCAATAGTTTAATTCTGGCAGCAGCTGAATGACATTATAAAGAATGCAGTGGCATTTCTACTGGAAATGTCTGCCATCGTTTTCTTCATGTCATGAGGAAAATAAAGGCTTCCCAACTCCAGGAATGAATTAGCATGAAAGATGCCCATCAATCTCCCTGTGAAGAATCACTGTGCTGCAGAATTGCTTTAACACAGAGGAGGAAGAGATGATAATTGAGCAGGATGGTGTGCAGCCCACTGATAGTCTTGTGTCAAAAACCCCATCTCTTTTCAGGATTTAGGTTGGGTCTGGATGTCCCTGTTGAGCTGTGGCCTTGGGTCAGCCCAACAGTCCAAGATCCAGGAGCCTGGTGAGGCGTGCTCCAAGTGGGAAGAAGGCTGCCCGCACCATTTCTGGTGCTCTCTGGGGGGAGACCTAGTGTCCTTGAGGGCTAGACTTCTTTTGGTTCTGAGCTTCTCACAAAAGGCTTTTGTTTCCACATATTCCTTTCTCAGTTCTTGAAGTTGGCTTGTCTTTCTCCTTTCTTTGGCACAGTTGTCCTCAAAATGTGATCCCTGTACCAGCAGTATTAGACATGCAAATTTTGCAGCTCCACCTTAGACATGCTGAATCAGTACTTCTGATGATAGAGCCAGAAACCTGTGTTTTCCCAAGCCTTCCAGGTGATTCTAAAGGATGCTCAAGTGGAGAACCACTGCTACATCAAGTGTGTATGTCGAGGCATCGTGTGGCATGCCCTAGCATTTGAGAGTGCGGAAGGTCTAAGTTTGTGTTTGAGTATGGGTGAACATGTTTGATCCATTTAGGGAAGGTTCTGTGCAGGGAAATAGTTGTAGGTAACACCTGAGTAGGGGCTGAGTGAAACTTGAAAGTTCTTTAATACTCGTTAGTACCTAATGAAGATGTTTATGACAATAGCTAACAATTTTGTGTGGGTACTGTGTGACAGTCACTTTGCCAAGCATTGTAGACATTATCCTATTTTATTTCTACAGTAACCTCTATGAGGTAGTTGCATTTACTGTCTCCATTTTATAATAAAAGTGAGGCTCAGAGCAGTTAACTAACTCTCTCAAGATCATCCAACCAGAAAATGGTAGAGATGGAAACTGAGCCCAGTTCTGCACTTGGCCACTGAAGTCTAATTCTTGTCATTCTCTGCTTGTATACTGGCTTTTCTGGGGATGGCCGATTTCAGGATCACCTGGGTTTCCTGTGTGCGGCTCTTGGGCTGGCTTGGTGGACGTGTTTCAATATACAGCCCTGCAAAGAGATTGAACATGAAGGGCTTTCATGCTTTTGGGGAGAACGGTACTTAATCTTCTCTCCAAGAGTAACTTTAGAAGCATAAACAGGAACCAAGAAAATGAAGTGAGCTATTTTACACTTGAAATGTACCACAAGTGAATGACTGCCTATTAAATTGGGCCGGGCCTGTGCTTCCAGCCCCCTGTGATTGAAGCCATTAAAACATAGACCTGGAGTGTGGGAGGAGCCTGGCTAATTGTCTTCCCAGGTCATTGCAGCAGCCTGTGAGAAGGACAAGGCTCCCATGCTGCCTGCGGGTCTCCCTGGGGAGTTTCTTCTTGTTATTAAACAGTTAGAAGTAACAATTTTATTTAACTGGGAAGATGAATCTGGCAGAGGCTTAGACACCTTCATGAAGCCGTGTGTATGAGGTTTCTGTTTTATTAAGCTCAATAGAGTCAGCTTCTGAACTTCAGCTTGCTACTTTCAGGTTGATCGGTGATGCTTTTTCAAGTTTCTCCCTGGTTCTGAAAGCTGCATGTAGGTAGGTACTTTGGGAATTAGGTATGAACTGCCATTTTGATTTTACACCCGTTTCCTTTCCCAGCTAACATTCTTTAAGGATTTCTGTTTGGCTGTTTTCTCCTTATGGACCCCAACTTTGGAGTCTGTACCTTGAAAGCATGTCACTTACTCCAAGGAATAAATGTAAATTAAGTCACAATGTATGTGTATACCCTGCCTACATGGCAAGCAGTCCTCTGTCTGTTCAGCATCTCACCATTTTCCAGATTTATATTGGAGACATCCAGTGATGGACTGCATTTCCCTATGATTTCTCTTTCCTAATAAGCTTGTAGCCAAGTTCCAATAATATATTAAGCTGAGAGCTTTTCTTGTTAATTTCCCTGTAGAAAAGTTGTGGCAAAGCTACAGGGAGACTGAACTTAACAAACAGTGCTGAGCTATGCTGTTCCTCTTTCCAAAGAACCAGCCTCTCCCTTGGAGAGTAAGTTTGTTTAGCATCTGTTATAATGTTAGAGTGTTGCAGGAAATTGGAATCTCTCTGGCATCATTAGTTAGGGGAAAAAGACCTCAGGAATAAACTTCAAGAAATGACTCTTAACCATTCTCTTATTATTTAGTAGGTGCGTGCACTAAGGTGATTCCAACTTTTTCAGATTTAACTTTTTCATAAACTTTATTTTGTACATTATGAACTGATGCCCACAAATGACCCTTTTGTCCACTAGCTTTATATTTTTTTTTCAGATGTTCCTGAGTAGGCAGACATTCTGAACTCTGGCAGGGCATGTCAGCTAACGGTTCATGTTTTTGGCAAGACCATCACCTTTGCTTGTACAACCTTACATGTTTGAGCAATTTTTTGAACATTTAGAACATGTTTTTGCTCATTATTTTATCAACATGTGATAAAATGAGAATAATTTCATCTCATTGTTGAAAATATGTGTTGAAACCTGGGTCTCACAAATGTGGAGATAACATTGGGAGTCATTAAGCAGGCCCCAAATGGTGAATCATTAGTCTCAGATGGATGGTCCCTGGAATTAAGACAGCCAACTACGTAGTCAATTGTGAGGAAAGAGGAAAATAAAGGGCACAAATGAAGTGCTGAAAATGTGTCATCTAAGATGATATTTCAAAAGCTGAGTTATTAGGAATTTCATGCTGTTTTTAATACGTAGAGAACAGACAATCCCCCATAGCTACACCTGTTGTTTCATTGTCATGCTTTTTACTTTTTTTTTTTTTCATGTTATAGCACATTATGTACAGGGCTGCCTTGGATTATAGGGGCTACCCCTTTAATTTGTCATCAAAAGTTCATTTTTCTCATATCATGATTGGGAGAAAAGTGACAAATTAATTGATGGAAATGGTGGTCTGTTCCTGTCTCCATCCTCAGTCTCTTCCTGCCCAGTTGTTATCTCCTTTCCCTGCTTTATTTTTGCCATAGCATGGATACTTGTTTATCATCTGTATGTCACTGGTAGACTATTAGCTCCGTAAGAGTAGGGAGTTTTGCCATTCTAGATCAGCGTGTCTCAACAGTTTTTTTCATTATCACTTCCCTAAGAAGACTTAAATTTTTTTTTCCTAATTGCCTCTCCCCTTTCTGAAATTTAAAGCCACCAATATACTGTGTATCTGTTTAGATGCTATTTGTCTATCTGTGCTTTATATGTAAAAAGAAGTGTAAGATTTTGTTTTCATCCCTCAAAAACCAGTTTTCACTCCCTTGAGGGACAGTGTGGCCCCCTTTGAGAAAGCACATTCCAGACCTAGTGTCAAAAGGAGTACATGGAGCACAGTAGGTGCTCAATTAATTTGTGTTGAATGAATTTGACTTACCTAGGATGTCTGTCTTCATGAAAGTGATTAAACCCACACATAAATGATGTGCTTGCTGTTTTCAAGCACCTGTTTTTAGAATTTCATTGTCTTTTTTTCTTTTTCAGTAGAGGCCAAACAAATGTTGGCTAACCACTTGACAGATATGTGAAGGGGGTCTCCCTCTTATAGTTGTATTAAATCTGTGCTCTTCTTTTAAGAGTCTGATTATCCAGGAGAGGTAATGCTTTAATTGAGGGTCTTATTTAAACCTATAGATAATTATCCCTGATGATCTATGTATACACAGAAAGCAAATGTACAAATTTACTAAATGCTCTTATTAGCTACTGGTGTTAGCCTTTGTTCCCACTTAAGCTCTGATACTGAAACTGAACTGTTTGGTGACAGAGCCCCTGAGAGTATTTTGCTTGGCCTTACCCAAAGAGAGGTTCCCCCCACCTACTCTGAAGTGGGGGCGGGAATCAAATAGAAGCACTTAAACAGATCTTCTTAGTGTACTCTGGATTTGCCCAGGCAGCCTGTGTGTTTTTAGATCCCTTGATACTCTGCAGCTGCTTTGTCCTCTCTCCTGATGGCGTATGTATGTGACATGATAAAAGCCAGAGTTTTGAGTACCTTAAATAAAACAAGAAAACTCGAGGCTTCATGCTGTCCTCTGTGATGGGAATAGTAATAAAAGCATGACAATTGGTGTGTTAAAGAAGCCAGATACCAGGAAGACCTTTTCAGATGGAGTCTGATCAAGGCTTTCTCATCAGACAGAAACAAACCCAGTGCCTGAGCCCTGTGGAGGGTGGGCGCTGCTTCCCTGAGATGCTGTGGGAGGAATAACTGGTTGTGTACATTCCCAGAAGGAGAAGTATTCATTCATCATTTTCATTATTGCCTTGTTTCTCCACAGAAATATTTCAGATGCTAATTTTCTTGGAAGAGAAGATTGACATTCACACTTACTTTTATTTTAACAATTAAAGAAAAATAATGAATATTCATGCCAAGAAAATGAACTTAGTTACAGTCTAAACACATATCATAATGAATGGTTCTGATATTTGGACCCTCATGGCTGTAATAATACAGTTAAGTTCCTAAAATTGGAATCTATTGTCATCTCAGTCATTGACTGAAACTGAAAATATCTCATCGAAGATGTTGTGTAAAGGTCTCGGTTATTAGGAATTTCATGCTGTTTTCGACACCCGGAGATGAGGCAACCACCCTCATAACATATAGATCTGTTGAATTTTTTATTTGCTTTGTTGGGACAGATTCCTTGAAACAAGACCTCTGTGTGTCATATATATTGCCTTGTAATAATTTTCATTTTAGGGGGGTTAGGAGTGCTGTCTCTTCGAGTGCTTTTTTGCAGCTGGATGCACATGGCAGTTTCTGAAATGGGCCTGGACTTTTATAACATGAAGCCATGTGCTTTTCTTAGTAACTATAACTCATTGGTCATTTACCTTAGGATGGACAGACATTTAAAAGATGGAATTTTTGGAAGGTGCCAAAATCAGACATTTAAAATGGAAATTTCCAAGGCAACAGGCTATTTAGAGGAAACTTGTGAATCCTTTTAAAATTGGAATGCCTCCCCCATTTATGTTTCTACATAGATATTTGGGTTTTTATATTCCAGTTTTTCTCAAAGTGAGACACACCTATTTAAGCAGATATATTTCTGCTGGCCACGTTTCTGTGGCTGTTGGCTTACTGTGCTGGAGTGTTAAATGAGTGATTCTAAGAATAATTGCAAAGATGCTTTGAAAACATGGATATAAAGTCACACATCTTAATAAAAGTTGGGGGACTTTTTCACTAGACTTTCTTTAGAATGTTAACATTTTCTGCTCTGGAACCATGTGTGTGCCCGAGAAAGGCTGAGGATTCAGTATGGAGACTAGCAACCTTCACTTATTCACTCACTCACCTACCTATTCGCTGACACAGCCTCTTAGTGACCATTTGCTCAGTGCCTGCTGAGCAGTGATTCCTATCTAAGGTGCTGACGAAACAGATGACTGTGACTCAGTCCTTGTCCTTAGTGTCCTCACTGTTTAGAGAAACCCAACAATTACACTAGAGGGCAGTGGAGTTCATAGTGGTTAGGAGACTAGACTCAGGAGTCAGACCTGGGTGATGTGGGCCAAATTATTACATCCTATGTGATGTGGTTTGTTCCTCTATAAAGTGGGGTAAAATACAAACAACCTCACAGGGCTCTTTGAGGATTAAGTAATCTAAATCCATGTAAAGTACAGTTCCTTGCGTGTGATAATACTTAGAAAATGATGATCCATTCATGGCTTCACAGCCAGGTGCTATAGAGAGTGACTCAAAATGCATCCTGGGGGGCACTGCCAGGCAGGGCGACTCAAGTGAAAGGATTAGTTATGTACATGCCCCCCAAAATGAGAGAAGGTTGTTTTCTTTTTCCACAGATTTAACCAAAATGGTGCTTTTGGAAATGAGGAGTTGTCAATATGGGATGTGGAGGACATGATTTTGAGGTCATTTGATTTTGTTCTGCACTGCTCTGTCTCTGTGCTCCCCATCTTCCTCCCTCTGAAACATGGGTTCTTGTTGCTCTATCTAGAAACACCACCCTCCTGGGTCAGGAGATGCAACTGACCCCCACTAGATGGAGGGCATGGTGTCTAGATACCCTGGGCTATTCTTTCAGAATCTACTTCTGGGGCAGATGGAGTACTGGATGGGTTGCCCAGGGCTTAGAGACTAGATCAAGAGAATCCTGAAGGCCATGGCTCTAGAAAGGTTCACATTTTCTAATTACTTCTTCAGGACCTGCTCACTCTAAGGAGGCAAAGCAGCTCTAAAAGACACCATGGAGGCCCTATAAAATCATCATGTCTCTCCAGGAAAAATAGCCACCTAGGTTATCTTCAGTGAAGTAGACTAGGGGCCCAGCCAGGGCCAAGACCTCAGCTTCCTAAGCACTCAACACAGCCTGGACAGACATATGTTCAGTGAATACTTTGATCATGATGAGCTCTAGAACATTGGGCAAAGGCACTATGCCAGTTATTGTTTCTTCACACATCTGTGTGTTTTCTGGCAATAAGGTATACTTTCTCATGAAATTTGACCTGGAGTTTTGTTTGGTGGTATTTTGAGCTTCTATTCATTTGGAGAAAAAAAGGCATGATTCTTAATTGCTGTAATTTTACCTTCATGAATTCAGAAATGCGAGTCCTGGAATAATGAATCCCCTTTTATAAAGAAACATATTTGCAGCAATGCCAATTCCTGGCTCATTAGGCCCATTCTAGCAGCGGAGATGTCTGGCTTTCCCCAGGGCAGGACCTGCTAAGTGTTGGGATACTCTTACTTTTTCCAATCCCTCTGCCTCCACTGAACTCCACCTCTCACAAGGAAGAGTTAACATTTAATGAAAGGATCTTTTGACACCCACTGCCAGAATCCTGCTTACTTACCACTCTGCAAATAATTTTAAATGAGTGATTTTTGTCATCTTAGCATCATTAATTCAGGTTCACACAAAGAACACAGTGTATTTGTGTAAAAGGCTACTAGACAAATTAAGAGGGTGATGCTAGCATTTCCTGTGTGCAGATTTGGCAGCCGTCATCTATTTGGAGAGATTCCAGGTGAGATCCTAGGGAAGAGAGCTTTGTATAAAACAGGTTTCTTCTCATATGCCTCCTTAAGGTTCCCCCTTGCAGGTCTTACAACAAAGGAGTGCCTTGGTGGGGACCCTGCATTTTGTCTGTCCCACTTCAGCCTGCTTGGAGCCAGCCTGGGCACTGCTTTTTTCCTTGTTGATGATTTTCTTTCATATCACCATGCCGCCTCTGCCCAGGTACCTGGCAGC
The DNA here is from genome assembly GCF_000001405.40 of Homo sapiens. Taxonomy (NCBI): domain Eukaryota; kingdom Metazoa; phylum Chordata; class Mammalia; order Primates; family Hominidae; genus Homo; species Homo sapiens. The sequence continues at coordinate 137,218,852 of NC_000005.10, read as the reverse complement.
TAGTTACCTTTGGTGGTATTGTCTGGTATGGTGGTCTGATGAGAAGGAGCTCCTCCTTGGGCAGGTTTGGGACCACCTGTGCTTGTTGTACACCTTAAATGTAGGGGAAGAATCTGACTAGCTACTATAGGACTCAATTCTGGCAGCTTGCTTCTGCTGTGTCTCAGGAATGAGACCAGTGGCTCATTTGTTTGATGTAGCTGAGTCATACAACTTGTCAATTTTCCCAGCAAAGCGTGAATAAAATCTAGTCTTTCCAGAAGGATTAAATAAGTGGCATTGTTGTTCTTTTGCTTAATTCACAAGTTTTCTGGGATTCCAACTTCAAATATTTGTTACCTTGAAAGGAAGTTAATTTCTCAGCTTTACAAATTGTTCATTTCAATCAGAACAAAGCAGGAATGCTGTTTTACAGTTGTCATTAATTGGATAACTTGCAATGTCCAAGAACCATGTGTTAGGGCTGTATTTAGAGCAGTCTCCTCTGGCACCTGATGATGTGGTCATCTTTGGTATACCTTCTATTATTTCTCTCTGGTCAGTTAGAAAAGGCACTGTCCTTTGCATAGGGAGATCTTACCATCAACCCATTAGACCGAAAGTCAAGAGACCAAGATTCTACTTCCAACCCTGTCACTAACAAGCTGTGCTTCCTTAAACAAATTACACCCCTCTGATGGGATTCCATTATCCCAGAGATGAAGATAAAGGATCGAGCTTCATCTTGAACTCTGATTAGTCAGAAATGGATTTGTGGTCACAAGTCAGTGGGGAAGAATTCTGTAATTGATTAGCCATGTCTGCCTTAGGGGAGGAAAGGGTGAGTGTTGGCAATCCTGAGCTGGGTCTTGCCAAATCTCCTTCTCCTTCTCCTTCTAACCATCTATACCTATGTAGAAATATAGATGCGGTAAGGTTGGGTAAGTAAGATAGTGCAGTATAATGGATAGGAGTAGGGTTGGAGCCACACAGCCTGATTTCTATTCCCGCTTGTCACTTATTAACCACGATACCTTGGATACATTACTTAGCTTCTCGGAGCTGTAATTTCCTCATCAGTAAAAGGAGAGTGTTGTAGTCCTTACCACAAAAGATTGCTATGACTGAGTCAGGCGTTTTAAGTACTTTGCATAGTAGATGATCAGTAAAAATGTTATCAAGCTGTTCTTACTAATATAAGAAGTACAGTGAGTACTTACTTCAGTAACAGTGGCTGACTTTGCCAAGCAGTTTTTTATTTCAAACCACAGTGTGATACCGACATTTGGATGTAGATGACAACCTCTAAGCAGCACAGAGGCGTGTTACATCCCATCCCTGAAGAGGAAATCCCATCTTTAGAATCAGAGCATTTGAGCTGGAAGCAATCGCAGAGTCCATGTTTTACAGATGGGAAACGGAGGCTGTGGTGGGGGAGGCTCTAGTCCAGTGTCCCTGGGTGGAGGCAAGGCAAAGTGGGGCCTGTTCTCAGACTCCAGCACATTCTTGAACTCTGTCTCTTTCCCCTTGGCTTAGTGCTGCCCAGCACAGGGGCCTCTGCAAGAAGAGGAGTTAATGCTGGATGAGATGGTGCTCTCTCAGTGCTCCTACAACCACGGGCTCTGGGGAGTGATTTAGATAGAAGCAAAGTGCTGCTTTGTCACTGGGAGCATGTTTATTTATTCATTATGTTTGAAAAGAGACTCCAGTACATGAATGAAATTCTTCAGTCAACTGAGTTTTGTTGTCTTTGTTGGTTTATCTTGATTCCTTGTGGCTTCTCATGGGCCTCCCTGTCTTGTTCTCTGTTCCCAGTGTCAAGTCTGAGCTCTCCACTCCCTTCTCCCAACCTAGGCCTTCAGAAACTTGCCTCCTAACCCACCTCCTGCCTCTGGGCTCCTCTCCTTGTCCTCAAGCCTCCTAATTCCTGCCTTATGCCTATTTTAAAACCTTGCCTTTTGGCCACTTCTTTCCATTGTGATTTCCTACTTATCCTGAAAGTCAGCCAAAAGATCACCTCTTTTATGCCTTTCCGAGTGATGGTTTCACAACACACCCCCGACCCCTGATTCCTCCAGGTAGAGTTGGGTGGTGTTTTAATCTCCCTTGCTCTTATTTCATACTTGCTTATTTTACTAACATATTGCATGAGCCCTTTTTTTTTAGACGAAGTCTTCCTCTATCACCCAGGCTGCAGTGCAGTGGTGTGATCTTGGCTCACTGCAGTCTCTGCCTCCCTGGTTTGAGTGATTCCCCTACCTCAGGCTCCTGAGTATCTGGGACTCCAGGCATGCACCACCACACCTGGCTAATTTTTGTATTTTCAGTAGAGATGGGGTTTTACAACATTGGCCAGGCTGGTCTTGAACTCCTGACCTCAAGTGATCCACCCGCCTTGGCCTCCGAAAGTGCCGGGATTACAGGCATGAGCCACTGCACCCGGCCTTACTGTTATGATCCTTGAAAGAAACATTGCTATATTATACAATTTGTATTTGCTATCACTAGCATAATGGCTGCCCTGGGTGAGTATTTTATAAATGTCTGGATGTTGAACTGAATGAGCCATAACAGCTAATGTTTCTTGCATGCTTTCTTTGTGCCCAAAGCTCTGCAGGGCCATATACAAGCATCTCATTTGATTATCTTGAGACCCCTCCTCAAGACAGCCTTCACCTGCTGAATGTGTCACCCATTCTGTCTGAGTCCCTCCTGTCATTTAGGGTCTACCTCAGTGCCCCCTTTCCCTGCCATGCCATGGATTGCCTGATCATCCTTACTCTCTTCAGAACTCATGTCATAGGGAGCATTACATGATGAGCCATCCTTTCATTGGACATTTGGTATGCCCCCTGGATCATTTGCTTCTGTAAAAGAGGGGCCAGGCTTTGACTTTGAACCTGGATTGAACCGCAGTTCTGCCACAGTTTGACCTTGGGCCAGCCACTGATCTCTTTAAACACTAGTTTCTTTGTCTCTAGAATAGGTAGTTATGTGTTCCTAAGAACTTTAACTGGCATAGAATCTGAGGATTAACCTCTGAAATGAACCGTTATGCATCAGATCAAAAATGTGCAGTTATCCTGAGGATACCTTGTGGTTCCTGAATCTACAAAAATTGACAAACTCAGAGCTTCACCAAAACTTTCTACCACAAACTGCTCATGGTAGGGGAACATGAACCCTATTGCTGGGAGGTTTGGGAGTATGGCCTGAAGCAATCTTTCATAAACCTTAAATTTCTTTGAAGTCTTAGGTTTCATCTTAAAAACTCATACACATTTGGAATTCTACTTCTTAACATATCTGTGTTTATTTTGGTATAAAAAATGTGTAAAATTATCATCCAGTAAAATTTACATTCCAGGAAGGTACTGTCATCACAACTGTTCTAATTCTCATTGAAGACGAGACATTTTGGTGCTGTGGCTTTTCCTCTTGTCCCTCAAAGCTTAGTTGATGTAAGTCTTCTCTAGGTGGGAGGGAAAAATCTGACCATAGGGACCCTGCAGAGCACAGTTCTTCCTTTCCTGGTCTGAAGGCCAGACCTGTATACAGGGTGATTTCACCAAGTGGGTGAGGCTGCCTGGAAGACATTTCACCTCATTGCCTGGGTGAAAACCAGGTTCTTAACATTAATTTGGAAGGAATATACCTGTTTTCTATAGAGGTAAAAACATCCTTCTCATATGTCTTAGATGTGAAAACCTATAGAAAGTTTGGTTCTTGGCACATAGTAAGTGTTCAGAAATATTGTTTTCTCCCATTGAAATTACAGACCCTGCCACCTACCCACCCACACTAGCCAATATTTATCCAGTATCTTTTGTGGGCAAGACTTTATCTTTCATTTATTGAGTCACAGTGTGTGTGTGTATGCTTAGGACATGGTATGCCTTTGGTCTGCACCCAATTAAGGAGTAAATATTAACTTTTCCCTTGTAATGGTTACATTGAGCTTTTACTTTAAAAAATTGGGGGTAGGACTTGTGAATTAAAAAATATGCATAGGAGTGGAATATTTCTACAGCAAACTGATCATGATTTGATATACTATAAATTCTGCCTCATGTCATCTCTACTCATTCAGGTACTTTCTTTAAAATTCAGCTCAAATATAGTTTCCTGACCACGTCAGGCCCCACTATCTCTTGCTCATTCCCCCTTATCTCTTCTCATTTGTATCCTGACACTAGCACTTGGTATGTGAGGTATTGTTTCTGTTTATCTTTTCATGCCTTTGTCTTATTATTTATCCCAATTGGTTTGAAGGTATAGACCACAGCTACTGATACATGCTTATTCAATCAGTCATCTGACATCGTTGTTGTTGAGTGATTGCAATGTGCCACAAGTCTGCTTGGCTGTAGAGAAATACTGGTGAAGCAGATAAACATGATCCTTTCTTTCTAAATGAATGATGGAGCCACATGCTTCTGTAAGGGGGGATTCAGCCTTGTAGAAGTGACATCACTTTCTGGTGTCTGGATGTTTTTTATTGTGCCTTGGCATTGGTACTCTAGGGAGGTGGGCTCTGTATTTGATTCAGACAAACTTGGGTTTCAATTCTGGCTGCACCACTTGCCAGCTCTGTGACTTTGGCCAACATATATCTCCCCTCCAAGCTTCAGTTTTTTTCCTTTGTAAAATAGAAATAAAAATAATCTCTTTTTTATAGGTTGGGGAGATAAGTTGAGATAATACAATGTCTGGTTCATAGCAGTAAGTAATAGTAATTTTGTTAACTATTTACTGTCATTTGGAAATATTTTCACTCTTATTATGTGTTCGACCCTGGGCTAGGTATAATGCTAAGTATTAAGGAATATTATAATGACAAAGGCCGTTGCACTTGAGTTTTGGTTGCAGTTTTCTTTGGTCTAAGTTTCCTAGTGTTGGTATAAATTAAATGCAGACACGAACAGATGCACATTGGTTTTGTTGTTGTTGTTGGCAGTACTTCTGTTGACACTGTTCTTGCTTCAAGAGTACAATGAATTAAAATGATGAGACCAGGGCAAGATTTGGTTCCAGGGCCTTGCTGTATACAACAGCAACCCCAGATGGGAGGAAGGTCATTATCATCACAGTAATAACCATTCTCCCAGGTGTGTGTGTGCTGCACCCTTCTATTGGAGTCTCACTCAAACTCCAAGAAGGAGGTATTGTTCCCCTATTTTACAGATGGGGAACTAGAGGCTCATCAACATACTGAATTAGTTTGGAGCATGTGGTCATTGAGTGGTGAAGACAGTACTAGAACCAGGTCTCCTGATTCCTAATCTAGTGCTCTTGCGAGCGTGGTGGTTAGAGGTAGACCCTGGCCTTGTCACCCACTTGTGTAATGTGACTTGAGTTTGTTTCTTCTTCTGTAAAATGGGGATAACAATGGCACTTGCTTGATAGAGGTTTGATGGCGTAAAATGAGAGAATATAATTGCTCTGCACAGAGCTTGGCTCATCAAGTCTAAAAATATGAGTTCTTGATAGTGTTGTTGTCAGTATAGTCAGTGTGCAGAATCTATGAGACTTCCTGGGTGTGAAGTCTGTTTCTGCACTTACTTGTTATGTGACCTCGGGTTAGTTGCTTATCCTCTCTAAGCCTCAGATTCCTCCTGAGTAAATGGGGATAGTTGTAATGAACATGTGCACTCTGAAAGCAAGTGCTCAGTAAAGGGTAGATATGACTACAGTGGTGCTGGGGTGGATGATTTCACTTGATTTCTCCACTCTTTTCCCCCTCATCAAGAATGAAACCCATGACTATGCCCCAGATTATCACCTTTTATGGTCTCCAGCTGCTGCATTGGGCTTTCTCCTTCCTGAAAGGATCCACAGTGATTTGCAGAGGCCTCTGCAGTGCATTGAAACCAAGACTCATGGCCTTGACCTCCCCTAGACCTGGCTGAGCACCTGCCCCCTGGTCAGCAGCAGCTTGAGTCTGGGAGGTCAGAGGCTAAGCTTGGGGTTATGTTTACCCTACTCTCCCCAGTTTTCTATTTCAATAGACTGTGCAGCGTCTTTGTCCAGCCAACCGCTTGAGGCTGTTATCCACGTGCAAGAAGTGAGCCTCTGACATTGTCTACTGCAAGGAAGCTCAGCTTCAGGGTAAAGCAATCTGGCAACACACAAAATACAAATTTAGGAAATTCTGGAAATGCATTTTGAAAGGACTAAGTCTCCTTGCCTTTGGCCCAGGGCCTCTAGGTCAGTCATGGACTAAAAAAGTAACCATATGGGCTTCTCACCTGACCAAGATAAGATTGTTAATCAGGCACTATGCAGGCAAATCAGGCCAAAGTTGATGCACAATTCCTGCTGTCTGCTTCTGTCCAGAAGAATCCACAGTGCCTGACACATAGTACATATTCAGCTTATGTTTGTTGAATTAATAAAACTAATCTGGAAAGAATTATGGTTTAAAGGGATTCTAAGAAATTGCACCATCATTCACGTATTAGTTGCAATATATTGCAAACTTATTATTTGCCAGACACTGGGTGAAACACTTTGATTGTCCCTGATTTTTAGTCTGAAGCATTAAAAAAAAAGCCCTGTTTTTTCTCTCTACTCTCAACACACTCAACACACTCAATACAGAATAACTCACCTTTAGTCACCACAATATGTGAGGATTTCTCCCCACCAACACCTGATTCTCCAGCAGACACTAACTGGATGTCCTACAGTTTAACTTAATTCTGTCACTGTCTACCTGGAGTTGCCATTGGATCCCACAGGTTAAGGGCTCACTCTCACAAGATGGACCCCCCTTCGGATGCCAGTCATAAGCCCCAGGCTGTGATCTGTGCTTCTGACTGATTGGCTATAAATTGGGGTTCCCATAACCCTCTTCTCAGCTTTGATTAATTTGCTAAACCTGCTCATGGAACTCAGGGAACCACTTTACTCTCATTTACCCATTTATTATACAGGATATTACAAAGGGTACAGATGAACAGCCAGGTAAGGAGATGCATAGGACAAGGTGTGTGGCAGGGGGCGGGGCTTCCATGTCCTCTTGGGGTGCACCACCCTTTTGGATTGTGTTCAACAATCCAAAAGTTCTCTGAACCCTGCTTTTGTGGGTTTTATGGAAGCTCCATTACATAGGCGTGATTGATCACATCATTGGCCATTGGTGATCAACTCAACCTGCAGCCCTTCTCTCCAGCCGAGAGGTTGGGGTGGGACTGAAAGTCCCAACCCTCTATTCATTCCTTGGTCTTTCTGGTGACCAGTCCCCATCTTGAAGCTATCTTGGGGCCCCCAACTGCCAGTCAACTCATTAGCGTACAAAAGACACTCATCACTCCAGAGATTCCAAGGGTTTTAGGAACTGCCTGCTAGAAGCCAGGGTCAAAGACCAAATAGTAGAACAAAACATTCTGTATCTATAGAATCTTTCTATACCCTTATCCATAAGAGTTTTAGGAGCTTTGTCTCAGAAACCAGGGGCCGAGACCAAATATGTACTTCTTCTTTCACAATATCACAGTAACATCCCTATTGAGGTAGGTGCCCTGTATTTTGTAGTTGTAGGACCTAAGCCTCACAGGTACTTAAAGACTTGCTCAAGGTCACACAGCTAGTGGGTAGCTGTGGTAGAAATCTGAGATCTATTTGACTCTGAAGATCCTGCTCTTAACTCCTATGCACCAATGGGATCCAGGATAGTAGGAGCTAGACTGTGGAACTGTGTTTCTTTACCTCCCTGGACCTCTGTTTCTTCATCTTCAAAGAAATAGCATTAGATGGGGGCTTCGGAGGTTTCTCTTAGAACTATCATTCTCAGTCTTCTTTCTCTTTGGGCATCAGGTATACGAAGGGCTGAGTTATGACCCCAGCTTGTCTCTCTGCTGCTGGTGTGTTGGCTGCTGAGAATGACAACTGTGTTTCCATATTGTTTTGGCTCATTACAGAGAATTATAGCTGATTGGCTTTTGGACAGAGTACTGGGGGAATGAACAACCTTAGAATTGAGCCCCTGGACTCCAGTGATGTCATGCGGCCAAGTTTACTGACAATTTTGGGTCTAGATATCTCTCTTCCCTAACTGGCATAAAGCCGGACTAGGGAGAATACAAATAACAGAATTAGAAGATGAGAGCTGTGCAGTGGAGCACTGGGCAAACCTTCACCTCCATCCCAGCTGCCCCTGTGTGCCTTGCCTGGTGACTGGGTTATCTAGAGAATGACAGCTCTGGGACTCACAATGATGACTTACTGGAAAAGGCTCACCTTCACCTCTCCAGATGCCCCCTAGTCCCAGACCGTGTATCTGACCTGTATTACAAATGTGCCTTTTATTATGTCTCTCCTGAACCTTCTTGAGTTAATAAAAAGGATTGGTAGGAGGCTTTTAAATAATGGAATGAAATGACTCTGAAATAAAACCGATTATTCTAAAGCATTTCAAAAACAAGTGCACATGTTTTTGTGTATTCATTCTTAGTTCTCCAAAGACTAAGATGTGATATTGCCTTAAGGGTTCCCTAGATAAATAATGTATCCAGTTCTAGCCTGGAAAATATTAAGAAAGCAAGGAAGTTCTCTGCTTCTTTAGGTGGCATTTTCAGTGTTTCTTTGAGATGAATTCACGTAAAACTTGGCCCAGTTTCTTTTTCCTGTTCTATAGAAGAGGGAGGGTGTGCAAGAAGAAGGGAAGCTGACAGAGCATGGAATGAAATTGAAACTCATTTAGCTGATATTATACAACTGACATCTCCTCATCACTTTGCTCAATTGTCCTATGTATAACAGGGTGAAGTGTCACCCTGAAATTTTATAGAATTGGAAATGCAAGGAGAAGAAGGGACCACTCTGGATCTTACATTTGGTCCCAAGATCTTGCAGTTCTGGCTTTGTAACAAAAAATCAATATCAAATCTAGTTGTGTTGGCAAATACACAAGTTTGAAAAGACTATGGTGGAACATTGAGAGCACTGAAAGTACTTGAGTCTTAATGCCCAAGAGCATAAATATGGATTTATTACCTTTGGTGTTTGAGAAAGTTTATTTTTCTCTGCACTTCCTGTGGTTTTATATTTGTATACCAAGCATATTGTGTGCCTCTTTTAAAACTTGATCGCAGTAACCACATGCTAATTGACTGTATGAATCAATTTTCTACCTTCTAATATAATGTAACTTTCCTGGCCATTGTTAGGCGAAAGGGTTGGGTTCTTGTTTTGTCCTGATTTGACTGACGCTGAGACCGAATTCTCAGGAGGGCCATAATGGAGGCAGAGTACTGTCTAGTAATATGTGGTTAGTCTGATTTAGTCAAACCCAGTGACTTCTCATCTGTCACAGAAGCCACTCTCGAGGTTCTTGGCTCAACAAATTATTATGAAAATGGTTTCACATTTACTGCCAATGGTAATGCTGCCTGCTTCCAACTTTGGGAAGGATATTTACGGTGTTTCTATTAGTTTGAGTCATATCAGAGCAAAATCAAACTACCTCCACATCTACTTGCGCTTACAAGCAATTCATTTATAGCATGCAGGTCATGCGATGCTGGCTCTGACATGGCCTGGTTATTTAGGGTTTTGGCAGCCTTAATAGCTTCGAATTACCCAACAGAAAATATATTTTGGAGATAGGAGATAGTAAAAACAGTCTTTGTGGGTAATTCCTACCATGGTGTGGGATTTGATATTGAAAGGGAGAAAGATTGTTGCTGCCACATTCAAGAGGCTACATACAGAAATTTTTTAAAAAGATGTCTCATTAGGTTGAAGGGTGGAAATAACATTTGTTGAGTGTGTTCTTTGAATTCTTACAACACTCCTATAAAACAAGCACTTAATTATCCCAGTTCTACAAATGAGGAAATGGAGGTCAAAAGGGGCTAGGAGACTTGCTGATTGGTGATTGTTTCATCAAGAAGGAATGAAACTGGGTTTTACAGTCAGACAGAGCTAACTCCACATTCTGTGTTCCTTCCTTTACTCCATAAAACTAGAATTCTGCTTAGTTTTATTTTTTTAAAATAATTTCAACTTTTATTTTAGATTCAGGGGGTACATGTGCAGGTTTGTTACCTGGGTATACTGTGTGATGCTGAGGTTTGGGGTACACCTGATCCCATCACCCAGGTACTGAGTATAGTATCCAATAGTTCATTTATGGGTCCTTGCCCCATTTCCTCCCTCCCACCTGTAGCTGTCTCCACTGTCTATTGTTGCCATCTTTGCATCCATGAGTACCCACTGTTTAGCCCCCACTTATAAGTGAGAACATGCAGTATTTGGTTTTCTCTTCCTGCATTAATTTGCTTAGGATAGTGGCCTCCAGCTGCATCCATGTTGCTGCAAAATATGTGATTTCATTCTTTTTAAGAGCTGCATAGTATTTCATGGTGTATATGTACCACATTTTCTTTATCCAATCCACTGAATTTCAGATATGAAATGGTGTTTTGGATGGCGTGGTCTCTTTAGGGAAGCAGAATTCAGTCTTTCTCCCATCTATGAGTTGTGTGGCCTTTCTTAACACCTCTCAGGCTTCATCTCCTCATCTCTAAAAACAAGGACAACATCCTCCAGTTCACACAGTCATCCATATTATAATAATTCTGGGGCAAAAGTTATTGATATGAGCATATCCACAGAGCTCCCTGCTCTGCCATCCAACAAAGAGAATCCTGTAATTGCCAGCCTTTTTTTGTTTTTCTCTCCTTCTACTCGTAAATAGAAAAAAATAATGTTTTTCTGGTTGGGAGAGAGGTTAAGCCAGTCAAAATAATTGGGGGCAAAGAGAAAAAGACATTTAAATTGGGATTATTTTGGGAGTGCTCATAGTGAGGCTGGCTCTTTTGTGGGTGTGAGGGAGATGAATGGGAGAGGGAGGGATTTTGATTAATGTTGCTGGGGATTGTATGTTTAGAACCTTTTAAAATGCCTTCCAGGGAGAGTAAAGGATGAAATTTCTGATTTTTTAAGTTGATAAATGAATGAGCTGTGCTCTGATTGTAAACCGTGTAGGATTGTGGACTCATAGGGTATGATACTAATTAAAAATAATAACCAATGGCAATAGTAAATCACAGGAACCACAAGTAGCATTTGTGGAGCATGAGCAGAGCAGGCTCGGGGCTGAGACTTTACATGCATCCTCTTATTTAACCCTCCAGCACCCCAGAAGCATCTAGCACAGGGCCCAGCACATCACATGTGCTCGGTAAATATTGGTTCCTGACCCCTGTCTTTTGTCCCTGAGTCATATTGCCACCTCCTCCACTGTCTCTGTTCCTGCTACAGGGCTCTATTAAGTCCACCCACAGTGGTGTCTCCATTTACCATCTCACACTGGCAGAGGAGGCAACCCAGGGGACCTATTGTTACCTGCAGGTAAAGCATATGGAAACCCAGGGCAGTGTTGCAACTGAAGCCTATACCTCTTCCTGCAGTTAGAAAAAGTTTGATTGAAAAAATTCATGGAGGAAATATATGTGCACCTGTAAATCATTTATTCACCATCCCTTCTACTACATAATACTAAATCAAGAGAATGCAGGTGCTTGTGTGTTGGTTCCAACTTAGAACAGCCCCCCACTGAAAAGGCTCCCTGCTGGTGGGCCTGTTCCAGGCCTGCAGGTGCTCATTCTGGGCAGCTGGGGTTGTCAGTGACCTTGGCAGAGTGATAGCAGTGCCGGCTGGTGACAGGCGTGGAAGGAACTCATCAGACAGGCTGCTCGGGGTTCTGTACCTGGATACCAGAGGACCTGGGCAAGAGGACATTCTGGAGACCTGAGACTGGAGCTGGGAAAATCTGTTACTCAGGGCCAAGGACTGCACTTTTATATATAGGTATATTTATGTACACATTCCAGGGGCAAGCATGCCTTACTCTCATATTCTTCACAGGCTGGTGCCTCTGTGGTTCAGCATGTGGCCTCTGGAATCACCTGGCTGATTTCAAATCTGGGGTCTGCCACTTCATCATCATCGTGTCCCTTTGACAAGTCTTTAAATCTCTCTGGTTCTCAGTTTCCTTGACTGTAAAATGGACTTGATACTTGTCCTGTCTTTATGGAGCATTTGAGGATTAAATCAAACAGCCCAAATACATCGCATAAGATGTTGCCTGGAACATAGATAATGCTTAATAAATGTCAGCTATGATGATATTTATGTGAAGTTTCTCCTGTTTGAATTAAATATGCTGGTTGTAACATATTAAAAGCAACTTTAATTTGTAGAATTACAATTAGCATTTCCTAAATACATCTACTGATACCTCACAGGAGCCCTAAGGAGCAGTTGGTTGATATAAGTGAAGAAACAGACACACGGTGGGGCAAGTCTCTTGCTTCTTGTGCCTCTGCTAGTAAATTGCAGGGTGAAAAATTCCACTGAGTCATGGCCCTGGCTTCTCCCATTCAGTCATGTACGCTTCTAAAATAATTTCACCTTGTTGGCTTTTTCATATGCTAAGGACTCTTGTTTCTCTTTCCGTGTTTGGCAGGCTCCTATAACTTGAAAGCTGGGTAGAGATAGGCAGGTGAACCCAGCGTGGGTGGCCTAGGAGGCCGGCATGGCCTTGGGGGCATGAAGCTCCAGAGGCTTGGAGGGAATTCTCAGGCCACTCTGTGGCTTTGTGTTTGCACTCTCAGAAGCCCTTTTCTTTAACCTAAACTTAAGTATGCTTCCACTTAGGGGTTATTATTGGCTTCTTGGAATCCAGCCCAGTGTGGCAGCCTTAACAAGGATGTTAAGTAGGTTTTTGAGCACAGCTAATGGTTCTTGTAGAGGAATTGTAAAGAATGATACATATTGAATCTTGCTTTTGAGTCGTTGTGCTGCAGGATAGTGTGAGGGTTACCAGTGTGTTTTCTGATCTGCCTGCCTGGCTTCTCACCCTGGCTTTGCCATTGTAGATATTTGACCTTGGGCATTATATGTTGACCTCTCTTTGTGTCTAAATGTTCTCATCCGTTCAGTGGTGGCAATGATAGGGTCTTTCTCATAGGGCTTTGGTGAGGACTAGATGAATTAATTTATACAGAGTGCTTGGAACTGTGCCGAGTACATGTAAGTGCTATGCAAAACTCAGTTAGATGTTCCTTTTTTCTTTAATTCCACTGTTTCTCTCCCCAGTGACCAGCTCAGGCTATTATGGCACAGAGATGCTCTTCAGTCTGTTTGTAACAAGTAAGAAATGTTGTTTGACCTTCAGTGGTGGCTGTGACTTGATCATGCATCTTCTCTAAAACTGAGTCCAAGAGGCATGTTTCAGGATCCGAGGTCACAGGGACATCTGCAATCACAGCAGCAGCTGGGAGAGCCACTGCATCCCAAGTGCATAGTTCCACTGTCTCCTTTCCTGCCACCCGACTCAGACAATTCATCACTGCCAAGAGCAGAGCCTTTTTCATCTCATGGAGTCATAGGGTGAAAGCCACCTACCAGGTTGTGTAGTCCAATTATTCATTTCCTGTAAACTGTTGACTTGTCCCTGCTTGAACATTCTCAGGCCTAGGAAACTCACTACCCACAGGGCACACAGCTCTTTAGAGAGCACGACAGCTTCCTTTCACTGACGTGCAATAGGCTGCCTCATATTTCCCATTCATGGCTTTTCTTTTCATTCTGAAACCATGTAGAGAAACATCCACATCTCACTTTACTCCTTGACAGCGCTTGAATAATTCATTCTTACCAAGTACCATGCCAAATTCTGTGCTACACAGTGACAACATGGCAGTGAATGAACTTGCTCTTGTGAAGCCTATAGTCTAGTGGGGAGATCAACTGGTAAACAAGCAAAAGGAGCATCAACTTCAGCAAACTTGTAAAGAAACAAATGGCGTACGGTGATAGGGAATAAATCATCTTCTTTGGAGTCATTGGGATTATCACTTCTTAGGAGAAAATCTTTTAGCTGGATCTTGACAAAGAGGGAGCCAGCCAAGCAAAGGGTGGTGGAGTTGGCCTTTCATGCAGACGAAACAACTTGCACATGGCCTTGAGGTGGGAACAAGCTAAGCATGCTCGAGAAGCAGAGGCGAGTGCTTCTAGGGTATATACAGTGAGGGGAAAAGAGCGGGATATGAGATTGCAGGGGTCAGTGGAGGTCAATTCGGATATGGACCTTATTCCAAAGGCAGGATGAAGCTGCTCAAGGGTTTGAAGCAGACAAGTCTGGCTGTTGGATGGAGACTGCATTTGGTGGGGTTGGAAGTGGGAAGGTCAGTTACAAGCTGCTTGTAATATTGCAGCTTGCCCTAGGGGTAAGTGCTAGAAGTGCAAGAGAGGAGGGGGAGTCTTGGGAGTATGTTTTAGAGGTAGAATCTATGGTACAGGGTGATGGGCTGAACAAAGGGAATGAGAGAAATGAGGTGAATTTAAGGTTGGCTCTTAGATTTCTACCTTTACTATTAGGTGGGGGAGGGTGCCATTTATTGAAGGGTCCTAGAAACCAACTGATATGTTTCCCTCTTTCCAATCTGCTGCCTCAGTTTTCCATCAGAGCTGAGTCATTTCTGCTGAGACAGTGCGCTCTCCCAGACACAGAGTGGGGATGCATGAAGCATTTTAGGTTTTGTTCCATCAGGTTTACAAAACTGTCTTCTATTTTTAAGCTGTTTTGCTACTGGCTTAATATCACTACAAATATTCTGAACAAAATAAAAAAATAATATTAGCATCTAACATTTATTAAGCCAGGGCTAAAGACTTTGTAGGCATGATATTGATTGATGCCTCATAACAGACCAAGAGTTAGGAGTAGTTATTTCCACGTTACAGAGGAGTAAAACAAGGCTAGAGCTGGTTGGATAACCAGCCCAAGGCCACCAAGCAAATGCAGAGTACAGGACAAATCCAGATCTGTCAGAATCCAGAGCCCCAGCGCATATCCACTATCCAGAGTTACTCTGTGTGTTGCCAACATTCCACGTTTAGGGAGAATTCAACTTTTCCCCTCCCTTTGGAAGTGGTGGCACATCTACATTGCTAATCCACATTACTTAAGAGGGATTTTCCATAATGTCCTCCAATCAGCTTGATTAATTGATGAAGTAGAGACAGTTATGCAAGAGTGACATTGCTCCTGATCTAAGTAGTTTCTTGTTTACATGTGCAACGTTAGAAAGCACCCTATAAATCAAAAAGTTGTAAGCCGGATAAAGCAAATAACTTCTGTTGATGACTTGGTGAGATACTTTAAATTCATTTACGTGGCCCCGTATGCCAAGTTCTCGAGGATTATAGAGAGAAGATGATTTTCTCATTTAGCTAAAGCACACATTACCCTTCAGGTAAACATGGTAATGTCATCCTAAGAAAAAAAGTGTAAATAGCAGTAATGATAAGGAAATCATATAGTGAACATTGGTAATTAGAAGCAGCTCCCTGGGACTTCCCCAGGGAGTTAATGATAAGCTGCTTAGGCCTGGAGCCATTCATCGCCTTTTTCACTTCATGAGATGAGTGACATGTCTTTAACCTTGCCACCCTAATTTGGGGAAATGTTCTCATCACACCTGGGTGGTGATGCTGAAGCTCTCGTGAACCTTATCAGTGAAGATCTCATATCAGGTGCCACTTTTTCCCTCGATGATGAGGCTGAGCTCATCACCTGGGCGCTGGGACACACTAGATCATCTGTTGACTGCCAATGGCCAAGCACAGAAAAGTATTTGAAATCTATTACTCATGTCCATGGTGTCAGTTACCACATTTAGAGCATTAAAAGACAGGCTGTCATCAGTTAGTTACTTGGTAAACCAAGGTAATCATTAGCCTAAATGAAGTTTCATTAAGGGTAATGTACTCATTAAGCACAAAATGGCTTGAAAAAGCTGAACTATCATCATTTGTTAGAATAACCCAAACCTTGGCTAAGAAGGTTGACTTTCACCTTTGTGCAACAAGCAATCAACATTTAATTAGTCGAGTGCTTTGATTTGTTGATTAGAATGCAACAAGGACGTGAATATGTATGATGTTCTTAAAGTAACATATTCAGATCAGCCACAGATTTTCTGAAGCTACTTGTCCAGCGAGTTTAAAAGGCTTACAATGAATATGGATGCTAGTGATTATTTATAGAAGAACTCTTCTATTCCCATCCTTAGCCTTTACAAAGTTATTTTTGAGTTTACTGTGACCTGATTTTTAATTCCAGGAAAAGAATGCTTTGCTGTTATTTTCCTTTTCAAATCAGAGTTCCTCAAGTGAAGGAGCTGTTTCAGCCTGTGAACACCTAACTAATTCATTTACAAACTGAGGAAATGACTTTTGAACTGAAAGCCTCTAAGGGCTGTTCAACACAATTTTTACTCATTGGTTCTCCTGGAGGCATTTATACATGCTGGGAACACCAAAAATTGATATCATGTACATTTGTGTATGTACATTCCTGCATACAACTATATCAGGATGGATAAAACCAGGTCTCAAATGGAGTGGAATACCAGCTTGTCCTGGGCATTAGTCTGGCTTTTCTGGTTTGTCATGTTGCATGAAACCTTCTGGGTTTCTATTTCCAACACAAGAAAAACATTCAAAAAATTGTGTATTAGCAGTATATTCACAAGCAAGTGTTTTGTCCAGATTTTGAACAAGTAGACAAACCATACCTTCCCCCATGACTTCTTTCTTTCAGTTTTTCCTTTTCATCATTCTATTCATAGCCTTTCCTGTGTTGGGATTGGAAGTGGTGAGGATTTGCTACAGCTACATGAGTCTGGGATGTCCCTAGAGGCCGAGTCATAAGAATGGGATCAGTATGATTGGGAAATGATTGCATCCAATGATGCAAAGCCCATGCTCTGCTCAGATGGTTGGCCACGTATTGTTCCTTAGCAGGCTTGAGCACCCCTGTAGGTTGGAATGTTCAGGCACAGGCTGCAAAGCTAGTGGGCTGGGAGACTTGGTACCAGTGCCACATCTGGGCCTCGGTTGGACTGAGAGTTGTGTGGCTTGCTGGGGTGCAGTTTCAATGTGCATTTAAGTCTCATGGGTTTTGTTTTCTCATTTTATTTTCCCCTGCATGGAATAGAGCTGGGTGTATTTTTAGTATAGGCCCCTCAGAGTTGATAGAGTATTGGTATGAAAATGATGAAGAAGAGACAGTGTGTACCGTTTACTGTAGCCATTATCCAAGTTGGGATTAAGCAGTCTTTCTCAGTGTGGTGCAGCATTATCTTTGCTTTTTCTTTCCATTTTTCTAGAGGAAAGCTTATATTGCTGTAATTGTTCAAATGAAGTATGCACATGAGGTATTTTCAAATGTTAACGTTGGCATTGGTACCAGGGCTTGGATTACATCCCAAACGGGGCATCTCTGGGACTTAGTTAATAAGGTTCTGTTTATATTAGCATTGAGAATATTAAAATTCTTCCCCAAACAGCTGGAAATGTTACGGTGGCTTTGTTTCTGAAGCATAACAGGAATGAAGCACATTATTAATTTGGAAACAGGTAGGTAGAGCAGTCCTTCTCCCCCACTAGAATTAAGTGATGAGAATGGGTATTTGTGAAATTGACTGAATGGTCTTTGGGGGATGCTTATTAAAATCCTAACATCGTTCCAGAGTTTTGTAGTGGATTCATTATCAGCTGTAATCTTATTAGGACTGTTTTGTTTTGTAATCAACATTCCATCCATGGAGCCCCTAGATGGGCAGCATGCTTCTCTGCTGGTCCAGTCCTTCTGGTCTCTTTTGTTCTGATGAATTAATTCCTCTCCTTTTCTGTCAATCAGATCCTTCACTCAATGTGAGACATTGTCTTGCTGATGCCTTTCCCTTCCTGGGACAACTCAACAGGACAGTTGCCTTGATGTCTGTATTGTTTCCTTTTTGTTGTTATTTTCTTTCCCCAAGAAAACCACATTCTAAAGATGCCAGTGGACAAATCCCCGGCTGTGTTGTAAAACAGAGTGGGGCTTGCTAAGTACATCAGGGTCTATTCACAGTGTCACTGGCCCAACTTTTCAATTCATACTCACAGTGTCATTAACAGAAGACTTATTCTAGAATCGGCTCTGGGTTCCAATTCCAACCTCAGGAGGTTTTTAAACTACTCAAAGCCTCAGTTTCCTTGTTTATAGAAGAGGGATTCCAACAAATACCTAATGCATGAGGGGCTTAAAACTAGATGGTGGGTTAATAGGTGCAGCAAACCACCATGGCACATGTATACCTATGTAACCTGCACATTCAGCACATGTATCACAGAACTTAAAATAAAAAATGGAAATAAAAAAATTAAAATTGAAAAAAAGAGGGATTCAAATTTGTAAATTCATCCATTTACTCCCATTCACTGAATGAATAGTAAGTACCTACCTATTATGTGCCAAACACTGTTCTAGCAACAGTAAACCGACAGGAATGCCTGCCTTTCTGGAGCATAGATGCTGGTGAGGGAGACAGCCAGCAATCAGGCTAAATCAGTAAAACACAGAGTCTGGTAGTGTAAGTGTCAAGGAGAAAAAGTAAGGCAGGGAAGTGGGGGTATAAAGTGAGGAGTTGACATTTTATTTTTTATTCATTTTAGGAGGTTTGATATTTCAGATGGGGCCAGGGAAAGGCCTCACTGAGAAGCTGCCAATGAGCAAAGACTAGAATGAAGTGAGGAGGCAGGGACATTGGGGAGAGGGAAGCAGCAGGTTCGGAGGCCCAAAAGGGTGCATCTGGCCTGTCTGAGGAATCACAGGGACATCTGGTGGAGGGTGGAGGGGGTGGAAAATATTTGACAATGAAAACAGAGAAGCCATGGGGCCATGACTAATACAGAAGGACTCTTCACTTTGAGTGATATCATGGGATCACAGACTAAATGGAAGAAGCAGGGAGACCACTTAGAGGCTGCTGCTCTAGCGCAGGCTCAGGGCACTAGGGGCTTGGGCCAGAGTGGTGATGCCAGAGGCGAGAAGATGCTGCTGAGTTCTGGCTATGTTTTGGTGAGTTTGCTGCTGGAGTCTAGAGGGGGCTGGCAGCAGGAAGTGCTGATTTTCAGGGAAGGATGGGTGTTCATATCAGGATGCGTTAGAGGCTTCTGTGTTGATGGTTGAGTCTAGTGGTCTGAATGTCAGGGGAGGGACCCAGGTTGGGCATGTAAAAGCTTTGGGAGTCATCAGCTTGTAGTTGGTATTTAGCACCATGAGATGCATCACCTAGGCAGAGAAGCAGGGGCCTAATGACTAAAAACTGGGTTCTCTGACATTCTGAAGTTGGAAAAATGAGAAGACAGTAGAAGAAGAGGCTGAGAGGAAATTGCTCGAAAGGGGGAGGAAACTCATGAGAATGTGGTGTCCTAGAAGCAAAATAAATGTTCAAGGAGGAGGAGGAGATCATTGGGGTTTAATGCAGCTGATGGGTCAGGTAAAGCAAGGACTCAGAGCTCATGAGGTTTCAGTAGCGGCCACAGAGAGGTGAGCACCATCCTCGTCAACTTTGTGCTCAAAACTAGGTCTGTTGTGACTCATGCAACCCAGGAGGCTCTTTTCTAACCAGCCCGAACTTAAGAGAAACTACGCAGAGAACAAAAACCACAGCTGAGATGGGAATCCATGAGGTGAAGGAGGGTCATTGCTGGCCTGAGTGGTATTGATGATATTGGAGGCATGTGTCAGACTGATGCCATGTTCTTCTGAACACAGGGTTCATTGTGTCAACGTGTGGGCTGGTTCTAAGACAGGTGGCTGTCATCGCAATAAGGTGGCAGCACCCTGTGTTCTCCTGGGTCACAATGTGACAGAATCCACTGACTCAGACTCTGAGGAAGATGAATTTTTCCTCCTTAAAAGCTCAGTAAACAGTGAAAAAGTTAATGGACAGAACAGTGAACTAGAATCCACAAGTCATAAATAAATCCTGATAGTCATTGGTAGGTCTTTGACAAACGGTTATGGCAGCATCACATAAAGGATTGTTCTCTTGATGGTGCTGGGAGATTTTGCAGATACTTTAAGGTAGATTTTGCAAATGCTTTAACGTAGCATTCCATGCTACCCACCAAAATACATTTATTCAGTCGTTTAGTATTTATTCAGAAGAGTTATGTATAAAAATTTAGAACACGTAATAGAAGACATGGTTGAGTTTTCATCTAACCATAAAGACAATAATCTTAAAACAAGTTTGGATACACTAAAATTAAAACCTGTCAAAAATCAAACAACACGCCAATCAAATTAAGAAAAACGTTGCCACAAATAAGTCAAGGAGATGCTAGCCATACTATATAAAAAGCATTTACAAATTAATAAAAGTATTAAAGTCTTACTAGTAAATAGACAGAGATGAGCAAAAAATTTCGTAGACTGTAGATAAACAATTAGCATGAAAAAGTTTAACTTCATTAGCATTCAAAGAAGTGAAAAATGCAACAAGAAACAATCTTTCTGTTATTAGCCAGTATTTTTTGAAAAGATAGTGCTTACTTTCCTTTCTCCCTTTGATAGCTGTTTATCCAGCCCGTCAATATGGCAAGCACTATGCTAGAAAGCATGGAGGTATAAATTCTGGAAAGCAGTTAGCCATATATTGAGAATTTTAAAAAATACATATGTTTTGTTAAACAGTAATTTATCCTTTCAGAGTCTCTTCTAAGGAAATGAAATTAGGACAAGGACATATGCAGAAATGCATTCATTGCAGCATTATTTATAAAACCAACATTTAATGAAACATTTGTTGGTGAACTGTTATGATGGATTAATTTTGATACTTTTATAGAATAGAATATGTGAAACTTTTTTACATTTGTTTTTAAACAACAATTATGACATAAAAAAGTGAAAAGGTCAGAATATGACAAAGTTTATATCACATGACCCCAATTTCATAACAGAAAAATACTGATGTCAATATAACGAAAAAAACACTCTATTATGTCTATAGGGGGGTGGTATTACAAATTATTTGCCTTTCTTATTTTTGTACAATTCTGACTTTAAGAAGTTTTACCAGTAGCAGTGAGGAGGATGATTGTAATATTTACTTAGTCCTCACAGTGTGTCAGGCACTGTATCAGGTACTTTATATAGATTGTCTTGTTTAATTTCTACAACTAGGATATAAATTGGGAAATACTATCATAGCCATTTAGTAAATGTAGAGACTGAACTCTGGTAGGTAAGTAACTTGCCCATGGTCAAACAGCTGTTAGGAAGTGGAACTAGATTTGAACCCATTTAATGGCTTCTTATCTCCTATTCCACATTACGTCTCAATTAAAATGTATTACTGTGATGAATCAGAAAAAAAGAAACTTAAAAAAATTTTTAAAGGAATACAATGTGTTACCAAATTTTATTCTTAGTATGAAGATTTTTCTCTTCTAATGGAAACTAGAATTTGAATTTCCTGTGGCAGGCATGTCACACACATTATCTTATTTAATCCTCATGCAGCCTTGGCAGGTAGATATTGTGATTCTTAACCTGACCTTGTTGTGCATGGGAAAACTGGCCCAGAGTGGCACAGTGACTTGTCCACGGTCACATAGCCAGTGCACTGCAGAGCTGGAATTCATAGTTCTGCTTCCTTTCAAAGCAGAATTCATAGTTCTGCTCCCTCATCCCTCATCTCCCAGAGTATCTCGATCTTCCTCAGCCACATCTTTTTAATGGTGCAAAACAAGCAGGTGCCAGCAGCTTACTCAGGACAGTCATTTGTTCTGATGTGAGAGGGCCCTGAAGCTCCTGGACATATGAGTTCCAGAGCAGGTTTTGGTTGTATGAATGCAGAGATTCATGTCTAAATGAATTCTGGAGTCTTCGCAGAATCAGTGAGCCTCCACAGTCATCCAAAGAGTGTAAGATCCTGATCGTGTTGTCAAGATTAAGGTGATGGTCCTCAGGTGGGTATCCTGGCACATAGGGGACTTTGGTCAACCTCTTTGCCTGGATTTCTTCAACAGCTCCGGGGTGACTAGGTTATTTTCTTTGCTGAATGTCAATTTAATTGAAGCTAGATATGGATCCTCTCATGAAACTAGACCAGCTATTGCAAGCCCTTTGATGCCAGGATTTTCTGATTCAACAAATATTTACTAAGCTCATATTGTGCAGGGGGCACCCTGAAGAGTACTGGTCACATGATGATAAAGACAAGCACAATTCTTGCCCTCCAGGAGCTTATAGTTCAGTGGGAAACATTAACCAAATGATCACATAAATAAATGTAAATTTTAAACAGTGATATGTGTCAAGTAGAGGCACACAGTGCTCCAGAAGTTTATAAAAGCAAGATCTGATATAGTTGGAGGCAGTCAGGGAATGCTTCCTTGAGGAAGTGGCATTCGAGCTGAGACTTGAAGGAGCTAAATAGGTTAAAGCAGAGAAGGAATAGCATTGCAGCCAGTGGCATCACATGTTTAAATACTCTGTGATGGAAGGCAGTGGATGGGAGGGGGTCAAAGAAGACCACTTGCAGAGAGTAAGGAAAGCCTGGTGAGATGCCACAGAGGGACCAGCTGAAGCCAGATGGCCCAGGGCCATGCACCTTGTGGAGTACTGTCCTCATCCTAGCAGCAATGGGAACCCACCGAAAGGTTTTCAGGCAGATGCAGAGGGCTAGGCGACAGATTTATGTTATGAAAAGTGCTCTCTGGCTGCCATGTGGGGAATGGTTTGGGCAGGGAGAGCTGGGGTTTGGAGTCTGCAGTTGGGAGACTGTTGCTGTACATTAGTCTTAGGTTGCACTAGAAAGGAGCTGGTGCTGGAGATGGTGGCACGTAGATGGACTCAGAATAGGTGAGGGGTGTCAGAGGGCCTGAGGCAATGATCTATGAGGTAATGGGTAGCAAAAGTGGGTCTTCTATTTCTTGAGATCCTTCACAGCATTTCGCATTGCCCTGGGCACATGGTAGATGCTAATTTGATTGACTGGTGCTCTTGGGTGGCCTGAGAGAGTTATTCTCTTCTCTTTCAGTCTTCCACATGCCCAGGATGAGGTATCTTAGTGACTCTGGGGGCCATACTTTGTGACAGTAGCTCTAAGAGACTTGTGGGGTGCACACAATTCTGCATATTTACTACTACCCAGAGGGCTGGCATCTGCATCCCTGGCTTGGCCCAGCCTATTCCAGCCATCCTGGAGGGATGTTTCCCTGGTGCTGCCAACCAGTCATGTACTCATACCTATCTTTGCATTTCCTGCTGCAGGAGCCTGCCTGGGCTGAGTCACCTGCCTTGGAGTAGGTAGTCTGGGTGATGACTGACATAAAGTTTCCAAATCTGGAGCTGTGGGCCACCCTCACATCATGCCATGCACATTGGCAGCAGTCCAAGCTCAAGGCTGGCCTACTGTAGCCTGTGGCCAAATAGGGTGGCCGTCATGCCTAAGCCCCATCCTTCATCCACTGCCCCAGCTCCCACATCTTCCTCTGCTTAGTGAGGCAGTAATGATGTCAGCGCTGGAACTCAGAACTCATTTTATGGCTGCCTGCATGCTTTGTTAAGATATCTTCAAAAAACAATTAATGTTAAGCAAAACCACAGCCCTAAAATTATCTTCGTAAATGTCTATGAGATTCTGGTGAACTGCCCACTGCCCATCAAGGCAAAGTGGCAGGTGAGTATCTGTGAGAGAGGCCTTCCTGGAAGCCAAACCACTAAATAGGCAGAGGCTCCTAAAAGTTGGAAAGAGAAACAAAGTGGAAGCGAGTAGAGGGAGTTGGAAACCTGTCTACATATGTTGGCTATGCTTTCAATGAAGGGGCATTAAAAGGACAGGCCAAACGAGCTTATTTAGTTTGGTTTAAGAGGGTCATTTTACATTGTTAGAGTGAGAAGAAAACAAAAGAAGTGATGGATGACCCCTTTGCCGTGTGGTGAATTTAATTAGGGATTGGGGGCCTGGTTGGTCTTTCTCCCTCACTCACGTGTTGGATGTGGAGGGAATCAGAACCACATTGAAGAGAGAGAGTGGCTGCTCTCAGCACGTTGTTTTCATTGTGGTTAAACCTGTGGAGCCTGACCAGACAGGACCAGGGTCCTTTGTGGTACTGTGCATGGTGATGGCATCCTTTATCTGAAGGCTCTGACCAGAAATGGGCTTGTAGCTGCCGGCTCAGGGCTGGTGCTTATGGGAGGCTCAGATGGGAGCTTTCACTGAGTCTTCGTGGACCTGGAGAGGAGAGTGCTCACTGAATGCTCTGGGGTAGAGGGTGGAGCCACGGGGTGATCACTGCCCTCCTAGAAGGAAATCAGGTGGGGCCTGGTATGGGAAGCAGGAGTCTGGTGCCCGGGAAAGAGGAGGATGTTGGAGGAGGGGAGGAAGACTTGGCTGTGCTCTGTCAGCTCCTAGAGGGCAGGGCTTTCCATGTCGTCCTTCTATCTGCCCAGCATAGCGTGGCACAGGGCCGAGTCCTGAGAAAGCAAAGACCAGTGCTCTTGCCTGGCCCCCCACCCTCAGCTCTTGGCACTTTCCACCCGCCACTCTGCTTTGAGGAAACTGAATTGCTGCAGTTCAGCTAACAGGCTGCATGTTCTCTCACTCCTGCGCCCTTGTACGAGCTGTTCCCTTTCCCTGAAACGCTCTTTCACTTCTTTGACTAATGCCCTGGCCCCAGCACAGTCAATACCTCATTAACAAAAGTGATCAAGACCACCATGCTACTCTGTCCCCTCATGATGAGCTATTGAATCTGCAAAGCATGAAGGAAGAAAAGTTGCTATTGTAGCCATCTCTTTTTCCACCTGTGGGTGATACTGTTTGGAGTGGCTGGCCCAGGCTCTCCCTGCCTTCTGCCAGCAGCCCAGGAATTAAATAAGCAATTAAATGCTTCGCCATTCTGCCCAACAGAGTGAGGTGTGCAATATTTTTTCTTAGGGCGAAGGGAAGAAGCTGTTCAGAGGGCTTCAGAGCTGCCTCTAGGGGAGGAGAGCTGACCCCAGCCATTTTGGGGCTAGGGTAGCCTGATAGGTTACCTACATGATTGCCACGTCATCTCTCACCCATTCTAATTTCCACACTATTAAATCTGCCTTTCCTAACATATCCTTAAAGGGGAAATAAATTACCGGCACCCTGTACCTATAGCCCTCCATGTTATTACCGCTAATGTAACTTCTCTGGGGCAGCCAGACGCTGTTCATGTTTCTTAGCCATTTGCACCCCCAAAGCTATATTGAGCTATCAAGTATTCATGGACACCATTCAGACCTCTCATTTTTCTCTGCTAGTTGTACCCAAAGGTTTGAGGGCAGAATGAAGCAAGGGCTGGCTGCTTTACTTGGGGCTTCAGCTCTACCCTTTCCATCCCTTCTTTAATTAGGTTATTTCATCAGAGGCGGACACCAAGCATGACTTATAATTCTCGTGATATTCTATGGTGACTGCCCATTATGAGTCTGTGGAGATTTCTGTATCTCACTTAATTTGCTAGAGAATGGTGCTGGGGGTGGTTGGTTCTGATCTATCCCTGGAATGTCTGTATGTTTCTTCTCCACTGCTTTCTGCCTGCTCCAGGGCCTCCATCACCCAGTTACTATAGCTAGAAAACTGGACATCAAAATTCCTTCTCCCCTTCCATCACTTTCTACCTCCCCTTAACGTCCCAGTCAATCCCCAAGGCTTTGGGTCACCTCCCAGGCATATCCCAGGTTTCTTCACTTCTCACTGTCTCTTGCCTGGACCTCCTAATTGCAGCAACCTCCTAATTGGTCTACCCCTTCCTCTACCTCTTAGGATCTCCTAGTTTAACATGACCCTCTTAAACCTCCTAGTTGCAGCAGTCTCCTAATTGGTATACTTCTTCCAGTCTTTCCCCTTCCCCTCCAGAGTCTTTGCCACACAAACATCAGGGTGATACTTTCTTCTCTGTTTAAAAATGCAACTTTGTATCTACCTACCAGCATTAATACAGCCCTATCAGCTTCAGAGCTTTTACTTACAAAAACAAAACATCAGAGATTTGTCAGTGAGGACCCTAGTATATCTTTCCCAGATCTCGTTCTCTCCTTGCCTCCCTAGAAGTAATTACAATTCTGAATTTGGTATTTTTCATGCCCATGTGTATGTTTTTACTATGATCTGTAAGTAAACATTACATACTATTATTTTGCACATATTAAACCCCGTACAAATGGTATCACACTGTTTTTTTCCTTGACATAGTCTTGAGGTTTTTCCGTGTTGTTGGTTCATGCAGTTCTAGCTCATTCACTTTAGCTGCTGGGCCATAGTCTATTGTGTACAGAATGATTTATTTGTCCATCTTTCTGTTGATAGATAGTGTGTCATCTTTGCAAAGTATGAATCACATCATGTTTCTCCTTTGTTTACAACCCTTCAGTGCCCTGGTTAGGAGGCTGTGCAGGAAGTGTGGCCTTGTTTGCCCCTGCCCATGCTAGGGACTGCACAGCCCACACAGGCAGATGCCAGGGAGGCAGTCTCAGGAGTGGGAAAAATCCTTCTAATGTAAGCTAACTCCATGCCTTTCCTTATTCCCACCTAGCAGTGGCTGGGATTTGGTGTGTGACTAACAAATAACACGACTCTGCCGTGTTGAACTTCAGGTCTTGGGAGCTGGGTATTTGCCAGGCTTTCATGTGTGTGAGGCTCTCCTGCACAACTCATTCCTCCCTCCGTCTCTCCATGCAGCACACAGCCCTGGGAAGGAGACTCTCTGAGCTTGTTTTCCTTTTCTTTTTTTTTTTTTTTTTTTTTTTGAGACAGAGTCTTGCTCTGTCACCCAGGCTGGAGTGCAGTGGTGTGATCTCGGCTCAACCTCCACCTCCCGGGTTCAAGCAATTCTCCTGCCTCAGCCTCCCGAGTAGCTGGGACTACAGGTGCACGCCGCCACGCCCAGCTAATTTTTTTTTGTATTTTAGTAGATACGAGGTTTCACTGTGTTGACTAGGCTGGTCTTGAACTCCTGAGCTTAGGCAATCCACGTACCTCAGCCTCCCAAAGTGTTAGGATTACAGGTGTGAGCCACTGCACCCGGCCACTGCGCCTGGCCGCTTGTTTTTCATACTGCTTACTTTTTCATTATTTGTTTCCTGTATCTTTTCCGCAAGGACAGATGGTGAGTTTGTTGGAAAGTAGAATGCAGACATTGGGAATTTTCTGGAGCTGAGCACCTTAGTTTTAAGACTAGTAGACTTTAGGTATTGTTTCAAATTATTCCCCACACATTAACGTCTCCAGTGACCTTGGCCAAAGGCAGTGAAGGTCATCAGTGGTGTACATGGCACATAGAATGTGCCATTTTCTATTATGAAAAAATAGCTCCAAGCCTGTTTTACCTGATGGGCCACTGATATTGTCTGTAATTTGGAAAGTATGATTGATCTATTGATACTACAGGTCACATACTGCAGTTTTGAAAAAGAAATTTATGATTCATGCGAAGGTTTTGAGGTACTGGATGAAATCTACTTTATTTCAAACAAAAGTTTTTATGTTCAAAGTCCAAGTACATTAGACTTCTTAGCTAAACCCTAGAGTACGGTTTGTGTCTTAGAGTCTACTGATACAGAATTTCCATCATACAGCAGGCCTTCTCTGGAAACCAGTGGTATGAGATCCTGTGGTTTGCTTAGCAAAGATTATGAAAAAAGAGAATGGAGAAGATTAGTTAGATACATATTAACTAAGGACTTACTCTGGGCTTTGAAAGCTGTGTGTTAACTTATTTATTCTTCATAAAACCCATGTGAGGGGATGTTTTATGTTTCTCATTTTTCAGAAGAGGAAACACTCAGAGAGGTTAAGTAACTTGCTCAAGATCCCAGCCAAGAAGAGTTAGAATCTTCTTTCTCCCATATCCTGTTGTTTCTGGCCCTCTGTAGCTTCTAGCTGGGAAAATAAGACAGAAGAATTAATGGAGAAGAGAATAGAAGACAGCCAGGAACATTCTGTATCCCCAGATACAAAGGGTAGACACTGACAGGAAGGTCTTTCAAGGCTTGCTTCTCCTTGTCTGGGACAGGCTTATTTCCTAAGGCTCTGAAACAGGTGGACCTCAAAATGAGTTCTCCTTGGTTTGCTCAGAAAATATACATAGACCTGTATTCATTGCCAGTGTCTGGATTAGACAGCAGCCCTGCTCCATCTTGACCTCAGTCTCTTGGAGGAATGGGAAGGAAGGCTGCAGATGAAAAGGAGCTCTGGGGAGGCAAGTGGTTTGTCAAGCTTTCCTGAAATGTGACATGTGACCTGAAGGACCTGAAGGCTGGTAGACAGGGTGGGAAAAGGATTTCAGGAGAGGGAGAACAGTATGACAAAGATTCCAAAGTTTAGGGAGCACAGAGTACAGGCATACCTTAGAGATACTGTGGGTTTGGTTCCAAACCATTCCACTAAAGTGAATATTGCAATAAAGTGAGTCACACACATTTTTTACTTCCCAGTGCATATAAAAGTTATATTTACACTATTCCAAGCAGTAGGATTATATCTTAAAAATCAATGTACATACCTTAATTTAAAAATATTTTATTGCTAAAAAATGCTAACCATCATCTGAACCTTCAGAGAGTCATTGTCTTTTTGCTAGTGGAGGGTCTTGCTTCAGTGTTGATGGCTGCTGACTGATCAGATTGGTGGTTGCTAAATGTTGGGGTGGCTGTGGCAGATTTTAAAAATAATACAACAATGAAGTTTGCTACATTGATTGACTCTTTCACAAAAGAATTCTCTGTAGCATGCTGTGCTGTTTCATGGCGTTTTACCCACAGTAGAACTTCTTTCAAAATTAGTCAATCCTCTCAAACTCTGCTATTGTTTAATCAACTAAGTTTATGGAATATTCTAAATTCTTCGTGATCATTTCAACAATGCTCACAGCCTCTTCACCAGCAGTAGATTCCATCTCAATAAACCACTTTCTTTTCTCATCCATAGGAAGCAACTCCTCATCTGTTCAAGTTTTATTAAGAAATTATAGTAATTCAGCCACATCTTCAGGCTGCACTTCTAGTTCTCTTGCTATTTCCTCCACATCTGTAGTTACTTCCTATTATGAAGTCTTGTACCCCTCAAAGTCGCCCATGAGCATTAGAGTCAACTTCTTCCAAATATCTGTTAATGTTGGTATTTTTACTTCCTCCCGTAAATCACTAATGTATTTAATGGCATATAGACTTATGAATCATTTTCGGAAGGTTTTCAATTTACTTTGCCCAGATCCATCAGGAGAATCAATATCTATGGTAACTATAGCCTTATGAAATATATTTCTTAAATAATAAGGCTTGAAAGTCAAATTACCTCTTGATCCGTGGCCTACAAAAAGGGTGTTGTATTAGCAGACCTGAACACAACATTAATCTCCTATATATTTTCATCAGAGCTCTTGAATGACCAGATGCATTGTGAATGAGCAGTATTATTTCAAAGGGATCTTTTTTTCTGAGTGGTAGGTATCGTAACCGTGAGTTTAATATACATAGTAAACCATGCTGTAAACAGATGTGCTGTCATCTGAGCTTCGTTGTTCCATTTTTAGAGTACAGGCAGAGTAGCTTTAGTGTCATTCCTAAAGGCCCTATGATTTCTGGAATGGTAAATGAGCACTGGCTTCAACTTAAAGTTACCAGCTGCATTGGCTCCTAATGAGAGGGTCAGCCTGTCCTTTGAAGCTTGGAAGCCAGGCATTGACTTCTCCTTTCTAGCTATGAAAGTCCAACATGGCTTCTTCTTCCAATAGAAAGTTGTTTTGCCTGCATTGAAAATCTGCTGTTGAGTGTAGCCACCTTCACCAATTCTCTTAGCTAGATCTTCTGGATAACTTGCAGCTTCTCCATCACCACTTGTTGCTTCACCTTGCACTTTTGTGTTATGGAGATGGCTTCTTTCTTTAAACTTCATGAACCAATATCTGCTAGCTTCAAACTTTTCTTTTGAAATGTCCTCATCTTTCTCAGCCTTCAAAGAATTGAAGAGAATTAGGGCCTTGCTCTGGACTAGGTTTTGGCTTAAGGAAGGTTTTGACTGGTTTGATTTTCTATCTAGAGCACTGAAACTTTCTCTATACCAGCAATAAGGCTGTTTCGGTTTTCTGTAATTTGTGTGTTCACTGGAGTAGCACTTTTAATTTCCTTCAATCATTTTTCCTTTGTATTCACAACTTGGCTAAATGTTTGGCACAAGATGCCTAGCTTTTAGCCTGTCTCGGCTTTCGACATGCTTTCTTCACCAAGTTTAATCATTTATAGCTTTTGATTTAAAGTGAGAGATGTTGGACTTTTCCTTTCACTTGAACACTTACAGCCCATTGTAGTGTTATTAATTGGCCGAATTTCAATATTGTTTTATCTTAGAGAATAGGGAGGCCTGAGGAGAGGAAAACAGATGGGGGAGGAGCCAGTCAACGGACCAGTCAGAACACATAAAACATTTGTTGATGAAGTTCACCATCTCATATACATGTGGTTCATAGTGCCCCAAGACAAATACAATAGTAACATCAAAGATCACTGATCACAGAGCACCCTAATACATATAATGATAATGACAAAGTTTAAAATATTTCAAGAATTACCAAGATGTGACACAGAGACACAAAGTGAGCACATGCTGTTTGAAAAATGATGCCAATAGACTTGCTCAACTCAGGTTGCCACAAACCTTCAATGAGTAAAAAATGCAAGATCTGAGAAGTTCAATAAGCAAAGCGCCATAAGATAAGATATGCTGTATAGGCAGAAAGTGGTGGCCACGTGTGGCTGGAGCAAGCGGCAAGTTGGGGGCAGGTGTAAGATAGGGAAGAATGGGGCCACATACGTGGGATCTTGGATAGCATAGTAAGAGCTCCCAACCTTTCTTCTGCCATGATTCACCTGACTCAGGATGTCCTGTGGACTTGCCTGGGCTGATGCTCACCTAATAGGATTGTAACTCCTCTTCTCTACACTGCTGCTAAGCAAGAGATGTGTTCTTATCAGACAACCTTATATTTGCTCCAAGGGGTGGAAGGATAACCTTCTAAAAACTCCCGTTCTTGAGCCATTGTTACTTCCACTAATTTATGCTAACTAATTACTTGGCTATCTCATAATGGATCATAACCCTTCCATGTGTCAGAACACCACTACTGGTAGCTTTTTGAGGGCATCTGCAGGGAAATCACTGAGAGTTGCTGAGGGGAAGTGACCTGAACAGCTTTATCATTCTCTTTTTTAGGCTCCCACATAACTATACACAGATTTCTCCTATTAACATATTGAATTTTAATGGTTCCTGTCTTGTTTAGCAGTGACAGCCACCAGGAGCATGCCTAGAGTGAGCGTACCGTTGTGTCCATAGTGCCCAGCACAGTGCCTGGTACACGCTGGGTACTCCATACATGTATGAGTTACAGTTGCGTTGGGGGTAGATAACAATGGCAAATGGGAGGGAGATTAAGCTTGAACCCAGGAACACCTCAGTAAGGAGGTATTTGCTATAGATGAGAAATTATGATAGGTTGCTGGAGAAGGGGTCTGATTGGAGTGGTAACTAGAGGGTAGAAGGGTGAATTGAGATGTGGGGAGAGAAAGGACAACACTCTAAATGACTAAGTTTCTGGCTTTGTTAACTAGATAAGGAATGTAGAAAGAAGACATGAACACAGAAAGAGAAAGCATGAGGTAAACACTGGCCCCAGCTTGCTGCTCTGTTTCCAGTGAATCACCCTGGGGAGGAGGAGAAGCAGGCTGCTGACAGATGAGCCTGGAGCTCAGGGTTGAGGTCGGGCCTAGAGAAATGTCTGGGAGTCGTCAGCATGAGGCTGGTATTTGTAGCCATGGAGTGGGCGGCATGCTGCATTATCCTTTCAGGGAGTGGGACAGAGGGATAACCTAGGGCAGGACCCCAAGGAACAGCAAAGCATAAGGAATAACAAGAGGGATGAGAGTTTACAAAGAGACCAAGGAGCTGCCAGAGAGGTGGGACGTGGACTGGATGGGGCAATGTCACAATATCACAGAAACTACAGGGAGTAACACATTCAGGAGGGAGGGAGACATGATCAGGGGCCAAGGGGCTCTGAGAGCCAGGCCAGATGAAGATGTTGATGTGGCCTTTGGAGTTAATGGCCTGGAGGTCATTGGTCCTCTGGTGAGAACAGTTTTGTGAAGTGGAGTGACAGGGAGGGAAGCCAAGGGGAGGAAGCGAGGCAGTGAAGACAGTAGCTATACACTGGATGGAGACCAGCACCTAGCTCACTGCCTTGTGCCTCCCAGGCTGGACGTTTGGGAATCCTGAGATAATTGAAAGGAGTGCAGAGAACACCTGGCTCACAGACTGGAAGTCTTGGCTCCACTTGGGTCAGATAGCCCTTATATAAATCCAACCCAGCAAATGAAATTTCATAAAGACACAATAACTGTTATGTCCTCCTAAGCCCCATGTCTTCTGTCCCCTTCCCATTGCCTTGTGAAGCTAGAGGAAAGTTACTGATGTTATCTTGTCCAGTTTGGTCCAGGGCTTTGAAGATGTTTTCTTTGAGTGGAATTGAGTCCTTCCAAGACAATGCTGGTGACAGTGGATGAAATCCAAAACAGATGGCTGAGCAGGAGCAGTCCTAGCCCTTATGTCACTGTCTAGCCATTGATGCAATCCCCCTATACCCCAAACGGGCCTATGCAAAGGGAAGGGTGGCTCATAAAAGTGTTCTGCTCAACTTAGCATATCTCTGTGATCATGTACTGATCATGTACATTATCTCAATGATCAGCAGTACTACTTCTCCACCAACTCCTTCAAGAAGGTTGGCTGTGAAAGGACAATGAGAGAGGAAAATATCTGAAGGGGGATATGGGACTGAGAGTTGTTAAAGACGGGGTGACTCAAGTCTATTCAGCTGTCCCACCTCCAGATCAGGATTTTCAGAAGGCTTTGTGCTTGTGAGGACAGGAATTTTTTTGGATTCCCAATAACCATCTCTATTCTGTGGCACAGATAAATTTGGTCTCAAAGGGAATTTGTTTCGATACGCTGCCTTTCCCGCTTCTGCCCCTTTAGAAGACTTCGTTTCTCATGGCTTATCAGGATGGAGCACTGTATTTTGTTACTGCCTGTCTTGTAGCAATACCACATTCATTTTGTTTTCAATTACCAAGATGTACTTTGAAAGGCCTTATCTAGCAGAGACACAGCTTGCATCTTCCCTGTGCAGTATTTCTCTGTGGTCCTGCAGGGGCCTCCTTAGATGCCAGCCTGGCTCACATCTGTTTTCTGCCCCTTGGTGAGACAGCCTCCTCTCGGCACCCTGGCACCACGGTAGTCCATCACCTAATCTCATGCCCATCCCACCATGTTCTCTGCATTCCTTCTGAAGATTTTATTTATTTCTTTATTTTATTAAGACTTAGGAGCCTCAGAAGGCCCTAGATGGAAAAGTGATGGCTACAAAGCTGTCAGGTATTAAAGTCATACAAGTGTAGCTAATTCGTCCGTTTCTATTTCCTGAATTAAAAAGAGAAATGCAACAAATTAAACTAATTGCTGAGACTCCTTTGGTGCTAGAACCAAGCCATCTGTGAGAGGAGTTCCAGGGTCCTGCCTCAGCTCATGACCTGCAGCTCAGCTCTGGTGACAGGTGGTGAGGGGCAGCTGGTGGCTATCTTCTGGTGGCAGGTTCTTCTGGCCTCAGTCTTGGAGCAAGTAAATTTGAAATGAATGGAGTGTAACCTGTGTAATCCCTTCATAGGCCTCCAAAGGAAAGAGAATAAGAAATAAAAAAGTCTCTGGCCACCCAGGATATAAAAGAGGCAGTTTCTTTTCTGTTTCACCTTCTCCAACTCTTCTTCCCTCCCCCTCTCCCAACTGACCCTTTCCATTTTTTCCTCTCTCTGCCCTGACTTCACCCTGTTCCTCCTTTTGTTTGTCATTTCATTCATTCTCTCTGCCCCATTTGCTGTGCTAGGTGCTGGATACAGTGGTCAACAAGACAGACAAGATAGTCTCAAGCGTAGTTAAGTTCTGCACAGGGAATCAGCAGGTGTCAGTGATGGAGAATGACAGGGACAGTGTGGTGAGGAGTGGCATCTCTGAGGCGGGGACATGTGGATGAGAAGGAGCCAAGCTTGAGAACATTTGAGGGGCAGGGCTCAGAGGGAGCTGCAATTCCAGGGCCTCCTAGAGAGGCATTGAGAGCAAGGGTCAGGAGGGAGAGGGGGCATTGAGGGTGGGGAACAGGAGGGGGTGATGGAGGAGTTGGAGAGAGGCTGGGATGCATGCACCTGTTTCTGATCCTCATGAAGAAGTCCGTTGTCTTGTGCTCTGTGCCTTCCATCCTCATTCCTTGAGCTGGGTTGTGATGTGGCTGCCCCAATATTCTCTGCACTGGGCTGTGAAGGTCCAGATGCCCCTTGTGATTTCATCGACTCATGGACATGGGTATTTATTTTACTTGAAACTCTGCAGAGCTCTGGCCAGAACCTCTGCTACTTGCCCAGCAGCTTAGGGAGGGTGGTCTTTACCTTCTCCCAAATGGAAAAGCTTTGCCCGTGCTGGGCAGCAGATTCCAGGAGCTGATGGGACATTCTGGGGCGAGGACAGACCCAACAATCTGGGTCAGGAGTAACATGTGTGGGCCCAGGGGAGAGAAGGCTTCCTGTGGCTGGATGCTAGGATCTGTCCATGAGAGGAGCTGAGATGCCCCTGAACCAGGCTTGTGCCTCATTGGTTTCCTCTGACTCTGGTTATCAGAATCATGTCTACTGTGTGCTTATTTGGCTAGCCTCTTAAACAGAGCCGTATGCCCTTGGGAGAAAGCTGAAGCTCAGATGCTCACTGCAAAAGCCTACTTTACATGGTCATTGAGGAAAGCAAAACTACACTTAAAAATTGGTAAAATTTGTTCTTGTCCTGGAGAATCCTCCTGCTTGTGGTCACTGGACTAAATCCTAAGGCCACACCTTAGCAATTGTTGCTGACAATCATAATAGCACAGAAGCAGTCAATAATGTCGGGCATCAGCCACTGTGCTAAGTGTGTTGGCTGGATTGTCTCCTATGCGATAGATAATAGTCACAGTTCTGTGTTACAAATAAAGGGAGCTAAAGCATAGAGGGGGATGGGTGACTTTAAGCAAGTCATCCTCCTGGGAAAGAATGGAGCTGGAATTTTAATCCAGGCAGTCTGATTCTCTACCTCTGTGCCTTCCTGCCTGCTGATGAGGAGTTCCTGAGAGGCTAAGCAACTTGCCAACGTCTACACAGCCAGCGAGGGCTGGAAACTGGACTCACAGCTAGCCTTTCGAGAGATTGAGGCTCTCTCAGCCTTCCCTGGGCTGCCTCTAGTGTTCTCCAGGTAGCTGATGACCCACAGCAGTGGCTACCAGGTCCCACCCCTAGACCAGTGCCAAACAGGCTGCAAAAGTCCTCTGGAGAACTTAAAAGTACAGAATCTTGGTCACAACCACCAAGATTCTAATTTCAGAAGGTGAGATATAGGAATCAATATTTTGTTGTGAAGTTGGATTTGAGAACCACTGACCCAGACACTTACACTGTTATTTCCTTGAATAAACTTTCTACCCTGATCTCTCTTCATCCTCTTTAAGGCCAATAACTTTCTAAACAGGGAACCATGGTTTTCAGGCCAGGATGTCTTCCATGCCCCTTTTATAGACTTTTTTCCTGACTTTTTTCTTTGTTGAATTAGCCATTCATCTTTCTGTGACCCCATGCATGTTGCTTCATACCATGTGCGGACCTTAGTGCCTGCTCATTCTTCTTTGCCAAATGTGACTGGGGATGAGTACTTTTTAGTCTTTTTATTCATAGTGTCTGCCACATAGTGAGTATACCATAAAGATTAATGAGATTGATGGATGCTTGGAAGGATATATTTACATGTAACAAAATGGCCTGTGTTTGCATGTGGAGTTACCTGTTCCTTCCCGGTAGAGACTATAGGGGATGTACATGAGGTTCTCATGCTTCAGTTATTGCCATTCAGATAGAGAACACCAGTGCAGGTGCCTTGTACCTAATGAACACACTAGGAGTTGTTTTTCAAATTGTGGGTGTGGCTCTGCACTAACCCATCCACGCTCCTTTACCAGGCCTCCATGGAGATTGGTGACCTGGAACTGAAAGGCAGGTGGCCAGAGCTGCGGGCATGTGGGTCTAGAGGGGAGGAGAGTTTCAGCTTAGGAGCTTAGCCTGATGGTACTGTGGCCACTTCTATTGAGCAAGTGAAGACCTTTAGCTCAGGGACTCTTGACTGAGCACCTGCAGCAGGCCAACACCCCATGCTGGCCAGAGGGATGGGTCAGACCATCTCTGCCCTCAAGGAGTTCACAGTCTGGCAGGCAAACCCAGAAGCAGAACTGCTGACCCAGAGGTTTAGTGTGAGGAGGGAGGTCACTCAGACAAGGGCTCCGAAATCCAGTCAGGAATGTGGGGTGAATCCAGGCTGTCTCTATGTGAACTCCAGCCAGTTAAGCTCTCTGGTCTCCCTCATTGTAAAGAAGGGATTATAATAGTAGGTACTTGGTGTATACCAATAGGAAACACTGGCAAATATTTGTTGAATAACCAAGAGCTGAGACATTGTTTAGGAAAAGTTTCCCAGAAAAGGAAATGTCTGAGTTTTGTTTTGAAGAATGAGTTAAGATTCAGCCTGGGGAAGGGCGTTTCAGATGGAGGGCACTGCAGGAGCAAAGACCCGGTGGTGTGTGAGGTAGATGAGGGAAGCTACTGGCAGTTCATTTATTATCTGGACATTAAGTTTTAGGTGAGGAAAATCACAGCTGATGAAGGCCAGAGAGATGGGTCCTACTGAGCAATTTAAACTTTATTCCAGAATTGATGGTATCCATTGAAGGATGCAGGGCAAAAAAGTGGCACGATTGAGCCTACACACTTTACACAGTCTCTATAAGAAAGAGGCCTTGATCTCTTTAGCTGTGCATTGATCAACCTGGGGATCTGCTCCTTTAGGCCCACTGCTGCAAAACTATTTGCAGATTGTTGTCTTCATGTCCCTTTTTGCTACCAGTGGAGGTTCAGCAGAGGAGTGCCTTGGGGCCTGGACCACTGGGAGCATGTCAACTTCATGGCCAGGTCCTGTCTACCATGCCCTGCAGTCTCCTGGGGGATGAAAGGGAATCATCAAGCAAATCCTAATCAGATTTCCCAGGCAGGCATCTGCCCAGCCCGATTTAGATTATCATACATTATCCTCAGCTCAGAGAACTGGTGATGGTGGCAAGATTAGCTTACACTTTGCATTTGCCCTGGGAGTTTACACAGCAGTAAGCCTGTTTGTCAGCTAATGCTCCAAAGTTTCTAGCGCCCGTG
This sequence comes from Homo sapiens, assembly GCF_000001405.40. Classification (NCBI taxonomy): domain Eukaryota; kingdom Metazoa; phylum Chordata; class Mammalia; order Primates; family Hominidae; genus Homo; species Homo sapiens. The sequence continues at coordinate 137,181,663 of NC_000005.10, read as the reverse complement.
GGGACCCTGTTTCCAGCTCTGTTTAATGTTTAATTCAAATACAGCAAATGAGAGGGGCAGAGCTGATGGCAAGCTGCAGACTTCTGGGTTTGGGAAACTGGCCGTGGGGCCCCTCCAAGTCCAGCCCTGTGACTGTTTCTCCCATTCCCTGAATTCAGCCTAGAGTTTTCATTTCTGAGGCAGAAATTTGAGAGAGCCTCATTTTGTGAGCAGAACCACAGCCCCCTGTTGATTGGTGCTTCTAGTCCATCCTAGTCCTCATTGCTGATAGAATGAAGGACCCTAAAGCAGATACCTTTGTGTCACTACCTGCCTCAGAAACTAACAGTAGCTCTCACTGATTATGGAATAAAGTCCAAACTTAATAGCCCAGTGCTTCATGTTCTATCTGCAGACTAGACCCTTGTACACCACCCCTCCACCTTCCTCTCCTGCCTCTGTTTGCCCATGCTGCTGCTTCTCATTGCTACCTGTTGGAAATCTTGTATGTTCTTCGGTGCCCAACTTGATACTATTCCTTCCATCGAGCGTTTTCACTTCTGTTAGTCTGCATCCTTGTTTCCCATTTGGTGTTTTAGGACCGGTGTTAGAGTCATTTGTGAGATTGGAACTCCAGACTAGAAGGCCCTTGAACTGATGATCTTGGTGTCACCTTTATTCCCCATCTTTCTGCCTGGTGCCCAGCCCAAAACCTCACAGGCAGCTCATGATATGTGTGTAAGATTGGATTCGATTCCAAGACAAAGCTGGCCAAGCCATCCACTTATCACCCATCATTTCATTTTTTCATTGTGAGGACCAGGTGAATGAACAGCTCCTTCATGGCCTTTCTGTGTTGTTCCACTATCCCAATGCCTAAACCCTGGGGGCTTCTATTTTGAGACTGTTTGTCAGAGACTGGGAAGGAAAACACTGAAGAGGGGAAATGAGGCCTCCTCACAGCTCTGACCTGAATATTCTAGAATTGGCTCACCTGGTTTTCTTTTAACTAAACAGTGGGGGTTCTTGGCCATAGCTGAGATGTCCTTGGGGTGGTGAACGGAACTGTCCCAAGGAATCAAACGACCCCCTGGTACAGGTCATTGTCAGTCCTGAGTCTCTTAGTAGCAGGGTCTTTGAGGACTAGAACTCACTGGTTTCAGTTTAGGAAGCTGGAAATTTCTTTGAATTTCATGTTCCCTCCTGTGAAATGGGATACTAATGTATAGCTCAGAGCCATTGAGGAATAAGATAATTCAGGTGATGTGTCTGATGCTTCAGAGAGTCAAGTATCTCTTCTTTGTCACCTACCCACCCCCACCCCAGTCATGACCCCCTTATCTAAACCCACTGAGGGTAGAGTTACAAACATTATTTTACAAAACATAATATTAATACTAGCATCTTACATGTGCATCTTTTTGCTGTACAAAACATGTTACACTTGGCTCAACAAGTGCTTGCATGTGCTGTGTGCCTGGTGCTCCTGGCCAGCCATGCCGTGCAGGTAGGTACAGAGATGATTAGGAGGCAGGTGCTAGAGGGGTGGAGAACCGGATGCTTGCCTCTGCCAGATCCAGGTAGATTCCCATTCAGCTACTCAATGGCTGTGTGACCTTAGGCAAGTGGCTTAACCTTTCTGAGTCTTTTCACTATAAGGTTGAGATGCTAGCAGTCACATTGTAGTGTTATTCTGAGGATGAAAGGAGATACCTCCTGTGGCGCTCTGTTGCCTGGCATCAGTGAGGGCACAGTGATGTGTGCAGTGGCAAGGTAGGAGGGGTTGGGGCCTGGTCTTCAAGGAGCACATGACACAAGGGGGTAGAAGACCTCATCTACATTTAATCCTCAGAAAAGCCCCAGGAAGTAGTAGGGACAGTCTTATTAATCCCCCCATTTTTGTTTTAAGTGAAGTCAGGGGACTGCCCCAAGTCTCATGACTGGCAAGTCATTAGGTGGGGCTTGGAGCAGGTCTTATACCTCATACTCTTGGCTACCCAACCTCAGGAATGAGTTCCCCTCAATCTCTGCTGGAGATAGAGCAAGGCAAACAATCTGTTGTCATGCTAGGCAGTATTGAGGCTGCTACCGGGGGGAATTTTTGGTCAAAAAGGTGGTTAAACAAAAAGGTGTCGTAAGTGGGTGATGGGACCCCCTCCCCTAAGAAAAGAGTGGTTTCCAAGTGCCTAGGGTGGTCTGATAAAGCAGAGGGGAAATTGGATGACCTCTGAAGGTCTGCCAGCCCTGGGAGCCTGTAATTCACCCTGTGTGACAGCTTAAATGTGTAAGTTAACTAATTGGTAGCATTATGTCCTATTAAGGGAGAGCAAATGGCTGTGCCTTTTGTGAGACAAAATCAGACCTGAAATCAAATGCCCTCAGAGGAATTCAGAGCTGGTGCCTTTATTTTTAGATCAAATTGGGAGAAGGGGACAGATATTTTGTTGTTTTTCACTGGATATGGGTAGAAACCAGTCCCTTTATTTTTATTAAACCACTATAGATGTGGTTCTTAGCAGACTGGGGATGGATTCTGCCTTTTTGCACAGTCCTATTTTTGTAATAAAAACTTGTTTTTGATGTCGGAGGAAAAATAACATCAGAGTTTAAATAGGCTGAATGGCCTTAGAAATACTCTGTAGTCAGTCATGTATTAGCCAGGTTGGAAACGGAGGAAGTCACCATTCCCTACCCAACACACCATTGTTATCCAAGTACCTGCTCTTCTGGGCCAGGCACTGTGCTAGTCCTTGGGGATGTGGAGGGATTCTTAGCCATTTATTAAGGTTATGCTGTACTACTATCTTAAGCCTATCCCAGGGGATATAGTGGTTTACACGGTAGAAAAGATCACTGCTCTTGTGGATGTGCCTTCTACTGGGCCATATAAACAAAGTGTCTCTGGTGGGCCAGCCCAGATGCAGGTCACTGGCAGTCTTAGTCTGAACAAATCTTCATTTCTTATTTCTGCCCCCTTCTCACTTGAGGGTGCAGGACTGGTGTGAGGGTGGCCCCAGAGGAAGGGGAGTTGGTTGGGCTGGTACTAGACTCTGTCATTTGTTTTCCCTTCTTCCCCCGCAGACTCTGTAGAGAAAGAAACTTCAGCATTTGAGTTCACTTCTTGCTCTGGTATTCAGTCATGTGAAATGTCAAGTCACTTGGCCTCTCTGAGCCTCGGTCTCCTTAAAAGCAAGGTGTGGATAAAGATGCTTCCTCATGGGAAGTTGTAAGAATGGATTGCAATCGCATGCCCGGTGCCTACCAGACATCAAAAATGTGAGGCTTTCTCTTTTTGCCCGCTAAGAAGGTGCTGCCCCAACAGTGCTACTCATGTAACTGAGAACTGGAATTGTTGGGAAATTCTATCCCTTGTTCCACAAAGTATGTGTTTACCATGTGCCAAGCACAGGGGATTGAGAGCTAAACAGACAAATTTCCCTCACTCATGGAACTCACATTCTAGCAGGAGAATCAATGTGAAATAACCAAACAAATGTATTGGCCAATTTTAGGGCAGTGTCTTGGTGAAGCAACAGGATGATCTGGGAGGCTTCTTGGAGGAAGTGTCACTTGCATTGATCTGGATGGTGAGATGGGCTAGGGGTGAAATTGCCTCAGAGATTCATCTTTTCTCTGCTCACCTGCCAGGGCTTTGGAGGAGATTTCCTGAAGGAAGCCGGTGTCAGGCACATTTTCCTCTCAACATGTGGTCCTTGAGGTCCTTCCATTTCCCTTGTCCTCACCTTTTCCTAGCTATACTGCCTCTATTTAGGACAGGAGGGCATGGACTTCCCCAGCTTTATTTCTCAGTCCCTACTTGGAAAGCTTTTTGGTTGATTCCCTCTTTCCCCACCCCCTCTCCCCTAGAGATCTCCTTTCCCTCCCACTCCTCATTTCTCTCGACTGGATCACACCAAAGACATTTCTTCTTAAAAAGACTCTTCAAAGTGAATGCTTGGGGCTCCCCTTCTTCTTATCTTTGAGTCCAACAGCATTTTTGCGGAGGAATACTTTTTTTAATGTGCGTTAATGTTAAAGGGAGTTTTAAACTTTGTTGTCTTAGAAAATTCCATTTTCTTTTTCCTCCTTTCCAAGCACCCCCCAACCTCCTGAAGCCCCTTTCCTGAAGCATGTATTCTGATCTGATCTTCTCTTTGCCACGACTGCATGATTCCCACCTCTTCTTTTTTGTACTTTCCTCTCTGGTTTTCCCTTGCCCTCACTTTCTCTGTCCCCAAGCTGGACTCCCTGAGCTCTTTAACCCAGCTGTTGCCAAGGGCTGTTTTCTAAGTGAAGGGGCCTCTGGTCTCCTCCAACCCCAGACTCCTTTGAAGATGCCTTTGATAACCTGGGGATGGCCCCCAGCAGACCTGTACTGCAGGACACCTATTTGCCCACTGGCTGAAGTTGCCCTGATTTCAAAGAAAGCAAATGTTGTCTTTAACTTCACGTGGTAGATTTTCTCTGGGAGGAATTTCTGCAGCTACTAAGAAAAAAGTACACCCAGCATTCATTATTGAGGGGGAGATGCTGCTCTGTGAGGCCATTCATTCATCTCTTTTCCCTGAGCATACTGTATCCCATTTTCTGTTAATTAATTCCTTTCGTGTCTAGGGATTTACTCCTGTCTGTAAGGCACAGTCCCAGTTTTTGGGTGCTACTGAAATTTTTCTGGCAGAGGAGGACATGATCTGAACTTTCAAAAAAAGAAAGCAAATGGATTAGTGGATTACAGTTGTACTGTTATGTACTCAGACCTAGTCACTGCCCTTCTGCCTGCCCTGACCAGACCTCCACCACCACAAATGCCAATTAGGAGAATATTATAAGAAGAGAAACCAGGGCTTTAGGATTCTTTTGGCATCAATTGATGCTGCATTTCATCAACTAGATACCGCTTATTAGCTCCATATGCAGTTTATTAGCATCATTTTTCTTTTCTATCCATGCCAGCCTTCAGCCTGTCTGGCCCCTACAGTTGATTTGTATTGATGAGAACATCAATTTGAGTTGTTGCCTTTTCTGATGAAGGGTTCATCTTTCTGAGGACTTAACAGGTATGACGGGTTCTTAGAGTCATTTTTAATTACCGATGAATAAAATGTACCTTTCTAGTAAGGTAAATATACATACGTGTGTATATACACATGTACCTACACACACACACACACACACACACACATTGTGGTGGGGGAGATTTTTGTAAGCATTAGAAGCCTGTCAGGATCCTGAGTCTCTCCATTAGAACATCTCAAGTCTATTTTAGCAAGGTCTAAATATCCTCCAGGACATCCAAGAGTCTTCCCTGCTTCTAGGGGATCTGCCAACTCATGGCACCACCCCCTTGCTATTGTGTTCACTGCCAAGAGAATGCCTACCTGTGAGCCTGTTCAAGATGACCTTGATGGCAAATGCTGAAGGGGGTTGAGGATATACCGGCCATTTGTGTGATTAAGGAACACGGTCTTTCTTACTTAAAGACAAATAAAACATCACTGTGGGATTTGCTCAGTGCTTTTCATCTTAGGAGCTTTTGTAAGCAAGAGGGTTGGTAGTTTTAATGGTTGTTGCCTTAGATTAATTCAGTCATTAGGAAGATAAAGTAAAAGTTTATATTGTTGGCATTCCTCTGGGTTTGATATCCAGGTCTAGAAGTTTCTTTCTGTAGCATTAGAGTTAGCATAAGTATAGCCAAAAATACATGTGGGCAGTGCAAGCCTCCTGCCTTTACTATTATTGCAGATAAATTTTTATTGTGAAATTTGAACAAATTATGCATTTTCCCCAAGAAGTCGCTGCCTGTTGCTTGCCATAAAGATGTATTTGCATGTGCTGAGGTGTACCCACATGCACAGGTCTAAATGGATGGTGGTGGAGATTGGTGGGGCTGGATGGGATGGTTTAGGAGCTTTTCTGAGTACATTCTATATGCCAGGTGCTCTGCAAAACACTTTACATGGATTGGTTGCTTTGTTATTTGACAACCTAGTGAGAAGCGAGATAGCTATAATTATTTTTCTACTTCAAAGATAAACTGAGGTCAAGTAAAGCCAAGTAACTTATCCAAGGTTAAAAAGCTAGTAAATGGTAAAGCTGGGATTAGAACCCAAAGCCTGAGCTTTTAACTAGTAAGCTATATTGACTGACAATAACACTTAATAGAACAATCCAGCAATTCCAGGAACTGGCAGATCAAATCATAACCAACATGTATTAGTCTCCTACTGTACCATTCCCTGGCACAACTGTATGCTTTGCCCCTAAGCAGCTTAAATGCTAATTATAGACTACAACTTTTGTACTTATCAAGGGGTTGAATCAGCTCTAATCATATCACAATTTTACTCAAAAGCCTCACTGGCCTCCTACCTATCCAACCCACCAGTGCTTCAATGGTGGCCTCTGGTCCTTTGATCACATGGTTTTACTACCCACAGTTTCTACATGTCTTGTACTACCCATTTTCCAAGGCCCACTCCTAACACCCTCTTTTCCACAAGGCTTCATGCCTGGTGCAGGTAGTAATTTCTCCCTCTTCATAACTCATTTCCATAGTAATTTGTCATTTTTCTGTCTTGTGACATTTGGCACCTTTCTTTTTATAGTTGTGTGAACTCCTTGAGGGCAGGACTGAACTGTAGATTTTTACAGAATGAGTGAGAGTGGTTCTGCAAAGATGTGTGGTGGTCGGGTACATGGGTTTGGGCCTGTAATGCTACACAGAACATCAAGAAGGTGGTGGTGGCCTTGGCCTCTAGCAAGGTTTTATTTCTAGAGTGAGGGGTGCTCCATGGGGCATATGGTGCCTTTATGCCATCGCTCTTTCCCATGGGTTCTGGACCCCTCTTTTCTGTCTCAGTCATTCATTAGAGAACACTGGGTCTGGTGAAGGGCCAGGACTTCCCTGACACCAAACCATAATAGTGTTTCTTCCCTGATCAATACCAACCTGTGGGTTCTTGGGCCTGCCAGTGAACTGGCTTTGGAACAAAATATCTGATCAAGACAAATGCTCCCTTTTGGAATGGGGACTGTCCTGCACATTCTGGGATGATCCTTTTTATCTCTGCCCCACGGATGCAGACACCTGAGTCCAGAATGAGAGGATGGACAAGCCCAGGCACTGGGGTGCACTGCTCATGTGTCAGGACCGCTGACTGCAAAGGACAGCTCGGACATGGTATAAAGGAGGGCAACAGATTTGGTTGTGGAGCTGGAAATTAGGGCATGTATGAAAAATAATTAGGAATTGTAGCCTCAGGGAAAGAAGCCTGCAGGGAGATCTAGTAATTGTCTTGAAGCATATGAAAGCCAATTTTACCACTGAGTTAGGTCAGCTTGTCTCTTCCCCGTGGAGGGGACAGAAGTATGTTTAAGCTTGGAAAGGAATGATTTCAGCTAGATGTGCAATTGTTACCTGCTGGCATGAGCAACAAAAGTGCTTGCATTGAAGTTGCAGAAAGAGTCCCTCTTTCCAGAAGGAAAGCTTAGGCAGAAACAGGGAGCTGTCTTAGATATGTCTTAAACTTCCTCTTGTTCCCTGGGCTTGCTCACTTGATTTAAATGTGAGAAGTACCACAATAATGTATGTGAGAGTAAGCATGATGTGACATCACTTGGTTAGGTTAGACACAGATGCTTGTGAATTTCTTAAAGCAGGTTCAGATCTCAGCTCTGCCTTTCATCAGTTGCATAAGTTAGCGCTAGTTTTCCTTTCTGGACCTCTATCCCTTTTATTATAAAATGGTAATTACACATACTTCGTGGCATTGTTGCAAGGATTAAATGATAACAAGGATACACAGATTTTAGTAACTGTTTAAGGCATGGATGGTGCCAGGTATATAGAAGCTAGACATTTAGGAGGATAAGTGTTGCTCAGACTTTTCCCTGAAGGAGTCATTACCCTGGTTAAGGAGATTTGATAAATGCAAAGATATTTGTACACTGAGCAGAGATAGGCTGAAATTTTTAGGATCCTTAAGTTCTGACCTCATATGCCATTCAAACTAAAAACAATACTGAACTACAAAATAAATTCAAGAAATACCGATTTGTATTGTATCTGATGTTTATCATCATTCTAGTCCACAGCTTGGTGGTGTTTAGTTTTTGTTTTTGAAATATCACAGTCTTAGAAAAATATTTTTGGTACCCTAAGCACATGTTCAGGCTGCTGGTGATGAAATGGAATAGCAATTGGATCACAGCTTCAATCTCTATTTCAACAAACAATTCTTTATTGCTTGATCAGTCAGCATCTTGGTGGCAAGAAACAGAAGCCAACTCTGGTTAAGAAAAAGTTGATTTATTACGATGACAGGTTCACAGAACTACCAGGGGGCTAGGACAATGAGCAGAATCTGAGGGCCCTGCTGAAGGCCATACATTGGAAAAGGTCAACTCTAAGGGCTACCTTCTTGGCTGTAGTGAATTTGATCTTGAGATTTTCTTTGAGTCACTCCTTGAAGACTTGGAGGTCCAAGAAAGAGGTCTCGTGTTGAGTTCAGACCATGTACCTGCCCACAGCAATACCAGGACTCAGGTAAAAGAAATATCTGGTACCTTCACTTATGAGATGAGAGGCAAGCATCATGGAAGCTGCATTCCCACTAACACCATACACAATGGGAGATTGGGGGCAAGAAGAAAGGGAGTTAGATATTGGGTAGGGGATAAAAAAGATGGATATCTTCTGTGCCCTTGACATGCCAGGCCCTGTGCATCACTTGTGTCCTGGTCAACCATGTGCTTAGCTGGTTTGTAGTCTGTCTTTTGCCTGTCCATGAATTTTCATCTTGTCTTTGCAGACAGCCTTTAGGTTCCAGGAGGCAGGGACCCTGGGTTATAAGCTTTGTACCCCCAAGTATGGCACTCAGTAAATGCCTGGTGATCAGTTGCATCCCACTTACTGGATTCTGAAGTGAGCTCACCTCCATTAGCACAGACACAGATTGGGTGTCCCTGGGGTAAGGAGTGTATTAGACATTGGGAGTGTGTAGTTAAGACTAGAAACAGCACCTTGGCCTCAAAAAAATCAGCAAATATATCTCTAGGATTGCCCACCAACTTCTAGCACTGTGTGCACTGTAGGCCTAGTGTCTCTGGTGGGAAGGTGGAAAAATAAAATAGACTCATCCCTTCAATTGCTTTATTAAATAATGCACAGATGACAGTGCATGAAATATTGATGCACAGAGAGCTCATCTTCCTGCAGGGGAGAGGGGCCTCTGGATAATTGGTTTTTCTACATGGCAACTGAGATAGATTGGAAACATTGTGACTCTTTCGCTCACCATATCAAGCCCTGTCTATTAATGGAGAGATAGACCCAAGTGATTCTTGTTTTCCAAATCCTCATTATCCTGCCATCACTGAGGTATCAAAATGAATGGAGGGGCTCAGGAAAGTACTGGCGTTTTCATATAAACCAGCTTGCAGGATCAGGCACTTTCTGTGGGTTAAGCTTGAGAACCATTCTGACCATCTTTTTAAAACTTGGTAGAATCTTATTTTGTTATTTGTCTGTCTGGAAGATTTAGAAATGTTGTGAGTTGGGTGTTGAGGGCCAGGGCTGCATTGTTTGGTGGAAGGGGTTTAAATGAAATAATCGTTGACTTTCTTGAGAAAGCTATTTCACTCAAGTGAAGTATGACAACCTGCATTCAAAGGCCAGGTGCTCAGGCCATTCACTGGCCACAGAGGCAAATTGTTCATGGTGGTTTCGTATGTAAGATGAACAGGACAGGAGCAGCTGCTCTGGTACTCTCAATGGAATTTTAAGTCACAGTAACCTTTATATTGTAGGCACACATATAACATATGTTTATTAGAAAGGTACGAGGATACTGATGTTGCCCTCTCAGATATGAATGGCAATTCACACTAGCATCAGTTTCTCTTTGTAGGAATTGTTAGTTGTGGGATCTGTTCATAGGAAACGAGTTCTGCAGGTCAAAAAACGGTCATTGAATGCATACCGTGTGCCAGCGTGAGGTTTTCCTCTCTTGTCTTTATTATTATTATTTTTACTTTTGGTCATTTGTAATTTTTTTTCCCAACAACTACTTGGGTCTGAGAATAAATTGAAGATATCTACATATAAATGGTTTTTAGTTGCTTAAAACTGGTGGGTGGAATTTCCTTGATCCAGCAGACATTTACAGAGCCCACAATACCAGCTGGGTCCTGATCCTCCACATTGGTAGCGTGGCTGGCCCTTTCATGTGGTGGCTTCAAGAAGGTCGCTTCTCAGTTAAACTCAGCAAAAGTTGATCAAGTGCCAGCTCTGTATCAGGCCCATGGAAGTCAGTGGGGGCATAGATATGAGCAAGATCCCCTTTCGGTCCCCAAGGAGCTCACCATCAGGGAGAAAGATATGCAAGAGTGGCAGAGAGGACCATGTGCCTTTCCATGTGTGTAGAATTGAATATGGGTCATAGGAGGCTGTCAAGACAAGAGCGTGAGTTCAGAGGCGAGCGTGATGGGAGAAGAGCAGATTGTCAGGACACAGTCCAGTGATGAGCATGTAGTCTCGGGTGCATTGAGGATGCTTGCTGTCTCCAAAGGCTTGCTTATGTTTGAGTTCCATTGGAGGCTCTTCCCGTTCACTCCATAGGACACTGTCCCCACTGGGAACCCCTAGAACATGTGTATTTATATCCCTGCTATGGGGACAGTCTCTCACCTGGTTAACTGTGGGCATAGTCTCACAGCACAGTGATTAAGGATAAGGGCTTTGCAGTCACCCACAGGAGGCCCCAAGTCACAGCCTATGATTCTGTGCACTCAGGTGAGTCTCACAGCCTCTTTGAGCTTTAGTTTCCTTATCTTTAAAATGATAACAGTGGTAGCACCTGCATTAGTCATCTTGCGCTGCCACAACAAAATACCATATAATGAGTGGCTTAAATAACAGAAATTTATTTTCTCATAGTTCTGGAGGCTGAAAGTCTTGAGATCAGGGAGGCAGCATAATTAGCTCCTGGTGAGCGCCTCTTCCTGGCTTGCAGGCAACTTGCCTTCTTACAGTGTTTACACATGGCCTTCTGTTAGTGTCCACAGAGAGAGAGAGAGAGAGAGAGAGAGAGAGAGAGAAATAACAGGCTCATTCGTGTCTCTCCTATTCTTATAAGAGCACTGATGTGATCATGGTAGCTCTACTTCATGACGTCATCTAACCCTGATAGCCCAAAGTCCCCATCTCCAAATATCATCACATTAGGGGCCAGTGACTTCAACATACACATTTTGGGAGGGACAGAATTCAGTCCATAGCAGTACCTGCTTCATTTGGTTGCTTTTAGATAATGCTTGTGGAGTGCTTGGTCCAGTGCCTGGAACACCATAGGTACAGTCAGGCCTGTGGGTCCAAGGGTTCTGCATTCCCAATTCAACCAACCATGAATCAAAAATATTAAAAGAGAAAACAAAAATAAAAGTACAATGGTTAAAATACAAATAAAAACAATATAACAACTATTTACATGGCATTTACATTGTATCATAAGTAATTTAGAGATGATTTAAAGCAAACAGGTGGATTATGGAGGTTATATGCAAACACTACATCATTTTATTATATCAGGGACTTGACCATCTGTAGATTTTGGGATCTGCAAGGGTCCTGGAACAAATTCCTCATGGATACTGAAGGACAACATTACTCTGTGAATGTTAACTTCTGTAGTTGCATGGGTATATCTCTTTTCCCTGTAAAATTTTGAGATACTTAAGTGAGGCCTGTATTTTATTTGTGGCTTTCTGCCAGAAATGAATGCTACAGTGAAGATGTGGGTGAAAGGAGAAAGACAAGAGATTTTGGATTCAGAATTGTAGCTTTGAATCTTGGCCTGGCTGTGTCCTAGCCACATGCTCTGGGGCAGTGGTCAAAACTCTGAACCTCAGCTTTTCATATTGGTAAAATGAGAACAACACATCTTACTTCCCAGACTTCTGATGAGGACTAAATGAGATAATCCATGTGAAACCACCTGTATTTTCTGATACATAGTTGATGTTCTCTAAATGTTGGTGGGATGAGGTTTACCGGTAAAGTATTCATTGATTTGGCACAGTTAATTAACTTGTAGTCTTAACTCCTATGTTGCTCTGACTCTCCTGCCCTTGATGTGGGCATCTAGATCCAGTGGGTGTGTGTGCCTGGGCAGATAGGCATTTAGTGAAATTTCTTAAAATTAATTTTTAATTTTGTGGGTGTGTAGTAGGTATATATATTTGTTGGGTACATGAGATATTTTGATACAGGCATGCAATGTGTAATAATCACATGGGGACAAATGGGGTATCTATCATCTTAAGCACTTATCCTTTGTGTTACAATCCAATTATGCTCTTTTAGTTATTTTAAATGTACAATTAATTTTTTTGACAATAGTCACCTTTTTGCTCTAGCAAATATTAGGTCTTATTCATTCTTTCTAACATTTTTTTGTGCCTATTTACCATCCCCACTTCCCCCCAACCCCTCACAACACTTTCCAGCCTTTGGTAACCATCCTTCTATTCTCTATATCCATACATTCAATTGTTTTAATGTTTAGCTCCCACAAACAAGAACATGCAGTTTGTCTTTCTGTGCCCAGCCACTTCCCTTAACGTAATGACCATCCTTGTTGTTGCAAATGACAAGATCTCATTCCTTTTTATGGCTGAATAGTACTCCATTGTGTATATGTACCATGTTTTCTTTGTTCATTCATCTGTCGATAGACACTTAGGTTGCTTTCAAATCCTGGCTATTGTGTATAATGCTGCAATAAACATGAGAGTGCACATATCTCTTCAGTTAACTGATTTCCTCCTTTATATACCTAGAAGTAGAATTGCTGGATAATAGTGTAGCTCTATTTTTAGTTTCTTGAGGAACCTCCAAACTGTTATCCATAGTGATTGCACTAATTCACATTCCTACCAACAGTATACTAGGGTTTCCTTTTCTTCACATCCTCGCCAGCATTTATTGCCTGTCTTATGGAAAAAAGCCATCTTAACTAGAGTGAGGTGGTATCTCATTGTAGTTTTGATTTGCATTTCGCTGATGATCAGTGATGTTGAGCACCTTTTTATATACCTGCTTGCCATTTGTATAGTCTTCTTTTGAGAAATGTTTATTCAGATCTTTTGCCTATTTTTCAATCAGATTATTAGATTTTTTTCCTCTAGAGTTGTTTGACCTCCTTATATATTTTGGTTATTAATCCCTTTATCACATGGGTAGTTTGCAAATATTTTCTCCCATTCTGTGGGTTGTCTCTTCACTTTGTTGATAGTTTTCTTTGCTGTTCAGAAGCTTTTTAACTTCGTGTGATCCCATTTTTCCATTTTTGCTTTGGTTGCCTGTGCTTACTCAAGAAAGTTTTGCTCAGTCCAATGTCCTGGAGACTTTCCACCAATGTTTTCTCCTAGTAGTTTCATAGTTTGTGGTATTAGATTTAAGCCTTTAATCAATTTTGATTTGATATGGTGAGAGATAGGTGTCTAGTTTCATTCTTCTGCATATGGATATCCAGTTTTCTCAGTGCCATGTATTGAAGAGACTATCTTTTCCCCAATGTATGTCTTCTCTCTTTTTTCTTTGTCAGTCTGGCTAAAGGTTTGTCAATTTTGTTTATCTTTTCAGAAAAACCAATATTTTGTGTCATTGATCTTTTGTTTTCTTTGTTTCAATTTCATTTATTTATGCTCTGATCTTTACTATTTCTTTTCTTCTAGTAAGTTTGGGTTTGGTTTGCTCTTGCTTTTGTAATTCTTTAAGATGCATTGTTAGGTTGTTTTTTGACATTTTTCTTCTTTTTTGATATAGGCCATTAAAGCTGTAAAATTCCCTCTTAGTATTGCTTTTGCTGTATCCCATGGCTATACTCATAGGTATAGGTATGTTGCATTTCCCTTATTTGTTTCAAGAAATTTTTCAGTTTTCTTCTTAATTTCTTCACTGATCCACTGGTCATTCAGGAGCGTATTGTTTAATTTCCATGTGTTTGTATAGTTTCCAAAATTCTTGTTATTAATTTCAAGTTTTATTCCATTGTGGTCAGAGAAGATGCTTGATACTATTCCAATTTTTCTGAATGTTTCAAGTTTTGTTTTGTGACCTAACAAAAAAGGTCCATCCTTGAGAATGATCTAGGTGCTGAAAAAAATAATGTGTATTCTGCAGCCATTGGATGAAATGTTCTGTAAATATCTACTAGATTCATTTGGTCTATAGTGCAGATTAAGTCCTATGTTTTTTTTTGTTAATTTTCTGTCTGGAAGATCTGTCCAGTGCTGAAACTGGGGTGTTGAAGTCCCCAGCTATTATTGTATTGGGTCTGTCTCTTTCTTTAGATCAAATATTTACTTTATATATCTGGGTGCTCCAGTTTTGGGTGCAAATAGATTTATAATTGTTATATCCTCTTGTTGAATTGACCCTTTTAACATTATATAATGACCTTCTTGGTCTATTCTTATAGTTTTTATCTTAAAAATCTATTTCACCTAATGTAGGAATTGCTACTCCTGCTCTTTTATGGCTTCCATGGCATGAAATATCTCTTTCCATCCCTTTATTTTCAGTCTATGTGTGTCTTTATAGGTGAAGTGTGTTTCCTATAGGCAACAGATCTTTCAGTGTTTTTTTAAATCCATTCAGCCACTCTATGACTTTTCATTGGAGAGTTTAGTCCACTTACTTTCAATGTTATTATTGATAAATAAAGACTTCCTCTTGCCGTTTTGCTATTTGCCTCCTGGTTGTTTTGTGGCCAGCCTTCTTTCCCTTCTTTCCTTCCTTTCTGTCTTCCTTTAAGTGAAGGTGATTTTCTCTGGTGATATAATTTCTTGCCTTTTGTTTTTTGTGTATTCATCATATGTTTTTTATTTGAGGTTGCAATGAGGCTTGCAAGTACTATCTTATAACCCATCATTTTAAGCTGATAACAACTTACTGCTTGCATAAGCAAACAAATAAACAAAAACAAAACTAAGACTCTACACTATAACTTTGTCCCCCAGCTTTTTTTGTTTTTATTTATATCTTATTGTATTGTCTGTGTCTTGAAAAGTTGTTGTAGTTATTATTTCTGATTCATTAACCTTTTAGTCTTTCTATTTAAGATAAGTAGTTTACATACCACAGTTTCAGCACTATAATATTCTGTGTTTTTCTGTATATTTACCATTGCCAGTGAATTTTGTACCTTCAGATGGTGTCTTATTGCTCATTAATGTCTTTTTTTTTTTCTAATTGAAGTACTCCCTTTAGCATTTCTTGTAGGAAAGGTCTGGTGTTGATGAAATCCCTCAGCTTTTGTCTGTCTGGGAATGTCTTTATTTCATTTTTGTATTTGAAGGATAGTTTCACCAGATACACTTTTCTAGGGTAAAAATTTTTTCCTTCAGCTCTTTAAATATGTCATGCCATTCTCTCCTGGCCTATAAGGTTTCCACTGAAAAGTTTGCTGCCAGACACATTGGAACTCCATTGTATGTTATTTGTTTATTTTCTCTTGCTGCTTTTAGGATCATCTCTTTATCCTTGGCCTTTGGGAGTTTTATTATTAGATGTCCTGAGGTAGTCTTCTTTGGATTTAATCTGCTTGGTGTTATATAACCTTCTTGTACTTAGATATTGATATTTTTCTGTAGGTTTGGGAAGTTCTCTGTTATTATCACTTTGAATGAACTTTCTACCCCTATCTCTTTCTCTACGTCCTCTTTAAGGCCAATAACTCTTAGATGTGCCCTTTCGAGGCTATTTTTTTTAGATCTTTTATGTGAGCTTTATTGTTTTTAATTTTTTTTCTTATGTGTTTTCACTGTGTGTTTTCAAATGGCCTGCCTTCAAGCTCACTAATTCTTCTGTTTGATCAATTCTGCTATTAAAAGACTCTGATGCATTCTTTAGTATGCCAATTGCGTTTTTCAAGTCAGAATTCCTGCTTGATTCTTTTAAATTATTTCAATCTCTTTGTTAAATTTATCAGATAGAATTCTGAATTCCTTCTCTGTGTTATCCTGAATTTCTTTGAGTTTCCTTAACATTTTGAATTCTCTGTCTGAAAGGTCACATATTTCTGTTTCTCCAGGATTGGTCCCTGGTGCCTTATTTAGTTCATTTGGTAAGGTCGTGTTTTCCTGGATCATCATGATAATTGTAGATGTCCATCTGTGTCTGGGCATTGAAGAATTAGGTATTTACTGCAGTCTTTGCAGTCTGGGCTTGTTTGTGCCCATCCTTCTTGGGAAGGCTTTTCAGATATTTGCAAAGACTTGGGTGTTGTGATAAACTGTATATCCTTTAGGGGGACACCTTAAGCTCAGTCATGCTCTGGTTTTGTAGACTGATAGAAGTACCACCTTGATGGTCTTGGACAAGACCCAGAATTCTCTGGATTAGCAGGCAGAGACTCTTGGTCTCTTTCCTTGCTTTCTCCCAAACAAACAAAGTCTTTCTTTCTGTTCTGAGCCATGTGGAGGTGGGGGTGGAGTGACACAAACATCCTTGTGGCCACCACCCCTAGGACCACACTGGGTCAGATGTGAAGCCAGCACAGTACTGGTTCTTGCCCAAGGCCTACTGTAACCACTTCCTGGCTATGGCTTATGTTTGCTCAAAGTCCTGGGGCTCCCCAATCAGCAGATAGCAAAGCCAGCCAGGTCTGTGTCCTTCCCTTTAGGGTGGCGAGTTCCCCCAGGACCTGGGCAGGTCCAGAGGTGCCATCTGGGAGCCAGGGACTACAGTCAAAAACCTTAGACATTTACCTAGTGTTCTATTTTACTGCATCTGAGTTGGCAGTCAGACCACAAGGTACAGTCCTTCTCACTCTTCCCTCCCCTTTCCAAAGGTAGAACAGCCTCACCCCATTGCCACCACCATCACAGGCTCACAGGGAGTACTGCCAGGCTACCGTTGATGTTCCCTTAAGGCCTAAGGGATCTTTAGTCAGTTTGTGGTGAAGGCTGCCAGGCCTGGGACTCATCCTTCAGGGCAATGGGCTCTCCTTTGGCCCAGGGCAGGTCCAGAAATGCTGTCCAAGAGCCATGACCTGGAAGCAGGGATTCCAAGAGCTTGCTTGGTACTCTATCTCACTGTGGCCAAGTTGGTACCTAAGGTACAAAAGAAAGCCTCCCTGAGTCTCTCACTGTAGCCACCACAGCTGGGAATGTACTGGGTCTCTCCTGAAGCCAGCACATCTTAGAGCCTCACCTAAGGCCCATAGTGAGCTACCTGGCTATCACTGCTGGTGATTCAGGATCCAAGGGCTCTATATTCAGCAGGTGTTGGATCTTTCCAGGACTGGGTCCTTCCCCTCAAGACACTGGGTTTCCTTCTGTCCCATGGTGTGTCTAGAAGTGTCGTCCAAGAGCTACAGCCTGGAATTGGAGCCTCCCCACTGACCGGTGTGTGGCTGAGCTTGATGAGATTCTTGGTAGGGATAAGAAAAAAAAAAGACAAACTTAATCTGGTAGAGAAGTAATGACTTAGATCAAGTATTCACATAGAAAAATGGGTTATTTTGAATATTCTTGGTCCCATTAACAAAATTTAATCTAGTGGAGAGAATTTATGGGGCAGCAAGCAATCAGTCTTGCCTGGTAGTGCTCAAAAGTGCAAATGAACTCTTCATATACCTCTCTGCTTTCAGAGTTTAACAGCATATAAGCATTTACATTTCAAACAAGGTGGCCCTTACTCCAGTGTGTGAAATATGTGGTCTGCTAACAATTTAAATTTTTTGAGAAGCTACTTTAAACAGAAAGAAATATGAGCAATATATATAATTAAGATAGGTGTTTGTATGATATGAGATCTTATAGAGAAACTGTAGCTGTGCCTTGGTAAAGGAACAGGGAAATTGAGAGTCACATGTTGTCCTGAAGTAGCTGCCATACTGAGTGATTGATCTTAGCTCCAAAAGCTTAGAAAATCTTTGCGCGATCTAGCCTGGTCACTAAGAGAATAGGCCTTGAAGGCTGACAGACCTGAGGGTGAGTTCCGCTAACTTGGACTAATTATTTTATGTCATCAAACCCAAGTTTTTGCATCTATAAACTGGGATAATGATGTCTACTTCAAAAGATTATTATGAGGATTTAGTGAGATGGTAAGATAGCATCCTGCACATACATTTGTATCCAGGAAGTGTTGGCTGATGTTATTATTACTCTTCTTTCATTGCCTAGTAATGAACTAGTTAGTGACCTATGGAATTTTTAGAGCCTGAAGTCAAATGTCACATCATCCTAAAATATCTTGTATAAAGGTACTTAGGGAATTTGCCCACTGAGGTCTTTGAGCCCTGGAGGGTACCAGATGTATCTTAGACTTCTGTTTATCTTTGCTGCCTTTCCCTGGCAGCCACGCCACCTCTCTTGCCTATATCACTAGAAAGAGTCCTGTGGCAGCAGGGGATTTTTCTTTTCCATTTACTGCTATATTTCCAGCACCAAAACCAGTGCTTGGTATATAGTAGGTGCTAAATACATATTTGTTGTTGAATAAATTTACTGGCTTCTCACTTCCCATCTCTCTTAATTAATTTAAAGGCCAATGGTAGTTTTTGGAGCAATGTTTCCTTTTCTGTTTTCATTAGGATCAGCATGATACAGTAGGCAGAACACTGGGCTAGGGGTATGAGGCCAGAGTTCTAGTTTCAGCTCTGCAGCTAACTTGCTAAAGAACCTTGGAAAAGTCAGCCTTCCCTTTCTGCTTCTCCATTCCCAAATAGCGTCACAAGGAAATTGGTTTATGTAATTTCTTAAAGACCCTTCCAACGCTGATGTGGAATAAGTAGGCTCTCAGGAGATTCTTTAGGGACATGTCTCAGTTTCCTGTCCTCTTTTCTTATGCCTCCAACAACTGCCAGGTTCATTTATTTCCTTCTTGTCTCCCATACAGAAATCACTGTAGCCCCAGAGAAGTTTTTAAACAATAGCTTCTCCCAGCACATCTTGTGTATCTAAGCTAGAGTTTGTCGACTTTATAACTACAGACATTTGGGCCACATAATTCTTTGTTGTAGGGGAGGAAGCTGTCTTGTACATTGTAGAATGTTTAGCACCACTCTGGCCTCAACCCACTAGATACCAGTAGCATCACCCCCACCTCTGCACACAGTTGTGACAAGCAAAAATGTTTTTAGAGGTTGCTAAATGACTACCGAGGCAGGGAAAGGGAAAAATCATCTCTGATTTAGGCACACATTCTTTCATAGTCTTATTTCAGAAAGCATTATAAGGCCAGGTGCAGTGGCTCACACCTGTAATCCCAGCACTTCAGGAGGCCAAGGCAGGAGAATCACCTGAGGTCAGGAGTTCGAGACCAGCTTGGCTAACATGGTGAAACCCTGTCTCTACTAAAAATACAAAAAATTAGCCCGGCGTGGTGGTGCATGCCTGTAGCCCCAGCTAGTCGGGAGAATGAGGCAGGAGAATTGCTTGAATCCTGGAGGTGGAGGTTGCAGTGAGCCGAGATCCCACCATTGTACTCCAGCCTGGGCAATAGAGCCAAGACTCCATCTCAAGAGGAAAAAAAAAAAAAAAAAGAAAGCATTAGAGACTAGAACAAATGGGAATGGTACATTGATAAGGGGCATCTTTTACCCCTAGGGAGGGAGGAAAAGAAAGAAAGAAAAACAACTTTCTTACCAGCTTGAAAGTAAAGATATAAAGCTAGCCCAAATATTTTGCTGGGGATCTGAATTCACACTGAGATAATTCTATGCACAATATATCACCAAAGATGAGAATAGGGAGTGACAACTCTTAGATCTTACCCAGAATATGACAGCTATTGGATCTTATTCTTACGTAATGGAAATTGGATAGCTGTAGCATTGAATACTTGATGAAAAAGATACGTTTTAAAAATCTTCCATCTTGCTCACATCTTAGATACAGGCAAATCCTGGATTTTTTTTTAATACAAAAACAGTTTGGAGAGGACAACATTTTCAGTGCAGCCAGGATGTTATCAAGCATGCATTTATTATGAACTTGTTAATAACATTTCGTCAGCAAAAGTATGGTACTGGCTGCTCTGAGTGAAGTAAAAATATTTATATAAAATAGGAGCTCACAATTTTGTTACAAGTAAGACAAAAACCAGGGGAAGCATGACACAAAATATAAATCATAAAAAATGTGTAGATGAAAGCAATGATGATTTTATAGCCTAAGCAATTACTTCCGTTGGAGCCCAAAGAAACCCAAGTGTGGGGTCATGTTGGCAGGCAAGGTAGTCAGCCTTACCTGGAGAGAGAGTTTAGAGGCTCCTGGGCAACATGGGATGCCCTGAGTATAGTTTGTGTAAAGCATTAGGTTTACTGCTGCATTTCAACTGACATGTTCCATGCCCCATATCCCATATATATATATGGCCTGGAATATTTAAAGTAGAAGTGATCCCATTTTAAGAAGTCTGTATTTTCTTGCCTCATGTAACTACTTCTGATGTTGATATTCTTTGAAGTATTTTCCCACCTCCAAATTATCCATTCTCTAGGAATAGCGTATATATTATATATTAGAGATATATATACTCTAGGAATATTATATATATTATATATTAGATATATATATTATATAATATGTAATATATATTAGAGATATATAATATATTAGAGAGATATATATAAAATATATGTAATATATATATATATATATATATCTCACAGTTTCTTCATTCATTGATTGATGGGCATTTGGATTGGTTCCAAGATTTTGCTATTATGAATTGTGCCACTATAAACATGTGTGTGTGAGTATCTTTTTCGAATAATGACTTCTTTTCCTCTGGGTAGATACTCAGTAGTGGGATTGATGGATCAAATGGTAGTTACATTTTTAGCTCTTTTAGGAATCTGTACACTGTTTTCCATAGTGACTGTACTAGTTTACATTCCCACCAGCAGTGTAGAAGTGTTCCCTGTTCACTGCATCCACACCAACATCTACTGTTTTCTTGATTTTTTGATTATGGCCATATATATATAACATATATTATATATTATATATTGTATATTATATAAAATATATATTATATATTATATAAAATATATATTATATATTATATATAATATATTATATATTATATATATTATATAATATATAATATATAATATATATTATATATATTATATATTTTTATATATTATATATATATGTGTATATATATATAGCCCAGGTGTTGGCTGCATTTCAACTGACATGTTCTATGTCCCATATATATATACAACATATAATATATATATTATATTATATATATATTTCATATATTTATATATATTTATGTTTTAAATATTTTATATATTTATATATTTATATAATATAATATAATATATATAATATATATATTATGGAATACTATGCAGCCATAAAAAGGAATGAATTAACAGCATTTGCAGTGACCTGGATGAGATTGGAGACTGTTATTCTAAGTGAAGTACTCAGGAATGGAAAACCAAACATCGTATGTTCTCACTGATATGTGGGAGCTAAGCTATGAGGACACAAAGGCATAAGAATGATACAATGGACTTTGGGGACTTGGGAAGAGTGGGAAGGGCGTGAGGGATAAAAGACTACAAATATGGTGCAGTGTACACTGCTTGGGTGAAGGGTACACCAAAATCTCACAAATCCCCACTAAAGAACTTACTCATGTTACCATACACCACCAGTCCCTCAATAACTTATGGAAAAAAAGACTTATTTGCCTCCTTATGTTCACCAAGGTAAAGAAAAGATGCCAGATTTCCAATAAAATATAGACATGGATTGGCAAAAAAATTAAAGTAAAAATAAATGACTTCAAGGGACTCAAGACTTCAGTGGAGGAAGTAATTGCAGATGTGGTAGAAAGAGAAAGAGAACTAGAATTAAAAGTGGACAGTTCATAATTGCAAAGATATGGAACCAACCTAAGTGCCCATTGACCAATGAGTAGGTAAAGAAAATGTGGTATATATACACCGTAGAATACTACTCAGCCATAAAAAAAGAATAAAATTGTGCCTTTTGCAGCAATGTTGTTGGAGCTGGAGGCCATTATTCTAAGTGAAATAACTTAGGAACAGAAAACCAAATACTGCATGTTCTAACTCATAAGTGGGAGCTAAGCTATGGGTATGCAAAAGCATAAAGAGTGATATGTTGGACTTTGGAGACTCAGAAGTGGGAGGCTGGCGGGGGTGGGGCTGGTTGGTGGGGGTGAAGGATAAAAAACTACATATTGGGTACAGTGTATGCTACTCAGGTGATGGGTGTACCAAAATCCCAGAAAACGTTAGGTTTTTAAATGATCCTAATTAGCTTTACTTGGAGACTTGTGAGACAACATATACTTGACATTGTCAACTCTAAGGTATTTATTCTATGGCCTAGAATATTTAAAGTAGAAGTGATCCCATTTTAAGAAGTCTGTATTTTCTTGCCTCATGTAACTCCTTCTGATGTTCATGTTCTTTGAAGTATTTTCCCGCCTCCAAATTACCCATTCTCTAGGAATATTGTATCTCCATCAAAGAAAGGAAGAAGAAGAAAGACCTATGGGTGGGCTCTTTGTAGCTGTGTTTGCTTCCTGAGACCAGCCTCCCCTCCCTGGGCCATAGCTGATTTGGTCAAGGGGAGCATCTGATTCCTGCAGGACCAGTCAGGTATACGTGATCATTTAGACTGAGAATTTGGATTTAGGAATAAGAGCATGTCAGTCTCTTCCTGTTACTGGAGCTGGGAGCCATGGGCAGCCATATTTCCCCTGTGGAGCCTGGAGAAGCCACATGAGAAGTTGGCAATTTGCCATCTCTTTAGGAGATCCCATCCTCTGTGGACCAGGTCATTCACCTCATCCCTGTGAAGTGGATGAGGTTTGCTTGGGGGTCTTCTCACACCCCCAACCTGTCCTTTCTCCATGGTCCCTCCCTTGTTATGGTGCCCCCGAGACTCCTTCCCTTCTGTGGCACAGCCACTGCCCCCTTTCCAGCTGCACTTTGTGGAGTGTTCTGTGTAAATTTCATGACACCCATTCCAGTGATATACATAGTATTTTTCATCTCCAGGGAGCAGCTTTCTGTGGGCTGTGGTGTTGAGGAGAATCGGCTCACCCCAATCACTCAGAGCCTTCACAGTATTAAGGTTCAGTGTGATAACTTGCCCAGGTGTTGGCTGCATTTCAATTGACATGTTCCATGTCCCAAAACTGGTTTCTAACCAGAGACCCTTTTGAAGTTCTCTACAAAGTGTGAGGCTATATTGCCAAGGAGTTCTTTGGACGTTAGCAACAGAACGTGACTCAATTGTCACAGGAAGGTTATCCAAAGCTCCCAGAGCCTGCGAGAGGCTGGAAAACCCCAGGTTGGAAATGTGAAAGGACTAAGGGGAGGCCAAAAGGCTAGACAGCAGGAACCCCAGTCTAATCATTGCCAGTGTCCCCTCTGCCCTGGGGCTCCTCCTTCACATTTCAGAGTCTCTGGACAGTCACTGGGATGGAATCACCAGGATGGGGAGAGGCAGGATCAGCTGGCACATCTGTCTTTTTACTGGGGATTGGGCATTTGGGACCCCACATCACAAAAATGCCCATAAAGTTTTGTGGCAAGTTTTCTTTTTTTTGGGGGGATGGAGTCTCCCTCTTGCTGCCTAGGCTGGAGTGCAATGGCACAATCTCTGCTCACTGCAACCTCTGCCTCACAGGTTCAAGTGATTCTCCGGCCTCAGCCTCCCAAGTAAGTGGCATTGCAGGCAAGCGCCACCACACCCAGCCAATTTTTTGGTATTTTTAGTAAAGACGGGGTTTCACCATGTTAACCAGACTGGTCTTGATCTCCTGACCTCAGGTGATCTGCCTGCCTCGGTCTCCCGAAGTGCTGGGATTGCAGGTGTAAGCCACTGTGCCTGGCCCCATATGCAAGTTTTAAACCATCTAAAAACTGTTCCCAGAATCCTAGTGACCAACCTTTCATCCATAGTTTCTGCTCATTCATATCATTTCAGAGGTTAGTGCCTGGGGAATGGGATTGGGACCAAGTGATTAACAGAAAACTCTATGGAGAGAGAAACCATGTAGAAGCCTTCCTCACTTGCCAGCTTTTGGATACATGGTGCTAAAGACCCAGCCCAGCAAAAGCACTGGGAGGAAGAGGTCCCTTTCTTGCTCTGGGAGTCACCTCTGGAATCCAACAGCATTTAGACGGCACACTTAAGACTGAAAGAAAAAAGCAGGGTCCAACCTAGTAGGAGGGGGAAAATTCTCCAGGACAGAGGATTGCTAAATTAATTACTCAGATGCAAAAATTCAAAGGAAGAATAATGACACAGCCTGTTAAGCTAAAAAAGAAGTTATCATGTTGTTTGCCACACAGTGAAGTACCAGGGACTGGGAACTGCTTTTAAACTGAAGAAAACTAATCCTCCTGGAGCATTCCCATCCAAATTGTCTTGGGAGTCTTTGGAATTTGAGCAGTGTGGTTGTTTATTTTATGAAGAAAAGATGTGTTCTTATGGAGCTCTAGGTAGTGCAAACACCAGTGCCGGTGGGACCAAGTGGGCAATTCATGTAAGAGTGCAGGAGGGAGGAAGGGACCGGGGCAGCAGAGTGTAAAGGGGGAGAAGGAAATAATAACAGGATGGAGGCAGCCATGGGGGAGTGCAAGCCCAAGTGTGGCCATATCTTTCTATTAAAAATAACCTAAAAATTTATGATAGATTTTTGTGTGATATTCCTTAATTTCTTACTGCTAACACCTTATTTTAAAAGCATTATATGGGCTGGTCACCACACACCTGTGGGCTCAGTGGATCCACTCTTCATGGCCTCTGGTGCAGGAGGGCTCTGGATCCACTTATGTATGAATTCTTGCTCATCCCTTCTAGCTGTAGGTGCTTGAGCAAATTCTGGTTCTTCTCTCAACAAGTTTCTCTGTTACCTTGGCTATAGAATGAGGATGAAGGGAACACCTGGCTCATGGTTTTGCTGTACGGATTCCTTGAGGTCATATATACCAGGCACCTACCAGATACCTTTCACAGGCCTGCAATTACCTGAGCACAGGTATAGGCCCTCCCTTTTCAACATGTATATTCACCACCCCAAATGATGTAGTAGTAGGTGCTCAGCGAAACTCTCTGCATGTAGTAGGTGCTCAGTGAAGGTCACTGCTTCACACACACATGAATTATTGGTTGTCAAACTACTTCAGAGTAAACTCTATTCTCCTATTAATTTCCCTTTTGAGGTCAAAAGGTGAGGGGTTGCTATGGCGATGTGTTCTCATGAGGAATTTTGCTCCAGGATAAGAATGCGCAAACTCTGCTGAGATAGAGAGGGATGGTTTGAAGAGTTTTTGGAATTTAAGCAGTGTGGTTGTTTATTTTATTCATGACCCTTGGAAGCCAGGACAGCAGAGGCCAGCTTCACAGGGCAGACCACGTTCACATGTCACCTCATTTTTGCAGCAATACTTGGTGCAAAAGTATTATATTGCTATGGGCCCTCCCCACTCTCAGGGTTCAGAGGCACTTACCCTGCTCCCCCAGGACCTGAGGAGCCAGGAATGCACCCCAGGGGCCCCTTACATTGTGGTGCTACCCTATCTGGTGATGCTATGTGGTTTTGTCTTACTCCATCCCTTAATGCTACTGCCTGAAACAGGAGTAAACGTAGTCTGAAAAGTTTTCAACTTGCCGTTTAGAGTCAGTTGAAATCAGTGGCCTGCTTCATCAGTCCAAGTTGAAAATTCTAGATGTTGACTTGGCTTCCAATGAGAGAAACTTTTCAGGAGGGAGCAAGGCCGCCCAGTGGGTCTGCCCTCTAACAGGGCTTTGAACAGGCATCAAGGGCCTCTTGCCCTTGTTGATTGGACACAGCCCACAAAGAGACCAGACAGAGCCTTTGTTTGTCAGAGAAAGGAACATGCCAGGGAGATTTGTTGCCCATTTAAAAAACGATTGTCCATGAAATGGATACTGTTTGAATTACACAGAGACACATCTTCTCATTAGCTTTTTCAGGATCACAAAAAGCCTGATGGCTGTTTTAGTCCCAGCCAGTGGGATCTGGTGCCAAAAATCTCTGTTACACATTTGCATGGGGAAGGAGTATTTGGAGAAAGGGTATCCCCGTATTTCATCTCCTTTCTGCTGTTGATGGAGTGCCATGTATCAGTTTCCAGCGTGACCTCACTGAGTGGAGGGTGTTAAACCATCCTTTCACCTTTCCCCACACTGGCTAACTGGGCAACAATAGAGGCCAAGTGAGGTGATCAGCCTTCTGATTTCTGGAGTTGCAAGAGTAGAGTACAGGCCCATTGAGAAGGGGACTCACCAGCAGGGGACGGGGGACTGCTATGGATAGCAGGGCCATTCTGGCACCAAGGGCAGCTCACAGGAGGTCTCCTGGGAAATAGACATTAGAGGCAACACAATTTCAGGACTGTAATTTGGCTTAAAGATGACCTGGTGGAGAAATCTGGAGAGGAAAAGGGGCCCAGTTTGGGCTGCTACAACTGAAAGGAATGCTTAAAACGGATCATGTGGGAAAGAGTTGAAACTAACACTTACCGAGGACTTGCAAAGATCAATGTTAAGCATTTGACACATTGTCTCACCCAGTCCTCCTGACCACCATATCAGGGAGATGTTACCACTCCTCTTTAAAGCTCAGAGAAGCTATGTAACTTGCCCAAGGTCACACAGTGTGCAAGGAGCTGAGCTCAGATTTGGAACTGGCTGTGTCAGTTCCACAGTTCATTCTCCTTTGAATGAAGCCCACAGTTCATTCTCCTTCGGCCCTTCCTACATAATTTCTATCACACGTGTTGGTGATTTGCTTATAGGAGCAAAGACTGTGACCAGGAAGTTGGTGATCTGGTTTCTGTGCAGATTGTTCGCCTTTAGCTTTGGCACTCTGAGCAATGGTCACTTAAGAACCCTGTGTTGAAGCAGCCCCATGGGTCTGTGAGGGCATTATGATGATCATAAAGCTGAGTACAGATCTGGAGCAAGGCCAGCCCATTGGTGCTGATGAACCTCAGTTAGACTTCAACATGTTCAACAGATATCTGGAGACTAATTGCACCAAGGATGCACATGTTGATGTGAGAACCCATCATTCTAAAGATACTTCCTGGTCCTGGTCCAATAGTGTGTTCTTGGAAAAGTCATGAGATCTATTGCTATATTTTCTTTATCCATCACTCCAAGGCCATTTCCCATCCTGGGGCCCTTGCAATCCCTCTCCTGGGATTGCACTGTTCCTCAGCAGATCTTCAAAACACTGGCTCTGTCTTGTCAGATTGTGGCTTAAATGTCACCTCCTTAGAGAGGTCTTCCCTGACCACTTAATCTAGAGTGACCACCTAGGAGCTTCTCTATTATATCACTCTTTTTTTTTGAGATGGAGTTTTGCTCTTGTTGCCCAGGCTGGAGTGCAACGGCGCCATCTTGGCTCACTGCAACCTCCGCCTCCTGGGTTCAAGTGATTCTCCTGCCTCAGTCTCCTGAGTAGCTGGGATTAAAGGCATGTGCCAACATGCCTGGCTAATTTTGTATTTTTAGTAGAGATGGGGTTTCTCCATATTGGTCAGGGTGGTCTTGAACTCCCAACCTCAGATGATCTGCCCACCTCGGCCTCCCAAAGTGCTGGGATTACAGGCATGAGCCACCATGCCCGGCCTTATTATATCACTCTTAAAATGTGCTGCTTAGGTCTTATCATTATCTCATGTTTTCCCCTTACCTCTCTTCCTTATCTATTTCTTCTTTCCTCTCCCTGCCTTCTTTCTTTTCTTCTTCTTCTTCTTTTTTTGTTTTTTTGTTTTTTTGAGACAGAATCTTGCTCTGTCACCCAGGCTGGAGTGCAGTGGTGTGATCATGAGTCACTGCAGCCTTGACCTCCTGGGCTCAAGGGATCCTCCCACCTCAGCCTCCTGAGTAGCTGAGACTACAGGTGCGTGCCACCATGCCTGGCTAATTTTTTTCAAAAAATTTTGTAGAGACAGGGTTTTGCTATGTTGCCCAGGCTGGTCTTGAACTCCTGGGCTCAAGCAATCTTCCCTCTTTAGTCTCACAAGGTGCTGGGATTACAGGTATGAGCCACCGTGCCTGGCCTCTTTCTCTTCCCCTCTTTTCTTTCTTATCACATCTCTACTAGGTCATGAGTTCCTTAAGAGCTAGGACTTTCTCTGTCTTAAGCATCTCTAAATTCTCAATGGTTATAATAGTACTTGACATATAAAATGAGTTTCATAAATGTTTGTTGAATTGACAAATTGAAGTCTCCCCTACATTAAAAATGAGTGTTTTTATTCTGTGAAACAAAACAATAAAAGAAAAATGAGTGTGTTGGTCTGGAAATACTCCAGGGATTCTCACAGCTCTGAATTTTTGTGACCTGGAAATCTTAAGTTATTAGATCCATCCAGAGATGCCCCTTGCACAGAGTTTTTCAGCATTAACTGAACATGTCCTTTACAGCAGACACATGTCAGGGGACTTGGGATTCAGAAATAGTGAGCAAAACTTGGCCCCTGGCCTCACAGAGCAGGCTAGAGTAGTGGTTAAGCCCATGGACCTGGGCTCAGCAATAGTTATTGAACCCCCAAGATATTCCAGACACTGTGTTGGGTGAGAGGTGGCATGTGGCAGTGAAGAGGATAGACACTGTCTTTAGTCTCTTGGAGCTTCAACTGGATTTAGCAGACTTACAGTTACATCCCAGATTGGCTACTTACTAGTTGGATTATCTCCGGCAAATTCTAATTCTTTCTTTTGGCCTCACAGGGTGGTGTAAGAATGGAATGGTATTTTGTATTGAGCAGTGCAGTCAAGGCTCAAGAGACATGAAAGCACCTCAGATGTTTGAGGGTTTGTGGGTTGTCCGTATAAATTAAGGCAGGGTAAATATTGGATGATAAGGAGAATATTGGCAGGAAATGGGAACCACATTCTGGAAGGGAAGTTTCAAGCCAGACTGTAGAAGACAGAGTCATGAGGCTCCTTTAAAAGAAAAAAATTAGAATCCTTAAATTTAACAAAAACTAGAATGTCAACAACCCCTCCGGTGGAAAGAATTTTGCTGCCATTATAGTAACCAAAGATGACTTTCTTTCTGCTGTGTCTTACCTGTTAGGTGATCAGTATTTATTGCTATAGAACAAAAAAAGAAAGATTTTGCCCCTTGTGTTTGTTTTATGCTTGTCTTAGGAAACCCCATAGGTCCTTTTCCATTATTTATTGTTGCAACTGTCTTCCATGTGCAGTTAAGCCCTGATTTATGTTTTATATTAGCATGATAGCCCTTATCTTAGCTAATGTAAGGGAAGTAATTAGCCATTGAGTGGCACATTGGTGGAGAGATAGGTGGGAAAGAGCTGGTTGTGAGCAAGGCAGGAACTGCGAATTATTTAGCTTATTTAGATGCATTGATGAAGTATTTTAGTCATGACTGAATAGCACAGAACACACACACAAAACGTAAAAACAGCAAGAATACATAAGACTTAAGTTATACGGCACTTACCAGTTCCTATAGTGGGGGATGCAACCATTTTTCTCTCAGCTTGAGGTGGTTTCTAATAGTAGATGCCCCAAGAAACTTCAGCTCCAATCAACATTAACTTTGTCATGATGGCTTCAATGTTATCAGTTGAGGAATGAAATTTAATAACCTTGGGAACCATCCTAAAGAAGCAGAAATGAACCCGCTCTAATTGGAGAAAGAAAGGGCTTGGAAATGAATAGTCTTCAAATATCCATTTATAAACCCACAGCCAAATGTTTCTGAAAAATTAACAGTGAGAGGGATGAAAGTAGTAACAGCTTTAATTTTAATATATCTGGGGAACTGCAAATGCTTTGTAGCTCATTTAAATACCTCACCCAGTGCTTGGCACTTACAAGGCTCTCAAACAAGCTTTGAACTTTGCAGAGTCAGTTCTCTGAAAAACTCTAGGACCTTTCACCTGTGGGATTGAGATTCAAGGGAAGAGATGGTATGGAAATCTGTTTCAGGGGGCATGGGATATATTTTTGATTAGTCAGATTTAATGGGAACTGCTTTCTGGTCCTGCAAGAATAAGGAATTTGCTTATGAGAGTTCTTTGTGTGTACATTTACTGGTATTGATTTTCCATCTTATGTAACAGTACCCTGGAGAGCTTACCACTTCATTCTAGGACCCTTTAAACTTGTTCCATACTTTCAGCACTGCTCAAACTTTTCTACCAAAGAGCTCCTAATGACAAGTAAGAGCAAATACCTATTTTGAGGTTCGGGGGCAGAATCCACTGTGAGACGTACGTTCTTGAAGTCTCTTCTATACAAGTTTATATACATTTTGCATTCTATTCCATAATAGATCATTGATTACCTTAATATAAATAAGTTCTAGCCAGGCTTGGTGGCTCAAGCCTGTAATTCCAGCACTTCAGGAGACTGAGATAGGTGGACTGCTTGAGGCCAGGAGTTTGAGACCAGCCTGGGCAACATAGACAGATCCTGTCTCTACAGCAACAAAAAAAAAATTACAAAATACAAAATATAAATTTTAGATTACCTACTACCATCTGGTAAAATAGATGCTGCAGGGAGATTCAATATAGATTTGCATTCTCCTTGGCCTACCATATAGTCTGAGAAGCAAGGATTAGATTGGATTATGGGAACACAAGAGAAAGAAGTGGCCAGGCTGTGCTAGATGCATATGGTGTAGGCCTACCTGTTTCCCTTCCTTTAGTTGATTTTTAGACTTGTTGAGAGATGACCTCACCAGAGTGCTCCACTGAAGCTGTGTTCCATAGGCTGCCATACTGCAGAAGTGACCTCTTCATCTGAGGCTCTGAGAGGTGATTTGAGATCCCTGTTTCTAATCTGGGGTAGGCTTTCCCTACAGACTTTCCTGTTCAATTAACACCTGTCACTGCCAGGCTCTGTAGGAGAGGGCAGAAGACATTCATGGGCTGAGGATCAGAAAGCCCCAACCTTATACACCACACCTGCCTTGCTGAGCCCTGCCTGCCCATTTGTCCCCAACATACCCCTTGCCACCAAATTCCCTGGACTCCTTGTCTGCTTGGATCAACAATATTTGCCAGATTCTGTTTCCCTAACCAAGCTCTTCTTTTTTTCTAGCCTCTTACCAACAGTGCTTGAATGTGGGCCCTTAAGATACCTTAACAATTAAGCTCTGTGACTCTTCAATAGTGACATTTCAAAGCCCACAGAGCTTCTCCTAAAACAAAAAGAGCATGAGCGTAGGTTTGTGTACAAGGCTCTGTTGTGTGAACCTAGTGCCCAAAACTTAGGAGAGGAAGAGGATTTTCATCCTTTATTCCCAGCCCTTACTATCTGTGGGTAGAGACAAGGCAGAGTACAGCTCTACTAGAGAGGCATGAGCTACTTGTTTGTTGTAGGGTGGCTTCATCAGTGGTGTGGATGTGGTTAGTCAGCAGAAGTTTTCGGGACAAAGTGGACCCCATGCTTGATGTTGAAAAGCTTTAATGTTTCTTCTTATAGAGTTTACCATTTTGAGATTGGAAAGACTGAACAGAATTATGGCTCCAGGATCTTGTGTTTCTGAAGTGTCCAGGGTCCCTTGCCCTTGGTGGACATCCATTTTCTGTATTTTAGGAGCAAGCTAAAAAGAGCTGGTAAAAGCCATGAGGATAATAAATGAGCATGAACTGTGCGCCAGGCCCTGTGCTAGAAAACCTTCATGTGTTATCCCATCAGATCCTCACAACATCTCAGTAAAGTGGATCTGTTTGCCTGCAACTGAATCCTAAAGAGTTGAGTAACCCATCAAGATACCTCATAGGCAAGAAGTGGCAAAGCTGCCTCTCTCCTCTCAAACTTACATCTCTCCGAGCCAAATGCTTTGGGTTCTTATCTTCTAGGTACACTAAAAATTTGGCAGAAATTCTTGGAGTTGCTGAGTTTCCCAATCCTTACATGATCAACAACCATGGCTGCTGAATAATGTCAGAATAATCAGCACCAAAAGAGTTAATTCTCTGGATGTCTTTGGCCTGGGAAAAGCTCCATGTTTTTATAGAAATTTTAATTGCATTAAAGTGAAGCACAGGTACAAAAGATAGACTGTGTGAGCCACAGTGATCTTTTAAGTACACTTTTTTCCAGGAAATATTTGATTTTTACTATGCTTTTTATGCCCTCTTATTCTCTTAGGTTATAGAATTGGTTCTTTTGTATTTTGAGTAAATCTCTCTCCTTTGTTCATAAATGTCTTATGAATAATTTATGTCAATTATAATGAAATAGAACCCAAATACCTTTACTATTATAGCATTTTAATAAATTCTGGCCATTGTGATGGATGAGAAGGTGAAGACTTCTCTGTGGATGATATCTTTTTCTCTACTTAGAGGCCAGGCCATTCTCAGCTCCTGTTGCCTACACTGCCCTGTCCCATGCTGCGCTGGGCTTCATGCATCTCCCCATTAGCAGTGTGGAACATACGCACACTTCACAGAAACCCCTCACGGAAGGAACCACAGTCAGTTCACCTGGTCACTATTGTTTCTTAAGTCAGAGGGAGTTAAGTTCACAGGACAGCAGCATTGCCTTTAAAAGCAGCTCGCACTTTTGTATTCATTATAAAAGTAATACAAGCTTATTAAGATAGCCAGCAATTTGGCTTTGATTTCTGATAGCTCAATCTTTTTTTTTCACAGGAAGTCTTTTTTTATGAGGTCTTCTGGGTAACATGAATCTTGGGGAAGGTGGACAGAGGGGTGTGATACATTGCTGCTTGACACTTTAATCATCACCTTTATCCCCATCAGAAGTTATTTTCATTAGTGGCTTAGTGGCTTCAAGTATCAGCCTTGGTGTGAGACTCGCCAAGATTAAAATCCAGGCTCACTGGCTGTGTGACCACAAACAGGCTTAACATTTCTCTGTCAGTTACCAGTTGGTAAATTAAGAATGATCTGATCTCTGTATCAGTTTCTTTATTGTTGAATTAGGATAATAGTACATTATTCTATAGTTGGTCGTTGTCATTGTCTCCATGTCAGCCCCCTAATTGGGTGACAGAGTATGTAATGTTCTCCCTCCCCTTCCTTTCTATTTAATTCCCCCTTTCCTTCTACTTCCTCTTTCCACTCCCATCACACTTTCAAAGGGAAATCAATTTCTTGATGGAAATGCTGAGTGAGGGTCCTTGTCAGAGCAGCTGGGGAGCAGGGAAAATGTGAGATGATAGCTTTGAGAAGGGAGGCTTGGCTGCCCAGGCTAATAAAATTTTGTGGTTGTTGATTTTATGACACACATTTCCACAGCTGCTCTGGCAGACCCCTCTTAACGCCTTCTTTTCTAATGATCAGGACATGTAAATTACCATGTTGGGCTTATCAGTGGTTGCTCATAATGTCTTGCTTTGCATGTGAGCAGAGGGGCCAAGCAATTCCCAGACACTCTCAGTAGTGGGTAGTCCTTAACTCCTTCATCTCAGAGACACATGCCAAGATCACCCAGGGCTGGACACCTGCTCTGGACCCTGGCCATGGTCATGGCTTGTCATTGTCTCCTTGCTGCAGACAGGATATGAGATAGAGGGCAATCAGGAGAAACTGAGGGCCCTGGTCTGTGAGTGGGGCAGAGGCTGTGGCTGTCCGGAGAGGAAGGGTAGGGAAGGGAAAGGCGCTTCTTTTGGAAGAAGGCAGGTCTGGTTCTGAGTACTGGCTTTGCCATTAAGGCTTTATGGTGCTGGGAAGTTACTTTACCGTTTCAAATTGGTTTTCTCATCTTCAACTTGCCTTTTCACTTAATTTATCATAAATATCTACCTATGTTACCAAATATAGATCTACTAGTTTCTGTAAAATAGTTGCATGATGTTTAAAAAATGTATTATGTTATTAACTAAACCATTTCCCTACAGTTGGTGTTCTGGATTGAATGTTTTTATCCCCCTCAAATTCCCACGTTGAAGCTCCAATTCCTAGGATGTCTGTATTTGGAGAGGGGGCCTCTAAGAAAGTAATTAAGGTTAAAAGAGGTCCAAAGAGTGGAGCCCTGAGCTGATAGGATAAGTGTCCTATAAGAAGAGACACGAGAGAGGGCTGGCTCTCTGTCTCTCCAAGTGCTTGCATCGAGGAAAGACCATGTAAGGACGTAGCAAAAAGCTGGCTGGCTGCAAGCCAGGAAGAGGGCCCTCCTAGAACCTCACCTTACTGGCACCCTGATCTCAGACTTCTAGTCCCCAGCACTGTGAGAAAATAAATTTCTGTTGTTTAAGCCACCAGTCTGTGGTACTTTCATTATGGCTGCCCGAGCAGACTAACACAGATGGACATTCAAAGTGTTATAATTTTCCCTTATTACAGATTATTAAGATGAACATTTTTGCCTAATATGTTCACTTGCTGGGTCATAGGATGTTTCTTTTTTCCCTTTTCTCTTGTTATAATTTTTATGTATACCAAAATGTTGAGAGGATACTATAAACTGCTATACACCCATCTACCTACATTTAACAATTGTTATCATTTAAGGGCACAACCAAAAAATTGACCCCCAAAAAAGGCTGTTATCAATTTATAACCCTCTCCCCCACCTCACACACACACATACACAAATAATGTAACAGAGAAGATGCTTTTATCTTTGACACAGAAAGAAGTCCCCAGGACCTCAGTTTAAAGGGGAAAGAAAAGGTCTCTTCCCAGGAGGGCTATCTTTGGTCAGACTCATCTTTCTCTCCTCTGCCTCTTTGTCTCTGTCTGTCCTGTGTCCCTCCCCACCAATTCCCCAATCCTTAAATGCATGAGTCCAACCTTTATGCCACTCTGCTCTCTGCCCTATCCAGGCACATGTCTAATAGGCCCTTTGTTTGGCCTCGGAGAACTTGGCCAGCCCCTTGAATATGAAAGGAAAGAATTGTGAGGAGGCTTTCCAAGCTGCCATTCTTCTCTGGTTACAGCAAAAATCCTATGGGCAGAATCTTCTATTTTATATTCTGAGAGGCTCTGTCGTCAGCTGGTGAACAAGCCTCTCTGGAGACAAGGGAGGCAAGATGCATGCACGGGTTACCATGGGGACAGACAAGCTGCAATAAATGTTCCTGCTCATAGCTTGACGAGGTTTTCACAGTTTGGTGTAATTTCTTTGTCAGTCGTCCATTAAGTCACTCCTAATGAATCACTGGGAGTGTCTGCTCTTCACGTGAACCTTGGGATCGCATGACTCAGGCAGAGAGCAGTCTTAAAAGCAACAGCGAGACAACAAGGCATCTTTAACTGGTGGACTTTTTGCAAATCGAGTGGCCTCTGGCCTGAGGAAGATTCTGGAACTCACCAGAGTGGGCCAGGAGTTCAAGCTGCTGTTTTAGATTAATCTTTTGCTTACTGGTCTCAACAGGTATCTTGTGCCTCCCGGAATCCTGTGTGGCTTGGTGTTCCTGGGGAGAGGGAGGAAGGAGGTTCCTGGCAGGAGAAAAGGGGTTCTAAGAGTTGACCACTGGGCCTTTCAGCCCTGATGTCCTCTGTCATTTGGCGGACGAGAATATATGTAGTGTGTCTGTTCTTACTAAGTGCCACTTTCTACATAAAATGCATATTTAGGGTTCCCTCTTCCTGCCCCTCTCCCCCGACTTTAGTCTGGTCACAGGTTCTTGCATGCTGGGTTGAAGGCACTGTGGAACTCAAAGGCCCTGGCTCCCCAGCATGGTCCCTGTGGCTCCAAGGCCCTTCAGGACCAGGCTCAGCCTCTTCTCCAGCCTTTTTACTCACCGGCTTGCTCCAACTGCTGCCAGCCTCATGAAACACTTGAATTCCTTAAGCCTGCCACAAACTTTCTTACCCCTGGAAAGACAACTTCCTGTTATCTGGAGTGTTCTTCCTCATCCTATTATCTGGTTTAAACCTACTTTTCCATAGATGTCAGTCTGTCCAGGAAGTCTCACCTGACCCCCTGAAAGGCTGAATTAGGTACCTTACCTGTCTCACCTGTCTCCTATGTTCAACGGTGAACCCCTGGAGAGCTGGAAGAACATCTTTTTGCTCACCTCTTTGTATTCACCTTTAGCCTGCAGAAAGATTCTTCACGCTGAATGATACTCTGTAAATATTAATTGAATAAACACAAATGTGTGTGATTTCCCCCAGGTGAGGAACCCTTTGGGCCACCCCACAAAATGGAACCTTCTTCTCATCTGAGCATCTCTGAGGTGGTATCAAGCTCTGCTGTGCTAGGTGTCATGACCCTTTGCCAATTAGCCTATAGGATGTGCTCAAGAAGAGTGCAAAGGCTTGATTCAGGATTTTAAAATCAATGTAGCTAATTAAAAAATAACTCGTTGAACTGAAAAACAAGTTCAGAAACAATTAAGATAATTAAAATATCACCACCTTAATTGAGACCAAGTAGTGAGCTTAAAAATAAAATTAATCAAAAAAAGTTACATGGAACCAGTAATTAACTGGCTTTTGAATTCAATGCTTTACAGCTTAACAAATCTCTTTAAATTAATTCATTCTTGGTTTGTTCCTTGAGAAAGGTTTCTGTAAAAAGTCATTTTGAAAAAAATAATTGGATTTGTGCTGGGTGCCAGTTGACTCTTGAATAGTTCTGCATATAGGTGGGAAAGATAAAATTAACCTTTGGTGGGCGCCTGCTCTGTGCTAGGGATGCTGTCCTGTTTGGGTCCACAGGAGTCCTGCAGGTTTGGTGATAGAAGAGGTAGAGAAGACACAGGGCTTTGTCATCCTCTGGGGATGTCTGCATCCTCTCACTCCTTGTATGCGGAGAGAGATTGAAACTTGGAGCAAGTCCCCAGGAAATCAATAGCACCATGACAAGGAAACTTTGAACTCTGCTCAGGGCTGTCACGCTCAGCTGCCTCTCCTACCTTCTCACCTACAGTTTCCCCTACTTATTAAAAGGCCTCTCAAATGCCACTTATTATTCGGATCTCTTATCCTTCCCTTTTCAAAGTGCAGCCACAGTCCTTTCCAGTACTGGTGCTGGGTGCCTTTCAGGAGCATCCATCACCCTGAGCCTTGAGGCTGCTAGGTAAAACGTATTTGGGAGGCCTGAGTTTAAATGGAAATGACACACTCCTCATCCCCTTTCAATCCCAGTGTTGCTGTTTCTCAAAAACAAAATGCGGCGAGGTGATTAAACAAATGCTGACAGCTTGATTTGTTACTGTTTTGTTGCTCTGTGAAGTTCATTTACTCTAAATAATTTGCATACATGTTTGAAGTATTCAGACCCCAGTAATTGATTTTTAGCAGACTTGATTTCTGTATGCAAATTGTTAAGTATGTAGGGAGTTTAATAACGAACAGTTTTTATTTATTAGTATTTTGGGTTGGAGGTTTTTTGTTTTTAAAGAAATGTTAGCTTCCAGAAGTGGAGGGTGGTCTACAGGAGTTAGCCTAAGGTAGGGTGACAGATGGCAAAACTACAGGAACAAAATTGACCAGACCATGGTTCCTTTGACTCAGTTGGGGGATGGCTGCATTCAGAGGGGGTAGGCTGAGGGCTCAGGTGTCCAGAGCTGGGCACCCCAGCCTCTGGGGAAAGATCAGGGCTGGTGACCTCATCCTGTGGGGTGTACTGAGAGGGAATCGTGGACCATCCTCTGCAGCACTGGGTAATCTGGCTGCCCCCTCCTTTTACCCAGTAAGTCTCATTCTGCCCCCAAAGCCTCTTAAGAATATGGTGCACTTGGGCCCTTGGCATGAGGTGAGCCCCGCAATCAGCTTTTTAAAGAAGATAGTAGGAGATTCTCATGCTTCAAGCATACACTGGTGAAGAGTTTGGGTTCTGGAGTCACAGACCAGGTTTGTCCTGCATCTCTCATTAGCAATTTATTTTTAAGACTTGCACATTAATAGCAGCTACCTCCTTTGGTGGCTATGAAAATTAAATGTGGTAATCCAATCAGAGTTCACTGCCTGTATGTCAAAAGCACTCAGTGAGTGTTAACTATGGTTCTTTGTTATTATGAAAACTGATTATTTACTCTGGGAAAAAAGACAAACACAAAAAACTTAATAAACACATATGAGGTGCTTAGCATGTTCCAGGTCTAAGTACTTACAGATATTAACTCATTAAATGTTCATGACAACCACCAAGCAATAGCAGGTGCTGTTATTATCCCCATTTTTACAGGAGAGGAAAGTGAGGTATAGCAAGGTTAGCAAGCAGCAGAGGCAGGGTTCAGTCCCAGAAGCTACTCTGCCTTGGAGTCCGTGCTGTTCCAGAAGCTACTCTGCCTTGGAGTCTGTGCTGTTCCCGGATCTGCTCAGCTGATTCATGATCCTTGTGATTGCACTGTCCGTTGAGACCACCCGGAGGACAGTGTGGCATGTTAACAAAGTTGGATACAGAGGCAAAAATAAGCTCAAATTCTGCCACAAAGCTTGTCATGTAGTACTGCAGATTTTGACACCCATCACCCTAGGCCAACCTGTTTTTCTCTGTCTCTGACATCCACTCAAGTGAAAATCTCAAGTTCTCTGCTGCAGCACTTGGCATCTGTTGGGGAAAATGCCTCAGCTGATAACTATGACTGGGGCTGCCTGTGGTCTAGTCCCCAGGTTTCTTGAGATCTATAAATGTCTTCATCCTGTGGTGTGTGGAAGTGTGAGAAGGGGCAATGAAGGACTGACATGTCCTGCTAAGCTGTTCAAGCAGCAGAAACGCCATTGGATGTTGTGTGTTCAGAACCCTTGAGAAACTTTCATCATTAGTGGTCATCTGGTAATCATTCTTAATTGTTGACTCAATTTTGAATGATTCTTGGAGAGTGAGTCAAAGTTGGCTGAGCTGCAGCCCCAGGGTTGGCGTGGGCGGCAGTGCACTGGGCTGAGACTGCACCAGTCTCCTGGCTTCTTATGCAGACATCCCCAGGAACCAAAAGAGTTCCACTTAGGACCAGGAAGCTCTTGCTGCAAGTTTCTGGAAGCCCCAGCCTTGGAAGACTCTGAAGGCAGACACAGGGCCCTGCCACCTGCCTTGCAGAGGTTGCCTTCAGCTTAAGAGCTCTGAGTGAATGAACACTCTGTCCCTGGGGCTCAAATCAGCCTCTCTTTTATCTCACAGCCTGTTTCTTTCTGCTAAGCTCCAAGTATCAGAGTCACATCCCTTGGGGAGTAGACTCTACCAGGTGACTCCCCTAGGACCGGGCCCTGGGTCTTATTACTTTCCAGATGGGCCTGAGAATGCAGCCTGGCTTCTGTTTACAGCTGCTGAAGCTGCGGCAGTGGAGGGAGCCAGTTAAGCTGTTCAAGTAGCAGAAATGCTTTTGGATGTTGTGTGTTCAGGACCCTTGAGAAATTCGCAGCAGGCATTTGAAGAAAGTAGTGTGCAGATTCTGGGCCTGGGCAGGAGGAGAGGAACAGTGATGTCCTCTACATGCTGAGGAGTCAGGATGGCTAAGAGTCCAGTGGTTGAGGGCACTGTGACATTTCTTTGTGTTTGTTTTGGTTTGGTTTTTTGACCATGTCATTTCTTGTAGAAGTTTTGCTATACCTGCTCAGGATGCCAATTTGTTTAACCAAATGTTTGCATGGGGAGGACATGGGGAGACATCACCTCCCCTGACTGTGGAGAGCAGTTATGAAAGATTTACTGCTTAATAGGCTTTAGGCCCCAGAGCTTGAAGATGGCACAATTGCTTTTGTTTTGCAGAGAATTCCCCGAGGCCTCTTCTGTGCCAATGATGAGCATGTGCACCTCAGCACGCAGAGCGCTGATTAGCTGAGGACCTGCTGCTCAGCCTATTCCAGGAAATGTTGCAATATATGAACTGCTGTCTTTGGAGACCCTTTCTGGAGTTACTTTGTTGGAATCAACTCCCCTCACCCCCTCTTGTCTCATTACTGCCTCCCTACAAACCACACTTAATAGTCAGATTGAGTATCTTATGATTGCCTGAACATGCCTCCCTACACTCTCTGTGCCGGTTCACTCTGACTGGATTGCATTTTCTATCTTTGCTTTTCAAAATCCTGCCCATCCTTCAAGATCCAATTCACATATTAATGCTTCACCAATCCTTGCCCTAGAAATTGATCTCCATTTTTCTCTTGGGCTCTGTTATCATTTTATATGCCCGTCATGGTCCTTATCTAATTCTGCCTTGCACAATAAATATTTATGTGTAAGCTTTTCCCCCTCCCTGTTACGTTGTAACTTTGTGCGGCACAAAACTGTCTTACATATCCTGAAGTTCTTCAAAAACTTAAAATAGGTTGTTTATGCACATAGTGTTTATTGAATGGAAGCAAAAAACTCTGTCCTCAAGGACTTTTCATAGGAAATAAGTAAACTTAGGCATGAATGAAGTCATAAAAAGCAACACCAGATTCATAACCAAAGAGGGAAAAGTAGCTCTTGTTTCTTGGATCATGTGAGATTCTAAAGGATTTTTTAAAAGTAATTCCTGCCTGAGCTGAAGATGCTGAAACTCCCAAAGCACAAAGGAATTGCTCCCCTGATGTTGAGGAAGAATGTGTGATAGACACAGAATTTCCCCTGGCTTGGGCTTTCATTCTGTTCCCCTCCAGCCTCAGAGAACAGCACCGAGGGCAAACACATGGTTGGTTTACTTCCTATCTGTTTATTTAAGTAGAAATAGAAATTAAGGCCCGGTGCAGTGGCTCAGGCCTGTAATCCCAGCACTTTGGGAGGTCGAGGCAGGTGGATCATCTGAAGTCGGGAGTTTGAGACCAGCCTGGCCAACATGGTGAAACCCCATCTCTATTAAAAATACAAAAATTAGCCGGGTATGGTGGCGTGCACCTTTAGTCCCAGCTACTTTGGGAGGCTGAGGCAGGAAAATCACTTGAACCCAGGATGGGGAGGTTGCAGTGAGCTGAGATCGCGCCACCGCACACCAGTCTGGGCAACACAGCGAGAGTCCGTCTCAACAAAAAAAAAAAAAAAAAAAAAAAAAATTAAATTTCCCTGGAGGTCCTAAACCCTGCCCTCCTTCTTGTTTTTGCCTCAGCCCTGGACCCATCCAAGGACCCCTGCCTGAAGGTAAAATGCAGCCCTCACAAAGTGTGTGTGACCCAGGACTACCAGACCGCCCTGTGTGTCAGCCGCAAGCACCTGCTCCCCAGGTAAGGCAGGAAGGCCGGGGGCTGGGGGCTGGGAGGCATTCTGCAGCTGGCAGATCTGAGGGTTTCCAGTCTTTGACGTGGGGATATGGGGAGGGGAGAGCATAGTGTTAGGGTCGCCATTTGTATGGTGTTTGGTGCCTGTACTCTGACTATGATAGGAATCTCAGTTCTCAAACACAGGTTTACAAAGAATGTCCATCTTTATTTCCTTTAAATCTACTTCATTTTGACTCTGAGTCCTGATCTGAACAGATGAGCAGAAAATTCCTTCTTGGTCATGATTGAGAATTTTCTCCTCCCAGAGTGATGCCACGACCCAGGAAACTTACAACTAAGAAAGCAGGGGCCAAGTGTTTAGTCTCCTGGTTGCACTAACAACCTCACTGTGATGATTCTTCGAGGTCCATTGAGGCCCAAGGGCTCTCTGCTTCCATGTCCCCATTGGATGTAGCATCTTTGCCATCCTTGGTTTTTGGGTCCTGCCTTCTCAGGACCACCACACCACCATTCCTTCTGGGAACATGCTATTTCCTCAGGGTACAGCCCCTGATATCCTCTTTTCCCCAGCCCAGGGGGAAGTATCCCCCATCTTCTTCAGGGTCCTTAAAGCCATTGCTTTTACCCCTAATTCCACTCCCAGCATCATCTATCCAGTGGATTTAGGCTTTCACAAATGATGGATACAGGCTTTCAATTCAGACTGCTTCTGCCTTTGGTCCTGCAAAAATACCTGAAGCATGAAAGCAAACAAACATACACATGCAAACGGGCTTTCTTTAAGAAGGGAGTCAGATGGGGCAGGGATGAGAGGAAGGCAATTTCAGTGCATATTCTGCACTTCTCCCTGTGCTGCCTGTACAATTGAGAGGTGTCGCAGTGGGGCTTTGGAGTTGCCCATGTCCAGTTCCCAAGTGGGTAGTATGCTTTGCTGCTCACCGGCACTGTACCATGACCTCAGACAAATAAAGCAACCTTTCTGAATTTAGATAAATAAAGATTCCCACTTAAATCGGCTCCCCACCGAGAACTTTTGCTTTAT
This sequence comes from Homo sapiens, assembly GCF_000001405.40. Taxonomy (NCBI): domain Eukaryota; kingdom Metazoa; phylum Chordata; class Mammalia; order Primates; family Hominidae; genus Homo; species Homo sapiens. The sequence goes on along the minus strand of NC_000005.10, from coordinate 137,139,540 downwards.
ATCTCCAGCTTGAGCTGGGACCATGCAGAATGGGTCCTATCCCTTCCCTCTGTTCCTGAAGTCCAAGCAATGCTGGTCCCCTTGGCTGTTCCTCTGGGGGTATGTTTTAATTTCCCTCAATCCTGTAAATGGTTTCCTCTGAATGTGCCTAGGGAGCTCCTGCCCTCTGAAATCATGGTCTGGCAGAGAAATGGTGCTCCTGGCATGAGGTGAGCATCTAGAGCAGCCCCCACCCCATACCCCTCTGGCCTCTCTAAGCCTGGCACCTGCAACAATAGACCTAGCATCCAGGGTCATCTTGCTCTGAGGTCACTGTCAAGGTTGTTTTTAAAATAATCAGACTTTGTCTCTACAAGAGCAAGATGCAAGGTATCATAATGTGCTTTTCTCTGTCCCCAGACTGAACTGTTTTCCTGGTAGTAAAGCTAGATTGCATCCCTGGAATACTTCAGCCTGTGCAAGCATTGTGCTCAGCACCTGTTTCCTTGAGTTCTTTCAGCCATTTTGTAAATTTGGTATTTATTTTGTCTCTGCTTTACAAATGAGAGGACTGAAGCTAGTGAGGCATTAGTAATTTGTTTGCAAGCAGCAGCATGATTCAAACCCAGGATTGTCTGCCTCCAAAGCTTATGGTTTTCACTACTACAATATGTTGATGTCTTCATTCTACCTGTCATTGTCTGCTCATCCATTCATTGACATTCAACGAAAAGGTATTGAGGCCTTAGGCACTAAGGCTACAGAGGTAAACAAGAGACCCTATTCCTACCCTCAAGGAAAGTCAAGTTCATTGGGGAGTGGTATGTAAAAAAATACCACTTTTTTTTGGGGGGGGGGGGTTATTATTTGAAGTTCCTTTTAAGGTATATATTATCTGAGAAAACTAGCCTAGAATCTCCTGCTACATGCAATGTCTTTCTTCTCGGATGGAGGGAAGATGTGGCCATATGAATTAAAAATACCCAAATACCCTTTGGGATGGTGCTCTAGGTTGTTTAGCCATGTGTGTGTGGTGTGTGTGTGTGTGTGTGTGTGTATGTTTGTGTGTGTAAGATGGAGAGTCCATTGCATGTTTCCTCCTACAATGCAGGATATAGCCCTTTCTGGAAGTGTTAGACAAGACATTTTTGGTTTTAAACTCAAATCGGTTTGAGACCTATTCAGCAGCCTCATTGATATTCAGGCATATCCAGGTGTAAATGGTGTTTTTCTGGGCATGCCGTGTTTCTGTGTTGGAAGCACCAACACTTTTGCTTGTGTTGAAAATTGTAATCCTCATCTCCCACATCTCCTGGTGACCATAAAATTACAGTGGGTGAGAGCATGGATTTGGGAAGGAGACCCATCTGGGCTCAATTCCCAGGTTGGCTATTTCCTTTTCCAAGTGGCCTTGGCAAGTTATTTTATCTTTCTGAATTTGTGCTTCCTTATCTGTTAAATAGGTTTAATGACAGTGCTTCTACCATTCCTCTTTTTCATTTGCTGGAACACATCCTCTAGTAATTCTTACAGGGAGGGTTTATGGATGATAAATTTTATGAATCCTTGCAGAGTATTTTGTGTGTGTGTGTGTGTTTGAGTGTTCAATAAAATGATGGTGTGTAAAGTACATAGTCTATTGTCAAATAATAGCAGCTGTTCGTACAATTACTGAGACAATTATGATAATAGTTATTATTATCTACTTCATTTCGGAAGGTCAGCCAGAAATCTCCAAAGTTGCAAGTTACTGACTAAAAAGTAATTCACTACAGGTGCCTTGGTCCCTACCCAGTTTGATTGCACCTGCGTCTGCAGTTTCTGCAAGAGGAAGCCTTTGAGGTTTAGCGTGAGGATGACAGTGTCATTTCTGCTGCCCCCTTTGCAATTCACAGCAGGTGTAGACTAAGAAGATGATGGGATTTCTGATAATTGGGCCCACTGGTTCAATGGAAAAAGCCCAAGGAGGAGGCACTGGCTGAGATGGTGTGCCCACTCCTTTATCAAGATCTGGGAGGTGGCCTGGTCCAGGAAGTCCCTGAGTGTGTTTGTTGTGGTTGTTATGTCCAGCCTTCCTTGTCTTCCTCTTAGAGGCTGAATTACTCAGTCCACGATATCAGTTGAGTGCATACCTCTTTGAAGGGTCTTGGACACCTTCCCAGAAGAAACATCTGTCCTTCCACATTATACTCCAGGAGTCCCCTCTGACCAGGGAGACCATGTTGACAACTCTATTTATTCATCAATCAGGGAAGTAATCTTTCTCTCTGTGAAACATCTGTAGGCACTCTTGCCAGCCAAGTTGGCCTCTGCAGCAGCTTAAGAGGCAAATCTCACCTGCCAGACAGTCATGAGTGCACACAGAGAGTTAGCCAGGCCAGGCTTTAGCTGATTATGAGGCTCCAGACTTAGGCTATCTTTGCAAGCAGATCAAGACAGAAGGACAGTGAGCACGTCAGTGAGAGAATTTCATTAGCTTTCTTTGTCTGTGGAGATTGAGTGAGCAGAGAAGCTGTTTGACACACACATCTGTGACTGCAGTGTGTCAGGGCCGGCAGGCAAGCAATTTCAGTGGGGGGCCAAGCAAGGCAGCCAGCCCTCCCCTGCTGGAATTCTTCTCCTTGATTAGGGTGGCATTTGTATTTGGTTTCAGGTAAACTCATATTCTCTTTGGAGAATTCTCTTTGGAAATTCTTTGTTTCACACCTTCCTGCTGTTAAACAATGTAGAGTGGGGTTGCAAGGGACAGATTTTTGTAGTATGTTCATCTTTCAAGTTCTCTAAAAGGGCCAGTTATGCACAAAAGAGCAGTGTGAAGACAGCTGGGAGTCAGGAAGCCTTCTCTTAAGCTACTTTAAAATAATTTTTAATTTAGTTTGGTGTAATGATAGTTGATGCTTGTTATAGAAAACATTAAAAGTAGAGAAAAAAAGAAACAAGAAATAGGCAATGGTCACACTCTCTAAAAACAGTAATTAAAATATTGTGGAATATTTTCTTCCATTCTTTTTTCAAATCATGGGTTTTGTCTATTGGTGTGTTTTTGTCAAAACTGATCAAGTGGTTCCTATATTGCATATAAAAATTTCTATTACATCCTCTTTAGTTAATTTTTATAAGTGAGTATTTTAATGATACTACAAATTATTTATAGATATAATTTTTTTTTGAGACAGTCTCCATCATCTGGGTGAAGGGCAGTGGAGCGATCATAGCTCACTGTAACCTTGAACTCCTGGGCTCAAGCAATATAGTTATACATTTTAATCATTATATAACATACTATACAAAAAATAACTTGAAATGAGTCGTAGACCTAAATATAAGAGCTTAGGCTTTTTTAGAAGTCTTGGAAGAAGGCTTCGAAGAAAACATAGGAGTTATGACCTTGAGTTTGACTAAGATTTCTTAAGTAGGACACAAAAAGCCTGAACTGTAATGCAAAAAGAAAAGCAACAAATTAGACTTCATCACTGGTCTTCTAAAGGCACTTTTACAAAAATGAAAAAGACAAGTCACTCTGAGTGAAAATATTTGCAAAACATGTACAACAAAAGATTTGATTGTAAAATATAATGAAAGCATATGTGCATTTAAAGACTCCCTCCTGCATGTTCATATCAGCTTTATGTGTGATGGATAAAAACTGTGAAACAACCCAAATGTCAACAAGAGATGAATGAGTAGACAGATTGTGGTCTATCTCATAATGGATTACTATTCAGCAATAAAAAGAAATAGGCTATTGATACATCCAACATAATGGATGAATCTGATAATAATTAGGCAGGGTGAAAGAAGACAAACCTCCCACAAAAAGGGGGAGATACTATACAATTTCCATTTACTTGAAATTGTAGAGAATACAGACCAATCTGTGATGACAGAAAGCAGGTTATTTGTCCTCAGAGTAGTGATCATTGAGTGCCTAAGCATTCTGTAAGCCTCGATCATAAAGTAGACCCTTTGGGAGACAGTTAAGTCACACTCTGGTCTTAGATGCCCAGGATCCCATTGGTAAATGGGTTTGTTTGCGGAAGAAGGGTTTTTATTACAACCTTGTGCTATTCTTCCTGACTTAGGTTTTAGCAACATTCTCATAGGCATTCTTAAGAAAAATGTTCTCTTAGGGGACAGGGGGACAAACAGAAAGTCTTTAAGCATGCAGAGGGCTCTGCCCTCAGGGATTTTCTGCTAGTCTGCATGGCTGGTTCTGATTTATTGTTCTGTGGGGTGGGAGATCGTGGGGCAGAGGGTGGAGGTTTCCCTACAGAGTGCTGAACATTGATTTTACCTCTCTGTTGCCATTGATTTTCATTTGGAGAATGGAAAATTGAAGCATTTGTTTTAAGCCTTCCAGACAAGCCACATTCTCAAATTCTGCAAGTGTATTGTGAATGGGAGGGAGGGATGTCAGGATGGAACTTACAATATCTAAGTGTACCCTTCGAAGCCTCTGGGGAGCAGTGGGAACTAATCTGTTTTTAAATAAGGAGCAGACATGGCCCGACTTCCCAATGGGCTGGGCCTCTCTAATGTAATGGCCCTTTATCTCCACTTCTTAACTATCTGGAATAACAACTAATTCTCCACACCAGCAAAGAATTCAGATCCAGTCGAGGCTCTCGATACAGTAGACCGATCTGAGAGTTTTCAGTCTTTTATGTGAACTTGAGAAAAAGAATCAAAGTGTTCGAGGTCAGAGAGAAGTACATCACAGAATGTGCCTCAAATACCAAACTCTCAGAGGAGATTTGAAAGGATGACGGTTATTTCATCTCAGTTTTGTTTTACAACAAAGCACTGCCTCCTGCTACAGGGGCTTTGAACTGGTTGATTACACATACACATAGCTGTCGAGGTTTGGAAGACACGTGGCCATGCAGGAGGTGGGTAATTCCTGGGTGTCTGGTTGGCTTTCTGGCACTTCACAAGTCAAGGCATTGCCAGTGACCAAAGAGTGATTGTGCCCACATTCATTACTATGATTTTATATTTATGTAGCTTATGCCCCTTCTCCAAGTGGCTCATGCATTGCTTTGGGGTTCTCCATTAAGCTCAGAGGATCTTCATTTACTGTGTTCTGGGTCTGGATAGGGTGCCAGTGAGAGCTTGGTGCTATATTCCTACACTGATTGTGGAATTAATGCATGGAGTTTTGGGTTTCCCTCTTCAGAGTAGTCATCTTTGTAAACAGAAACATCATCACTGTGGTCTACTGTTCTGCAAATAAATACCACTGGACAGTAAAGAAGATGAGAAGGAAAGTGGCTGGCTCAAGGTTGCTGCTTACTGACCACCTATCTTGTGTTAGGCACACTTTGCAGGAGAAATCTTACTGACTTCTCACAACAGTCTGCTAGGTCAGTATTATAATACCCATTTTACAGATGGGATTGTTGAGGTTGTGTAAATAACTGTCCTAATTGGACACTGCCAGTAAGGGGAAGATTAGAACCACAGTGGAGGTCACTGCACTTCCAGAGTCCATGCCTGTTGCCTATGCTGCACAGCCTCCTCTGCTGTGGAGTCATGGGGCAAGCTCCCAGGGGCCTGATGTACATTTCCCTTAGTGATAACTGCCACCCCCCGCTACCCCCCCCACCCCCAGCCCATCTGCTCCTGGCCCTAGAGGTGCTGCTGTACAGATGCCTGGGACCTTTTCTCCTAATCCTTGCCCCTCGCAAAGCAACTAGTCCATGCCCTGGTATTAAACCTATTTCTTCTTTCTGTGCCCAAAGCAATAATTCTGAGTTCATTTTTCCCCTTCTTGGCTTTTCTGAAAGTAATCATTCAAACCACATGTCACTTAAACATAGAGATATTTAATTACTTTAAACCCACAATCGCCTCTCTCTTTTTTTTAAACAGCAGAATCACTTTATGGCTGTGCTCAGGTTAAGGACCTAGCTGTTTGTGGAGCCTTCACTGAACAAGGTTTTATAACTCTCAAGCCACTTAACTCCTCTGTTCCTTTGTTTTTCTCTCTGAAACGAAGACTATTGATTAGATGACCTTGATGACAAGCAGCAGAGAGTAAAAAGCAATTCATAATGGAGATGTGAATAATTATGTGGAATTTTTAGTCCCTTGGATTAAGGAACAGAATGAGAGGCAGATATTGCACATTGTCAGGCAAATTCGCTAGGCTGGGGGTCCCCCTTTACAAATACAATTTTTTTTTTTTTTTTTGAGATGGAGTCTCACTCTGTCACCCAGGCTGGAGTGCAGTGGTGCAATCTTGGCTCACTGCAACCTCCGCCTCCTGGGTTTGAGCAATTTTTCTGCCTCAGCCTCCCGAGTAGCTGGGACTACAGGTGCATGCCACCATGCCTAGCTAATTTTTTTGTATTTTTAGTAGAGGTGGGGTTTCGCTGTGTTAGCCAGGATGGTCTGTATCACCTGACCTTGTGATCTGCCTGCCTCAGCCTCCTAAAGTGCTGGGATTACAAGTGTGAGCCACCACACCTGGCCTACGAATACATTTTTAAAAATAACAAAAGAAGACTGCCAGTAAAATGTGTCACACTCATCTTGTTCTGCCTTGTTTTCCCATTTTTCATTTAAGCCTTGCTTTCAGTACCATCTGAAGATGGGGGTGAGTGGGGCAGGTTTACCTGGCAAGGTCAACCAGTGAGACTCCTACCTCCTGCCTGGCCTGGTAGTTTCTAGATGTGCCCTCAAGAACCAGAGCCTCTGCCCTGGGAGCTTGGCATCTCCCCTCCAGGCTGCACTTGCTGAAGAAAAACAACAACAACAACAAAAAACAACAAAAAAAGCGCTTCCAGAGGGGGCAGTTCATATTTTCCATTGACCCCAAAGCACTGGATCACCATCTTTTTTTTGAGCCATGTTTTATCTGTAGGAGATGGAGAATGTTTTATGGTTGAATTCCCAGGATGTGCACATGCTCAGATGCTAATAAGTCAAGCGTCTGCGAAGCTGGGAATGGTAGGGCCAGGGATTGATTAGCAATGCCCTCCGATTTCCTGCTTCCATTTCCAGTAAAATGGCATTAAGTGTACTGCCCTTCTCTGCAGTTCTGCCCAGAATAATGGGGCTGCAGTTGCTGTATTTATTGGTATCCTTGCTTATTAAGGAATGTACATATTGGTATATTTCCTACATCGGATTTCAGTGGATTAGAAAGAGGAGGTTGAGGTAGGTGTGCCTATTTTGAATAGATAATTACTAGGTGTGATTTCCATTAGGGATCAGATCTTGCTGGGCAGCACTCAGGTGTGAATTGCTAGAGCACATCTCTCCCTAAACATTGAGAAAATGACAAACCTGAGCCCCCCTGCAATTCACTGAAGATGTTAAATTGCCCATCTTGAGTACAAAATTCCTAGCAAGTTCTGGAGATTTTTTTTTTTTTTTTTTTTTTGAGACAGAGTCTTGTTCTGTTGCCCAGGCTGGAGTGCAGTGGCACTATATCTGCTCACTGCGAGCTCCACCTCCCTGGTTCACGCCATTTTCCTGCCTCAGCCTCCTGAGTAGCTGGGACTACAGGCACTTGCCACCATGCCCAGCTAATTTTTTATATATATATATATATATATATATATATATTTTTTTTTTTTTTTTTTTGAGACGGAGTCTCGCTCTGTCGCCCAGGCTGGAGTGCAGTGGCGCGATCTCGGCTCACTGCAAGCTCCGCCTCCCGGGTTCACGCCATTCTCCTGCCTCAGCCTCCCGAGTAGCTGGGACTACAGGCGCCCGCCCCTACACCCGGCTAATTTTTTGTATTTTTAGTAGAGACGGGGTTTCACCCTGTTAGCCAGGATGGTCTCGATCTCTTGACCTCGTGATCCGCCCATCTTGGCCTCCCAAAGTACTGGGATTACAGGCGTGAGCTACCACACCCGGGGGGGAGATATTTTTTAGTATTCAGGTAGACCAGAGCCTGTGTGGCCTCCTCACAAAGATGTCGTCATCTTTTTTTTATTTTTTTGAGATGGAGTCTCACTCTGTTGCCCAGGCTGGAGTGCAGTGGCATGATCTCTGCTCACTGCAACTTCCACCTCCCGGGTTCAAGCGATTCTCCTGCCTCAGCCTCCTGAGTAGCTGGAACTACAGGCATGTGCCACCATGCCTGGCTAATTTTTGTATTCTTAGCAGAAGCAAGGTTTCACCATGTTAGCCAGGATGGTCTCAATCTCCTGACCTTGTGATCTGCCCATCTCAGCCTCCCACAGTGCTGGGATTACAGGCGTGAGCCGCCACGCCTGGCCGATATAATCTTCTTTTATAAAAGTTATGAGATTGAACTTTCCCACTTTTACTTCATTTTAATTTTTCTTTAATCACTTTCCTTTTCCTTTGTTATTTAATAAATCTACTGTCACTTACTTGCTGTTCTGCCAAAACTCATCAAGATCCGAACCCAGAGGTTTTCAGTTTAGACACTTTATATCAGATTAATCCAACCAATGAACCGTGAAAGACATTCTTTATGGATATAAGCCACCATAGTAGGGCCCATCGGGGGCGCTGGCCTTGTGGATTCTGGGCCAGAAAATGGACTTAGGATGATTTAGATGGACGTTCAAGGCTATCTTTAGAAGGACTTTTGCTTTAAATAGAGTGTTCTCAAGCTGATGTTCTATGTTTAATGTTCCTCATGGAGAGAGGGTGCAGAGGGCCAGGAGAGATGAAAGTTAATTAGTTTGGGGACCTTGGCACCTTTCCAAGGCATTCTCTTAAATGAGGTTTTTCATGGGCATACATTGAACCCAATGTTGCTGTGCTGCAAGTAATGAGAAGTTCTCCTCTCAGCCTGGCTTGTCCATGATGCGTCCACAGCTGGAGGTGCTGTGGTGTCATGCTTCCCAGTGAACTGCAAGTCTAGCTTCGGAACAGTGACATTGACCTGAAGGAAAGGAGGAGACCCAGCTCAAACTTTCCATCACTGTGAGGAATTCCCAAGTAGACAGCAAAGTGACAAGGGGCCCTGTGGCCTGGAGCTAGATACCTTCTCTTGGCAGGCACCAGGGAGGCCATCTCTGAATATGGTGACAGTGATGAAATGCTTTAGAGCTTGAGTCCTTCCTGTAGTTGCTTCAGCAGGACTAGCTCAGAAAACTGCTCATGTGCATGCTTTGGTGATTGTGGGTTATGGATCATTAATTCAGATCCCACTAAGTTGGAGTTTGTGATAATTTCTTTATTCAACAAATACTTATGGGTGCCTTCCATTTGCCAGACACTGTGTTATATGTTTGGAGTTTTATGATGAGTGGGCATAGTCTACCCTTGTGGAGATTAAAGTCTATTGAAAGAGACAGATGAAAAAAAATAAGTATCTAATAAACTGTGGTAAGATTAAGAAGGATAAGAGTGGAGTGGTTTAAGAATCACTTTAGATTGGTTGAACAGTGAAGGCCTTTGCAGGGGGCAAAGGTAAAACCACCTTTGTAAAGGTTATGACAGCGAGGGAAGTCTAGCATGGGTGACTCCATCTTGCCTCTAGCTTCACAGGCTGGCTGTCTTCACTCATTCCTGGACCCAGGTCAAACCAACTACGGGAAGAACTTAGTTTATAGTTAAACTTTGAAAGAAGGATGAGGGGGGAAGAAAGGAGGGGAAGTTCCCTCTTTAAAATGATCCCTTTCCTTGCTCAGGGACCAAAACCACCTTTGTGAGTCTAATGAAAAGCCACAAGATTAGGATTATGGGAGGGGTCTGAATTCGGCTAAAATGTAGGTGTAGCTAAACAATAACCAGCCATTGTCTACCAGCTTGCCTTTCTCTGATTCCTTGCTGCTCAGGAGTCATGTGACCAGAGGTAACAAGATTTGTGACTTTCCCTATTCTATCTATTGCTCCTATAGATAACATCACTATTGTAGAACCTAAGATTGATCTTTTGAGATATCTTCAGACCTGCACATCAAGCCCCTGACTGACTCCACTTGGACCTGGGACTCACAACTCAACCAGTCCTGTGGCCCCTACCCAGAGGAGGACTGAGTACATGAGGACCCTTTTTCACAGCCCTATGATTTTATCCCCCACCAATCAGTGGCACCCATTCCTTAGGCCCCTGACCACCCAATTATCCATAAAATCCCTAGCCTCTGAATTCTCAGGGAGGCTGATTTGAGCAAGAAAACTCCTGTCTGACCACTTGGCTAGCTCCGCATTAAACTCTTTTTCTACTATAATATCACAGTCTTGGTGAATTGGTTTTCTCTGTGTAGCGGGCAAGAAGAACCTATCAGGCAATTACAAAGGTGTAGGTACCAGCAAGGCAGAGAGGAGAGGAAGTGTTCTCAGTGGAGGGAACAGCCTCTGCAAAGGCCCTATGTCGGGGAAGAAGAGAAGGAGCTCGGTGTCCAAAAGAAAATGAGAAAGGGGAGGCCTGTGCTTCAGGAAAGAAGGAGTATGGATACATGAGGCTGGAAAGAAAGGCAGGGCTAGATTCTGCAACACCCTGAAGACCATGAGGACATGCGCAGCTCTCAGACCAGGTATGATGGGATGTTTTGTGTGGCTTTCAGTTGGAGAGTGATAGAATTGTGTGGTTTAGGGTGGACTGTATTTCCTTAAATTCTTGTTCTTTAAAGCAGACTTTTGTACCACTTGAGAGAATCTAGAGGGTTCTGTGTGCATTAGAAATCCTAACGATATCCTCATTGAGCTTGTAGACTAGTAGAGGAGGTTAAGAATGTGAATGTGTATAATCTAATCTAGAAGATAGAAAATCCCATGAAATAAAGTGGAAGCTCTAAGAAGGAAGAAAGCACTTCCAGCTACAGTTGGGGTTGGGGGAGGGTTGAACTCAGATAAGGAGCATTACTTAGTAGTGTTTATTAGTATTTACTAGTGTTTAAGAGCATATGAGGACACTGGCTCAGACCCATTGGGACATGCTTAATGTTGACACCTGTTAAATGGCACAGCTGGGGGACCAGGGCAGTGCTGCCCCAAACCCATCTTCTGTGTAAGAGCCACTCTGCCCTCAAGCTGCTTCCTGCACCGAATCTCCATTTCCTTCTAAAATGATTACTTTAAACCCCACATTATGGTATTTTTATAAGGAAAGCAGTGAGCTTAGTACCAGTACATAGTAGGCACTCAATAAATTTAGTCTTTCATCTGAGCCTCTAGTTCCTCAGGGAACAATCAGATGGGGGAACAATCCTTGCTAATCTCACAGAGGTTTTCAGGATCATATGTGCAAAGCGTCCTGCTATTTTTAATGTTCTGGGTTTAATGTCAGTTGTTATCTTAGTCCATTTGGGTTGCTATAAGACGATACTATAGACTGGGCAGCTTATAAACAAATTTATTTCTTACAGTTCTGGAGGCTCGAAAATCCAAGGTCAGGGTACTGGCAGATTCTGTGTCTGGTGAGGACCTACTTCCTGTTTCATAGACAGCTGTCTTTTTGCTGTGTTTTCACATGGCAGAAGCAGCCAGGAATATCTACGGGCCTTCTTTTATGAGGTCACCAATTCCATTCATGAGGTCTCCACTTTCATGACCTAATTACTGTCCAAAGGCTTCACCTCCAAATACCCTCACATTGGGGATTAGGTTTCAACATAGTAATTTTGGGGAGACACAAACATTGTCCATAGCATTCTTCCTCTGACGCCCATTAAATTCATGTCCTTTTCATATGCAAAATACACTCATTCTATCTCAATAGCCATAAACGTCTTAATTCATTCCAACATCAACTTTAAAGTCTTAAGTCCAAACTCTCATCTAAATATCATCTAAATCCAGTAGGAATGAGATTCAAGATACTGTTCATCCTGAGGCAAATTGCTCTCCAGCTGTGAACCTGTGAAACCAACATGTTATGTGGTTCCAAAATATAATTGTGGGATAGGTATAGGATTCCCATCCCAAAAGAGAGAAATAGGAAAGAAGAAAGGGATAACAGGCCCCAAGTAAGTCAAAACTTCAAAACGGCAAATAGTAGTAAACTTTAACATTCAAGAATAATCTTTTGTGACTTTATATTCTGCCCTTCAGGCCCACTGGGCAGAGCTACTCCCTTCCAGACCCACTGGGGTAGGGGTACTGCCTGCCAGACCCACTGGAGTGAGAGTCTCACCTTCTGGACCCATTGAGATGGCTGTGTTGCCCCCACGGCTTTGCCTAGCAGGGTTTGGGCCCCTGATGGCTCCAGGCAGCCCTGTCCCCCTACAGTGTCTCTGGTTCTTGCAACCATAGCTCTCTTGGGCTGGAATCATACACTGGTAGCTCTGCTGGTATGGAGCTGCTGGAGTAGGTGGGCATTGCCCTAATGTGGTCTTTCTGTGGTGGCCTCATAGTACTCACTGTGGCTCTTGTACTCTGGGCCTGTGATGGGTAGAGCAGCCCTGATGATTTCTGAATTGCTCTTTCCTTGTCTTTGATGATAGCTCTTGGCTTTTGTTTAGGTCACTGACTAATCTCACCATTGTCTTGAATAGCACCTGGCTTCTGTTGCGATGGCTGACCCATACTAATCTCCTTTATACATTGTCACTTTACCACACCCTTGGCATTCTCTCTAGATCATGTTTTCTCATTCTTTACAATATGAATAGGCTGAGAACTTTCTAAATCCTTAAGTTCTGCCTCCCTGTTGATGAACAATCTCATCTTTGAGTCATTTTACTGTAAGCAATCAGGAGGAGCCAGGCCACTTCTTGAACACTGTGCTTTGATATTTCCTCAGCCAAATATCCAGTTTAGTTGTTTGCAAGTTCTACCTTCCACAGACACTAGGACATGAACACAATTCAGCCAAGTTTCTTTCTTACAACTTTCTAACAAAAGTGGCCTTTCCTCTAGTTTCTTTATTTTTTGAGATGGAGTTTCGTTCTTGTTGCCCAGACTGGTGTGATCTCAGCTCACTGCAGCCTCCGCCTCCTGGGTTCAAGTGATTCCCCTGCCTCAGCCTCCCGAGTAGCTTGGATTACAGGCATGCACCACCATGCCTGGCTAATTTTGTATTTTTAGTAGAGATGGAGTTTCTCCATGTTGTACAGGCTGGTCTCGAACTCCTGACCTCAGGTGATCCACCCGCTTTGGCCTCCCAAAGTGCTGGGATTATAGGTGTGAGCAACTGTGCCTGATCTCCTGTAGTTTCTAATAATATATTCCTCATTTATGTCTGAGTCCTCATCAGAATGGCCTTTGCTATCTTAATATGTTTGTGTTGCTATGAAGGAACACCTGAGGCTGGGTAATTTATAAAGAAAAGATATATATTTGGCTCATGGTTCTGCAGGCTGTACAAGAAGCATGGTGCAGCATCTGCTTCTGATGAGGACTTCAGGAAGCATCCACTCATGGTGGAAGGCAAAGAGGAGCAGCATCACATGGCAAGGGTGAAAGCAAGAGAGAAAGAGGAGGGAGGTCCCAGGCTCTTTTTAACAATTATTTCTCATGGACATGAAAAGAGCAAGAACTCAACACTCAATTATTACAGTGAGAATGGCACCCAGCCAGCCATTCATGAGGGATTTGCTCCATGACCCAAACAGCTTACATTAGGCTCCACCTGCAACACTGGGGATCAAACTTGAGATTTGGAGGGGACAGATATTCCAACTATATTACTATCCAATTTCTACCAATATTGTGTTCAGGATTACTTAGGTATTCTCTAAGGCGATCAAAGCTTTCTCTATAGCTCTCTCCTTTTCTTTCTGGGTGCTCACCAGAATAGCCATAAAGATCCTTTCATGACAATCTAGGCTCTTGCCAGCATGCACATTCAGACTCGTCCAGCCTCTGTCCATTGCCCTGTTTCAAAGCTGCTTTTACATTTTTAGGTACTTGTCACTGCAGCACCCCACTTCTCAGTACCAATTTTCCATCTTATCGTGTTTGGGGCTGCTATGCAAAAATACCATAAACTGCCTGATAAACAACAGAAATGTATTTCTCATAGTTCTGAAGGCTAGGAAGTTCCAGGTCAAGGCACTGGCAGACTCTGTCTGGTGAGAGTCCCTTTTCACTAGGACATTTTTTCATTGTGTCCTCACATTGTGGGAACAGCTAGCCAGCTCTCTGTGGTCTCTTTTATAAGGGCACTAATCCCTTTGAGAGGTGAGTTAATGACCTAATTACCCCTGCCAAAGGCCCCACCTCCTAATACCATCATCTTAGAGGTTAAGATTTTGATATATGGATTTTTGGGGAGACACAGACATTTGATCTACAGCAGTTGTTGCTTTCTCTACTGGCTGAATGAACACTCCACTGCTTGTTTTGCTCTTACCACTCACTTGCAATGCCCAGATTCCCTCTGGAGTGTCAGCCATAGGCGGGCATGACTAGTTCACTCTTGTATCCCTTGTGCCTAGCTCAGGCCTTGGCACACTGCAGGTGTTCATGGCACGTTTAATGGATGAATGAATCAGTTAAATCAAGAAAGGAGCTGGGGGTACAGGGCCAAGCTGGTGCACTTAATGGAAGCTGTGTTAGGTCAGCCGAGTTGCAAAGTGATGCTTACAGTAAGAGTTAGTGCTATTAATACCATGAGGGAAGTGAGTATATTCCATTTCCTTTTGTTTGCTGCATAGAACCTACCACATTCCTGGATACACAGAAAATACTCAGAATGTGTCTATGAAACTCCCCAGGGAAACTGGAGGTAATGTGTCAATCTGCTGTGAAAGTGGCCCTGTTCTTGAGAAAGAGCAACATAACTAGACTCTGCACCCTGCCCGACCTGGTAGCCTGCTTATTTAGGGCCTTCTCTCTTTGTCTTCCTCTCTTTGTGCAAAGTGACTACACACATCTAAAGTCAGCTCTCCTCTGCAGCTGCAGGCTTGGCCTTGGTGGTGAGAGGATGTCATCCATCCCAGTGGCCCCAGGAGTCTCTCAGACCTGCAGTTCTGTGTTCTTCAGAGTGCTGCAGAATGGCCTTGGATCTGCCTTAAGGAAGTAAAAAAGGAGAGAGACAGGTATTGAGTGTGCACACTGCTGACTGTCTCGATGAGGGCCTGCATGGCTCTTCACTGGTCCTGAGCCCTGAGGCTCTTCCATGCCTGGCCTAGGTTTATCCTTAAGGACTGCCTCAGCCATGAGGCTTGTAGGCTCCAGAATCTCTTCTCTCTAAGGTCTGATTCCTCTCCCCTTGGTCCACAGGATTCACCCATGTTGCCCTTCAGAATAGGAGGCAACAGGGCTGCCTGAGGCCTGTGTTGCGCACTCAGCCAGAAATAAGCCTGGGGAGGCAGCAGGCAGCATCCTCAGGGGTTCGCTTTATGTCCTGGGGAGAAGCACAGAGAAGAGGGGCTGGGTGGTGAGCTGCTCAACCCTGAGAGGGGCTCAGGCCTGCAGCTGCTGCTCTCTGCCATGTGGGAGCCCAGGATACACCTGCAAACTAATTGAAATATGCTGCAAACTAATTGAAATATGTGATTTCCTGCCAGTCTACCTGGTCTCCAACTTGAGCAGTTTCTCCTTGCACCATTTTCTTCGTCTTGTGGTACGTGGAAAGTTGGCTTGTTGTTCTTTATGGCTCTGTGATTACCTACAGTTCTTCGGTGGTGGTTCCAAATCCTTTGCATCAGAGCGGTTCTCAGAGCAATACCTGGTAGAAATAGGCAGAGCAGAGGCTTGGGGTGATGAAGTTGTGCTCCTTCAGGGTGCTGGCATTGGGGGTACAAATTGGTGCAACATTTCTGGTGGGTATTTTGACCCCCTTGATTCTTTGATTCCATTTTTGTGGATCTATCTCATGGAAGTAAATAGACATTCACATACAGGTTTATATACAGGGATGTTCAGTGTGATTCAGGATGTTCAGTGATGACAAGGTTAAATAAATGGAAACATCCCCTTCCTCTAGGTGATTTCTGCTTGAACTCTTGCAGTATTGCGAGCCTGCCTACCAACTTTCTGAGGTAGCTTTCCTGTGTGGACAGCTCTTATGTCATGTTTGGGTTATCTTCCTTAGGTTGAGTCAAAAGGCTTTTTCTTGATAACTTCAACACGGTCTAGGTAGAATAGGTTCTGTCTGGTTCTGCTGTGGAATAGCATTGGGACACATTGGCTTACTACTCCCTGTGCTGACACAATTTTGAGCATCTTGTCTGTACAAGAGGGGCAGTTGAGTACCAACTGTATTGCCCAAAGTGGCCAGTGATAAACAGCTATGTTTGAGTGGCTGGGAACACGGGGCAAATGTGTGTGGAGGTGGAGGCTATCTGAGACCTTCTCAGAGAGGGCTGCTACTTGAGCTCACCTTTGGGAACGGATGGGGCATACCAGCAGAAGACAAGTGCTGGAGAAAACACAAGGCCTGGGGAGCTAGCCAGAGTTCTTGACTACCAATCCAGAAAATGTCCTACCAGTCAGGGCCACATAGGAGAGAAGGAGCTTCTCTGGGGCTCCGTCTCCTCTCCTCCAACACTGACTGTGAAGAAACTTCTTGAGCAGGGGATAAGTAATGGTGCGGATCTGGCTGTACCAGCCTCCTGTAGCGCTTTTGTGAATGACCCACCACTAATGTCTTATGGGGAATGGTGTTCAGCCTAAGCTCCTCACATGCCATGTCTCAATCAGGATCTAGCCTGTCTCTGTGTCTGTCCTGGCATCATGTCCCTGAAGCCACTTCTGCTTCATTTTACTGACTTGCTCCTTCTTAATGGCAATCACACCCAGCCCTCCCAGAACAGGGGGCTTTGCTGCTGGTGACCAGAAAACAATTACAGGTGTTTTCTTTCCCATGGGCACATCCCATGATAATTAATTGCCCTCAAGGAATGTAAGCAAGTGTTTTCCAAGATTAGAACAGCGAAGCTGATGGTGGAATGACATGTGCTTGTGCCAACCTTTGTATGCACACCTGAGCCTACAATTAGCTGGAATCTGTGCTTTCCCAGCTGCTCTGGCCCCTCCTGTGAAGAAGGAGGATTATGAATGCTCAGGCAGGAGATACCAAATGAAGTTCTCAGCCGTGGGTTTGCTTGATGAGTATTTGCTTTTTTCCAATTGGTGTGTCCATTGCTAAAGATTTCCTCTAAGGTCTCAGGGATAGAGATGGACCTCTCTTTAATGGGCCAATGAAAAAAGTAAAGTAGCAAAACAATAAATCAAACCAAAATGCCAAAGGTCAGTGGACAAAAGGAACAATTTCTTTTCTGACCCTTGTTAGTAAGAAATGGATTTTTAAAACAGAGCGCATCACTAACTATTATCCTAAGGGAATAAAAAAAGCTCAACTGTTCGTTTACATTTCCCTAATAGCTTGCAATTACACTGCTGCTTGGCACTTTTCCTTGGCAAAGCAGAATTTTAGTCAGAGCCTGAGAGTGCCTCTGTGTGTGTGTGTGTGTGTGTGTGCGTGTGTGTGTGTGTGTATAACTGCTTTTGCATGCAGGCCTCAGGGGCCTTGCTTGTTCAACAACTGAACTTTGAGGTAAAACCCCACTGGTGTCTGCCTCACAGATACCCTTAGTGTTACTGGGTGTGCTCTGTCACTCTCTTAATGGAAAGTGCAGACTGCAGTCTCATACCAGTTAGTAGACTTTACGTGGTCACGTCATCCTATTAGTCTTCATGATCTGGTCAGGAAACATGGAGGATATTGTGAGTTTAATGCTGGAAGTAGGTTTGACTAGTATCCTTGGACATCATATATATATATATAATCATATATAATACTGTTATATAATAACAGTATTATTTATGACATATAATAACATATACTAATAATTATATATAATTATATATTATATATTTAAAACCAAATATTTATAAAATATAATAATAGGGATAATAAGGATACTACTAATAGGGATAATAAGGATATTAGTATCCCTATTTTATATATGTATATAAAATACATACACACACACTTATATGATGTCCAGGAATACTGGTATCCCTGTTTTATAAATATATATGGAAACCAAATATATAATATATAATTTTATATATTATATATAATTAATGTCACTATATGTAATAAAGAATAATGTTCTATGTAATATAGAATATATTATATATAATATATAATAATACAAATTATATATTTAAATATATTATATATAAATTTGGTTTCACTTACAGGGAAACGTTGATTCAAGTAATGTTCCAAAGTGTGTGAATCACCAGAGATATGGATTGTGATCTGGCAAGTTCATTTTCTTCTTACTGTTTTCCCATTGGCCACATAATTTGCTCCTGGCATATTTAAATATAGCCTGGCTCATGGGATTCCTGAAATTAATAGCAAATGTCTTGCCACATAAATATTTTGTTGGAAAAGTTATCAGTCTGTGGATCTTTAATGTCTCAAAATAAGAATAAGAGCAAAAACAGTTAAGGTAACATCTTTTCTGAATAAATTTAGCTGTTCAGAGAAATTAAATATGATCATTATGTTTAATAATCATCCCATTTAATGTATGTTATGGGACGTACATTTAATGCAGTGCTAGCAGTATCTTTGAATTTGTTGCTCAATTTCTGGCTCATTCTAGGTAATTAATAAGTGTTTGTTGAAAAAGTAAAGACTGTAGAATCCTAACACATTTGGAATGTTTATACCTTCAGCTTTGATAGCTTAGCTTAAACAGGCCCTCAAAATATTAAGGTGGAAATTTAATTCAGATAGGATTGATCTCACCTCTTCATCTCCACTGAACTTTTGAGGACTGGTCAGGAAGATTTTATCTAGGTAACTCCTTTCTTCAGCCTCCTTCCTGCACTTGGGAGATCTTTCTCTGACTGTGACAACTTTGGTTTCTTTAAGCATTGCTGTAGAAATGCGAGACTGGCGGGCAGGTGTGAGTCCAGCAGCATGTATTTCTTTAGAAATTTTGAAAATGCATTTCCTTTTTAGATTTTGAACAATTTAGATCAGTGATACATGGTCGCAAGAGAATTGAGCAATAGAAAGGCATATAGAGTAACAAAGCAGCAGTTCTGTTTCATGTCCTCAATCCTACTTTTCTTGAGGGTGTGTTACACATTTGGTGTGTGCCTCTTTACTCATTTTCAATTTATTTGCACCTACTCATGCAGTGTTTTTGGAAATTCTCATTTGAGGCTGTTCAATCCTCTCATCTATGAAGAATAGATTCTCCTCAGCTGCCTTGGCCATTGTGCAGTCCAGGTGAGAGGTACATCGTGGAGTCCCAAGTTGAAATGAACCACAGTCTAGAGTTCAACATTCGGGTACACCAGAGAGATGTTCATGCTTTTGGAATTGCATGCATACCAGACACATATCCTTCTGGTGGGCCTGATTATGCTCTAAGACTTTTTAAATATGCACTTTTCCTAGGAGTTTTGAAGGTGCTTAAGAAACCTGGCTTGGGGCTGGTTTGGAAAGCATGCCCTGGGATGATGGCTCTCTACTTCTTCTGGGGCCTGCTTGTCTCTCCTGATATGAGCAAGTCTTGACCTGGATGTGTGGTGACCCTGGCTCTCGTTATCTGGGCCAAGCAAGACGGGGTGAAGCACATAAAGGTGCTGGTATTCCTGTGGTTGACCTCCCAGCTTGAATCAATGGATGCCCTCCACCCTGATGCTGAGGGCTTATCTTGTGGGTATGGGTCCTTCCCATTGCCCCACGTCTGCTTTCCCATGAAATCTCCCCAACTCACCACCTCCCTAACAGATTCTCTTGCTCTTCCTTGACTTTTCTTCCTCTTGGGAATGTTGAGAGGAGGAGATGGACAGATCAAATAAAGGGCTTGAAACAATGCCTGGTATGTTAAAGGAGCTGGACACATGTGAGCTATTATGGGTAGTAGTAACAGCAGTAGTAGCAGCAGTGGCATAATAAGGCCGCTTATAAGGCAGCTCAGTAAATGTTTAGCTGCTGTTATTGTTATTATTACATATTTGTCCTTTTAAATTTCAGCTTCTGTAAACAGCAAGTCTTTTGCACCATTGCGTGCCCAGTAGTGCTTGGGACACCCTCAGGCACACAGGAGTCACTCTCTTCAGTTCTCTTTGCCTTGTTAGGAAAACTGGACTCTTTGGACATGCTTTCACGTCTGGGATCTTCTTCATTTGGAACAGGAGGGAGACACGTGAGCCCACATACCCCACGATGGAAAATCTCTCTCGTGGGAGTCTCTTTCATCAGAGCTGCTTTTGTAAATGACACAGGCCATTATGCTCTTCCTGTGTAATTTTATGACTTAGTATAATGACTCAAATAACCCTAACAACAGAGGAATTATAGCATCGTTTTACATGACAGATTATTTCAATGGTTAACATGTTTTTCATTTCAATTAACATTCATTATTTTGTCTCTGGTTCAAAATAGCCACTATGTTAACTATCTGCTTTAGAAGCAATTAGTTTTGATTTGGCAAACAAATTCATTATTTTTGAATAGGCGATTTGATAGTAACATGAAAGTAAAATGCATGTAATCCTTCTGTGCCAGGAAACAAAGACTCTTATTATTGGAGAGGGATCATTCTCTGGTGGATTCTTCATCCCTTTGAGCTGACAGGTCTCTGTCTTAGAGATGTGATAAGAGAACAAAGACAGGACAGAAAAGAAGGTCCAGTTACTAGGACTGGTTATGTATGCCTTATTTTTTCGATCTGTAAAATGGGTTTATTAATAGCATTTACCCTCAGAGTAGTTGCTATGTGTGAGGAATCAGGGAGATGCGTTCAGGGCAATTAGACCGGCATGTAGTAGCCACACGAAACAAGTTGACTGCTGCTGCTGGTCTTCATTATCTGGAATTGCTTTACTCCTTCAGCAGCTGTTCATATGCAGAGCGAAAACAGTTTTATCTAAAGTTATACAAACATGGTAGATGGCAGAGTGTACTGAGTAAAATGAATGGCCCTCCTTCAGTGACTGAAAGAAAAAGTCAGCAATTCTACACGTTTTTAGCAGCTACTTTCCCCATTATTAAAATATTTTTGACACAGATTGTTGAATTTCATTCAGCAGGATTATGTCAGGAAATTTACACCTGTACATGTATTTATTGCTAAAATAAAATTACTCTGTCTTGCCACCTGCTTGCTGTCGGCCCTGGCTATGGCCCCATTATGCCATGGTCAAGTGAAATGCTGGGTCACATTGATGTCTTCAAGGACTCCCTTGGTGTCCCCTGTGGGGGAGGTCACAGGGTATGGGTTGGTGAGGGTGGGGATATCTTAGTGGGGTCCTGTCTAAAGCAAGAGTGGGAAACACTGACGTGCGGAGTTGAAGGTTAAGGTTGACATTCCCAGGAACCAGGACAGGAGCACCTTGAAGAGAGGGGTTATGACCTGGGCAGTCCATCTTGCTTGTAGCTGTTGCCATCTTAAAAGATTGTGCTTATAGTCCTGTCAGCCACTCATGGAGAGTTGTTCTTGTAAATAAGATGAATGTGAATAGATTTGTTTCAATACTATATTTTATAAAAATCCTCTGAGTGGGGTTCCAAAGAATTGTTTTATAGCAAAGTAAGTCTTCAATTTGATAATATCAACATGTGATTCTGGGCAGTACTGTTAACTTGTTAGAAGATCCAAATGTTATGTTAATTGAGTACTACCCAATAATGTTGGATGACAGTTCACAGTGTTTGAATTTTTGCTCTAGGCTGCATGTCTTTATAAATACTACTAAACTTAATATTTCTTGCTTATTTAAAAAAACACATAAAATATTGTGATAAATATAGAAAAACATTATTTCAGCATTCTGATTTATCATTCCTGAATCCTGAAGATTAATATCTGCTGACAGTTTGGAACCACATCATCAGAGGCCCTCATGCAGCTTTGGAAACTGTCTGACTTCTAGAGTATGGGAATCCTTAGCCCGCTGATGCACAGGGGAGCTCCCTCCACCCACTTCTCAGTTGTTTCTAGAGTTTTGTGGGATTTTTTGCTAAATGGTTTTTTTTTTTCATAGTCTGAATTAGGATTTCTGGAAACAAGAGCCTGTTGAATTCTTGTTGCTTAAAACAACACACCATTTTTGTCTTCACCATAGTGCTAACATTTTCCAGAAATAAAAGGAGAAAATTCTAAAGGTCCAAATTAATATGTTCACTTATGGACTGAGTAGGATCATGTGCCAAGTGTTCCCCTATTTCTAAGTACCAGAAGCACAAACATGATTAAGGCCCAGTCACCTCTCTTAAGGAGTACATAGTATATTGAGGAAGATAGACACAAAAAGAACTTTCACATTGTAGTGAATGCCACAGTTGGGACTGAACAGGTTATAATGCTTGAATAAACAATGTCATGGTTAACTACTTGGGATGAAGTTTACAGGGTCAGCAAGACTTCACAGAAAGCAATGGATTTGAAGCTTGAACAAGGAATAGACATTGTTATGCAGATGGAAAATAATTGTCCAGTCCTATAGACTTGAATTTGCATGACACGTGGAAGAGACACTTAAGTGGTAGATATGGCTGGCTGGAGATAGAACTTAATAGGACTGCATGGCAGGGAAAACTGGTATGAGCAGGAAGATGGAGGTGTCCAGCATGGGCTTCCCAGGCTTTTAGCCTGGGTGTGCCCCATGTCCTGTTGGAATAATAACCTCTTAACCTTTTGTCAAGTTAAATCAAGGTGCTTGCTTGGAAATTAGTCAGAGAACCCAACCAGAAGTGGTCACTAGGCTATGGTGGAGTGGGAGTGCAGCCTGACTGCCTTTGGAGGGACCTAGGAGGCTTCCTGGGGAACTGATATTTTAGCCAGGCCACAGAGAAAGGTGGATGGAGGGGAGAAATGTGGGTCAAGGAAAACCCACATGATGGCACATGGGAAAGAGCTGGCTCTGGGAAACGGCTGAGAGTGGCTGGAGCAAAAATTGATGTTGGTCGTGGTCAGTGTGCATGTGTGTGTTGGGGAGGGGAGCAGGTAGACAGGGAGCCTGTGAAGGTAGGCTGGGACAGTTTAATTCTCAAGCTTGGAGTATAGACTATGCCCTAGGAGGTAGGGAGAAGATAGAAGTTTTTTTTTTTTAGACAGAGTTTTGTTTTTGTTGCCCAGGCTGGAGTGCAGTGGTATGATCTCGGCTCACTGTAACCTCCGCCTGCCGTGTTCAAGTGATTCTCCTGCCTCAGCCTCCCAAGTAGCTGGGATTACAGGTGCCCGCCACCACAGCCAGCTAATTTTTTGTATTTTTAGTAGAGACGGGGTTTCGCTATGTTGGCCAGGCTGGTCTCGAACTCCTGACCTCAGGTGATCCACCCGCCTCAGCCTCCCAAAGTGCTGGGATTTTAGGCGTTGAGCCACAGCACCCAGCTGAAGATAGAGGTTTTAAGCAGGAGAATCACATGATCGGATTTGCACCTAAAAATCATTCCTTTGCTTCACAAACATAATGCTGGGAATTTGATTATACTTTTTAAAAAAAGATGGAGAATATACAGTTGAACAAAAAGGAATAGGAAATGCCAGTGATCTGTTGATTATCTGTCTTCTTGCCATCGTGGATGGCTTGAGGGTTGGGATTTTGTGTGTGGTGCCATCAGCCTGCAGGAGATGTGGCTGCCCCTTGGCACCAGCTGGGCTGGGGTGGATTTAGGGCTCGCTGGCCAATGAGAGAAGGCTGACAGAACCTGCTCTCAGACTAAATTGTTGTGTCACCCCAGTTGACAAATATCTGTGACATTGGGCATAACAATCCCATCAAGATACCTTCATTGGATTTCACTCTTCATTGACTCAAGAGAAATGAAGAAATATCTTGATTAAAAATTTTAGTCCCTTGCCTTGACTGGGTTAGTTATTTTTTTATGATTTGCACTGAATTGTGGAGATTAAAATATACAATAGCCAGGGAAGTTATGCTTCCCTGGGCTCACATATACTTGTACATAACTTTACATACTTGGCCTCTGGAAAGAGACTTCAGAATCATGTGCTATCTCCACTAGAGTCCTACCTTGTGGAGGTAAGCAACAGCTGAGTTTGCCCCCATCTAACAGGTATTCTTGTTTCATTAGAATTGAGAGCATTCAGAATGGCTTGCCCTTTGTGCCCAGAGCCCCCAACGTGTCCTAGGAGAAGTCAAAGGTGATTTTACCTGAGCATAATTCATAACCACCTGATATCAAGTATGTCCAGCTTGCTGCTCTGCAGGTATAGAGCCAGGAACAATGTTTCAGAAGACTATTATTTATAAAACTGAAGGTTGGTAATGAAAGTACATATGCCAAAACAGGGGATGAAAATAGTCCCAGATTGATGCTGGTTTCCTGAACAACTTCCGTTCAACAATTTTAGATGATGTAACTTTGCCATATTTCTCGGTGACACTGGGAAAGTCACTTCCTCTCTGTGTCTCTAGTTTCTCACCTAGAAAATAAAGTTATTGAAGTAGAGTAGTTTTAAGGTGTTTTCTCGTTCTGACATTCTGTGATTTTGTGATTAACTGCTGAGATACCACTGCAGTGGTCAGCACATAGGGACTCCCCCCACCGACCCCGCCACCCTACAGGGATATCTTTAGCGTCCAGGATGCACCAGGCCCTCTGATAGGCACCAGTCAGCCTCACCTCGTTGCTTCCCTTTAATGAACTTACTTTAATGGTGAAGTTCAGGTCCAGTGATAGAGATGATTTGTCATTAACTGGTGATTGATAGCTGATTCCATCTTTTCTTCAAAGCCATTGGTTCAGTGCTTACGTCTCCCTCCCTTGACTTTGGCTAAGCTCCCTTAGGCTTTTTTCCTCTAGGTCATCATTTTACATGGTTATGTCTGCTCCAGCAAAGCTGCCCACTCTTTGGACTTTATAGCCCCTTTCTGGGAACTCATAACAAGAATTGCTTCAGCTGTAGATATGCAGACTGGGGACTGACCCAGGAGCAGGGCTGCTAAATGCCAGAACTACTTCCTGCATTTGCTGATTCATTATCAGTGTCAGACAATCTGCTGTGTAAATGATGATTAAGTCTAGTGTTCTGCTGAAGGAATCACGTACCCTAAGATTAACCCCATGCTGACAGCCCCCTCTTTCACCACAAGGAGTCCCACCCACCATCCCTTTATCAGTATCCTAGAACAAATCCTGAAAGAGTACCGTATGTTTGATGAAGGATAATAGGAGGCCTCATGCCCATGTAATTTATAAATGCAAATAATAGACTTTAAAAAATCCAGAGGGCAAAGCCAAGGTGAGCAGCAGCTATGAAAGCAGTGAAGTGTTGGAGAGAAGACCCCAAATGACACACATATGGGTGCCCTCAAAGAATTTTCAAGCTGGTAATCTAGGTTGGGCTGAGATGGGCTAAAGAAGAGAGACACATCCCTGGACACTCTCTACAGCTGTGTGCATGCCATCTGAAATCTAGTTACTGATCAGCTCCACGACTTTAGGTAAGACTCTGGCTCTCATTGAGTTTCAGTTTTCCCCGCTAGTAAGACAAGCAAGTTGAACAAGCAAGGTGATTTCAGGGGACACTCATAAGACTTTCTTCTCTGGTTCTGTGGTTAGACAGGCTCAGCCCTGTGGCCTGCCCAGCCTAGGATCTCTGAGGGCCCCATGTGCTGTGCTGTGGGTACCTGTTGATCCTCTCTGATGTCACCCTCAAAGGTTGTTCCCCAAACAGACCTTTTTCCTCCTACCACCTCCCCCAAATTGCTAGAGTAGGTTTGAGGTAGAATAAGAACCAAATTAACGGTCCTCTTGGCTTTATGCATCTTTCTTTCTTGCTCACTTTCCTTCATTTGGAAGAGGGTAGGTTACCCTAGATACCAAACCTGAATTCCTGAGGACTGGAGATTCATTCCACACCTGGTAGAAAATATTTCCGTCTTCTGCTTCCATGAATTATTTTGAAAATTAAATGCCATTCCAAGCCTGGGGACTGAGGATTAATCACATTTCTATGGTTATGGTAATTTCATCCTCCATACCCCCACCTGTGGGGGCAAGTAATAATTGTAATAATGGCTACCATTTTTACTGCTTCCTATTTTGCAGGCACTCTGCTGAGTACTTCAGATACATCCGCTCATTTAATCTTCATAATATCCACTTGAAGTCAATTCTATTTTCCTCCATTTTACTAATGAAGAAACTGAGATTTGTACCATTAAATACCTTGCCAAGGTCGCACTGTGAGTGAATGACAGAGCTGAGATTTGAACTTGTACTTTCTGACTCCAGAGCCCAAGCACTAATCATCATGCAGGAAGGCCAGTGCCAAACATTTCAAAGGCACAGTAATTGCCTGATTGATGGGCTATCCAGAGACGGGTAGCCTTCAACCAGAACTCAGCCCCAGGGCCCTGGGAGTCGCTCCAAGCGGTTTGCTTGGAGAACAGCTTTGGCTAAGAGAGGAAGGGTGGCAGTAACTGCAGGCCTTTATTTCAGTGGTTTATGATATAGTGATGGGGTTCCTTCCGTGGACGTAAGTCATCCTAATAGCGACATTTATCATTATGACAAAGGTTAGAATGGGGAAAAACTTGAGCTGGAATGAAAGAGTAGAATTCTGATTATTTTAACAGTTGAAAGTGACATCACCTCAGAGCCTCTATCAAATGGCAGATTGGAAGCTGGACTGAAATTACTTTAAAATATATCCAGAGATAGTTTTCTACAGCTGTGATAAAGTCTTTCAGTTGTGTTCAGAGGTGTGCTTTTGTCTAAAGCGCTCATTGAGTTGCCCGTGCGTCCTCCACACAAAAGGCTGCCTGTGAGTCCCAGGAGAGTCTCAGACTTTGGGGTGCTGTTCTCTGGGCACCCGTGATATGCCACATACGGTATTGGGGCTGATTAAGCCATATTCCCTCACCGTTTTTTTTCTTTTTTTTTCTGTGTGTTGTAAAAATCTTCCCATGTCAGTAGTCATGTTTTCAATGGCTACATTGTTTTCCTCAGTCCATCTGGTTTGTTGAATCTATGCTTCTGGGACAAAATCCTCTGCTTCCTATCAATGAGTTGGAGCAAATGGAAGTGCTGGCTAAGGCCCTCAGGATCCCTTGGCCTGGTTGGATAGTCCTTTATTTATTTGGCCTTTTATTCTGGGAACTTAGAGGAAAGACTCATAGGGTCTGGAGCTTCAACTAATTTATCCCCTTTTTTCTCATCTTTAGGCAAAAGAAGGGGAACGTGGCCCAGAAACACTGGGTTGGACCTTCGAATTTGGTCAAGTGCAAGCCCTGTCCCGTGGCACAGTCAGCCATGGTCTGCGGCTCAGATGGCCACTCCTACACATCCAAGGTTGGTTTTCTTGTCTTTTTATGTTATCAAAAATACTTCATGTCGGCTTGTTCTAACACTTCTCTATGCCAAAACTGGGGCTTGGGAAGCGTGGTGGGCTCCAGGCCTTGCCCTTGAGAAGCTGCTGCATTAGCAGACTCAGAGATGTTCTCTGGCCATGGAGACAAGCAAAATAAAAATATTCTATCCTGTGTAACTGGGCTGGTTGGAGGGGAAGAAGAAGGGATGGTTCTGAGAATGGCATGTGATCCTGAAGTTAATCTAGACAAGCTTCCTGGAGAAGGTGGGATAGCCAGCTGTTCAAAAGAGGCAAGTCATATAGCTCAACTGATGGGGAGCAAACCAGTAAGGGGGGGTCGTGATGCTGCCTTGTGCCAGTGCAGTGGAAGGAAGGGGTGTGACATCAGTGCACACCTAATTCACACTTACTGCACATCTAGAATGCATCTGGCCCTGCACAGGCCCCAAATAAGGCACTGTTCTTTTCTGGGGGTGCCTCAGGGATTCACAGATGAATGGGGGTAGGGACAAGTGTGTGACAGGTCATTTTAACTCAAACCAACAACAAGAAAATTGTTTCACAGAAAAAGGGGCTGGGATAAAATATGTCTATTTATATTTATTGGAGGGATGAGGGAAGGCTTTATTTCTATTGGAAAGATGAGGAAAAGCCTCTTCTAGAGGGGCATTTCACCTAAGCTCTAATAATAGGATTTACAGGCAGGGAGGCAGGGGTTATGGAAGTAGAGAAAGGAGGTGATAATTTGTTCTTGGAACTCTCCTTGGGTGAAGTATGGCCATTTGTGATTGAGAATGGGTACGTTTCACCAGGATAATGAACTAAAGGGAAATCATAGAATTGATAGGAGTTTGCTTCTTCATTTTCATATCCGACAACCATCCCCTGAGGATCTAACATTGCTAGACTAACATTGCTAGACACAAAGGAGCCAGTGTATGGGTGCGTGTGTCAGGGTTTTCTGTAAGACATGGTGGGTGGGAGTAGAGCTCTTGCCCTCCCCATCTCCTCCAGCCAGAGCTACACCATTTTCATCTGTCTTCCTGTTTTTCTGTGTAAGGTTTAACTTGCAGAGTGGAGCCCATGACTAAAGAGTTGCTGTAGGGGACATCTTGGTGACTCCTGGCCACACTGCTGCATGGTTCTTGGGCCTTTCTGCTGGGACCTCCTTCTTGTCATGCTCCCACTGCACAGACAATTGGCCACTTCTGTTCTCTGTGATCCCCTCACCACCTTGACCCTCACACCATGGAGATGTCACAGGCTCACGATGATCCTCACTGCTTGCTGTCCTCAGAGACTTATCAGGGTTATTTAGAGGCTGTGACCACTTTTCCCTATCGATTTTGTGATGCACGGGTCATATATCCTTATGATTTTGTCCACTAATAGTTGAGTTTTATCCTCCCAGATGTTCACATTTTTCTAACAAAGGAGAAGAAAAATGTGCTTCTTACAAACAGGAAAGTGGAAAGGTACATATGTCTGGCTTGTACTCAGACCCATGGGATCTGCTTTAGGATTCAATAGCATATCATTGCTTGATTGGTTCCTTGGTTCATTCAACAGGTTATCATTTGATCCATTTCTAGTGCCAGGCACTGTGCTAGGTGCTGGGAAAATTTATAACATAATGGGAATAAAAGAGTTGGCTCTTCTTCATGGCCAGACTCAGGAATCCTTAACTCTAACTCCAGACCTGTTCTGTGAGTTAGAAATTCTTTGTCCAAGATTATAGCCTTTCTCAATAGCCATAGCCCATCTCAGCTCAACTAAACCCACACTTCCCCATCCCCTTACTCTTTTTAGCCCCTAATAGATTCAACATTTTTGATAGTTTATAGTAACAGGACTTGCTTTTGACACCCTAGCCATGTCTGGAGTGGTGGATTTAAAGGGGACACTGATGAGTCATTTCTATCCCCCATTCCCAAAGGCAGATCAGGCCATCATTGTCTTTCACTTAAGGCCCAGATCCTAGGTGTGTAAACAATCATCTGGAGATGCTGTTAAAATGCAGATTCTGAGATGACAGGTCTGACATTCTGTACTTCTAGCAGTTTCCCAGGTGATGACCAAGCTGCTGGTCCACAGACCACACTTTTAGTAGCAAGGATATCAGTGTTTATAGAACCCTTCTAATAGGTCTCCCTGCCTCCAGTCTGCCCCTTCTGCTACCCCAAAGTCAATTTCCACATATCCGAAGAAGGAGAATTTTTGTAATAAAAGTCTGTGTGTCTCCTCTGCTAAAAATGCTCAGCTAGCTCTCCCTTGCCACTATCGTTACTAATGGGGCCCTCCAGAGCCTGCCCCCTTTTGCTCCAGGTCACTCACCGTAGAAAGAATCTTTCATTCATTTGTTCAGCAGCTCTTATTGAACACTTGCAGTTGTTGTATGCACTGTGCAAAACATGGGGTGAGGGCGGTGGCAAATAAGACAGGCACCATTCCTACTCACTTGGAAGTTACCATCTGGTAGGGAACACAGAAATAAACAGGTAACCAAGCATATAAATATGTAATTTCAAATTTTAGTAAGTACTATGAAGCATAGTTCTGAAAGAGAGGGTTGGAGAGAGACTTGTTTTATAGGGAATGGTGATCCGGGAAGGTGTCTCTGAGGGGGTGTCCTTTAAACTGAGAGTGGAGGAGTAGAATGTTCCAGATAGAGAAAATAGCATGGGCCAGTGCAGTAAGTCAGTGTGAGGTGTTTGAAGAACCATGAGGATGCCCCTGTGGAGAAACATGAGATAAGAAGGAGAGGGAGGATATTGAAACCGTCTAAGCAGGGACACTTAGCCAGCTTGGAAGGTGAGAAGATGATCTGGCAATTCCAGGCTGGAGGGATACTCGGTATTATAATTGCCTTAAGAATGTGAGATCCCAGAGGCAGAGACCGTTTATAGTGGCTGCTCAGGCATGGGGTGTAGTAGATAGTGGCTGCTCAGAAAACATCATTACCAAGAGAGGAGCCAAAAAAGAGTCTAGCTGAGAAGGAGTGGGGAGATTCCAGTCCGCATAACTCAACTTGGATTTGAGTCAATGGGGTGCAGAGAGCTTTGCAATAGAAAAAAACAAGCCATCCCTATCCTGGGCCAAGCTGCTTAGCTGAACACCCAACCTGGGGCTCTGGCAGAGACTTAGCAGCTCCTTGCAATGTTTCTCTCTTTGTGAAGATCCTGTTTGTGCTGTTCTAATTATTCCTTCCAGCTCTGGAGCAAACTGTCTGATCCTCAGCCTGAGACTGGAGATGAGCCATGAGATGTCTGAGTACTCAGGACTGTTTGGGCAAGTGGCGTATTGTACATCAAACCCCAGCAAAAACCTGCTCACTCACCTCTGCCACTCATTCGCAGGAGGAGCTTAAAATGCCAGCTCCCTGTGAACCTTGAGCTGCAAAGAGCAGTGGTAACCTGTCAGACATGGCTGAAATGCTGTCAGTTGCCCGGGAAATAGCTCTGGAAATGTTTGCTGGTCAAAGCCTCTTGGTAGTTTGGGCAGGAAAGTTGACTTTTTGGATATGGGAAGGTTGCCTGCTTAGAAGTACTTAATAGCTGGTTTGAGAAGGATTGGGGAGACCCCTTTGCAATGACTTCGGATTCTTCATAAGAGGAGTGGCATATACATACTGCTGGGCCTGGCCCTCAGACCTTCCCAAACAGCATCCTGATATTCCTTTAGTGTCTTTGAATTCCTGCACCAGCCTGACCAGCTTCTCAGTTTCCCAGACCTGCTTAACCCTTTTCCTGGGGCAGAAGAAGATGTCTAAAGCCATCTTACCAAAGGTTGTAATATTCTTCTCCCATATTCCGTGTAGGATATACCGAAGCCCCAAAAGACAAGGATAGTGGGAGTTTTACGCCCATGGTCTCCTGCCTGGGTATCTGTGATCTGTTCACTTCTATTGGAAGATAAAGGGAAAAGAGTGGTGGGAGGGGCACTGCTGCAGTGGGAAATGGCATGGGTGTTGGTTCTTGGCATTAGTGTGCTAGTCTTCTGTCTTATGTGAACATCTAGAAGTTTGTGTTTTCTCTTTCTTAACATAGTGGGGCAAATATTACTTAATCTGAAGCTGTGTTTTGATTGCTGAAGACTTCTGAAGCAGAGGACAATTCTAGACCCCTGTGGCATTCTATGAGGCTTCCTTCCAAGGGGGCTATTTCAGTCTGGTTGGATTTACTACTGGAGTGTTTTAGACATTGCTCCTAAATACCTGGCCACTTATTTATTGAGGTTCAAAAAGATGATTTAGTCTCAGAGACAAACCTGTTGGAGACCACCAGTAGATGCTCAATTAGTAAGAGTGAATTAGTTAACTGTAAAGGAGCAAATGACTTCCCATCCCATGGAGTTAGAACCTTTTTTGGATCATCGGTGTCAGGAAACAAAGGACAGATGAGACCATGACGCATGTGTAGTTGGAGGTGATTCAATGTCATTAAGTCAAAATCATAAAAATTAGTTTTGGCAAAAATATATTACTGTCCCTGTCCCATCATCATCAGGGAAACCCACACTCCATAATACATAATCACATTTTTCCAGGTGAATTGTTTACTCCTTCAAGATGGGTTCCATGGCTGTGTGAGCATCACCGGGGCAGCTGGAAGAAGAAACCTGAGCATCTTCCTGTTCTTGATGCTGGTATCTGTCCTTGGGTTTCATCAAACAAGCTTTCCTTCTGCTTCCGGGCCCCCAATAGTCAGAGGTTCCTAGAAGTGGTGGATGCATTGTGGAGTCTTTGTCTACAGCAGGCCTCTTCTAATGCCCTGATACCAGGGACACCACTCAGAGCTGTGTGACTCCCCCAGGATCAAAGATAAAGTGCACAGAAAGGCACAGAGTCTTGAGATGAAGGGATGTAAGATGTTACATGGCAATAAATGTTTATTCAGACACTATAAAGCATAATCCATAAAAGATAAGGAACAGAAGGGTACTACAGGGAATTGACAAATGGAAGGCCAACAGTGCAGCTGGTTTGAGAGTGTGATATAGACTCTGACCCTTCGCTTGGCTTCCAGGCAGTAAGGATCGCCGTAGTAATTTCTTAACTACTCTTGATACTGCATTTTTATGGCAAGGAAGACTGAAGTAAATTTCTGACTTTATTGAATTCAGAAATTCAATAAATATGTATTGAGTTATTTCCTACTCTGTACCATACACTGTGTTAAATACTAGGGATATGGCAAAAGACAAAATAGACAAAGCCCCAGTTTTCATGGAACTTACAAGGAAGGTAGACAAATTGAAAAGCAGTCTCCTTTCGTTAGAATAGATGTTTAGATAAGGGACATTTGGGAAGCTGCAGGAACACAGAGCAAGGCCACCTCAACCAGTTTGGAGGTGTAAGCAGTCTTCTTGGGGAAGCGATGGTTCAGGTGAGATCTTAAGGCTGGAAAGAGTCAACCAGAGTAAGAGCTGGGGGCACAGGAGCTCATTCAGTCAGGGAGGAGGGGGTCGAAGAGGTGAGAGAAAGCATGGCACCTTGAAGGAACTGGTGACTGTCAGTGTGGCTGGGTCACATGTGAGGTAGGGAAAGGGGTTCACTAGCTGTAGAAATGAGGCTAGAAAAGTCACCAAGGGCCACATTTTGCAGGGGCCACATGAAGGGGTTTGGACTTTGCCTGAAGAGTATTGGGGAACCTACCAAAGGTTTATATTTTTGAGTATGCTTACACTGGCTGCAGGGTGGGCATGGTTGGGGCAGGATTGGAGGCAGGGTGACTGTGAGAAGCCTCCTGGAATCATCTGGGCCTGGTGTGAGGGAGGCCTGGATTTGCAGAGAGGGTGCAGGGATGGATAGAAAACCATCTAAAAAGGTATTTGGGAAGCTACAGCTGGTCTTAGCAATGATTCGAATTTCAGATATAGAGTCATTACAGCTCCGAGCCCAGGAGGACTTCTTCACCGTCTTCAGCTTGGCGGGACTTGCAAGTCCTCCTGCCTGCCGCTTTGTGGTTTTGTCCTGGACCATCTGGGAGCCCAGCACTTCTGGAATCCTTTCCTTTCTTTTCTGTTATCAGCATAGAAAGAGTAAAGCTTGCTGGGGGCCTGATTGCCAGCTTTTAATTCTGTCTGCTGGAAGAGAAGCACTGATGCTGCTGACTGGACCCTGGGCAGCCCAGGCTTCACCCAAGTGGGCAGTCTCAGGCTTTCTCACTCTGGAGGAGAGAGCTGCTTTAGAAAATGGGAGGAGATCTGGTGAGGAACTGGGCTCCTGGGAGCTCAGAAAGGAGCAGAGGAGGAGGTTGCTACTGCTCCAGGTCCTGGCTCTGGTTGTGGTGGGGGGTGGGGGTGTCTAATTGCCAGGCCTCCTTTGATAGGACTTTATGGACTTCAGTCATCTGGGCCCACCTGACTGAAGCTCAGATGTCAGGGCTGACTGCTCACTTCCCAGCACTGGGCCTTGTCTTTGAGGAGAGGGCCCACTAAGCGCCACCACTGTGAGTCTTGAGAGCCAGCACTGTTCACTGGCATCAGCTTGGCTGCTGGTAATCGGCGACCAAGCAGGCAAACACCCGTCTGCTGTCACTCCCCTCCCCCTGACATTCTCTTCCTTAATTGCTGTTAAACAATTAGCAAATGGCTCAATTATGTCTCGACACAGAAGAGAGACGCAGAGTTAAGAACTGCTGTGGAGGAAAATGTTTCTCTTCCCTTCTGCCTGAGCACGTGTGAGGGAGGCGAGAGAGCACTTGCTTTACAGGGTTGGCATTTCTTTCAGCATATTGTCGCTGCAGATTATATTATTTTTTCAGAGGCATCTTAATAGTTTCCAACAATTGCTACCTTGTAAAGGTCATGTTTGAAGTTCTTGGCAAGTAGAGTCTGTATTGGCCGACATTGCCTAACAACAGGCTATTCTCAGGGTCGGAGCAAATCAGGGTTGTGCATGTGTAAGACTTCTCAAGATGGCTTTAAGCTCAGCATGACTTCTCTGTCTCCCAAGGCTTTTATGACCTTGTGACCATGTCAGGCATAGGAGGTTTTTATGTGTGGCTACTTTTCTTTTAAGCAGAGTTGAGACTGTTGGTGTTTTCAGGAGTATTTTTTGGATAGTCCTGCTCCCACCAGACCCGTGGGTTGAAAATTGGCTTTACTTGCAAATGGCTTATTGGTGAGGGCCTTGCTTCTGACTAAGCAGAAAATAAAATTATTGGAAACTGAAGGCAGAAGATGGCACTTGCACATGTTGTGCATCCACAGGCTGGAACACAATGGCAATAGCAATGGCGTTAAGGATGAGAGCAGCAGCAGCAGCAATTAGGCAAGTCACTGGATGTTCCCATCTGTGCAGCACTGAGGGGAGATGAGAAGTTAAAATTCTGATTTCATCCATGCCTACTCTTGGATGGTAGTGGGGAAAAGAGTCTTGTGCAGATAGACCACAGTGGACACCAACAGTCCAATAAGGCAGCGGTCCCCAACTTTTTTGGCACAGGGACCAGTTTTGTGGAAGACATTTTTTCCCTGGGCCATGTCAGGGATAGTTTTTGGATGATTCAAACACATCACATTTATTGTGCACTTTATTTCTATTATTATTACATAATAATACACAATGTTGTATAATTATTTTGTTGTAATGAAATAATTATACAACTCACCATAGTGTAGCATCAGCGGGAGCC
This sequence comes from Homo sapiens, assembly GCF_000001405.40. Classification (NCBI taxonomy): domain Eukaryota; kingdom Metazoa; phylum Chordata; class Mammalia; order Primates; family Hominidae; genus Homo; species Homo sapiens. The sequence goes on along the minus strand of NC_000005.10, from coordinate 137,104,778 downwards.
CCGAGCTTGTTTTCCTACAACTAGATGGGGATGATGGGAGATAGTGACAGATCATCAGGCATTAGATTCTCATAAAGAGCATGCAACCTAGATCCCTTGCATGTGTAGTTCACAGTAGGATTCGCACTCCTATGAGAATCTAATGCCACCGCTGATGTGACACGAAGCGGAGCTCAGGCAGTAATGCTCGCTTGCCCACTGCTTATTTCCTGCTGTGGGCCGGTTCCTAACAGACCACAGACCAGTAGCAGTCCATGGCCTTGGGGATGGGGACCCTGCGATAAGGCATTTGGGTGGTAGATTTTATTATTTTGATTTTGTTTGTATTAGTCCATTATCTCACTGCTATAAAGAAATACCTGAGACTGGGTAATTTATTTTTAAAAAAGAGGTTTAATTGACTTATGGTTCTGTAGGCTGTACAAGCTTCTGCTTCTGGGGAGGCCTCAGGAAATTTATAATCATGGTGGAAGTTGAAGTGGAAGCAGGCCCATCTTACATGGCAGGAGCAGGAGGAAGAGAGAGAGATGAGGAAGATGCCACACACTTTTGAACAAACAGATCTCCTGAGAACTCTTATCACGAAAATGGCACCAAAGTGGGGATCAGCCCCTATGGTCCAATTACCTCCCACCAGCCCCACCTCCAACACTGGGGATTACAATTCAACAGGAGATTTGGGTGGGAACACAGATCCAAACCATATCACTGCTGCTTAGAAAAAGCCAACAAATGAAGTTGTATGTGTTTGGAGAAGTACTCAGTGGCATCTAACCAACTCCACGTGATTTTGCTGTATACATTCAACAGTTTGAAGGTTGGGGACAAACACTCAGTGTCAGATGACTGAATTTTGCCTTTTCCACCCAGTCCTTGCTCATTTTCAACCTTCTTTCCTTAGCCAAATATCATTTAATAAAAAGAGCTAGTTTACATTATGTGAAAATCCTCAACTATTAGTTTAAATAGAGTTCATGTACTAGTTTTGTTAGAATTATCCTCTTTTCTGATTTTCAGGGCTTTTGGAAGGAGAAAGTCAGAATAATATTTAAAATATTAATTGTGTGTTAGTTAGGATATAGGTTGTAGCTGCTATAACAAAAACCCAAATTAAACAGAGGCTTATAACGGGATTACATTTTATCTCTTGCTCCTGTAAACATTTACCAAGGTAAGCAGCCCAAGGCTGATGTGCAGCCTCCAGACTGGCAATGACCAGGATCCTTTTAGTCTGCTGTCATTCTCAGTGATTAGAATTGCTGAGCTTCTGTCTCTGGGTCCAGGATGGCTGCTACATCCAGCCAGTAGGATAGAGGAAAAGAAAGGGGGCACAATTGCGAAGCCACTAGTGTTACTTCTGTTTACATCCCACTTGCCAGAACTTAATCATAAGGCCACTGCAAGCTTCAAGGGAGGCTGGGGAATGTCGTTTTTATTACAGGCAGCAATGTATCCAGCCAAAATAGGAAAGTTACATTATTAAAAGAAGAACAAAGCCGGCGTGGTGGCTCATACTTGTAATCCCAGCACTTTGGGAGGCCAAGGTGGGTGGATAACCTGAGGTCAGGAATTTGAGTCTGCTCAACATGGTGCAACTCTGTCTCTACTAAAAATACAAAAGTCAGCCGGGCGTGGTGGTAGGCACCTGTAATCTCAGCTACTCTGGAGGCTGAGGCAGGAGAATCTCTTGAACCTGGGAGGCAGAGGTTGCAGTGAGTGGAGATCACACCATTGCACTCTAGCCTGGGCAACAGAGCAAGATTCTATCTTTAAAAAACAAAACAAAACAAAAAAAACCCAAAAAGCAGAGTAGATATTGGGGTTATCCAGCAATCACTACCACAGTGATATTTAAATAATAAATAATAATAACGACAGAAAAACAGTAATTATTGAGCATATTAAGCACTATCACATTGTGCTAAGTGCTGCAGTATTCTTTATTTTACTTTCTGTATTATTTCATCTAGCTCTCACAGTAAACCTGTAAGGTAGGTACTATTGTCAGTCCTAAATTGAAAATGAGAAAACTGAAGCTATACAACTTTTTTCAGGTCAATATCGCTAGTAAGTAGCAGAGTAGATATTTGAACCCTGGTCTGTCTGACTCAAGAGCTGCAATTTTTACTTCCACGAGTGAAAAACCATCTGAAAAGTAATGTAAAATACTAGTTGTAATATCAGAATGCTTTTGATTTTAATGACAGAAACATGACTCAACCCAAAAAAGGACAGTTACTGGCATAAAAGACTAGAAAGCATATTGGGGTAGCCAGGCCTTAGAGAAAGAAGGAAACCTTCAGTGTTGCCACCACTCCGTTTCTTTCCATCTCTCGTCTTTGTTTGCTTCTACTTGTATTTATTCTGCAAAGAGGCTTTCTTCCCTCAGCAGAGAATAGGGATTTTAATAGCCCCAGATTCACTTGCTCCCAGCCTAGAAACACCAAACAAATTTACTCATGTTTTAATCCTGGCAAAAGATTCCAACTAGCTCATTTTGAATCATGTGCCCTTCCCTTAATGAAATCTTATATCCAGGCTGATATGGCCCTATGGTTGGCCTGCTCTGGTCACATGAACCTCTTCATCCCAACCTTCGCTATGAATAAGAGTTAAGATTTTTTTTCAGCAGAAGAAGTGGGAGGAAAAGAGTTTATACTGCATGAATAAAATTTAATAAGTAGTATACCACCCAGTCACATTTTAAAATATTAACTATGTTAGCCTCATTAAATGCTATGGCCGCATGAGCCTGGTTTGAGCTGGTAAGAATGTATTAAGGCATATTGTGTTTCTAGGAATGATGGGCATAGAGGGGCATGCAAGGCAAGTTTTTATCCCAGACATGTTGTTTAGCTGAAGAGGAAGTTCATCTATGGGAATGTGATCTAGTGTCATTTTAATTCAGGATGTTTTTAAACCATTTGGCTTAATGCTTTAATACTTTCTTCTGATCGTGGGACACATCTGTCCTTAGTTCTCCCAGCATTTATTTCTTCTTAGAACATGCCAAGATAACACAGTCTTTTTGGCTCCTGAAGATAAACTTTCAGGCAAAATGGTTATTGTGACATTTTCAGAAAGCACAGATGTTCAGACATCGTCCATTGTGAAAATACATCCACAGAATTTACACAGACTACTTAAGCATGCAGATTAGTCATGAAGTTAGAGCAGAAGGAAGCAATTCAACTAATTATTTTACCACTTATTTCTATGTTCTGTATGCAAACATGCATTTAACCAAGATTTGAAGAATAGGTTTTCATTTCTTCTTCTCAAATGCCCTGAGTAGAATGCCATGTAATTAGTTAGTGCTTTTGTTAAAAACACATTAGGAAGAATACCTTCTTGTTGTCAGTTCTGTTGAATGCACAATTAAGCCATTTGATAAAGCAATTACCTGAACACGAAGATGCTTGGCCTCACTTCATCAGGAGATGAAATTAAGGATTAGGTAAAATTGCACAGCACATGATATCTCTGCCTACCAATCCTTTAAAAGACAGAAAGGTCCCTGGCCAGAATGAATAGACACAGTGCTATAAGCCTAATTAAATCACTGCAAACAACTTTAATGAAGTTCATGATCATGTCGCTTTTGTTTTTCTTTAAAGGAGACAAACAGAATATTCCCTTGCTGACATTCTGCTCTAATGAGTATGGTCAGACTTCTTCATATTTTTCAAGAGAACATTTCAGCGCCAAGATGTAGGTAGGGCTCAGTGAAGCTGATCTTACTTTATAAGCCCTAGGCTGAGACCTGTGTGTTATATGGGGAAATTAAGGAATATTAACTGGGTTGGGACTTACCATGAGTTGTTGCCATAATTGTGTATTGAAGGAAATGGGCTTTAATGATGCTCTTATTTTTACCAAAGCAAGTTTTCTTTTTTTTTTTTTCCCCTTTCGGAAACAAATGAAACATTTGGGAATCTTTGTATACCATGAACAGAACAGAAATGCTTCTTCCTCTGAACAAGGGTGTCCTTCTTGAGCTGCTAGATTCTGTCCAGGAAGGTGCTCAGAACAGCAAACCTCCAGTAGCAGGAAAGGCCCTGTGTCCAAATAAGCGAGTTTTCCCAAGTTCTCATCCAAAAGCAGTAAGGACAGCTTTTGAATCCAAACCTCCCCAAAGTCAGGCTGTACAATGGCAGGCAGGTAAGAAACTTGGATGCTATAGGAAGCTGGTGACCCCAAACAGTTTGGTCAGATTGAGCTCATTAGAAGTATTTCTTTGCTTTCTCTTCTCCAGTGGAGAGGCCAAAAGATGATATGTATCAGTGAGGGTGGGATGCCCCAAAGGTGTCTCTAATCAAGATTCACTACATCATGCACGTTGTCTTCTACCATTTTCTGCTGGAAGCTATCTAGTCCAGCCACCTGGCTTCTCTTTATAATAAACCAATGCACAACCCAACTCCCTGGCACCAAACAAGGGACAAGGAGAGGTGGAATGGAGAGAATGCATCAATTGTTTTTGGCAATTTAATGCACTGTGATGATCCCTCACCCACATCTAGCCCTACAAAAAAGGAGGAACCATTTTCCTGGGATTTTAACTGTAAGGCTTATCATAAGCACCATCTCCTCAGTGAACCCTCCTGAGCCCTTTGTGCCAAACTAGACCATTTCTTTCCTGTAAACTCCCCTGTTGGAGCACTGATTCCATCACATTGGAAATGTTGTTGTACACGTGGAAATCCAGCCGTATGATAGACTAGAGTCCCTGAAAACTCTCTGATACCGAACTCCTAGTTATAATGCAGACATTATTTTAATAGTTGAGCTTGCAAGATGTAAGGGAAATCCCTGGTTGTAGGGAGAGAGGAGCACTGAAATCCAGACAGAATCCTGACCATGACTCCGGGGGGTGGGGAGGTAGGGAAGCTCAAGAGATTTTAAGGTAACAGCTGCATGCTTCAATGCAATAATATGCAGCTGTTGCCCCAAAACCTCTTGATTAGCTTGACTGGCTCCTTTCCGTTGACTGGATACAATGCCTTAAGTCCTAACATAGTGAGAAGTTGGAGCTGAAACCACAAACATAAATCCAAGACCTTCAGTGGGTTCACCCTGAGTTAAAGGGTGGGAGATATATATATACACATGTACATATACATACACATACACACACATGTACATATACATATATATACATATGTGTGTGTATATATATGTGTACATATATATATATATACACACACATATATATTTTTTTAAATCTGTTAGTAAAACAGGGCAAAAGAACACTTGCCTGTTTCAGCTTGGACTCTGGTTAGAGAGAGAAAAGATCCCTGGTGAAACTTTTATAACAGAGAACGTGCATTCATTCAGGGCAAAGGTTTTACACAAAATATTTAAAGACATATATAGGACACAGACATAAACCAATCAGAAAAAGTAGTGGCAAAAACTGCAATTACTTTTGCCCCAACCCATTATACCTCAATAGAGCCGTTTAAAAAGTATGTATGTTAAAAATGAGACCTGTGGAGGGTGTCCAGAGATCAGCACATTCTTCCAGTCACCCACGTTTGTTTCTGTGTTTCTCATTTTTGATGCTGGTACCCTCCCTCACTGAGAAAGATCCTGCTTTGCTCTCTCATCTAGGCTGAGGAATGTCAGAAAATGGAGGTGACACTTTTCAAATGTTTTTCCAGTGAAAAATTGAAAGATAAAAAAGGTGTGGGCACCCCGAACACTCAATCACTCTGGACTCTCCTTTCCTGAAGAAAGTCTGTACTTGAAGCATGTCCTGGATTTTAACATCCCTTTGGGAACAAAGCCTGCTCTCATTTGTTGGTGTTGCCCTTCTTCCCCCTCTTTGAGAAGAGGTCTTGGGGGACTGAGCAGCAGCCGGAGGAGCCAACCAGGAGGTGGCTGAGGTTGCAGAGCAGGTCTCCTGAGGTGGCCCGTGGAGCCTGTGGACCCGGTGGCATTTCAGAGAAAATCTGCTTTGGTGGGAGGGAGAGTTAAGGCTCATGGTATGGCAAGAATAAACGATGCAAAGTCTCTAAGTATCTGGGAGGCAAAAATTGATGGTCAGTGCAGGTGAGGGAAGAGCAATGTGTTCTTGACATGGCCTCTGAGACTGATGTGACAAAGCTTTCAGCCATGTAGGTGATGGGAACAAGAGAGGTTGTACCTGTGAAAGTTATGTGTTGGGAGGGGCCACTTTGTCTTCTGACTGCAGGTGTTCAGGCTCCATCCACTAATTCCATGCTCAGACCTTTAGTCCATAGAGTTGGATGAGGTCACAGACTTTTCTGGCACCTGCTTTGGGATCCTCTTCCAGGGTGGTCTCTTTAAAGTCATCTAACACACCCACCCTTTGCCAGGCCCCTGCTGGGCCACTGGTCCTGAGCTCAGGTTGCTGCCTGGTTCTGAGGAAGACACATATGTAAATGTAGATAGTTTCACAGGTCAGCCAGGTGAGGGGAGTGCTGGAAGTAGAGCCAGGGTGAGGTACTGTGGGGAAGAGGAGGGCTGGGTGCAGCAGTGTCCGAGTTAAGAGCTTGTCCTTGGCTTGTTAGGTATGTGACCTTGAGCAAATTACCTAATCTTCCTATGCTCTCCAGTTTCCTTGTCCATGAAATGGACATAATAACACTTGTCTGGAAGAGTTTTTGTGAGAATTGAGTTATTACATATTAAATTCATCGAACAGTATGTGTCACATTGATAAGCCATCTATCAGTACTCATTTATTACTAATTACCCCCTCCCCAAGGAAGTCTGAAGGATCTTTTGTAGCACACCAGTCCTCCCCCTAGCTCCATTGGCCCAGCTTTTACATTACACCTTCCATTTGCTTCAGAAAGCCTTCTCTGCCTTCTGCTCTCGGGTAGGTGGGATTGCACCATGTTCTGCCCGATGGTGGTGGTAACGGCAGCAGGCACCTCTGGTTGAGGGCAGACTCTTTAGCAGGCACTGGCTGGGGCCTGGCTTTTCTTACTCATTATTAATCCCGTGGCAGCACCCAATGTGGCAGATGCAGTGGTATTTGGGTCCGTTTTCATTCATTTTGCCAACATGTAGTGAGCATTAGGCCACAGCAGGTTCGGGTTAGTTTTTGTTAGTGAAATCAGAAGACTCTTACATAGACTGTGAGGCTCCAATAGGAAGTGAATAAAAGCCTGCCCAGCATTGCAAGGGGGAATGTTTTTGCACACTCAGTTGTTCTCCTGGCTCTCTATGACATCCCCTTATCCCCATTCCACCATATATCCATTTGTCCAATGCTTGCTCAGCTCCTCTGACATGCTCAGTCTGTGTACAGGATGCTGAGGCAGGTGAATTGAGCTGGCTGCATTTGCTAGAGCTTGGGAATAGTTATCAGGCTTTGCTCGAATTTCTAAGCCACGGCTCACATCTCTCTGAGACAGGGTTATGTTGGAAGACTAAGCGAGCAGCAACTTTGGTTGCTGGGATGACTGTACTGGAACCTTCTCAGGTCTGCCAAATGTGCAAGGGAGTCAGAAAACTGGGCTTAGAACTGCTTTTGCTGGGCAAGTCCCCCTCCCTAATAAATTAAGCAAAAGCAGCCCCTCTATTCACAAGGCCAGAGACCAGAGTCTACCCCCCAGTGGCCAGCTTCACTTCCCTTGACCTGGGCATCATACTCCAGCTCCTCCCTGTGTGTAAGTAGGTGTGATTTGCGTGAACACTAGTACTAGTACTACATTACTGTCTGCTGTGTGCCACCTGCCATACTATGCACATAACATGACATTACATAATTCTCATGCCAGTCTCGAAAGATGGGTGCTACTGAAAAACCTCTTCTTCAGATAATGCAGAGAGGGAGACTCAGTTATTATTAATGCTCCTGTGCTCCCTTGGCCCATAGGTGGAGGAGCCAGGCTTCAACACATCACCCTGACTCATAGAGTCCAGACAGCCAAGCGTCCTCCACACTGCAAAAGCCACTATGACAGAACTACACCAATTCACACTAACCTGGGAGGGGTTGGGTTCAGTTAACAATGGTAAGAAGACTGGATTTTAAATATGTTTACATAATTCTTTAAAAAATTTTTTTAAAAAGATACTATGACTACAGACTGAGGGTCTGTTAATACTGCCTTGGCAAATGAGTGCAAACGATGGCTTGGGTTGGCTCATCGATTTCTTGGATACAACTATGTGCTGTGATGATTCATTTTCAAGTATCACAAGCAGCCTCTTTTCCTGAGTAGTTGAGATGTTCCTATTGCAGTTATGCCTGCGTTAATTTCTCCCTTTGAGTGGACCGTTTCTTTCCCAAACTCCTGATTTTATGATCACAAGCCCAGCCCAGGATGGCATTTCACTGAGCAGAGGGGTCTAAGTGTTGGTGGGATGAGGTGGAGGGCTGGGCTCCATAGACCATAACTGACCCCATTGGTGCTGCCTCTCTGCATGGTACCATCTCCCAAGTACCTCACTCAGAAGTGGTTGTCATGGAAACCCATTTGGGTTCTTTTTTTTTTTTCTTTTTTGTCTTGGGAAGGGTCACTGTTTTATTACAACTACCTGGAAAGAGTGGAGTGCCCAGCTATGGCAGATGAGTATAGCATACTGCTGAGCAATTTCAGAGATGGCTCCAGCAGTATGCTATACTTGGGGGGCTGAGGATGGGGTGAACCACATGGCATCTCTCAGGGAGGCCACTGTGTATACCACCCCATTATCATATCCTACAAACAAAGTGCTTCTGTCACTCGCCTTCAGTGCTGTCAGTCTCCCAAAATCTATTCTCCTTGATGACCCCACCCCATCAATGAGGGAGGCTCCCTCCTTCCCCCTGCCCACCCACCCATCTACCCAGATTCTTCTGTGCTATTAGAAGCTGGTGCTGTGGGGAGGGAATGAGGGTTCCTGAGGTTACTTGGTTTTCACAGCTCACAGGTTTTCTTGATTGCATGTTTTGTAGATCCACATTTTTATCCCTGTAGCTGTCATATTTTTGACCTGCTATTTCAGTCACTCAGAACAGTATTACTTTATTGCTTTGGAATTTCTAAGACTTTTTTCCTTCCTAAGGTTTCCATCAACCTAGGGATAATACTGGCTAATGATAAGAATGGAGAACCACAGCTGGCTTTACTGAGCTGCTTGCCAGCCTGGCTGTCATAGGAGCAGTGCTGGTGGGCCTGTGTGCAGTGTGTACTCTGTGCCAGGTGCTACTCTGGGAGTTTGCTGCTCACCATTATATCTGGTCCTCACAGCCACCTTGGGATGCACAATTCTGTTTTCATTTTTACAGAAGAGGTAACCAACACTCACAAAAAGGTTGTTCCTTGCCTAAGATAACACAACCATCAATGACAGAAATAGAATCTGAACCTAGACTTAGCTGAGCCCAAACAGTTTTGGTCTTTGGTTAATAAAGGCATACGTCATTTTAATGAATGTTCTTTTATTGTGCTTTGCAGATACTAAGGTTTTTTTTACAAATTGGAGGTTTGTGGCAGACCCACATTAAACAAGTCTGTTGGTACCAATTTTTCAACAATGGGTGCTCACTTCATGTCCCTGTGTCACATTTTGGTAATTCTTGCAATATTTCAAACTTTACAAATTATTATTATATTTGTTATGGTGATCTGGGATCACTGATTTTTTATGTTGTTATTGAAATTGTTCTGGGGCATCATAAACCACTCCAACATAAGATGATGAAATTAATTGATAAATCTGGTATGTGTTCTGACTGCTCCACTAACCAGCCGTTCCCTTGTCTCTCTCCCTCTCCATGGGCATCCCTGTTCCTTATGACACAACAATATTGAAATTAAGCTAATTAATAACACTGTAGTGGCCTCTAAGTGTTCAGGCGAAAGGAAGAGTGACATGTCTGTCACTTTAAATCAAAAGTTAGAAATGATCGTGCTTAGCGACAAAGGCATATTGAAAGATGAGATAGGCCAAAGCCAGGCCTCTTGTGCCAAGCCAAGTTGTAAGTGCAAATGAAAAGTTATTGGAGGAAATTAAAATGCTATCAAGTAGCATCACATTGCTACTGAGAAATTTTTGTGAAAGGAAGAGTCCATCAATTCAGCAAACTTTATTGTCTTATTTTCAGGAATTACAGCCACCTTAATCTTCAGCAGCCACCACCCTTATCAGTCAGCAGTCATCAATATCAGGGCAAGACCCTCCACCAGCAAAAAGGTCATGACTTTCTGAAGGCTCAGGTGATGGTTAGCATTTTTTAGTAGTAAAATATTTTTAAATCAAGGCATGTACATTATTTTTAGACCTAGTGCTATTGCATCCTTAATAGACTATACTATAGTATAAACATAACTTTTATATGTACCAGGAAGCCAAAAAATTTGAGTAACTCACTTTATTGTAATATTTGCTTTATTGTGGTTGTCTGGGAATGAACCCACAATACTTCTGAAGTTTGCCTGTACTTGAATTTTATGAAGTACTAAACTCTCCTGGTTTAATAGTGGTGAATAGGAATAGCATGGTGCATATGTAGAGTAGCTTTTGAGTGGCCTACTTGAACCATCCACCCTGATGTCTGGTTGGCATCTCACATTCAATGTGTCCAAAACAGAGCTCCTGATTTTCCTTGGGCCCCAGTGTTTCCCCCAATCTGCTAATGACTCTATTCTGTGCCCAGTGACTCAGGCCAAATCTCTGGAGTCATCTTTGTTGATTTTCTCTCATTTTGTTCAACCAATCCTTAGCAAGCCTTGTCTTCTTCACTCTAAACTATATCCTGATTTTGGCCACTTATCCCCATTGCTACTCCTTAAACACTGGTGAGAGCCCCAGGGACATTGCATGGTCTCATTACTGGTCTCTGTTTCCATCAGTGTTTGCCTGTAGTCTGTTCTTCACAGAGCAGCTGAGTGATCATTGAAACAGCCTATTCCTTTCCCCTCACTTACAAGTGGTGTCCTCACCCTGCTCCCCCAGGTTCTCTATGATCTGACCTCTGTCTTACCATGTTTTTCTCATCATGACTCTGCTCCAGTCACTTGGGTGGCTTTTCTGCTTCCAATGTGCTGAGCTCGTTTCATATCAGCGTTTTGAACATCCCGTTCCCTCTGCCTGCATGCTGTTTCCCTAGACTGTCATGGGACTGGCTCCTTCTCCGCATCCCCATCTTAGCTGGAAGGTTATCTCCTCAGAGAGACCCTCTCTGACCACCACACAACAGAGCTGTCTTCCCCTCATTACTTTCTGGCCTATTGCTCTGCTTTCTTCATACCAATTACCTGCATCTGAAATCTCTTATTTCACTTGCTACTCAAGACTGTATGCTCCATAAAGGCAGAGTCCATGTCTATCTTATTTCCGTCTGAATTTCTAGAATGGGGCCTAGCATATGGTAGATTCTCAGTAAACACTGTGAATAAAAAATTAAATGATTAAAGTGCTATAGTTCTCATAATGTGCCAGGAAAGCTGCTGGATGGACCATTGGATTTATTTTAGTCCAGAATCTCTCCAGGGCTGAGAGAGACCCTGCCCTTCTTCAGCCCCCAGTGAGGATGCTAGCCTCTTCTAATTGCTCTTTCAGGATCTCAGGGAGACAAAGAGAGCACAGGATCATGATGGTTAATACAGAAATCCTGATAACTGCTGCTATGATTTGAATGTCCCCTCTAAAACACATATTGAAACTTAATCCCCAATGTGGCAGATATTGAGAGGTGGGGCCTTTAAGAGGTGACTGGATCATCAAGACTCTGCCCTAATGAATATTTTAATGGGTTAATGTTTTAATGGGTTAATGGATTAATGAGTCATCATGGGAGGGGAACTAGTGGCTTTATAAGAAGAGGAAGAGAGACTTGAGCTGACCCATTAATGTGCTCAGGCCCTTGGCCATGCGATACCCTAGACAGAGCCCCCACCGGCAAAAAGGCTCACAGCAGATAAGCCCCCTCAACCCAGGACTTCTCAGCCTCCGTGACTGTGAGAAGTAAATTCCTTTCCTTTATAAATTACCCAGTTTCAGCAACAGCAAATGGACTACTACAGTTGCCCAAACACTGATGTGTGCAAGTGTGAGTGCTGGAAAGAGGCACTGTGCTCATCCATCCATCCATTCATCGATTGATCTTTTCTCCTATTCATCAGGAAAGGACTGGGTGCTTGTTCCTCTCTAGGCACAGGATATACAAAAATGTACTAGGCAACGTCTCTGTCCTCATGGAATTCCCAGTTCAGAAGGGGAGATGTATTGAATGGTTTGAGAAAAGTGGGTGTGTATCAGGTGGGCACACAGTAAGAGAACGTCTGACCTCACCTGGGTATCAGGGAGGGCCTCTTGAGGAGGTAATGACAGAGTTACATAAGAGAAGTGTCAAGAAGGGCCTCTGGCAGAAGCGCCAAGTGGGGCCAGCCTTGGACACCCTGCCCTCCCCTTCACACACTTGTGGCACACTCTTCCTCCTGTAAATCTCAGCCCCTCGGTCGCTTCCTCAGGAATGCCTTCCCTGAGGGCGAACCAGCTCAGGGCCTCTCGTTACACATCTCAACAGCACCATGTATCTTTTTTTTCTTAGCATTTGCCATAGTTATAGATTAATTTTGTATTTGTAAGATTATTTAATGTCTGTATACTCCAGTAAACTATGAACATGGAATACAAACCATGTTTGTTTGTGGCTTACTGCTTTATCCTCAGAATCTTGTACAATGCCTGACACAGAGAAATTACTTAATGGACACTTGGGTATTGGAAGGTGGATGGAGTGGCAGGGAGTATGGGGGTAGATAGGGCTGGAGAGGTGAGCAGGGGCCAGATCAGGAAGGTCTCTGTCGCCCACTGAGGGACTTGACGGGAAAATAATGGAAATGTGAGTTTATCGTGTTTATAAGGAACTGACATAATTGAGCACTTTGGGGATTCTTTCTAGTCTTGGTGGATGAAATAGCTTCATGAGTAAATATTATAAAGAATCTGTAAGAGCAGATGAGCTCCCATATGCAAAGAGTTTTCAGTCCTGGAAAGAGGGGCTAATAAACTTCAATTCACCATCCAGTGTCCTCTGTGTACCTTGGTTCCAGGCTTTGTGCCCAGCTCTGGGAATGCCTGAGATGAATAATTCAAGCTCCCCTGCCTGGAGGCGCTCTCTGTTTGAAGGGGAGGGCCAGTCTGTGATCCTCCAACAGACTGACAGTGAGGAAATTTGAACTGCTGAAGCTGTGGGAGGCTCTGAGAGCCTGAGAGCCAAGGGGAGTGGCAATTAAATTAAATGTGGCTGTCAAGGGAACTGTTATTTTTATTTGTCCTTACCTAGAAACCAAAACATAAATGTAAAGGCTGCCAGTGGGCACCACTCTCAGTAGACATGAACACAGGCCTTCTCCAAATACATCCCAGGGAATGCTGCCTGGCATTGATATCATGATGAAGGATAGTGTCTCAGCTTCATCTACAGCGAGGGTTTTATTTGGCTAGCATAACCCTTGGGGTTGTCTTCTTATCCTGGCTTGGGTGTGTTTTGCTAGAGCCTTTACTTTATATTCACAGCACCTACTACTGTGCTTAGCAGCTAGTAGGTGCTCAGTAAATGTTGGTGGAAGGGTGGGATGGAGCAGGGAAGAGATAGTCCTTGGGAGGATAGGAGAAATGACCTACTGGCTGCCCAGATTGAAAGCAGAGTCCCCATGCTTGTGCAGAAACTGGCTGATTTGTGACACACATCTTTGCACCCTCTTTAGCCAACTCTCCTATGCTCGTGTCTTCATCCTCCTCAGCTCCCCTTTGCCTCCTGGCCATTGAACACAGAGGATCCTGTGGCCCCATTTTCATTTCTCTTGTGCTACCTTTTTTTCCTGGGTCCTGGCTCAGTTCCATGGCTGAATTAGTATGTAAAGAGATGGGGGTGGGGAGGAGAGGGCTTTAGACTGGAATTTGAAACTGAGCCAGAGAATACTGAAAGAAAGAGAAAACACTTCATGACTGCAGGTGCCTGAGCGTCTCAGGAGAATCAAGTTGTATCTTGTCAAAGCCCCTTGCTTGAAAAACCCAGGGGAACAAAGAGATTTTCCTTTTACAGAATCTGCCCATTCTGTTTGTGCCATGACCCTTTTTCCTCCTGAAGCTTGGGATTGTGGGATATTTGAGAGGTATTTCATACTTCAGGGATACAACTTTACATCACAATCAAGCTCGACCGAATTCTGCCCTTCCATTAACTTCAGCCAGCAAAGGTGCCTGCTGGGTCCCCATGCCTGGCTGTGAGGTGAGGGGTGTGGAGATGGCTGGACATAGCCTTGTCCTCAAGGAGTTGACAATCCTAGCTATCTCTTAACTTATGCTGGCTGGGCAGTGAGCACCACTCCAGTGGAAGGTTGGTTGTTCCCTGAACAGTCTATGCTTGTGTGCCAGATGCCTGTGATCTGCAGAGGGAGGAAGGCCTGGATATGGCCAGAGGCAGAGCCCAGGGTAAAATTCTGTCTTACACAACAAAAGAGAGGTGTTCTGGTATTCACAGATGTGTCTGTTGGCTGATTGCCTCTTGGTGGGAAGTTTAGAAATTACGTAGCAGTTTTGTTGACAAAAGGATGAACTCCAAGTTGCTGTTTTGCTAAAAATTACTTGTTTGTTCCTGAGGCAGGCTCAACCCTTCTTCATTGAAATACAACCTTAAACTAGCAGCTTGCCTTGCGTGGGATTTGCTTTTTGTTAGAGAAAGTATTGCTTCCATTTCTGTTGTTCTAAGTGATGGGCCATCTCCAAGTTGATTCCGTATCTCCATGTAGTCCCAACCAAATCAGCAAGCAAAAATGCCAAGTATCTAGTGTTAGATCCTAGTGCTTACACCTGGCATGGTTATTTGAGGAGGGAAATGCTGTAGCCTGCCAGTGGCCTCTGTGGCCTTCCTGGCTCATCTCCTGGTGTATTTCAGAAGAGGCCCTTTTCTTTATTCCAGGTCAAACTGTGCAGTTATCTTTGATAGTTATAAAGGCCTCTAACCTAGGGCTTCACAAAATGTGTTTAGAAATGTGAATTTCTAAAAATGTATTCTCAATTGAGAATACATTTCCAATTTTGTTACTCAAAATCAGTGTAGATTTGGCGTTTCTGTTTCATCATGAGATGATGCATCTGATGGGACTTTGGAGTTGAGGGGACCTATGATTTTAGTAGAGACATTAAAGTTTATTAAAGTTTCATCTGCTTTATGTGGCTTCTGAACAGCAGCCTCTTGATGACCTCAGGCACTGGCAGGTGTGGCTGCACTAGGTCACTGAGGAGATGCTGAGGGGCAGCAGCACAGTTCCCCAGGTCCTAGGTACAGAGAAGAGCTTGCTGGTGCCCCACTGCCCTCAGGTCACTGGCTCCAAGGCCCTCTGCTATCATGTTGTAGCTGGTGTGGGAGGAGGAGGAGGGTGGCCACTTCCTGTGAGTTAGTATGTTGGCCATGACAGCTGCTATATTCCATATGAGATGGGAGCTGTCACCACAATTTTGAGTCTGGGAGCACCTTCCCTAGAAGGACTAACCAGAAAATTAGAAAATGCTGTTGAGACACAGTGGCTTCTGAAGTTTTGTTGTTGTTGTCGTTTTGTTTTGTTTCAGTTTAATTCACAGGCAGTGTCAAAGACTTTGACACTCATGAGCAGGGACAAAGAGGGGGATGGGAAGCCAGGAAGGTGGCACTGTGTAGGCCCCACCAGGCACAAGCCCCCTCCTCCTCCCCTTGCACCTGCATGTCTGTGCTAGCTCCCCGTTCTAGTCCCTCCTCCATTCTCCTGCTCAGCCCCCTTGCAATAGTCCCAGTGCTCTCCTGGCCTCCTCTCTCGGCATGTTGACTATGCTTCTCCTTTGCTTGAGAACCCACAGTAGAAGCTTCTTGCTTCTCACAAGACCAGACACCAAATTAGATTCTAAACCTGTTTCTTAACCTTTTTGCTCCTGATCTCCCCCATACATCATTCTTTCCAAATTTTTCAGAATCTTGCACCAAGTTGCACATCCACCTGGAAGATTCTCCCTACAATGGCTTTCCATCTTTCAACCCCCATGGTACTTAAGTTCCCTTGCCATGGTTCACCATGGGATTGTGACCGATGTGGTATCATATGCTAATTGATCCATTTGTTGATCTACCTCAAATCTCTTTAAGGGCAGGGACTCTGACCTTACTACCTTTTTTGTGTATTTCTCAAAATACCTACTCCTGCAACACAAAGATGACTGGCATGAAAAGCTAATGATATCTGGAGGACTGGGGGTGAAGGTGGGTGAGACGAGGGGCAGGAGGATTAGCAAACTTTCTCTCAGAGATTGATAGATTTGGCATCCTGATAATGTTCTTTTTTATCTTTCTTTACAAGTGCCTGGAAGCAGGCCGATCAGGTGATTTGTATCCAAAAGTAGAAACAAACCCATATGGGAGATAGACATCGTTCGTCTTTCAAGTATGTGAGAAATTGCTGAGCAAAGGAAAACATACAACCAGCTCACATTGATAAAACCAATGTGGTTACGAAGTTCAGGTTTACCCGACAAATATGCAGGAGAAGGATGTGACTTCAAGTCCATGACACTGCTCTGAGACTTCAGTCACATTCTGTGAGAGGTTTGTAGGAACAGAAGCTGTAACCTCTCCCTGGAGAGGGACCCAGATTAGTCCTTGAGGCAGGATGTTCTGGTGGCTGATGAAGGTCTGGAGGGGAGCCTAGAGCTCATCTAGTCCAGCCTCCTGTGGTCCCTACTCCCTGACCCCCAGCAATCTTCACACACATGGAATCTAGACCTGACAAGCTGGGTTATTGTCTAAGCACAGACTGCAACCAAAGTCTCCCCACTTCCACCTAAGAGCTTTACACGAGAAAGTGGTAGATGCTTCTGGGCACCAACAGGCTTAGAGAAAGCATGTAGTGTCGTCAGCTCTTTGTTGCAGAAATCCTGGGTGGGAGGCTCCTAGATACAGCCCACCCCTGTGTTTCCCTTGGTTTACACACTTTTTTCTGTTTCTTCCTCCCTGCTTCCTGACCTCCTTTCTGAACCTTCTCAATGTTCTCCCTCTCGTGGGGCTTGGAAAACCTTTCCTAAAACCTCTGAAAGATCCAGCGGAGGCTGGGCCCCTTACCTCAGTGTATCCTGCACACCAAGGTCCTGGTGCTCTCCAGGGCCCTGCCCTGGGACACACATGGCAGTATTCACTGGAAGAGGTGCTGCCAGCGGCTGCTTCACAGAGAGGCCAAGTCTCCAGCCCTCCCTGCCATGCAGAGGCCCCAGGTTGCAGGATTTTTGAGAGTGAGAGACCTCGTGGAGGTAGCTCTTTTAGTGAAGAACTTGATGACAAGAATAACAGTATTAATGATGGTGATAATAGCAATAAAATGGCTTCTGTATATTGAGTGCTGCCCAGTGCTAAGCACTTTACTTCTGTGATCTCACTTAGTACAACCCCAAAGATGTCAGTGGTACTAGTTCTCTCTTTAGAGCAAGATGTTGAAGCGCAGAGAGATATACTGCCTTGTTTGAGTTCATGCAGCTGAGCCCATGCCCAGACCTATTCCTCCAGCAGTCAGCCCTTCCAGATGCAGCTGCACATGTGGCTTTCACCTTGAGAGAGGAAGGGAGCCCACCTAGTGACACCTCCCTGCTGCAGTTCATCAGATGGGAGGGAAAGAAAAAAAGACTGTGCCTGGCTCCCTTCACCATTCCCGGTAGGAAGCTTTTCTGGTGGCTTTTTGTTGTATCGATTTGATTAATTTCAGCAAATATCTACAAGGATTTCTCTAGTTGCTGGGGAAATGACAGCTTGTTACATAACAAGAGCAGTTGATTGGAACTCAGAAAACATTAGTCAAGTCTCAGCTCTATCTTGTATTATCCCGGTGACCTTGGGCAAATCCTGTGACTTCTGTGAGTCTCAGTTTCTCCATCCATCAGACGCAGCTGGCTTCCTAGGTCCCTTAAAAACTTGCTGCACAGTAAAAAACTTAGTAGAAGGGAGGGCACTTTACTAAGAATAAGGTGTAGTAGAAAGCTAAGTGTTTCTTTTCCCTATTATTAACTCGAAACATGCCCATTAAAATTTAAACTTTCTGGGATCAGGAATTAGGTCTGCCATAATCCTGCTCAGCTGGTAGCTTCAGTGACTAGTGACATCAGGCACGTGACAGGGGCTGCACAGACATTGCTTGCATGACCTACTCAGTGGATGCAGGAATGGTGGAGGGAGTGAATGCCTTATGCATGGTCATTCCAACCCGGCATACAGAACCCCAGCCAGCCACCTCCCGAGAAGGCCTTTATTCAATTTGGGTTCTGTACACGATGCTCTGCCTCCTAGAGGATGATTTTGCCCACACTCAGAGTAAACAAAGAGCCTGTGCCCTCATGTTTGAGACTTTCTTTTGTGACCTCCTCCCTGAGGGCTGCTGAGTGCTGCTCAGCCCTGGGCTGCCTTTGTGGCCTGGGTGCGGTGTCTTCCCAGCAGAGATGCTGCTACTGTCCTTGTCCAGTTTCTAGCCCCATCTAGCTGGGAACTGGAACGTGGAAGGTAAGCCCTTTATATCTTGTAGCCTGTGGGGTGGCTAACTTTGTCCCTAAGTGAAATTTGGTAACTGAGCAGTGTGAGATGCAGTGAGAGATGCAGGGAGGGGTAGAAGGAAGGAGCCCCAGAGCTCAGGCAGAAGGTCTGGCTCCTTAGTGAGGGTCAGGTGTGCTTTGCCTCCAAGCATCAAATTAACCCAGTGAGAAAAGGGAGATGGGTCAGATGGGGAGTCCCTGCGCTAAATACTCTATGAGCATTTTAAATTTCATTTGCCTTAAAACAGCATTTGAAATAGGTACTATTACCTCTAGTCTATAGATGGGAGAACGAGGACTCAACTATGATGTTGCAGAAAACACTGTAGGTCTGTCACTCTGTCACTGCAGAGCCCATGACTCCAGCCTGGAATAACACTATTGGGGCAGGGAGGAAGGGCTTTTTGCCTTGGGTGAGGAGGTAAACAAACAATGGTGAGATACAGCTTTCCACCCATCAAACTGGCAAGTAGTTTAAGAACCAAGCATGCTTACCTTAGAGGTTTATCAAGAAGATCAGATGAGCTAATGGATGCAAAGCTCAACTTTAGTACTTATTACTCAGTTTCTGTCATCGTCATCACCGTTAGGCATTCACTTCAGGAATGACTGACCGGGAGTGGAGCTGGGCTTTTCCTTTGTTATGGGTGTAGACCTGGCTTGATCTTCCTTCATTCCCTTGCAAAAGGTGAGTGTTCTTCCTCCCCAGTGTGGAGACCCAAACTGTTCTGTGTTTTCCAGGACACTGGTCTCTTTCTCTAAAGCCATCTCCCCACAGGCCTCTCTATCAGTCCCCGCTTCCTTCTGGAAGAGGCATGGCCAGAAGCTCTCTGTGCAGATGGTGAGTGGGATCATCTCACTGGGGCTGAGCTGCTGCTTGGGGAAATGTCACTTTCTGCTCTTGCCTCACAAATGCCTCAGAGCTGTGGTTGGTGATGGCCCTAAATTTAAATCATGGCTTTTCCTTTCTAGTAACATAGAGGTCCTTTCTGACCGCTACCCTCACGCCTGCTTCATGCTGTGCTGTCCTTGTCACTGGCCCTGTGAGCGTAGGGTGGGCCAGGTGGGGCATCTCCAGACAGCCCCAGTAGTGCCACTTAGGGAACCCTCCGACCCTGAGGTGCCTTGCCACCTCCTCATGTGGCTTGTTACTCTCAGCACTGAAGGTTCTTTCCTTTAGAATCACGTATTTAGTTGTCTTCTAGATACATGGGACATTTTTCTTTTTCAATTTTAACATGTTTTATTGCTTTGTTCTGATTATAAACCCAAACAATGTGTGTGATGGTGCAATTCTTTTTTTTTTTTTTTTTTGCTTTGTATAAATCTCTTGCCTTCTGATGAGGATGGATCCCAAAGCAAGTGCTTTGCTTCCTTAGAGGGATATGGGTGTAAGGACCCCGAGGAAAAGCATTTGGAGTGGTGTAGTGAGGTTGGCATGGAAAGGTAAAGGCAGCCCTGGGTCAGTGGCAGCTGAGAGGACTTTCAGTGGAGATTAAAGGATCTAATAGAGTTTCTTTTCTCTTCTCTTTTCTTTTCTGTTTTTTGTTTTTTGGGTTTTTTTAGGCTTGGTAAGGCGCTGTGGTTTAACCTTCTCCTCTGTGGCTCTATGAAATCTTTAACAGAGCATTCCTTTTTCACTAATGTGCCTTAGGACTTTTGGTGAGGGAATCAAAGAGTATTAGATGCATCCCTCTCTAATAGGGGTTTCCCAGTGCCCCTGCCACACTGATTCTACTTGGCCTCATTTCCATCCCTTGTGTGTTTCCTGTGCCCTAGAAATGCCCCTGGCTGGCACTGGTGCTCGAGTCTCTGCCCTCCTGGAGCTCAGTCTGGCAGGGGAGAAGAAAGACGTTATCCATGCCATGGCCCCAGGTTGAATGGGAAGTTATAGGCAGTGCACTGCCCTGGCCTTGCAATTCCCACACCACTCTGCAGCTTCTGAGGTGTGTCCTGCTGCTCAGGGATACCCTTAGCAAGCAGAAGGAGGCAGGGCCAGCTTGTGGGGATGGAATTTACTGCATCTTTGTGGGCAATAAGTGAAATGACTGAGGTACTCTGGGCACAGTTTCAGAAGTGGGATGGAGGCAACATAACAGCCATAGCTTCCTGAGTCTGCATGGGGTGGAGGTGGGGCTGGCAGAGGGGGATGAGCACTTACTCTGCACTGGGCACTGAGCTGAACTCTCATCATAATCCTGGCTAATCCTGGTAACACAAAGAGGCAGGTGCCTTTATTATCCCCATTTTACAGATGTAAAAACTAAGTCTCAAAGCTGTAAGTGACAGGCTGAAGGTCATGGAGTGGGCAAGCAAGAGCTGGGATTTGAGAGCAGGTTTGTCTGCCTCCAGATTCTTTCCTCTCGGTGATATTGTCTTGCTCCAGAGCCCAGGAGGATTCTTACTGCATTGTAGCTCACTCCTGTCACACTGGAGGGACAGGAGCCTGGCAAACTTCCCCAAGCTCAAGGCTTTAGGAATGCCCATTCCCTCCATAGGCTGGGTATTGGGGGCGATGTGTGTCCCAAATGTAACATAGCTCTCACATAGCAAGTATTCAGTTTTCGGCTCTCCCATAGCAAGTATTCAGTGTCTGGCATTGTGTTAAGTACTTCACACACATTGTTTTATTTAATTTTTTTCTAATACCTGGCTTTCATCACTAGAATGTAAGCCCCAAGCTGACAGCAGCCTTGCCTGTTTTGTTTACCATCGTATCCCTAGCAACCAGAGCACTGCCTAGCCCATAATAGGTGGTCAACAAATATCAGTTGAATAAATGGAGTGCCGCTGCCCATTGAGGGAGGCATCATGGTTTCCCCCATTTTACAAATCAGAAAGCTAAGGCACAGGAGGGTTAATTAAGTTCCTCAGAGCTTGTAAGGCTGGAGCCAGGGAAGATTTGAACCCAGGTTCATTTGTTTAGAGCCTCTGCTTCCGCCACTCTGCTGCTCTGGGGAGTCAGCAATGTGGCTCCCGAGGATTTGAGTAGCTGATGTATTGGCTTCCCTGTGAGCTCACAGTGACATCCTCTTAAGGCAGTGAAGGAAAGGAGATAATTGATAAGCTTAATTATCTGTGGCAATGACATGATGAGGGCGCCACAATGTGACTGCTCGTTATTACTTTGCAGTGCAGAATTCCCCAAAACGGGAGCACACATATTGCAACAGGCACCATGAGACAGGAGCCGTTCTATTTTGTTCACAGGGTCCCCCCTCAGAGCTTGGTGTTAGAGTGTTTGAGAAACCACTTAGCTGTATGAAACACAGATTATGTTAGATGGAGAGCAGCTAGCTTCCTGGAGATCACAGTTGGCCTTCGTTAATGAATTTTGGCCTGATTAACACAGGATTCGGACTGACATCAAAATATGCAAGTGGAAACTTAGTAGGAGGGGGAGGAGACTAGTTTGAACTTTCTAACTTTGAAATCAGCGGAAGAGAAGGCTCGTACAAAGCTTGGAACTGAGGACTGAATATGTAATGAGCTCTTGGGTCTTTGAAGCTGCCCCACTTTGCTTAGGCCTCTGTGGGCCGAGGCCCAGCTCAGACTCTGGGGCTTTCTTGGCTCTGTTCCATGCCCAAGCATACAGCCAGGATGGAAATCTAAGGCTGATTGACCCTCAAAAGTTGTGCCAACTGCTTCTCTTGTATCTCTTTTCCTAAAAACCTGGATGCTTGTTATGCATCCTCATCCAATGTCACCATTCCCTGAAATCTTCACAAGGACTTCCAGAGGTGTCTTGTCCCTGAATGCCTGCGTCTGTATCACAGGGTTTGTGTTCTCACCCCTCTTGACTGCACCCATGCCACCTGCTTCTCTGTGGATCTTTCTCCATAAGCATCCCCACCCACCTGGTTAGGCTTGTGGCATCTTATCCCAATAGCTTGTTGCAAGTAGCTGACATGTCTCTCCTCCCTTTGTCCCCATGGGCTGGCCTCCTGGTTCTAGATCTGCTTCTTTCTGTGCACACCAAGAAGTTACCCAGATATTTGCCTTCCCACATCAGATGTCTGCATCCCACCTAGCCTTGTGAGTTTGTCTGCTCAAATCATGACTATCTCAGGATCACTGGGGCTGTAGTTCTGGCCTCAAAAGTAAATAGAAAAGGAGAGTGGGGTCTGCATGGACCATGTGACTTGGGCGTTTCTGGCCATGGAGCAAGTGGTGGGAGCAATCAGCACACAACTTGCCTCGCAGGGCAGAATGGTCACCAAGGCAGGCCTGTTGGGGCACCTGGCCTAGCCAGCTCTCCTTTCATCAGGCTCTGGGAGAAATGAGATCAGACATGTTGCAGAAAAACTGTGTAATCAAAAGAAAGGAAAAATGACAGTCTTTGTCCAGCCCTTGACCATTTTCACACCTCAGCTCCATCATCAGAGAATCGACTCTTGCAAGGGCATTTTGTTACTTAAACGTATTTTTCACAGAGGTGATGCCAAGCAAAGAAAATCCTCTTTGAGTTATATGGCTTTTTCGTTCAGCACTACAGCATCTTTCATCTCTAAGCAGTAAAATCAGGCAGTAATTCAAAGTTTAAGTTACTGTTTCATTTAAAAAATATCACTTTAATCTTGTTGCATTTGGTTAAAAGTCTGCTTTGGCATTTTTGGTCACCTTTATCTGTGGTTTCGTTTCTGTTGGCTCTTATGGACATACGCAGGCTTTATTCAGAAAGATATTTGGGGTTTATTTTCTAGAGCAAGTGATAGGGGAGAAAGGAAGAAATTGGGCTGAAGTGCAGAAGTAAAGCAGGCTGAATGGTTGGTGATGGGTGTCTTATGTCAGCCCAAGGTGAGATCTTAATGGCTTTTTTTGACCTTGGACAGTGTCAGCTTTGGACAGAAATTGGTGGATGTGCTTAGCTAGTATCTGTTTTTCCATTTTCAGAGTACACTGGGGGCAACCAGGGATGGAATACTGCCTCTCTATCACTTTAAAAATCTGCTGTTATTCTTTCTCCGTCTGCATTTCTTCTCCCTGATCTGTGAAGTCTCTGTAGGTAAGCGAGGAGAGGTGTTTTTATGCAGAGAGTCTAAGAGAGGTCACTGCTTCAGAAACTAAGGCTCAGGAGCCTGCCCTCTACAGTGTGTTAGTTATGACAAAGAAACACAGACAGCATGAGGAGGGCAGACCCCAGGCCTGGAATGCCCCTCAGAAGGCTGATCTGCAGAGATGTCCAGGGACAGGAGGCACAGCCCCCCTGCTGAGGGATCAGAACAGAGGAGCTGTTGATTGTCTGAACTCTGAATGATAAAGTACTTATGAAGCCTGCACCCTCGGGAGTTCAGAATCAGTTCAGAATTGGTTTGAAGTTGCAAAAGAGGCCATTACTGGGCTGCTTTGTAGCAGTTATAGATCTGATGTAGACCTCTGTTCGCTCTGACCTTCCTTTTTATTAGTGACGTGGTCATCTCACCCGTGCCTTCTGGTGGCTGTGAAGTGCTCTCTCTGATACAGCCACTTAGATTTTCTGTAGTTTTCTTCACTCATTTCACCAAGAAACTTGTTCTTTCTTTGGTGATAGTTGTGGCAGGGCTTTGTGGGGCTTGCTTTCTATCTCATTCATTCATTCATTCTTTTACTCAAGGAATAATTAAAGGACACCTACTGTGTGCTGGCTGTGTTCTGTGTGCCTGGGATACATCTGGGAATGAAAAGACCAAGATCTCCACCCCTGGTGGAGCCCTTGTTTCAGTGAGATCATGGCAGGGGTTCTATAGAGACATCCGGGAGGGACACTGTAACTCTGAGTGTGCACTACCTTGGTACAGTTCTCAGAGAATTCCTTACCATTTGTGTGACTTGGCTTTGTTTGGAAGATAATGGTTCCTGCAGGTACCATGAACTGACAGAGAAGACCATTGTCAGCACAGCCCTGAACACTGTGAAAACATGTGACCTGAGCAAACATCAGAAAACATTTTGACTTGAGACCACATAATTAACCTCTTAAGAGCACAGACTTTAGAATCAGATAGCCTGGATTTGGACTCAGGCTTCGCAAGGTTAGAGCTGGCTTTCATTGGCCAAACGACATCTGTGAGCCTCCATTTCTTCATGTGTAAGATGTATGTTGTTATCATTTTTATCATATAGGGGCTGGGGTGAAAATTAAAGGAGAAAATATAGGTAAAACTTTTAGCACAATGCCAGGTTCATGATTAGTTATATTAAACCTTGTATACATTATGAAGAATTAGAAGCCATTTCTACCAGCACTGTGAAGAATAGAAATATACTTAGTGCTCGTATCTGTATTATGAAGAATACATAGACATATGACACAAATATCCTGAAGTCTAGCAGCTAAATTATAAAATATTAGAGGGTAAGAGGAAACCAGAAGAGCAGGCATGGGACGGTGTGTTGTTGAGTGGGGTGGGCTGGAAATGTCACTGGAGCTAAGGGGGGTCTGCAGGAGTAGGAGTGGTCAGGGTCATGTCCAGAGGAGGACACGCCTGGGTGGGGAAGGTTTGGGATGGGAAAAGAAAGAGGTATTCAGATGAGGCAACATCAGAGTGAAGCAGGGACGGGGAGGAGGAAGAAGACAGCTATTAAGGAATTGTTGCATGTTGTTGAAGAGTCAGAGCAGTGTTGTTGAAGAAGCAGCATCAGTACCAGATGGTGACCAGCATCAAAAGGGAGGACTTGAGTTTTGATCAGGGCTTGAGAGCAAAATGTTAGTTTGGGATCTTTGGTACGACATTTCACTAAGTCGGGGGGGGGGGGAATCAGATGGGATGGTAGGAGAGACAGTCAAAGCTTTCCATCTGTTGGACTGTGACAGTCCAGATACCATTCATGGACCTAAGGAGTATCAAAGCCTGGAGATGGATAGAGATGACTTCATTTGGCCAAGTGCATTGGAGATGACAACAGAGCTGTGTCGATTGTTCAGCAGGTGGTTAGATGGGTGGGGCTGTCCCTCCATCCTCCTGCCCATGCATCTATATAGCTGTCCAACATTTATTTAGTACATACTCTTTTTTAGATTCTTTTCCAGGCACTGGGGCTAACCAAGTGAATTAAAACCTAGTCCTCATGGAACTCATAAGAGAGACAGGCAAGAAAGCTGTCATTGAAGTACAGGGCAAGAGACAGAGTGTTAGAGGTGGGCAGGTGCTAGAAGTACCTAGGGATGCCTACTGCAGGCTCCTGGGGGAGCTGTAGACAAAGCAAAGCATCCAAGAGGAAGCCTCAAGGGACATGGCCGAGGAGACCGAGGGGGAGTAAGCGTGGTCTGCAAGCTGGGTCACAGTAAGCATGTGTTTGGAGAGACATAAGAGATGTGAGTGGAGAGATATGTGGGGTACAGATCTCTGGGGACCTTTTCTGCTGGGCTAAAAGTCTTTACTTTTTGTCTGAGGATAGCAGGATACAAGGAATGGTTGTAAGCTGGGGTAGGGTGTCACAAACACATTTGCATTTTACAGAGATCAGTCCGGCATGGAGAAGCTATTGGAGGAAGAAGAGAATGAATGTGGGCTTTGGGGTATGGAGGAAGGAGCAAAGATTAATTGTCTACCATGTGCCAGGAATGCTGCCAGGCACTAGAGATCTAGAGATCATTAGTTATCCTTTCTACTTCCAGGATGGCTGCAGGAAGTAGGGATTATCTTTAGTGAGGAGGAAATGAAGACTTGGACAGGTTATGTAAATTGACCTGCCTTTAACCCCAGTAAGCAGTGGCGCCCTGGGTGTCAGATTCCCTACTAGGTTTGTAATGAGAGATGCAGACAGATCCTGGGCAGAGAGTTTCTCCCTACCCACCATCACAGCTGGAGAGGTGTGAGTCATGATAGAATCAGGTGCCACCTCAACTTGCCCTCCACCTCCGGTGAATTCTGTCTGTGGAGTAAACTGCCCGAGCCAGTGGGGAACAGGCAGCATGGAGAGGAGGCTTAGTGTGGGCTGGGTCCCCTGCAAGGAAACCAGGACAGCTGGAGAGACAGGCATCTCGAGGGCATTTATAGCTGCAGAGACATTTTAATTTTAAGCAGGTGCCAGCACCTCAGAACATCCTCTTCCTTTCTCCTAGCGCTGCCTGAGCCCACATATCCAGGCTGGGCGAGAGACATGTGAACGAGGTCTCTGCTCCCACATTGCCTCTTGCATCTCCCAAGTCTCTCTGGGATGTTTTGTGCTTTTTTCTATACTTGAAGCATCTCCTCTGTTCTCCTCCTTGTATTTCTTCTCTCTTTTCTTCCCTCCTCTCCTCTGCCATGCCTCCTCTACAGCTTTCTTTTCTTGCTCTCTCCTTCTTTCATTCTTATTTGTGTTCTTTCCTTTCTTACCCTTTTCCTTCTCATCTGTAAAATGAAAGTGATAGTCTCCAACTTCCTAGAGTTTCTGGGAAGATGATGAATTTATTTCAGCAACCTCTTCCTGTCCACTTTCAAGGTACAGCTTATATGTGGCCCTAGGGTGTATGAGCATGGACAGCTCTCTCTAGGAGCTTGCATCAGGTGGGAGTCAAGTTCGGAGACCAGATCCTATGAACAGAACTGTCTTCTGAGGCCCTGGCTGGGCCGCTCTGGACTGCTTGGGAGAGCTCTGATGATCACACTTCACAGTTAATCTGTTAGCTAGGAATAGCTGCAGGCCTTTATGCCTCCAGGAGAGGCTAAGTCTGGCTGCTGTCAGCTTCTGGAACACAGAAGGTGGCCACATCACCTGATTCAGGTCTGTGAGCTGATCAGCTTCACTTCTGTAAGTTGGCTTAGCTAATTGCAACATGTTAAAGTGGCTTTGACTAACATCACTATCACTAGTGACAAGTCACAGTTGACAAGCAAGGGTTGTATTTGGCTGACTCCATTTCTTCCCTGCCGGTCAGCACCACACAGCCGCCAGCAGGGCACCTCCTGTTCTCTCTCCCTTTCCCGAGCTCTGGCATAATTTCTGTCTCCTCTCTGTCCTCCTAGGATTCCTGTAAAGGCTTTGCCAAACCCCTCACTGTTGTAGAAGTCTGTGAGTCATTACACATAGCACTGGACTAGGGAGAAGTGAAGGGGTTGAATTAAAAATTAAATCTGCGGGGGCCGGGCGCGGTGGCTCACGCCTGTAATCCCAGCACTTTGGGAGGACGAGGCGGGTGGATCACGAGGTCAGGAGATCGAGACCATCCTGGCTAACACGGTGAAACCCCGTCTCTACTAAAAATACAAAAAAATTAGCCAGGCGTGGTGGTGGGCGCCTGTAGTCCCAGCTACTTAGGAGGGTGAGGCAGGAGAATGGCATGAACCCAGGAGGCGGAGCTTGCAGTGAGCTGAGATCATGCCACTGCACTCCAGCCTGGGCAACAGAGCGAGACTCTGTCTCAAAAAAAAAAATTTTAAATCTGCTACTTACTCACCTTGTGTCCCCGAGGCAGTTATTTGCTTTCTCTAGTTTCAGTTTCTTCATCTATAGAATGAATGTATTAACACCTGCTCTTAATCTATAGAATGAATGTATTAACACCTGCTCTCACATAGGGTTACATAAGATATATCCCATAAATAAACAAAAAATGTATAAGACACAGATGGTCCCTGACTTACAATGGTTCAACTGAAAATGGTATGACTTTAAGATGGTGCAAAGGAGATATGAATTTACTAGAAACTGTACTTTGGCTACCCGTCAACCATTCTTTTTTTTTTTTTTTTTTTTTACTTTCAGTCCAGTATTCAATAAATTACATGAGATATCCTACTTTTTATTATTAAATAGGCTTTATCTTAGATAATTTTGCCCCACTGTAGACTAATGTGAGTGTTCTGAGTACACTGAAGGTAGGCTAGGCTAAGCTATGATGTTTGTTGGTTAGACATATTAAATGCACTTTCAATCTCTGATTATTTTTACCTTAAGATGGGTTTATTGAAATGTAACCCCATAGTAAGTTCAGGAGCACCTGTACTTGTGATATGCTAGGCTCTAGTCAAAGATACTATTTCCTTCAAGAAGTAGATATGTAAACAGATAAGCACTGTCCAGTGGTGAGTGCAATGAGAGAATTGTCCTGGGGCACAGAGGCAGGAGCCTCAGAAAAGCTTTCCTGGAGGAAAGGCACTGGAGCCCCGTTCGGAAGAGGGGAGGGCTGCAGCTGGCCCAACTGTGGGCCTTCACTGAGAGCCCTTCGGGTCTGGGCTCTCTGCTGCATCCAGGCCTTGCATGGTGAGGCTGTGCATGGTCCCACCTCTCTGATGTACAGCAGGTTGTCCTCCCTCCATGGGGCCAGCCATCTCCTAGAGAGGATGACAGGCCCAGGAACTTCAAGTCCTTCCTCATCTGCACTATTCTCCGAAATCCCAGTTAAGTAAAAAATCCCACAGAAATTTAAAATGTCAAAATAGTGTCCAGTCCTAACAAAATCCCAGGCAGAGGAGATAACAGGGAAAATGTCCAGAAGTGAGAACAGTGGAGGTGAGCCAAGGCAGTTCCCCTTGTGTGCAGTTTGGGAGCTTAAAGCAGGGGCCAGGAGCCTGCTGGGGGTGGGCCTGCACGTGCAGGTCAGGGCTGCACTCCTCTCCACGGTGCCGGCCACTCTTGGTTGCATTGCCTGGAGGACAGCAAGACTCTCCACTGGTTTCGTCACACAGTTTAGAGAAACTATTCAGCCTTGCCTCTAAAACCAAGCCTGTGACAATCTGTACATGAACTGGACTGAAACTTACCTCCTCACTCACTAGAAAAGGGTGTGCTAAATCACTGACAAGATAAACAAGGTAAGAAAATGAGCAAAGCTAATTGCTGATATCAATCAAGAGAATTTTGTGCTTCTGGAAAACCTGGATCACTTGGCCCTTTAACAAATCCTTACTGAAGGTCAGCTCTTTACCAGGTGTAAGCCAGCCTGGATACAGCAGGAAATAGGATCCAGTCCCTGCCCCGAGAGCCGCCCTCTAGCGGGAGCTGCAGGAGGGACAGTAACTGCAACACCTGAGAGTGGCAAGCCACTGGGGAGGGAGGAGCTTAGGGAGGGAAAAGAGGAGTGGTTTCTGGGAAGAGTTCTCCTAGCACCACTGGGCAAAGCAAGTTAAATTTTCTTCCCCTGGCTATTAGTTTAATAATTATTCAATGTACAGAGCATTTAAAGAATAATGCAATGAATGCTGTATACCCGTCATTAAGATTTGACAGTTGTTGCAGTGGCTCACACCTGTAATCCCAGCACTTTGGGAGGATGAGGCGGGCAGATCTATTGAGGTCAGGAGTTCGAAAACAGCCTGGCCAACATGGTGAAACCCGGTCTGTACTAAAAATACAAAAATTAGGTCGGGCGCGGTGACTCACGCCTGTAATCCCAGCACTTTGGGAGGCCGAGGTGGGCTGATCACGAGGTCAGGAGATCGAGACCATCCTGGCTAACACGGTGAAACCCCGTCTCTACTAAAAATACAAAAATTAGTCGGGCGTGGTGGCGGGTGCCTGTAGTCCCAGCTACTCGGGAGGCTGAGAAAGGAGAATGGCCTGAACCTGGGAGGTGGAGCTTGCAGTGAGCCGAGTTTGCGCCACTGCACTCCAGCCTGGGTGACAGAGCGAGACTCCATCTCAACAACAACAACAACAACAACAACAACAAAATACAAAAATTAGCAGGGCATGGTGGCAGGTGCCTGTAATCCCAGCTACTAGGGAGGCTGAGGCAGGAGAATTGCTTGAACCTGGGAGGCGGAGGTTGCAGTGAGCTGAAATCATGTCACTGCACTCCAGCCTGGGCAATAAGAGCGAAACTCAGTCTCAAAACACAAACAAAACAAAAAGATTTGGCAGTCGTTAGTATTTTGGCACATTTGTGTACTCTTGCTTTCTGTATATACATACGTACTTTCCCCTGAACTAGTTAGAAGTAATTTGCAGCATTGTGACACCTCACCCCTAAGAAAAGGGGTGTTCTCTTATATAACCACCTTAACCTTAGTAGGTATTATGCCTGTAAGAACATTCCATAATATCACCTAGCATATAGTTCACATTAACATCACAGAAATTCTTCCCCAAATGTTTGTATAATAATGTGTTTTGTATAATAATTATTAGTCAAGGTTCTGTTAACTTTCACTCATTTCATTTGTTTCCGATTTTTAATTTATTTTAATTAGAAATGATTACTCTAGTATGATAATCCACCTGCCCCAGGTTTGTTTGGTTTGCTTTTAGAGTTCAGACTGTTATAAAATGTCCTCAATTTTGGATTTGTCTGTTTCCTAATGCATAGAGTCGGGTTCAACCTTTTTAATACAGTGCCTCACAGGTGCTACTGTGTATTTTCTTTTGTTGCATATTAGGAGGCACATGCCAGCCTGTCCCGCCGCCAGTGGTATTAGCTTGGACCCTTGGTCCCTTTGTTAAGGGGTGACTGCCGTTTGTTTTATTGAAAGTGTGCATTTTCTTCTTTGTGTAATAATAACACTATAAGGAGACATTTTAAGACTGTGTGAATGTTTCATTCTCTAATAACTTTCACCCAAAATTTTTAGCAAATATTAAATGGTCCTTTTCTGACTCAATTAATTACATGAGGAGTTTCAAAATGGTGACTTTCTAACTCTAGCCTTTCTTTTAAATTTTGTAGCTGCTATTCTCTTGTAAAAAAAAAAAGCATTTTCCTCTTTTACATTTTTAACAGCTTGGTCTTCAAGAAGTTTAAGGCTCTGACTTATTTGGAAGCCTTAACTCATAGAAATGTGTGTGTACCACACAGAGGGAGAGAGGGAGAATAAAAGACTGTGCCGTGGGTCACACACAGGCCAACCATCGGTTCCACTAAGATGGTCCTTCCCGCTCTCCTCATCCCTCTCTAGCTTCCTCACTGTTTCTCAAGTGTAGTCAAAATCTTCTACCCTGGGCCTTTGTGCTTCCTTTTTCCTTGACCCTCCTTCCCCAGAGAGCTGCATGACTCACTTTATTCTGTTCTCTGCTCAGATGTCATCTTTCCAGAAGATTTACTGATCACACCATACATCATTCCCTCTCCTTTATTCTCTGTCTCTTTCTCTCTCTTGCTTAATTCCCTGACTCCCATCAATGCCTGCCATGTGAACTTCATGGAAACAGGCCTTTGTCCCATTGGTTCTACACCTAGACCAGGGTCTGGCCCATAGTAGATGCTCAGTGAATATGTGTTAAATGCAGAAAGGAACACATGTATTTATGGATGTTCAATAAGGTTCTAAATGAGACCAAAGACCTTCCCTTGTTTCTGTGCATAGCTTCTTCCAGATGAACACTGAGCCACTCAAGCTCTGTGCAGAAATGGGTGGTTATTCTCCCGTCAGCCAGGAACAGCATGTTGGCATCTGACTGGTGCAGTCAGCAGCCGCTCACTTCCTGCCCAATTATTAAAGCCGGCAAAGCCTCAGGATTGCTCCCCTCCACCTACTGTGACATGATTTTGGGTGAATAAAAACAAATCAGAATTCATCAACTGTGAACAAAATTGTCAACTGTGAACTGTCAACAGTCTGGCTTAAAAAATGGATGATAGGTTGATGAAATACAGTGGAGAAAGCAATTTGAATAAAATGTTAAAAATAATACCCAAAGCATGAGAGGCAAAGCAGAGTGTGGTGTGGTAGAGAAATGTACTCGGTTGAGACCTGTGTGAGCAATGAACCAGAAAGAGGTTGTTAGCTGTGCTTTACAAATCATAAAAGAGAAAGATTTACTGACCATTTACGGAAAATATTCACTCATTCCAACCAATGTATTAGAGTGTTATGCAAAATGGAAGGAAAGATTGGTTGGGAAATCTGCTAGCACATTTATTTTTAAGTAGGTCAACATTTTGAGTGTATCTGCCTGTTCATGTCGTCATTGGCTCTTGCTTCTTTTTCTGTCTGCAGTGATAAGGGCAGGCAGGCATCTCTGTTTTAGCAGGTCGAGGGTCTAGAATCCCCAGGGGTTTGTATTTATAATAATATGTTGTGTATGAGTATGGGTTCTAGTATAATGTTTAAAAGTCCTTAACTTATTTCCTAGTTTCTCAACTCTCCTCCTTTAGAGAGTTAGAGTTAATTATTTATTTGACTGCTTCATCATAAAATCAATATAAAGGTTTGAATTTTTAATATTTCCTCTTTTCTGGGCATGCGTCACAACTGATACAACTTGGCCAAGTTCTTTAGGTCCAACTGCTCATATCCTGAGGCTGCTGTTTCATAGTTTTTGTTTTGTTTCTTTCCAGCAGAGCTGAGCCATCTTGGCACAAAGATCTGTGCTTTATAAACCTAAGACAAAGTGTCTTCATTCCTTAGAGTCTCTCTCTTTTTAAAAAATCTGGATGGAAAGAATATTAATTTGTTAGTGCTACTGTAACAAAGCGCCACTAACTGGGTGCTTCAACAACAGAGATTTATAGTCTTTACATAGAGTCCTTAGTGTAAAGCTGGAATGGTGATCAGGTTTTGGCTTCTGTATCTGTTCTTCCCTAGAAAGAACCTGGGAGAAGGGAGGAGGGAGGATGAGGGAAAGTGATTGGGAGGGTAACTTCAAGGGTGAGAATTAGAGAAGTGTTGTGGGAAGAGAACATCTGTGGGAGGCCGTGGGCTCAGGAGCAGAGCTTCACACTCTCAACCCTTCCTGGAGGGCTCTACCCGCACTTGCTCATGGAGTTTTCTGGGAGGTGTGGTTCTAGCTTCGTTGTCACCTCCATAGGAGCCTATAAACATTGTTTTATATTTTATCATAAAGTCTTTGATACATAAAAATGTATATATTATTTATAGAAGTTGTCAAGCTTAGTAACAGAACAAAAGCCTCAGAATCTAATGCTTACTTTATAAAATAAAACATCATCAATGTTTGTGACGCTTCCCTTGGGCTCCTGTCTGACCAGTCCTGCTGCCTTCCCTGGGGAGGTGACCCCTATCTTCCTGGTATTTGTCATGGTCCCCTCCCCTGCCAGTTTTTAAAGGAGCTTTTACCACATGTATCTGTATCTCTAAATAGCCTGTTTTAAGCTTTATAAAAAATGGAATTATGGCTGGATATGATGGCTCTTGCCTGTAATTCTAGCATTTCGGGAGGCTGGGGTGGGAGGATGGCTTGAGCCCAGGAGTTTGAGACCAGCCTGGGCAATGTAGTGAGACCCTATCTCTACAAAACATGTCTGTAGTCCCAGCTACTCATGAGGCTGAGGCAGGAGAATTGCTTGAGCTCAGGAGTTCAAGACTGCAGTGAGCTATGATTATGCCACTGCACTCTAGCCAGGGTGACAGAGTGAGACCCTGTCTCTTTAAAAAAAAAAAAAAAAAAGAAATTGGCCTTTTGAGCTACATATATGAAATGCCACATATTGTCCTGAAAGGTAAAAAAACAGATCTGTGCCCTTGAACTTGGATTTTCACTGATACAGATAAGAGATAAGTACTGTTTTCTCTGGTGGTGTCTTTCTGTAGCTAGGGAGGAGACTGAGCTGCCTGCAGAGATGGCCACCAGGGCTGGACAGGAGAGGGGATGCTGCAGGCCAGCCGAGAAAGTGGATTCCAGGAATTACAGTCCACAGGGCCCACAGTCATGGCAAGGCCACCCAGAGAGGCTCATACTCCAATGATAGGCTGGGGTGAGCAGGCAGGCTGAGGGGCAGAGTACTCAATGTGGAGCTCAAAGAGGCGTCTCAGGGAGTAGACATGGGTAAAGGATGGTTTAGGATGAATGTGGTGAGTACTGAGCTCCAGCACTTCCTTCCTTGTGCAGGCAGATTGGTAAGCACCCAGGGACTGGAACAGAGGTCCAGAGCAGCAAAGTGAATTGTGGCTCCCTTCTTTCTGCCTTTGTCATTCAGCAGCTGTTTATTGAACACCTACTCTATGCCAGGGCTCTGTGTATGTCATATCATGCCAGGGATAAAACACTAACTAAAACCTTTTCTTGCTGTTAAGGCCTTCATGGTCTAGCAGGAAGGAAGTCATTCTGTTGGTCAGCTTTTGCTAAGTTATGCTGTAATAACAAATAATCCCCAAACATCATTGGCTTATTATGATAAACCCTATTTCCGTGTTCACATTGTGCGTTAGCTGTGGCTCTGTTCAGAACACTTCAGCTCTGTTCCATGTTCTCTGCCTTCTGGGTCCTGGGCAGAAGGGAACAGCCCTTATCTGGCACATCATTTTCATGGTAGAGAAGAGCAACAGAGGTGATGAAACCAGTGATTCTTGACATGTCTGCTCAAACCTGGCTTGCATCCCTCCTACTAACCACCACTGGTTGGAGTGAGCATGTGGCTAGACCTGGTGGGAAAGTTGACCCTCCTACAGGGAGGTGCTGCTGCAAGACATGGGGCCTGGAGCAGAAGTGTGGATTCCTCTCTCAGAGAGAGAAGAGAATGGGTTGGAGAGGGGGAGTCTCACAGTCTATCACAGATACAATCGGGCAGTAACAGCAATAGCATGATAAGGCTTTATGATAAACAAAGGTAATAATTTTGACTTTATGAAACAAATGGACACATAAAAATATATTTGTTCCCCTAAATTAGCTTTAAGGATTCTTTTAATAAGCCAGAGAACCACTAGTCTGAAACAGAGGATTGTTCCAGAGAACTAGCCCAGAAGAGGCGGAGGAGGCAGCCCGGTCATGGCAGCTGTGTCCGGCTCTGGGCACGTGCACACACGCTGTGCTGAATGAAAGGAAGCTCCTCATGCTAGTGACCTGCCTGCTGCCTTCCCGGCGTTCCACTCGGCTCACCTTCAGTCCACGTGCTCTCTGTAGCACATCCCATACCTGAGGTCCTCTTTCGTGCCCCATCCCTATGGAGACATGTGTCCTGCCTCACCTCATAGTCACATCCACATGGCTTTACAAGGACACACTCTTTTTTGCTTCATCAGCTCAGTTGATGTGTGAGACGTGGGCAATGGCTTATTTTTGTGTAGCCCCCACAATGCCTGCTGCCATGCTGGGCACGTACTAGGCACTGAACAAATATGCACAAGAGGAAGTTTTGTATCAAGAGGGAGCCAGCATTCTGTAGGTTTGCTCTGTTGCCCTCTCCCTGAATGGGCAGCCGGTGACTGTATGGGTGATCATTGGAGTGACACAGGAGTGACTTCAGTACATTAGAACCAGGTTTAAAGTATTCTTTCCCTCCGTTTCTAATCGGTATAGGGACTGAATAGCTTGTCCTCTTACAATGAGCCAGTATTTATCTGCACTCGTGTGTGGCTTTGCAAATGCTAGTGGACTTTTTTCAAAGGTATGCATTTGTGTTTTCCAAGGGCAAGGACTGTATCTCCTCTTTTCTTTCATTTAAAAGATTCCCCATGGCACCTGATAAGAGCTGCATGCACAGTGGGTGCTTGTTAAATTTCACCTATCTCTTCTTCCTTTGAACCTCCACCAGATATGCATGTGGTCCTGGGCCCGTGGGTCTTTGCAGAGGACTGATTACACACCGGTCTTGATCTTGAGAAATTTACAGACAAAAAAGGAGTAAAGTCTCAGACAACACAGATCCAGGCCAATAGCAAAGTTGCATAATTAGCCACACACAGTTCAGTATGGGATGTCTGTATTCCGAAGCCCCATATACACAGTGTTGTGGAATGCATTAAGTGCTTGGCCCTGAGCTTTGTGATCTTTTGCAAGTTACTTAACCTGAGTCTTAATTTCCTCTTCCATAATGCAAGAATAATACAAATGCTGATAATTGTTGTGGTCTTTTGCACCTATTAATAACATTCCTCTCTCCTGCCTGTGTTCTGAGAATTCATTGAGACTTTAGAGTAAAGAGCTGACAGAAAAATGACTAAAATATTACCATTGCTACTGATAAAGGGTTGACAAGAGGATGTGGATTATGGGCTTCTAATATTTAATCCTAGAATTAGGTAAACATTTCCACGGAGTCACAAGCTAGTTAGACCACAGGCATCCTCTGATGGGGGAAGACCCGTGTAAACTTAGGTTTTGGACAACGGAAGCAAGAGCATTCATTCTTCATTGCTCCCAAGGGGAAGGGGCTGAGCCTCAGATTACCATACAGACTTACTAAAGGGATTGTTACTCTTCCCTCCCAGGAAGAGCATGTGAGCAGGCTGAGAGGGACCAGGAGTGGTATTCCAGCGGTGTTACCTCCACACGGGAGGAGTGTGGAGAAGATGCCTCAAAGTGAATGGAGGGGGTTCCTGGACCAGATAGGACTCTACAGATGTTAAGTTTCATATTAATAATTTTATTTTAGAAATAGTGACAGTAGGGTTTACCATCATTAAAGGAAGTCTTCTAGGGCTTCCACAGTGTTTTTAGAAGTTATCCTCTGCATTTGGTAAAATATAAAAGGCCATTTCTTATTTAGTATTCTGTAATTGAGACCTCTACCTGAGGTCGACCTCTCCCTGCTTTGTCTTTGCTTTTGTGAAGCAAAGGGCACTGCTGTTTCTTAGGAGGCGGGGTAGGGGTCTGTTATGGCTGCATTCTTAAGACCTGTTGTGTCTCTCTTTTGCAGTGCAAATTGGAGTTCCATGCTTGTTCTACTGGCAAAAGCCTCGCCACCCTCTGTGATGGGCCCTGTCCCTGTCTCCCAGAGCCTGAGCCACCAAAGCACAAGGCAGAAAGGAGTGGTGAGTGAGGGTTTCCTTCAGAGAATTCGTGGGCAGGAATGGGGGGTCACAGAGGGTTGATGTGGCCGAGCTCTGTCCCAGGCACTAGGAACAAACTGGAGAAATGAGCAGACATGACAGGTAAGTACTCCAGATTTAGGGACCCTAAACCGAATTGCCTTCAACTACCATTAAAAAGATGAACAAGAGCCTTTGAAAATAATCCTGTTAGACCAGGATATCCACTAGGTTCTTTTAGAGGTCATATTCGCTATGGTGTGGGAGGAGCTGTTTTTCAGCATCTAAGACCGGACCTGCCCTGGGGTACATCTTAGTCTTTCTTGAACTCTAATCTTTTGAATCCTTTGAACTTCTCAAGGCCAAATATCAAAACAGAGACTGCAGAGATGTCACAACAGTGGAGAGAGTTCTCCCCTAAAGTATTTCTTTATTAATATATTCTGCTTGTAAGGCAGCACAGAGCCAGGGGACAGATGAAAGAGAATACCTCCCTAAGGGTAACTGTTTCTCTTCTGTGGCTGAGAGGGCCAGGAAAGCTTGGGCTCATTTGGATGTTTTCATGATGGAGAAAGTAATGTTGTCCCACTGGTCTCAGCCTCTTTTTGAGCCTTCCTTGGTGAGACCCAAGATAGACGTTTGAATTTGCCTTCTGTGGAATTCAGCTTTCTCAGCTGTAGTTGGCTTTTCTTGGAAATTGTTGCATTTCTCTCTCTCTCTCTCTCTCTCTGTGTGTGTGTGTGTGTGTGTGTGTATGCTTATGTTTTAAAATCTAGGAGTGATTTGTAATGGAGTGGAATGAATGGGGTATGAGCGTTTATCTATCTGGCTCTTTATAAGCTATGTTGTCTTTTCCAGGGCAAATAAATGATGAAGATTTCAAATCTAAATGTGATCATGGTGACTTCAGGAATATTGTGTTTAAAGGCTCTTTAGGAGGTTTAAGTCAGGATGTGGAAGGACGTTGTAAACCATGAAACACTGTGATTACAAATAATCTCCAGTTATTATTCTTGATTTCTAAAAAGCTAATCTCATTGCAGTTAGGCCTGATTCATTTAGTTATAAATGCAGTAAGAAAAGTTAACTAATATACATAAGCCTCTTTGTAGTCTGGTCAGAAAATCTAAAGCCATGTGGTGTTAAGCAACTACGTAGCCCAGAAAATTAACTTCTGTCTGGAGATTTCTTAAAAATCTTAGGAAATTTCAGAAGCCTCTCTTATTCTAGGTATATTGTTTATTGCTTTTATTCTGAGGCTAGACATTGCCATGTTGCCAGCCGGGTGTGGTGGCTCACACCTGTAATCCCAGCACTTTGGGAGACCAAGGTGAGTGGATAGCTGGAGGTCAGGAGTTCAAGGCCAGCCTGGCCAACATGACGAAAACCCATCTCTACCAAAAATACAAAAATCAGTCAGGTGTGGTGGCTGGTGCCTGTAATCCCAGCTACTCAGGGGGCTGAGGCAGGAGAATTGCTTGAACTCGGGAGGTGGAGGTTGCAGTGAGTCAAGATTGCGCCACTGTACTTCAACCTGAGCAATAGAGTGAGACTCCATCTCAAAAATAAAAAATAAAATAAAGTCATTGCCACTATTTTGCCTGTAGCATCTACAAATGAGGGTGAATGCATCTCTCCTTAAGAGAGATGGCCTCCAAGTCTGCCATTATAAGGTAACAGTCCAGGTTTCTGGGAGGGCCTCATGATTTTGCAAATAAAAAACAACCCTTGTTTCTTAATGATGGGCTTCATATTTAAGCAGATGAGACTGACACTCCAGGTGTGGCCTTGACTGTGCCATCTATTTGTTCAATTATTTACGAGTAAAAATGAGAACAGATTCTTACTGAATCTATACAAGTAACCCCATTGCCATTAAAAGTAAAGAGACTCAGACAAAGTGTTGTTCCTGAATTCTGAAAGGCCAGTGAGAACAAGATTACCATTTAAAAATCTTTCATTTCAAAATGTTTACAAAAGCACAGACTACTAAGTTAATGGTGAGAGATCAGGAAAAAACAGAAAACACTCTGTGATATCAGAAAATAGAACATTAAAAATAATACCAACAATATTATAAAACAACTAAAATTCTATTTCCTCATCAGTTCCTTTAGTCCAATATAATTATTTTTGCTCCACCAGATCTTGGGTCAACAGTTTGCTTTTATGAACACCCTTTGGAAATTATCTAAGAAATACCACCTTGGAAGCCTGCACCAATGAGTCTGTTAATTGAAGTGTCAGTAGTTCAAACTTGGTACGATTCTTTCCATGAGGTTCTAAGACTGTCCTTCATTGTTAAAGACCTCATTTCTAGGCTCTGACTTACAGCAAAGTTTTCACGTAAGCATGAGGGGAAGCAGAAGCTACCTGTTGGTGGTAGTTAATTTATGACAGTACCAACAGTATCCTAATGCAGGAGAAAATAATCACCTATTAGGGTACATGTTTAACTATCTAATATGGATTCTTTTTTTTTTTTTTTTTGAGATGAAATCTCGCTCTGTCACCCGTGCTGGAGTGCAGTGGTGCGATCTCAGCTCACTGCAACCTCTGCCTCCTGGGTTCAAGCAATTCCCCTGCCTCATCCTCCCTAGTAGCTGGGAGTAGAGGCGTGCACCACCACGCCTAGCTGATTTTTGTATTTTTAGTAGAGACAAGGTTTCGCCATGTTGCTCAGGCTGGTCTTGAACTCCTGGCCTCAAGCAGTCCTCCTGCCTCGGCCTCCCAAAGTGCTGGGATTACAGATGTGAGCTACTAGGCCTGGCCAAACTATCTAATATGGATTTGATCAGTGTTTTCCTACAGGATAAGAACACATTTGGGGGAGTGAGGGCATTGATAAATCCCCAGAGTCATTCTTTGAAATGAAACATTTAAGTAATAATGCTTTACCTGGACAAAATTGAGCAAGAGAAGGCTGACCTTTTCCTTTGATTTGACACCTCTTTCCATGCAGCTCTCACAATAATTTATGACAGGCAACAGGGCTGACCTGAGGTGGTGGCAGTTCAAATGAAGAGGAGGGCATGGGTACAAGGGAGAGGTCAGAGGTGAAATAAAAGGAAACTTTGAGTTGGCAACTTAGCCGTGGACAGAGGGAGGAAGAAGAGCTGAGCATGCAGTCCACCTCCCCTTACCTGTCAGCAGCCCCTTCCAGAAGCTGCAGGCAGTGGGCATGGTGTCCACAGGCAGTCCTGGCCTCTGAGACACATTGTGGCTCTGGACCGTAGGAGGAGCTGTCTTATTTCTGTGCCTATTGCAGAAATGAGAGTTTACAGTCTTATAAATGCAGGTCTGTAAAAACTGTGGCAATACACACACGCACACACACGCACACATACACACACACAAACTGTTGTGGTGATATTTTATTTTCAACCTTACCTCTATTCTGAACCTCATTTCTGAGGTGAAACATAAAGTCACTCCCAGGTCAATTCTGTTAATGCAGGGCTGTACCTGAATTCCAGGAAGTAGAAGTGGGCTGAGGGCTTATGAGCTACAGTATTGGTGGGAGGCTTTTCCTGGTGTTTTCTTTTTCTTTGGGATCCATCCCCTTGGATGGAGTTCTTAACATCTTCAGTTAGGCCAGTGGTGTTCATTCTCACTGCATCTACCGAGAGACCTGTACTCACCTTGTCCACTAAGGTCACGGTGAATCCTCTTTCTTCTCTGTTAGATTTCTCTGGGTTTACTAGCCCTCTCAGCTTCTTCTTGGCCCTGTTCAGGGGCACAGAAAACTTGAGGAGGCCCTTCCGTGGTTTTCTGGCATCAAAAAAGACTGTAGTGAGGTTGCTATCCCAAGCCTTCTCTTCATGGATCTGTTCTGTTAGACCAAGATATGCATTAGGTTCTTTTAGAGGTGCCTGGCAACCGTTTCTATTCAATGCAGAGTACAGTTTTATGAGGCTTGCCTCAAATTGGCTTTCAAGCTGGTAGCCAAACACAGGTCCTCTTTACTGCCAGGGCTCCCCACCTGTCTCAGGTTTCAGAATCACCTCTTCCCAACCTAGGGTCCAGAACTGGGTGAGAGATGGGGAGAATTATGGAGAGGAGAATCCAACACTCACCTGCATGGTCTTCTCCTTTTCAGAGGTTTACTTCTTATAGCCCCACTTTGGTCAACACTGGATGTCAGTGTGGAGGATGTATGAGGCAGGTCTAACTCACTCTCTTCCAATCTCCTAGTGTGCTCTGCTTCTCTGCCTCTTCCAGCCTTTGGTCTTTTGAGTTATAACATCTTCAGCTCTGGCAAATCAGAACTCTCTTGTCTCACCTTTAAGTTTCATCTGTTTTTTTTTTTTTTCAGAAGTCAAAGCCAAGATTTTTTTGTTGTTGTTGTTCTCTTTGTTTATCTGGCATCTCTCCTTTGGCATGTCCCCTGAAGAGATGGTGGAACCTGAAGAGATGGTGGAAGGTGGGACCATCTTTTAAAATTTCCGAATATTTCTTTCTTTTTTTTTTTTTTTTTTGAGATGGAGTCTCGCTCTGTCGCCCAGGCCGGACTGCGGACTGCAGTGGCGCAATCTCGGCTCACTGCAAGCTCCGCTTCCCGGGTTCACGCCATTCTCCTGCCTCAGCCTCCCGAGTAGCTGGGACTACAGGCGCCCGCCACCGCGCCCGGCTAATTTTTTGTATTTTTAGTAGAGACGGGTTTCACCTTGTTAGCCAGGATGGTCTCGATCTCCTGACCTCATGATCCACCCGCCTCGGCCTCCCAAAGTGCTGGGATTACAGGCGTGAGCCACCGCGCCCGGCCCTGAATATTTCTTACTACATCTCTAAATTACCTCCTGACAAGGGCAGGTGACTTCATTGCCTTATCTCTCTCATCTCCATAAAGCCAGTCCAGCCTCAAGAGTATGAAGCAATGGTTATCCACAAAAACAAAAAACAAATAAAGGAAAACACAGTTAAAAAGAGGGAGATGAAATTGAAATCTCTGCGTTGGGCTGGGGTTCTGTGCATTTTTTTGTTTTTTTCAGGAAAGGTCTCTCCCAGTTTCTCTTGGTATTTTTTAGGACCCAACAGTCAGCCCCGTCAGCAAAGTCACTTTTTAGCTCTGACCTGAATTCTTCAGCTCCAGGGCATTGCTGATGCTTTTTCTTCAGTACTCGGTGAAAACCATGAGGAAAGTCTGAGGTGCTGTCTTTATTATTATTATTATTATTATTATTATTATTATTTATAATGCTTGAAAATCTCAAGAGGAAATAGAGGTCTCTCAAAAGTGGAGGCTTTAAGGTAGATTTTTCAGCTAGCCCATACTCCACCCCTTCTGAACCTGAGCATCTGCCTGCTCTGCCCTACTTCCCCTGTTTCAGGGACATAAACCACTCCCTTCTGGCCTGAGCATAGCAGCCCCATTCCCTGCACCTCATCTGAGAAGGGATTTGGAGCTTCCCCTTCCCCGAGGTGAGGACTTGGCAGGGTTGTAGGATTTTGGATCAAGAAGAGTCTCACTTATCCACACCATGTTGAGGAGTCTTCTCTGTTCCTCCAAGGTGCCACAGCTTTCCCCATACGGACCAGGGGAAGGCCAAATGGGTGGGGCCTCAGATCTCCTCCAGAGTGACTCCATTCTTACACGTTACCACTTAGATTACACCTGTGGGAAGAGTTTGACCACCACTGGTCTTTATTCAGTCCACATTCACCAGAAGAGAACCCTGGAGGCTCACTGAGAAAAGATCCTTGCGTGCCATCAGCTGACAGCTCACCTGACCCTGGGTCTAGTGAGTTTGTTCCTATCACGTGTGGGTACATCCTCAGTCACAGTCAGCAGCATCTTTAGCCTGAAGATGGTGGCAGGTCTGTATGATGGGAGTTAAATTTAATTTCTCCTGGGTCTGAAGTCACTTGCCCACATCTTACAGTATTAACCATCAGGCAGAGAATGTCACCACACTCCCAAACCAGCAAGGTTTAGAATGGCATCCTA
The DNA here is from genome assembly GCF_000001405.40 of Homo sapiens. Classification (NCBI taxonomy): domain Eukaryota; kingdom Metazoa; phylum Chordata; class Mammalia; order Primates; family Hominidae; genus Homo; species Homo sapiens. The sequence goes on along the minus strand of NC_000005.10, from coordinate 137,061,770 downwards.
CAGACGCCCTCCCACCCGCCCCCTCCACTCTATCTCTAGAAGAGGAAACAGAACATTCTCCAAGGACAGCTCCTTCTTTTCTTCTGTTGGCACAGATTAGATCAGAAGGGATGTGGCTCCAGCCTAAGAAATTATGGAGAAGGCTGTGGAACTGTTACCCACTTCCTGGCCTGACATGAGCTGGGAGGTAGGAGCAGGATGGGGGCAGGTTTGGTGCAGGAGGGGAGGAAAGAGAACTGCAAGTTTTTCCAACAGGGCATGCTAAAGAGGAAATAACAACTTCCCTCCAGCTGAGCTATTTAGAACAGTAGAAAAATAGTCTACAGTGATTTTCTTTTCTCAAACGGTGTTTTCAACCCGAGGGCTAGATTCTGGGGGAAACTGTCTTGGGTTGACAGACGGTTGTCCAATTCCATTACTTATCACAAGTGGAGCTGGAAACGTGGATAAAAGGGAACAGGAGGCGGTGAAAAAGGGAATGGGGTAAGGAGTTCCTCCTAGCTGTAATGTCTCAATGGAAAATTCCTGAAAGAATCCTGCTGCAGAGGCTCCTAGAAAAATAGAGATTTATCTTTGCATCCAGGAAAGAACATTTTTGTTTAATGCCCGTTGTGTAAGAGAGTGAAAGCCTTGGGCTTGCAAACTTGGAATTTAAAAGCAGTTTATACTAACCTTTCGATACATATTCAGCTTCATTCACTTGTCATTCAGTACTACATTTGGGTCAGAAATTAAGCACATAAAGGAATATTTTTTAGGGCCTTGTTATTCTAAATGTCATGACCTTAAAAAAATGCTTGAGAATTAAATTGGCAACTGCATCAAAGAAGAAAAATTCATTTGTCAGGACTCTGAGGTAACTGCTGACTTTGACTTTGATCTCAGATTCTTCCTCTTCTGTGAGTTCAACTCTGGGAAAGTGCACCACAGGTTTTCCTGGTCCTCTGAAGTCTATTTGATAGCAAGTGATTGGGGAAAGCTAAAGGTGAACAGAGAAAGAAGGATAAGCTGAGGCAAAGGGTAGCTGCGGTCGGAACCAGAGTTCAGTGAACGGGATAGAGGTTTGTGCTAGAAATTAATGGCTTTGATAGTTTGCCCAGACAGCACTCTTATCCTGCACTTACTGTTTTTTTTTTTATGTACAAAATTAACATACATTCTTTTTATTTTAACTTTTAGTTTTAGGGGTATAAGTGCAGGTTGGTTCTATAGATAAATTGCATGTCATGAGGGTTTGGTGTACAGATTATTTCATTTCCCAGATAATAAGCATACCCAATCGGTAATTTTTTGATCCTCACCCTCCTCCCACACTCAACCCTCAGGTAGGCCCTGGTATCTAGTGTTCCCTTCTTTGTGTCCATGTATACTCAGTGTTTAGCTCCCATTTATAAGTAGGATGATGCAGTGTTTGGTTTTCTGTTCTTGCATGAGTTTGCTTAGGATAATGGCCTCCAGCTCCATCCATGTTGCTGCAAAGGATATGATCTCACTCTTTTTTATGGCTATGTAGTATTCTATGGTACATGTGTACCACATTTTATTTATGCAGTTTACCACTGATGGGCTTTTAGGTTGATTGCATGTCTTTGCTATTGTGAATAGTGCTGTGATGAACAGACGTATGCAGGTGTCTTTATGGTAGAACAATTTATATTCCTTTGGGTAAATACCCAATAATGGGATTGTTGGGTCAAATGGTAGTTCTCTTTTAAATCCTTTGAGAAATTGCCAAATAGCTTTCCACAGTGGCTGAACTAATTTACAGTCCCATCAGCAGTATATAAGTGTTCCCTTTTCTCTGCAGCCTTGCCAGCATCTGTTATTTTTTGACTTTTTAATAATAGCCATTCTGAATCATGTGAGATGCTATTTCATTGTCGTTTTGATATGTTTCTCTAATGATTAGTGATGTTGAGCATTTTTTCATATGCTTGTTGGCCATGTATATGTTTTCTTTTGAAAAATGTTCATGTCCCTTGCCCACTTTTTAAGGGAGTTGTTTGTTTTTTACTTGTTAATTTAAGTTCCTTATAGATTCTGGCTATCAGACCTTTGTCAGATGCATAATTTGCAAATATTTTCTCCCATTCTGTGGGTTGTGTATTTACTCTGTTGATGTCTATTTACTCTCTTTTGCTATGCAGAAGCTCTTTAGTTTAATGAGGTCCCATTTGTCAATTTTTGTTTTTGTTGCAATTGCTTTTGGCATCTTTGTCATAAAATCTTTGCCAAGGTCTATGTCTAGAATGGCATTTCCTAGGTTTTCTTGAAGAGGTTTTATAGTTTTAGGTTTCGCATTTAAGTCTTTAATCCATCATCCCAGTTTGGTTATTTATTTATTTTGCATTTACCTTCAATTATTTCTATATGCATATAATAATTTTTTAACTTTACTCATCCATAATTGGGATTATATTCTACATAATGTTTTGCACCCTGCCTTTTATATATCATACATATATTTTCACGTAAGTACATGTAGACCTATCTAGATATGTGTGTATTTGCCTGTCTGTCACCAGCTAACCTGCCTGCTTCCTTGAACTCCAGACTTAAATATGTAATGACTACTTAGCATTTCCACTTGGATGCCCCTAGGCATATCAAGCTTAATGTCTAAAATCAAACTTTAAGACATCCTTGTCTTGTATTATAATAGCTTCCTAATTGATCTCCTGGTCCTTACCTTCTTTTTTTTGCACATGGTAGTCCAGCTGATTCTGTAAAATGTAAATCAGATTATGTAGTCCCCTGTTCAAGACACTCCATCTTGTTAAGATTAAGAGGAAAAGTTAAAGTCCTTTCAGTGACCTGCAAGGCAACATGCTCTGGTCCTCTGTTACGTGTCTGTCCCCATCTTTTGCTGCTCTGATCCTTGTGTGCTCAGCTCCAGGCACACAGGTCTCCCTGGAGCTCCTCAAATGTGCCCTTCTCACCACTGCCTCAGGGCTTGGCACTGACCATCTCCTAGGCCAGGACCCTCTTCCCCAGACATCCATGGGGCCACTCCGTCAACCACCTCTTTAAATCTTTGCACAAATGTCACCTTCTCAGGAAACCTTCCCCTGAACTTCCTACCTACCTTCTCCTATTTATTTTTCTCTGTATCATTTATCACCTTCTAATATATTCGTTTGCTTACCTTTTTTCTTTATTGTCTATCTTGCCCAAGTAGAATGGAAGTTACAGGAAGTCTTTTTGTCTAGATTTTCAATGACTGACAAATGTCAAATGAATCTACTTCATTCTTTTTAAAATGTTGTCCATTGTACATATGTACCATAATATACAATGTTTAAAATAGTAAACAGATGATTTATGGCACAAGATAGTCTGTATAAAGTGCTTAATTTGTGAATTGTGCTAAGCACTTTATACATATGTTTAATCCCCCTAACAGCCAAATAATGTTATCTCCTTTGCTGGTGAGAAAATTTGAGATTTGGATCTGTTCAGTACCTTGCCTAAGGCCACACAGATAATAGATGACAGAACAGGGATCTGAAACCTTTTCTGGAACTTGTGCTCTTACCCTTACATTATACTGTGTTCTTAACCTAAATTCAATGTCCACTGAAAGGTCGGGCTTCCTTTGAAAAAAGAAAAAGTGCACACCCCACTCTTCCACACGTGTCCATCCGCACACTTTAAGCTAAATTTTCCCATGCTTTCGGTACTCAGAGAATATAGCCCTTTACGAGATCACAGCCTTCACTGATGGGATTTTTCCAAAGTGAAAGAATTAATGTCCTCACACATTTTCTCCTGTCTTTTTCTCAAGCAGGCTTAGCTCTCTGAAGTTTATCAAAACACTGGCATGGGCTCATTGTTCATCACCATATTATGCTTTTCTGATAGCTACAAGTTTCCAACCTAGCTCTTAAAGATAAAAATTCATTTGTAATCTGTCCTGAGGTTGACTGTTCTTCCATTGCCCTGCTATCCATTACTGTGAAAAGAAAAGACAGCATTACAATAAAAAATAAATTGAAATTATCACCAGACGAAAGTAAGTGGCTTCCACCCCACAAAGCAGACTGCTTAGTGAAATGTTGGTAGGCCTCTTTCCTAGATCCAAGTGGTGTATTGGGAGCTAGGCCTTTGACAGGGCAGAGAGCAAAGAAAGGTGTGGCCCCAGTCCAACAGGTGTAGTAAGAATCAAATGAGCTCAATTTTAGCTATAAAAGTAGAGTTACAGTTCACAAAATATAACTTTTATCATCATTGTCATATCAATGATGATGATTCTCTGTTTGAAAACCCAAAGTGGCAATTACATATAAAGCAGGAATGTCACTTTGATAATTTAACTTGAGGAATATATAATGATGCCAGATAAAGCTCAGAATCAATAGTTGGTTGAATGTATAGTGATAGATGTTCAGGTTGGTTAGAGCTGCAACCAAAACACAAACAACCATCCAGCTCTCTCCTTATTCTGAAGAGACTGAAGTAAAAGAGGGAACTGAGATGTGTTCAAATCACAAAGAAGTAATTAGAGTAAAACCCTGTGTTCCTCTCCTAGTCCCAGAAAGGTCACCTCTAAGGCCCTCCTGCTTGAAAAGAGTGAGCAGCGCTCTATGGCAAGAGAAAAGACCTGCTGACACAGTAGGAGATCTGGTTATGAATCTTATTATTTCAAGGCTTAGAATGAGCTTAAAGCAGCAATAACTTCAGAACAATTTAGGGGAAGTACTGGGAGGGTGAGGAACAGTGATATTAGTAGAGAGGAGACCATAGGGTCTGCATAATGTGGGAAGCCCTGCTTTCAAGTTTCCCAGTGATGTAGTAGCAGGTCTTCCTGGAGGCAGGTCCTTCATACTTGCGTAAATTTTACCATGTAGAAGGATCTTGAATGAACAAACCTAGCCCACCTGTTGCATAGCAGTCGGTGGTGGGGGGAGGGTCTCAAGAAGGTAGTTACATGTGCCTGTCTCCTCTCATCCTAGCCAAGAGAGCACCAATTTACTCTGGACTCCTTGGCCTTACTATGTTTGGTCCAAGCTTGAGTCTGCTAAATGGCTGTTGCCACCAAGTCATGTGTGGAAGTGGAGTGAGGCTGTCAACCAAGTAGATCTCCTGGGCTTCACTCAAAAACAGATGTGATCATAGCCGCAGCCAAGAAATACTCCGGAAAATGACTTGCAAAAAAACTAAGTTAAAAAAAAAAATAAAAGTCCTTTTTTATGAGGGCTACTAATCCTATGGAACTACCCCTGAGAAGTATTACAGAGGCTGAAGAGGCCTAAATCTCTCTCCCTGTATCTCCCAAAATCTTAGAATTTAGGATATTATATCCTAAGCCAGGCCAGTCACCAGGGAGTTTTTGCACTCCAGGACAGTAGCTTGGAGTGGACGGCATCATGTCCCCTTACTCCCTTGACCTCATCTAAATCCAGATCTCAGTCTATGACCTGGTTCCTTTAGGGTAGGATACTGCTGGTTCTCCCCAGCCTCCAGGATCTGGCATCTGTACTTCCCATAGACCCCCTGTCCCCCACCCCCACATGGTTGTGTAGCTGCAACAGCGTCCCCTCACCTGCCAGACTTCTGTCTGTGATTCACACCTGCCAGCCTGTCTTGTCCACCAGGGTCTTCAGCTCCAGCTTTTCCTACAGCCTGTTGGCTGCTGTGTGTACCATGCCCAGGACAGTGCATGGCACAGATTAGACTGACTTCAATCATTTGTGGAATGAAGTAACTGAGGAAATGTATAGGGTCTTACTGTTTTCCAGGCACATTTATGTACTTGAGATTTTGGTGGTCCCAGCCCTTGGAAAAGTTGGGTTTTGTAGGTGACTTAGGTCCCGAAGTCAAAGAGGCAGGTTCCTCCACCTGAAGGTACTTGTCTATGTACTTCCCTACATGGGTCATTCTGGGGCACGACCTCAGGCTAACAGGTAACTGCTGTGCGTTTCTGGCTCCTCTGCACTGGGAAGATGCCATCATCAGAAGCAAGCTCAGGCAGTCTGTTCTTTCCCTACAGCCCACCTCCCTGACTAGAGAGAAGGGCTCAAGGTGTCTCAAGAAGCAAGTATTTTTGCCTTGATGACAGAGGTGTAGCATCCTGTGGTATAGAACATTCTGTTTAGTGTTTCCTTGTGCCCTTGTGAGAACACAGAACATTTATAGCCAGAGGAGGGAGTATCTGGAGATTACAAGCATTTGTTCTCTTTTGAGTGAAGAGCTCCTGTTATAAGAATTATACATAGTTCTGTGTTGTGAAATAGTTGGCTTAATATCTGATTACCATTGTGCCCAAGAGGAAACTTGCCTACTTGGGGAAAGCATAGTGAGTTAAAATAACACAGATCTGTTACTTCGTGTACCTTGCTTCTCAAGGCCTCTGAGCTATATTTAAAATTTAAAGCTTAAAACAATACCCCCAGAGGGTTTTTTTTGCCCTAAAATTGAGGACAGTGACTGGGTCTGTTGGTAATGAGTAATGTATCTTCATCCATTCAGCTGTCCATCCAGCCAGCTGGCATTTATTAAGTGCCTGTTCTGTGCCCAGGTCCTATGCTCTTTCTCCCTTAAGTGGGATAACAAGAACTCTTAGGACCAGATACAACCACAGTGTGTTGCTCATGGGTCTGCATATGGAGCTCACTTATGTCTCAGGGTAATAATTGTGTCGAGCTGAGCTGTTTTCCATGTCTTTATAGAGCAGAGTTTATAAGTCCAGGACTCCAATAATTTTTATTGCTGAGTACGTTTCTATAATTTTGACATACTACCATTGTGGTCTCTGTGGTCAGAAGAACTAGGTTTCATTTCATGTGGTTGAAACAAGGAAACCTATTTAAAAATACAAGTGATTCTATTACATTTTGGACCTTATGTACTGGCACTGTAAACTCATTAGATTGTGACCTTCTAGAAAGCAGGGATTATGTCTAATTTATCTTTATATCCCCAGCATAGGATCTGTCGAATGTATGGTCACCACTAAGTGTAAATATTAATTTGTAATATGTCTGTTACAAATTTAATTAGAGCAATACTTAATAAATATCTAGATTAAATTAGTGCATTTCTGCTTCCTATTATGAGTTGTTTATTCTCCATATGGCAGAGACTGACCTCCTTCTTGGTTTACTCCAAGACTTCTGATTCAAGTTGGCCTCTAAATTCTCTGGGTGGCTTTCCTTGTTGGCGTTCTGTGATAACCACACTGACTCCTTTGTCCTCTGGGGCCCTGTGCACCTGGTTTGTTGCCTCCTTGTCCCATGAGCAGCAGCTAAGGGACATCACAGTGTGGCCTCTGCCACATGTGCTGCCTTTGCTTTCTGTCTTGTACAGGAAGACTCCTGTCCCCCTGACCTTCCATGAGCCTAACTCTGTATCTTCAAGGTTTAGGCAAACTTGTTTGCACTTGTCTATTATTTGCCTTCAATTATATATGATAAGACTTGTTGAGAGGGAGTCTTATACACTAGAAAATGCATTGCCTGTGGAACCAGGCAATTGTAAAGTTGAATTCTAGCCCCAGAACTTGCTAGCTATGTGGCTTTGGGCAAGCTACTTAACTTCTCTGAGTCTCAGTTTTCTCATCTGTAAAAACAGATAGATAGGCCTATCTTGTGAGGTTATTAGAATGAAACAAATTAATTGAGATAATTATGAAAGTGGCTGGTTCTAAAAGGTGCTCAATGTATACCATTTTCCTTCCTTTTTTAATGTGTGTGCATGCGCATGCACACACACATACACACAGACATGGATCTGCTCTTTGTACAATTTGACAATACCAGCCTTCCAAAAGACCTTGGAATTCTAGAATTAGTCTTGTAGACATGTAGCAGAGACACTGTTAGTTGTCTAGCCCATAGCCATTTGATTCTGGTTTTCTTTGAGGAAGAATAAGCTCACCTGCATTCTTATTTTCCCAGTCTCTTCCAGCTGAGGATGTGGCCCTGTGATTCAGTTCTGGCCCGTGAAATGCAAGTAAAGTCTTCTAGAGATTTCTAAGAAAGCTTTTGCTTTTATAACAAACAGGGACAGGCAGAGCTTGTGCTGTGTTTTATCCTTGCAGAGGTGTGAGTGGAGCTGCAGCAGCCCTTTTGTAGCCACAAGATGCCAAGCCTAAAGCTTCAGACCCACCCCCCACCCATTAAGGATGACTGAGCCGAAGCCCAGAAAGAACCTGGGTCCCCAGTGGCACTATGGAGTAGCTGAAGCAACATTGTGACTGCCTTTCTTCTGATTTCTTGTGTCACAAAGTAAATCCCCATGAATTTATGCCACTGTTAACTAAGCTTTCTTATTTGCAGCTAAACACATTTTCTAATGGAGATAGAGCACATCCTTTTTACAGGCAATATTGGTGCAAGGTCAGAAGTTGTCAAGGTGCCAGGAACAATGGCAACTTGGTATCTAGGGGAGGAGGAGACCAGAGATGGCCTCAGGAGCCATCTCTGGTTTACTCCAAGACTTCTGATGCAAGTTGGCCTCTACACTCTCTGGGTGGCTTTCCTTATTGGCTTTCTGTGATAACCACAACTGACTACTTTGCCCTCTGGCGCCCTGTGCACCTTGGTTTGTTGCCTCCTTGTCCCTGAGCAGCAGCTAAGGGACATCACAGTGTGGCTCAGAGGTCATGCTTCTTGTCTCAGGAGCATGTAGTTCCTAGAATTAGCTAAAGGGCTTAGAATGTCCTGGAGAGGGAATATTTGACCTATGGTTATAAATCATGTGTTCCTCATGCCTTGGAAAGACAGAAAAGGGAGCAGAAAAATTGTCCCATGGTACCAGCCAACAAGGCATGCTGGACCAGAACACCCTGTGCCTGCAGTTGGACAGAAGAAACCACCTAACTGGAGAAGACAGTTATGTGATGGAAGACAGGAGACATAGGCTCATTTAAAATGAGCATTAAAAAAAAATAGGAGTTATACATATTTATTATAGAACACTTAAAAATACTGCAAAATACAAAGAATAAATTTTTAAAATTACCCAGCCTCCCAAACTGAATATAATAAAATACTATTTAAAAATCTTTACTATTAGCTTAATAATACTTAATTATATTCCCATATCATCAATTATTCTTTTAAAAACTGATTTTTAATGGCTGCATGGTGTTCAATTCTATAAAAGTACTATAATTATTGTAACTAGTCCTTTATTATTGAACATTTAGCTTCTCTAATTTATAGTTATAAATACTGATTTTATGAACAACAATGTATATTAATTTTGCACACACCTTAATTATTTTCATAGGATGCATTTTTAGAAGTAGAATTTCTGGGTAAAATGGCTTGTATACTGTAAGTCTTCTGTTACATACTAGCAGAAATTCTTTCAGAAAAGATGTGCCACAAGTGATGTGTAGGAATGCCTAGTCAGAGGACCACTGTCATTTTTGGATACTATAATTTTTAAAAGAATTTTTCCACTTTGTGGGTTAAGAAAAAGGTAGCTTTCTTAGCAGGGATTTAGTTTAACGGTAGGTGACTGACACTCCTGAACCTAAATAACAGTGGTTTAAACAAAAGAGGGTGTATTTCATTTTCACATAAAATGAGTCAAGTGGTAGGAAGTCCAGGGCTTGTATGAGGCAACCTCAATCATAAGGGAACCAGGCTCCACTCTTGTTGCTCAAACAAGTCTGCCTCATGGTCCAAGATGTCTGCTAGAGCTCCAGCCATTCCAGCTTTAGTCCAGTCAGTGGGAAAAATTGAAGAGCAAAGAAGGGCACCCCTTTCTTTTGAGCAGACCTCTGTGAATTTGGATACAGTTCTGCTTACATCTCAATGGCCATCTCAGTCTGAATTTAGTCTGAGTACAGTCACGCATGGTCCTACCTAGATGCTGGGGAGTACAGAGTTTTCAGGTCAAAAGCAGTAAGCCAGCAGAAAATCAAGGTTCTCATTACTAGGCAGAAGAATGGGTCTTGGGAGACAATTATCTGACTCCTACACATTTTGATTTCTTACTTCTTTGATCATACTGGAGGTTAAAGGTGTGTATGTGTGCGTGTATGCTATTTGTAATTATTTTTAAAATGCCCTATATCCTTTATGATTTCCCTTTTAGGATGCTGATTTTTTTTCTCAATAGTTTCTCAGGTTATTCTTTTATATCCTTAATTTGATATGAATTCTTCATATGTAGTTCACTTTTCCCCCAATATGTCATTTGTTTTTAACAGTGGTTTCTGATGAACTAAGATTTTGAGGTTTTTATCCAGTCAGGTCCATCATTCTTTTTGTTTAGAATTTCTGGCATTGATATGTGTTTATAAATCTCTGTCTTACTCTGAGACCAGATAAAATTTCACCTATGTTTCTATTTTGTTCTGTCATGGCTTGAATTTTTCATGTTTGATGCATAAGGCCAGTGGCATTCAAACAGGAAGAAATCATTTCTACAGTAAGCCAATACCCAAAGCTTTCACCAGGCAGCGCCCTTACTCTGTAAGACATGCCCTGTTTTCTTTTCTCTGCTATCATACCTCATGTTTGGGAAAGATTTTTTGAGGACCCATTCGTAGATTGCAACTCGTAGTTGGAAAAGTACTACTAATAATCAGTCTCATACTTTTTGGGGTATAATAGGAAAACTGAAACTGTATTTTGTGTGTGTGTTTTAAATAGCCAGTTCAAAAAATGACTTTTACTCAATAATTCATTTTTCACCTAACAAGTTATCCGCTTTTTCATATTTTTTCATGGGTATTCTTATCTATTCTCTCCGACGATATTCAAAATCATTTTGAAAACTTTAAAGAAATGATATTTAGATTGGATTTACAAAGTAATTGGAGAAGAATTGATAACTTTAGAGTTAAGTTGTTGTTCCATCTGGAAATGTGGCACACATCTCTCCAAGCCTCCTTGGAAAACGTCTGCAGTTTTCTTTCAGAATACGGGAGTATTTCTCATTACATTTATGACTAGAGAGTCAATGTTTGAGATTGCTTTTTGTGAATGAAATCTGTTTTCCATTTTTGTTAAAATGACTATTTCTTTCAAATAGGAAATCTTGATTCTGACAGTTTTTAGTTTATCATTTTGGATTTTCTTTAGAAAATGATATCATCTGCAGATAATGGGCATTTTTATCTTCCTCTCTAAAGTAAATTTTAAGAAATAGTCATTTATCAAGATGGCCGAATAGGAACAGCTCCGGTCTACAGCTCCCAGCGTGAGCGACGCAGAAGACGGGTGATTTCTGCATTTCCATCTGAGGTACCGGGTTCATCTCACTAGGGAGTGCCAGACAGTGGGCGCAGGCCAGTGGGTGCGCGCACCGTGCGCGAGCCGAAGCAGGGCGAGGCATTGCCTCACCTGGGAAGCCCAAGGGGTCAGGGAGTTCCCTTTCCGAGTCAAAGAAAGGGGTGACGGACGCACCTGGAAAATCGGGTCACTCCCACCCGAATATTGCGCTTTTCAGACCGGCTTAAAAAACGGCGCACCACGAGACTATATCCCACACCTGGCTCAGAGGGTCCTACGCCCACGGAATCTCGCTGATTGCTAGCACAGCAGTCTGAGATCAAACTGCAAGGCAGCAACGAGGCTGGGGGAGGGGCGCCCGCCATTGCCCAGGCTTGCTTAGGTAAACAAAGCAGCCGGGAAGCTCGAACTGGGTGGAGCCCACCACAGCTCAAGGAGGCCTGCCTGCCTCTGTAGGCTCCACCTCTGGGGGCAGGGCACAGACAAACAAAAAGACAGCAGTAACCTCTGCAGACTTAAGTGTCCCTGTCTGACAGCTTTGAAGAGAGCAGTGGTTCTCCCAGCACGCAGCTGGAGATCTGAGAACGGGCAGACTGCCTCCTCAAGTGGGTCCCTGACCCCTGACCCCCGAGCAGCCTAACTGGGAGGCACCCCCCAGCAGGGGCACACTGACACCTCACACGGCAGGGTATTCCAACAGACCTGCAGCTGAGGGTCCTGTCTGTTAGAAGGAAAACTAACAACCAGAAAGGACATCTACACCGAAAACCCATCTGTACATCACCATCATCAAAGACCAAAAGTAGATAAAACCACAAAGATGGGGAAAAAACAGAACAGAAAAACTGGAAACTCTAAAACGCAGAGCGCCTCTCCTCCTCCAAAGGAACGCAGTTCCTCACCAGCAACGGAACAAAGCTGGATAGAGAATGATTTTGACGAGCTGAGAGAAGAAGGCTTCAGACGATCAAATTACTCTGAGCTACGGGAGGACATTCAAACCAAAGGCAAAGAAGTTGAAAACTTTGAAAAAAATTTAGAAGAATGTATAACTAGAATAACCAATACAGAGAAGTGCTTAAAGGAGCTGATGGAGCTGAAAACCAAGGCTTGAGAACTACGTGAAGAATGCAGAAGCCTCAGGAGCCGATGCGATCAACTGGAAGAAAGGGTATCAGCAATGGAAGATGAAATGAATGAAATGAAGCGAGAAGGGAAGTTTAGAGAAAACAGAATAAAAAGAAATGAGCAAAGCCTCCAAGAAATATGGGACTATGTGAAAAGACCAAATCTACGTCTGACTGGTGTACCTGAAAGTGATGTGGAGAATGGAACCAAGTTGGAAAACACTCTGCAGGATATTATCCAGGAGAACTTTCCCAATCTAGCAAGGCAGGCCAACGTTCAGATTCAGGAAATACAGAGAACGCCACAAAGATACTCCTCGAGAAGAGCAACTCCAAGACACATAATTGTCAGATTCACCAAAGTTGAAACGAAGGAAAAAATGTTAAGGGCAGCCAGAGAGAAAGGTCGGGTTACCCTCAAAGGAAAGCCCATCAGACTAACAGCGGATCTCTCGGCAGAAACCCTACAAGCCAGAAGAGAATGGGGGCCAATATTCAACATTCTTAAAGAAAAGAATTTTCAACCCAGAATTTCATATCCAGCCAAACTAAGCTTCATAAGTGAAGGAGAAATAAAATACTTTATAGACAAGCAAATGCTGAGAGATTTTGTCACCACCAGGCCTGCCCTAAAAGAGCTCCTGAAGGAAGCGCTAAACATGGAAAGGAACAACCGATACCAGCCGCTGCAAAATCATGCCAAAATGTAAAGACCATCGAGACTAGGAAGAAACTGCATCAACTAACGAGCAAAATCACCAGCTAACATCATAATGACAGGATCAAATTCACACATAACAATATTAACTTTAAATATAAATGGACTAAATTCTGCAATTAAAAGACACAGACTGGCAAGTTGGATAAAGAGTCAAGACCCATCAGTGTGCTGTATTCAGGAAACCCATCTCACGTGCAGAGACACACATAGGCTCAAAATAAAAGGATGGAGGAAGATCTACCAAGCAAATGGAAAACAAAAAAAGGCAGGGGTTGCAATCCTAGTCTCTGATAAAACAGACTTTAAACCAACAAAGATCAAAAGAGACAAAGAAGGCCATTACATAATGGTAAAGGGATCAATTCAACAAGAGGAGCTAACTATCCTAAATATTTATGCACCCAATACAGGAGCAGCCAGATTCATAAAGCAAGTCCTGAGTGACCTACAAAGAGACTTAGACTCCCACACATTAATAATGGGAGACTTTAACACCCCACTGTCAACATTAGACAGATCCATGAGACAGAAAGTCAACAAGGATACCCAGGAATTGAACTCAGCTCTGCACCAAGCGGACCTAATAGACATCTACAGAACTCTCCACCCCAAATCAACAGAATATACATTTTTTTCAGCACCACACCACACCTATTCCAAAATTGACCACATAGTTGGAAGTAAAGCTCTCCTCAGCAAATGTAAAAGAACAGAAATTATAACAAACTATCTCTCAGACCACAGTGCAATCAAACTAGAACTCAGGATTAAGAATCTCACTCAAAGCTGCTCAACTACATGGAAACTGAACAACCTGCTCCTGAATGACTACTGGGTACATAACAAAATGAAGGCAGAAATAAAGATGTTCTTTGAAACCAACGAGAACAAAGACACCACATACCAGAATCTCTGGGACGCATTCAAAGCAGTGTGTAGAGGGAAATTTATAGCACTAAATGCCTACAAGAGAAAGCAGGAAAGATCCAAAATTGACACCCTAACATCACAATTAAAAGAACTAGAAAAGCAAGAGCAAACACATTCAAAAGCTAGCAGAAGGCAAGAAATAACTAAAATCAGAGCAGAACTGAAGGAAATAGAGACACAAAAAACCCTTCAAAAAATCAATGAATCCAGGAGCTGGTTTTTTGAAAGGATCAACAAAATTGATAGACCGCTAGCAAGACTAATAAAGAAAAAAAGAGAGAAGAATCAAATAGACACAATAAAAAATGATAAAGGGGATATCACCACCGATCCCACAGAAATACAAACTACCATCAGAGAATACTACAAACACCTCTACGCAAATAAACTAGAAAATCTAGAAGAAATGGATAAATTCCTCAACACATACACTCTCCCAAGACTAAACCAGGAAGAAGTTGAATCTCTGAATAGACCAATAACAGGCTCTGAAATTGTGGCAATAATCAATAGTTTACCAACCAAAAAGAGTCCAGGACCAGATGGATTCACAGCCGAATTCTACCAGAGGTACAAGGAGGAACTGGTACCATTCCTTCTGAAACTATTCCAATCAATAGAAAAAGAGGGAATCCTCCCTAACTCATTTTATGAGGCCAGCATCATTCTGATACCAAAGCCAGGCAGAGACACAACCAAAAAAGGGAATTTTAGACCAATATCCTTGATGAACATTGATGCAAAAATCCTCAATAAAATACTGGCAAACCGAATCCAGCAGCACATCAAAAAGCTTATCCACCATGATCAAGTGGGCTTCATCCCTGGGATGCAAGGCTGGTTCAATATATGCAAATCAATAAATGTAATCCAGCATATAAACAGAGCCAAAGACAAAAACCACATGATTATCTCAATAGATGCAGAAAAAGCCTTTGACAAAATTCAACAACGCTTCATGCTAAAAACTGTCAATAAATTAGGTATTGATGGGACGTATTTCAAAATAATAAGAGCTATCTATGACAAACCCACAGCCAATATCATACTGAATGGGCAAAAACTGGAAGCATTCCCTTTGAAAACTGGCACAAGACAGGGATGCCCTCTCTCACCACTCCTATTCAACATAGTGTTGGAAGTTCTGGCCAGGGCAATCAGGCAGGAGAAGGAAATAAAGGGTATTCAATTAGGAAAAGAGGAAGTCAAATTGTCCCTGTTTGCAGACGACATGATTGTTTATCTAGAAAACCCCATTGTCTCAGCCCAAAATCTCCTTAAGCTGATAAGCAACTTCAGCAAAGTCTCAGGATACAAAACCAATGTACAAAAATCACAAGCATTCTTATACACCAATAACAGGAGAGCCAAATCATGAGTGAACTCCCATTCACAATTGCTTCAAAGAGAATAAAATACTTAGGAATCCAACTTACAAGGGATGTGAAGGACCTCTTCAAGGAGAACTACAAACCACTGCTCAAGGAAATAAAAGAGGACACAAACAAATGGAAGAACATTCCATGCTCATGGGTAGGAAGAATCAATATCGTGAAAATGGCCATACTGCCCAACGTAATTTACAGATTCAATGCCATCCCCATCAAGCTACCAATGACTTTCTTCACAGAATTGGAAAAAACTACTTTAAAGTTCATATGGAACCAAAAAAGAGCCCGCATCGCCAAGTCAATCCTAAGCCAAAAGAACAAAGCTGGAGGCATCACACTACCTGACTTCAAACTATACTACAAGGCTACAGTAACCAAAACAGCATGGTACTGGTACCAAAACAGAGATATAGATCAATGGAACAGAACAGAGCCCTCAGAAATAATGCCGCATATCTACAACTATCTGATCTTTGACAAACCTGAGAAAAACAAGCAATGGGGAAAGGATTCCCTATTTAATAAATGGTGCTGGGAAAACTGGCTAGCCATATGTAGAAAGCTGAAACTGGATCCCTTCCTTACACCTTATACAAAAATCAATTCAAGATGGATTAAAGATTTAAACGTTAGACCTAAAACCATAAAAACCCTAGAAGAAAACCTAGGCATTACCATTCAGGACATAGGCGTGGGCAAGGACTTCATGTCCAAAACACCAAAAGCAATGGCAACGAAAGCCAAAATTGACAAATGGGATCTAATTAAACTAAAGAGCTTCTGCACAGCAAAAGAAACTACCATCAGAGTGAACAGGCAACCTACAACATGGGAGAAAATTTTCGCAACCTACTCATCTGACAAAGGGCTAATATCCAGAATCTACAATGAACTCAAACAAATTTACAAGAAAAAAACAAACAACCCCATCAAAAAGTGGGCGAAGGACATGAACAGACACTTCTCAAAAGAAGACATTTATGCAGCCAAAAAACACATGAAAAAATGCTCATCATCACTGGCCATCAGAGAAATGCAAATCAAAACCACTATGAGATATCATCTCACACCAGTTAGAATGGCAATCATTAAAAAGTCAGGAAACAACAGGTGCTGGAGAGGATGTGGAGAAATAGGAACACTTTTACACTGTTGGTGGGACTGTAAACTAGTTCAACCATTGTGGAAGTCAGTGTGGCGATTCCTCAGGGATCTAGAACTAGAAATACCATTTGACCCAGCCATCCCATTACTGGGTATATACCTAAAAGATTATAAATCATGCTGCTATAAAGACACATGCACACGTATGTTTATTGCGGCATTATTCACAATAGCAAAGACTTGGAACCAACCCAAATGTCCAACAATGATAGACTGGATTAAGAAAATGTGGCACATATACACCATGGAATACTATGCAGCCATAAAAAATGATGAGTTCATGTCCTTTGTAGGGACATGGATGAAATTGGAAACCATCATTCTCAGTAAACTATCGCAAGAACAAAAAACCAAACACCGCATATTCTCACTCATAGGCGGGAATTGAACAATGAGATCACATGGACACAGGAAGGGGAATATCACACTCTGGGGACTGTGGTGGGGTCGGGGGAGGGGGGAGGGATAGCATTGGGAGATATACCTAATGCTAGATGACGAGTTAGTGGGCGCAGCGCACCAGCATGGCACATGTATACATATGTAACTAACCTGCACAATGTGCACATGTACCCTAAAACTTAAAGTATAATAATAAAAAAAAAAGAAATAGTCATTTATTTATGTCTCACTGTTGCTAAACACTCTGTACCTTATGTATGTTTCCATGTAATAGTCCTGAAAGCCCAGTGTTGGGAGGGACTATGATCTCCATCTTAAATACAAAAAAATACGCCTTTTAAAATTCAAATTCTTCCATCTGGCAAATGGCAGAGCCAAGATTTGAACTCAGATTATTCTTACTCTTCCACCTGGGCGTTTAAGTACTTCATTCTATTTTCTATATGTATGTTACATTTCTTTTGTGTGTGTGTCTTAATGCTTTGGTTAAAACTTTCACGATAAAGTGAATAATACTTTGCTAAGAAGTCCCTGCTATGGTAATTTCCGATGTTGCTGGGGCATAAATGGGAATCAAGGCTGTGAAGGCCTTTGCACACACCATCCTTCTAAGATTGGTCTGGTGAACTCCTGATGCGTCACTTAGAGACAACTCTCCTCACTTTCTTGGCTTGATCAATTCTTGGTCATTCTTTATGCTTAGAACACTGTGTTCCCCTTCTGTTCAGCAACTGGTGTCCAATAAAGCTCTACTATATCCCAAAGTCATTAATTTAATGTTAATTTTTTCACATAAACTCTTTATTTTAGAAAATTTTTAGATTTATAGAAATATTGCAAAGATAGTAGAGAGTTCCCAGATACCCTGCACCCATGTTTCTCTATTATTGTCTTACATTGGCATGGTACATTTGTCACAATTAACAAATATCAATACATTATAATCAGCTAAAGTCCATGTTTTAATTCATATTTCCTTAGCTTTTACCTAATTTCGTTTTTCTGTTCCAGGATCTCATCCAGGATACCACATTGCATTTAGTCATCAGGTCTTCTTAGGCTTTGCTAACATTTTCCTCATTTTGGATGACCTTGAAAGTTCTGAGTACTGGTCAGGTATTTTCTAAAATGTCCCTCAATTAGGATTTGTTCCATGTTGGTCTAATGATTAGAGTAGGGTTATGAGTTTTGGGGAAGAACCCCCAAGATCCACAGAGGAATCAGCACAAGTGTCATTGTCATCCTATGAAGTCATAATTACATGCTTATCTATATGACTTATCACCATTGATGCAAACCTTGATCACCTGGCTGAGGTAGTGTTTGTCAGGCTTCTCTACTGCAAAGGTACTCATTTTACCCCATTTCTACACCATACTCTTTGGAAGAAGTTACTACGCATAGCCTACACTTAAAGAGTAGGTATTTAATGTTCCATCTCCTTATGTAGATGCTTCAGGGTAGAGTGTCTACATAAATTATTTGAAATATTTTACATGAGAGATTTATCTCTTTTACCCCATTTATTTGTTTCTTAAAGCATGTATTAATATTTATATAATGTGGACTCATGGATATATATTTTGTGCTTGAGGTTATAATCCAATACTAACTATTAATCCAATACTAAGATTTTACATTTCAAATTGTTCCAGCTTTGGTCATTTGGCACTCCTTCTGTTGGTCTTGTGTCCCTTTGACATACCCCCACTGTGGTGTATTTTATTTACCTACTCTTGAACACTTCTGTAATTTCTGGCAGAAATAAAATATCCAGGCTCATCTTGTGTATTTAGTATCCCAGCCATAGAATCAGCAACTTCCACAAACAGACCTGGTTCTTTTTATTGTAGAATGGAATTAGAAACCAAGATCCTAGCACTCATTGTGCTCACTACTTCGGGAATGTTGTTGTTCTGCACTCTCATTTGACAGCAAGGGAATATATATGTGTATACTAATCCATATGTGTGTGTGCATGTGTGTGTATATAAATGTATGTACATACATTTATAAATTATTCTATATGTATCTATATTAAGCTAAATACAAGTTTATGCTAATGTATCCAACTCATTACCATGTCGTTATAGCTTCCTCCCCTTGCTTATCTGTAATTCTCCACTCCAACAGTAGGAAACTTGGCTCCCACCATCCACTATCCATTTACTTAATTCTTTAATCCCAGTATCAAAATTATTAGCCTCTATTTCCATGGGAAACAACTTTATCAACTAGAGTAGAGTGCTTATGTATAGGCTGTTTGCTTATAATCTCCACTCATTTCCAAAACTACACAGGTCAGCACCTTTATAATACATTCAGATTACTGTGTCACATTCTGCATTACATCCTAGGATCCCCTGGCCTCCTAAATGATTTTTTAAAAATTTGCATACATTAAGGTTCACTCTACGCTGTAAAGTTCTGTAGGTTCTCACTAATTCCTAATGTCATGTATCTGCCCTTATTGTATCATAACAAATAGTTTTATTACTCTAAAAATATTCTCTGTGCTTCATCTTTTCAACTACTCCTTTTTCCCTACCTCAAAACCCTGGGAACCACTGATCTGTTTACCTGCTCTACAGTTTTGCCTTTTCCAGAATGTCATATAAATGGAACTGTGCATTACATAGCCTTTTTATGCTGGCTTCTTTCACTTGACAATATTCATTTAAGATTCATCTAGGTCTTTTTGTAGTTTGATAGCTCATTTATTTTTTTATCACTGAATAGTAGTCCATTGTATGGATGTTTCATAGTTTGTTTATCCATTCACATATTGAAGGGCATCTTGGTTGCTTCCAGTTTTGGTGTTTATGAATAAAGGTGATATAAACATTTGAGTTCAACTTTTTGTGTTACCATAATTTTTCAAATCAGTTGGGTAAATACTTAGGAGTGCTGTTACTAACTTGTTTATAAGATATTTAGTTTTATAAGAAATGGAAAAACTGTCTTGCAAAGTGACTGCAGCATTTTGCATTTCCAGCAGCAATAAATGAAAGTTTCTGTTGCTTTGCATGATTGCCAGCAATTGGTATTGTGAGTTGTTTTGGATTTTAGACACTATAATAGGTACATGGTGATATGGTATTATTGTTTGAATTTGTATTTCCCTATGAAAAATGATGTTCATAAGCTTTTCATATGGTTATTTTCTATCACATATGGCAAAGTGTTTGTTCCCATGTTTTGTACACTTTTAAAGTTGGGTTGTTTATGTTCTTGTTGAATTTTAAGAGCGTTTGTATTTTGGATACAAGTCTTTTATCAGCTATGTGTTTTGCAAATATTTTTATTGAGGTTGTGGCTTGCTTTTTGGTTCTCTTAACAGTGTCATTCACAGAGTATAAGTTTTTAATTTTAATAAAGTCCAACTTATCTATTTTTTCTTTTATAGGTTGTGATTTTGGTTCAGCACCAAACTCAAGATCACATAGATTTTTTTCCCCATGTTTTCTTCTAGATGTTTTATAGTTTAGTAATTTACAGTTAGACCTATCATCCATTTTGAGTTAATTTTTCTGTAAGGTAGAAGGTCTCTGACTAGGTTCATTCTTTTGCATTTGAATATCTAATTATTCCAGCACAGTTTATTGAAATGACTATCCTTTCCTTGCTTTTGTGCCTTTAAAAAAAATCAGTTGGCTATATCTCATTCCTCTCTTCTGTTCCATTAATCTGTTTATTTTTTTTCCACCACAACCATGCTGCCTTTATTATTGTAACCTTATAGTAAGTCGTGAAATCTAGTAATATGAGACTTCATACTTTGTTTCTCTTCTTCAGTATTACAATGCTCTTTTTAAAAAAATGTAATTAAAAATTTTTTTAAAGAAATATGTATGGTTCCTAGCCTTTTTGCCTGATACATGTACATTGTCTGGGCAATCTAGTGCTGGCCAAGTACACAGTAGGCCCTCCTTTATCACTTGCTGACTGCTTAGAAGGACAGTAGGAACAATTTCCTTGGCCAGTGAGTTCAGCAGATGGTTGGGCATGACCATCTTGATGAGCCATTATGCCTCATCATCTCTCATGGGGTGACAGACACTTATGGTTCCCAAAAGAAAACTGATTCCTAGTGCTGATGATTAATACAGAGAGATGTGAAATTGATTGTTTTTAACAACAACAACAAAAAAGTTTTAGGATGAACTGGATCTCATAGTTGAATGGGAATTAGAACATCAAACATACCATACAGAAACAAAAGAAGCAGTTTAAGCAACAGATTTAGCTAAGGCTTCAGCTGGTGCAGAAACTTCTCTGGTCACTTCTATGGTCTGTCATATGGCAAATTGGGTATTGCTAAACGTCTCAGGCAGTATTTGTCCCTTATGTATTTTGTGGGCCTGTATTTACAGTGTTTTTCCACCTGTCTTCCCTTGCTCCCAGATATGTTTGGAGATTGTCTCCAGCACTTATCTCTTCTCTGCAAGGCCTATGCATGCTTTGTGATGAATTTGTAGCCACAGTGCAGTGCTTGGGCGAAAAGACATATGCCCAGTGTGGATTGGCAGCAGATGGTGCTCATCAGAATGCATTGAACAGTAATCCAAGCCCTCATGAAGTGCTAGCTTGCTGTTAACACCATCCTTCCCACCTCTTCGGATTGCTGGGTGGGCCCACTTCAGCTGGAAACTAATTCATACTGATGGTCCTTTTGCTCCAGGCTCAGAGCCCAGTCTCTGCGGGCATCACCACCTAGTGGGCACTGGGAAGCTGCTGGACACAGCCAGAGCAGGGAAGCAAGTGCAGGAGGAACAACAAAGGCCTAAGTGAAAATCTGGCTGTGCATGACAGCTCCGCATTAACCTTCAGAGAAGCTCTCCTGGGAGGTAACCTTGGCAGACTCCAGCCAGCAGCCGGTTCTGTTATTATTCAAAGTATAGGAGCAATGAATGGGTTGCCTGCAGGGATATTTGGTCATAACCTAACCTTAGGAAAGCTACCATGGAGGGAAGCTGTTGTTCAGGTGAAGAGCCAGGCACCTGTATACCTGTGAATACCCAGCATTGCTCTGGGTGCATAGAAGGTTCCCTTTGATGGGGCTGCTCTGTTCTTCTCTTTCAGGACCTGCCCAATGTGGTGGCTTAGTAGAAGCTAATAACAGCTTTGGGTTTATAGGCTAAATCATACACAGGGCTCTGATGCCAGGGCTACTCCTCCCTCTAGGCCATCATTAGCAAAGCCTTTCCTACTGATGGTGTGGGCCCTGCCCATGGGGGCGTGGGACCTGTTGCATGGATGATCTGGTTTGTAGGAGAGCCAGAGAGGTGGCAGGTAGCAGGTGAGGTAGCTTGTAATCTGAATTTGCATCTTCCAACTTGAGTCTTCTGCAAAGGTCAGCATACAGGGTGGAATAATACTGAGGAAAAGTAGTAACTGAAATTCAAGTACTCAATGGATCATTAGCATGAACATGGGCATTGAGGTCCTCAAGGATCAAGATCCATAATTTATTTTGTCTACACGTCTCAAGTTCACCTCTGTTCTCCTAGGGCTCCGGGTATAGGCAGAATGTCCCCGTTGCAACAACAAAAAAAAAAAAAAAAAAAAAAAAAAAAGTGTGGCAGGCAGAAAGGCAGAGTGATAAAGTCTTTCTAGATTCAGCATCTACTAGTTAAATCACTTTTAACAAATCCTTTACCTGTTGAATTCATGCCTTCATTGGAAGAATGGAAATAAGAATAACAATACCTCCTCGTGGAGTTGTTTTGAGGTTTTAATGAAATGATCAAAATAAAGCACTTGGAATGGGATCCAGCTTATAATAAGTGACATTATTACCACCACCACGATCATCATCATCTACACTGTTATTAGCAATAGGAAGGTCTGTGTAACAACATTCTTTCCACCCTCTGTCATCAGCTCTCTGCATTAAATAAAAGTCAGAGAACCGTTTTTGTTTCCTACTATATGCCGGACATATAGTAGGACATACTGATGAATACAGACATGCATACGCAGTTTCTGCTCTCATAGAGCTTATACCTTCTAGGGGTGAAACTTGATAAATTTATTAAATTTCATTAATAAATATAAAAATAAGCAATGCAATTTGTGATTATTAATTGCTTAGAAAACCAAGTAATGGCATCCATCTGATTTCAAACAGCCCTGACCCATAAGTTCTTTCCTTGGCTCATGTCATTGTCAATCTGTGACACAAAAAATATATTTCTATAAAAAGTAATGAGAGCCAGAGAGGACAGGAAAGTAAATTAAAGCCACTGCAAAGCTCCTCACCAATTTTTTGTTGTTGTTCTGGCATTAAGTAGTTATTCCCTTTGCCCTTCCCTGCCTTCTTCCTTTTCTCTCTTAAATCCCTCCATTCCATACCTCTCTTCTTCACTTTCAAACCACTCAGTCAGTTGAAACCTTGGCACTTAAAATATTTCTACAGGAGGAAGAGGAAAGGGGCAGAAGATGTCTACTGGGATCTTCATCCCTTCCCAGGCCTGGTTCTGGGCATTGTCAGGTACCTGCTCCTTACCTGCCAGATACCAGCATCCTGTATGCAGGGAAGCTTCACTGGGGTGAAGGGGTAGAGGGAGTGCTCAGAGGTCTGGTTTCCCCTAAGACAGAGTAATTTGACATCCAGTAAGGTCTTTCATGAGTCTCAGACTTTGGTGACAAAAGCATGGATCTACATAGCTTCTTAAACTGTCTTGCCCTCTATGTCAGCAGAGGAGAGGAATCATTCAGTGGCATTTCTTTCTTCAATCCATGAGGCTTTTGCTTCATGTTCCCCCACAACAGACTTACGGGAGAGACAGCTCCACCCTCAGGCAAGGGCATACATCTCAACCCCTCTTGCAGTTAGGTAGAAAGGTCTGTTGTTGTTCCCTAATACCTAGTTTCCCAAAGGGATTTTTCTATTCTATGACAAATCTGATATGGCCTCTGCCACCAACTCCCATTTATGTGATCATTAAAGTATGTAAATGCAGCTACTGGCTGCATTCCACCCACGTGAATGAGACCAGCACCCCTGGGTCACCTCTCCCTGCTCAGCTGTGCCACAGCCTCAAACATCAGGGGTAAGCAACTGGAGTTTCTGAAACTTCATTTCTAGGTCTGTTATTCCCAACGCGTATTTATGTATCAGGAAACTTTTTTTTAGGTTAGCGACTCCCATGAGTTCAAGGAATACAGCTCACCCCAGAGAAATCTGCAAGTGAGGCTAAGGGAGTATATGTATGCTGATCTTGCTCCTCCCTGATCTTAGTTGGAGAGGACAGTGGTGATTATACACTTTCTTATCCTAAACCACTTAGATGTTAGGCATTTATTATAGCAGCTGCTGTTACCTTAACAAAATACAAAATGAATTCAAACAGTGTTTGTTGAGCACCTGCTATGAGACAAGTGTTCTGGAAATTTGGGAGCCTAACAAGGTGGACTACAGAGGAAGGTTTGCTCTCATGGAGCTAGAATTGCAGGGCAGCACTTAATCCATCTATCTAGTATGTGTGGTACACATGTGTTCTGTCCATCATAGGCTAGGCACAGGGGATGAGGGCTACATTGTTATGTGCCTCCATTTCCCAGTACCTATTCCCGTCTAGTAAGATCTCTGTCTAGCATCTAGTAAGTGCTTGAAAATATTGTTGACGATACCATGACTTGGATCAGAGGCATCTCCTTCTGGTTCTTGGGGAGGCATGGGCTCCTGTCTTTCTTCCTAAGTAGGGGAGAAGGGTGCCTTGGATTCAGGTATACAGAATATGCCATCTGAAATTAGCTTTATTTTTCATTGTCTCATAGAAAAAGGAGCTTAAGCTCTAATTGCCACTATCGGAGCGAGAGCACCTGCTGGTTCTAGCACTGCCTACATTAGCGTGCAGCCACTCTCTCTCTCTCCCAGGGCTGCCGGGCTGGTAATCTGAGAGGGAAATGACTTCTGGTTGGGGGGTGAATGGGACTCATTGTTGCTAACTGCTCACCGTGTCTATCACTGTCTCACCTTTCCTTCTGAGGAGAGAAATCAATAGCACTTTAAATGTCTTGCTAAGTAAGTGTTTATGAAGCAGGTTCCCAAGGGCTTAGCCTGGGGGCAGTGCTCAGGGCAGCAGGAACTGCCTGGAGCAGGAAAAGCCTCAGAGGTGGAGGGGCCTCCCTCCCATCACATTCCGGCCTTACCGTCCTGTAAAATGACTGCCTCAGTGCCTGGGCTCTTTGAACTGGAAATTAGTCGGCATGCTTGTGAGGGTCTGAGAGAATGGCAATCACTCATTCATTCATTGATTTACTCATTTATTCCATGACACAAATTCTGAGCCCTGTGTTCAGTGCTGGACATGCCATCCCTGCCCTCAGCTTCCTGTTTGCAGGGCAGATAAACAAACAGGTTGATAGTTTTATATTGTACAACAAGAAGGAAGGAAAGTAGAGAGAGCTTAGGGAGGAGGACACAGGAGCAGATGGGATCATCAGAGAGGGCTTCCTGGATGGAAGAGAAGTCTTCATATGTCTTGCCATTGACTATTCCTTACCTGCAAACCTTCTCCAAGAGCTGCTGATTGTTAAAGAAAAAAAAAAATGGGCAAGGCAGAGAAATCCAGAACTATGTGATCAACCTCCCTGCTCAGAGTTACTAGATGGATAAGGGTTAATTAGAAAAATAATTAATATTTGCCAGAGCTGGTACCCAGCAGGTATTAGCTTCTTTCCTCTTCAAGAAAACAGATGCACTACCCTTTAACCCACCATCCTTGAGTGTTGCTTAGTCCTTTTTTGCTGTCAGGGACATATGATTTCCTATGCAAGCCCAGCTCTCTCCTGCCTCCCCTGCAGTTGTTCTGAGGACACCTCCCCTTTTCTGCTAGTCTCCCTCTCCTCACTCTCATCCTTGTGGGGAGCTCCATGAGGGCAGCTCCATCTCTGCCTCAATCCCTGGTTAATCCCCAGCATGGAGCACTGGGCTGACACATAGAAGGAGTCTGAACAGAGAGACAATGCAACCCTGCTCCTATCTTGGCATTGGTCTCTCCTTTCCCCACTGCCTTTGTTCAGCTTAGCTAAGAGAGAAGGCAAGTTGAGTAGTCTCCTGGGCACCGTGGGGTGAGGACTTGCTAGCAGACACATGCTCCCCACCACAGCTCCAGCTTGGGTTAGGCACAGTCCCAGCAAAGGCTGGCTATGATTCATTCTTGTGACAAGGGGGAGGGCATGAGCACACAGTGACCTCAGGATCATGCTTCTTCTCCAAGGAGTCTCAGACTGGAAGCCCCACCCTGAGGGATGGTCTGGCAGACAGGCCATCCTTGAAGGGCAGCAGCCAGCAGCCCCAGGTGAGCATTCCCCCTGGTTATAGCTTGCATCTCCTCCTCTCCCTTCCTAATTCACCCTCTTCCAGCTTTGCCGTCCTTCTTTCCATCTACCCTTCCTTTGGAAAAATAGCCACCTTGCAGAGAGGTACAGTGTCTGTGCCTTTGCCTTGCAAATCGGAGTCTCTGCCCAGAAATGGCTTCCTGAAAGCAGTGAAGACCCTGTATCTTCCCCAGGGGTTCTGTGATTCAGACTGACAGCTGCCATCCGCTGGGGGAGCCGCAGGGGCTGACAGCCACCACTCCGGTCCTGATACGGCTGGCTGTGCTCCTTGGCTGCCTGCTTTCTCCCTCTCCTCCTTCAGGCAGAGGGAGAGAAAAAAGAAGCAGCACAGACACCTGTAGAAATAGCACTAATTTGGCCTGATTTAAATTCAGGTGCTAACTTGTGGCAGTCCTGTGAATGTCAGGCTCAGGGCCTGAGGAGTTGCTTGTGGCCTCACTCACAGGGAAGGCATGCATCTGATGGAAGAACTCAGCCACAGCCAACCCCAGCAGTAGAACCCACTCTGGAGGTAGCCAATGCCCCCTCCCACCCCCACCAAGGCTGGGCAGGCCTACACCTGGACCCCTCTGGGCCGCCCGCATGTGCCCTTTTGTGTTCTCCAATTTTCCTCCTAGACACGCTTTGTCAGTTGGAAAATGCAGCTGCTGTAATCCGTGCCACTGTCCACACCAGCCTGGCCCCAGTGCCACATCCTAGTGCCCTTTCTCAACTGTGGATCTGTCATCACCACATGGCTCCTGTTTGGACTGAATATTTCCTTAACCACAGCCTCATAGTTCACTCTGGAACTCCGCACACCTAGGTTTCATTCCTAGTTCTGCTACCTCCTAGCCTCAGGATGGACAAATCATTTAACCTCTCTGAGACAACCCGAGTTTTCTGTGCTATAAAACAGGCTTATTGATAATGCTGAGCCCATGGAGTGTGACAAAGCCAGGAGATGATGTCTGTGAAATATTTTATATAGGGCTTGGAATACAGTGAGTGCACCGTCATGCCATCTGCCATCATCACAGCAATGGGTGCAAGGGGTTCTCACCACCAACAGCTGCCTGTAGGGATTTACAGCTCTGCCTCGGAGAATGCCATCCCTTGGCTCACTGTAGGGGTATTATGAGGAGCTGCATGAGGTCATCTTGGTGAAGTGTCTCCAGCAACTTTGGCACCTGGTAGGACCCCACCAATAAGTGGGTGGAGATTTCCCCTCGGCACTGTACATGGTACTCGCACAGCATTCTTCACTCTCTGTTGAAAAGCTTGGTTTCATTTGTCTCTCTCCCTAGGTCAAGGGCTCCTTGAGGGCAGGGACTTACTGCATGGTAGACCCTGAGCAGCCTGTCCTCCAGGGCAGGAGAGAATGCAGCACATGGCTATTGGAGTCCAAGTCATTCACCTGCTGGTTATTTGACAGGGACTTCCTGAGTGCCTACTCGAGGTCAGCCACTGTGCTACAAGGTAGAGTGTAATGGTAAAAAAGAAAAGGGTTCTGCTCTCATGGAGCTTACAGTTTAGTGGGAGACATGGACTGTGATGATACTATTATAAAACACAGTGTGTGATTAGGAATATGCTAAGTGTGTTAGGAGTAGCCCTGGTGGGGAGCAGTGGCTCATGCCTGTAATCTCAGCACTTTGGGAGGCCAAGCAAGAGGATCACTTGAAGCCAGGAGTTCAAGACCAGCCTGGGCAACAAAGTGAGACCCTCATCTCTACAAAAAATAAAAAATAAATGAAAATTAATAACAACATAGAGAAGCCCTGAAGAACAAGTACAAGGTACCATGAAAGAGAAGAGTGGTTGAAGTTGACCTCATTTGGGTGGGAGCAGGGAAGAAGGGCTTCCATTAGGAAATGACACCTGATCTGAGGCTGGAAGGATTTGTAAGTGTGAATGAGGTGAGGGAGAGGGGTAGACAGAGCTACCAGTGGGGAGACCCCTTCATGCATTTGAGTGGCTTTCAGATAGCGTGCAAGGTGAGTCCCGGGGACAAGGGAAGGATGGCATGAACATGCAGGAAGAGCAGTGAGGAAACAGCCCTGCATTTCCTTGGGGGCTGGGCTTCACAGACGTGGGGCATTTCAATAGAAAGGAAAAAAGGAATAGGGGTTTGGTAGGGAGGCAGGCTTGTCAGCAAATGCAAAGGCATGCAAATTCGAAGGCACGTAGCATGTTCAGAGACCATTGTCCTCTCCTGTGGAGTTCAGCCCTTACTGACATTGTGGCTCCATAGCATCCAGGCTTCCATGCTTCCCACACTGCAGGCTGCAGCACACCGGGACTCCAGTCTCCTCTTGCAGATCGCCAGCTGCTCCACCCTCACCCAGGCCTTCGGCCGCCACGAGGGAGTTCATCTCCCCTGACCCCCACTGGGCTCTCATTCAGCTGCATCATAGCCGAGCTGAGCTCACTTCCTGACCCTGAAGCAGCCCTGCCAAGTCCAGACCTAGACCTGCCTCTCTGCCCATCCCCAGCCATTTAGCGGGCCCACTTCTTCCTGATTTAGCTGCACTGAGGCTGTGAGGGCCGAGTTCTTGTGCATCTCTTCTTCTCAGGAACAGGAACAGAAGAATCCCTTTACACCTGGTGAACCACCTTCCTTTTTCCTGTTGCCCCCTCCTTCTCTGCCTGTTCCATCCTCAGCCTTCAAGTCCATTAGGGTCTCTCCTGTCTTGAACACCTCGTTACCACCATGCTTCTGAGTTCATCGTGAAGAACATACCGACTGCCTCCCTTTTCTCATCACCTGCCCCCACCACAGCAACCCTGATGGCTAAATCCTCAGCTACTTTCTCTCCATAGATTTTGGGGATGTTGACCACCTCCTTCCTTCCGCAAACTCTTCTCCTTTTGCCTTAGCTGATTGCTGGGCTTCCTCACCCTTGGTTTTCTCGTGAGTACCGTCATTTTCCACATTGCAGGAGCCCACACTTCTATTCACTTACGCTACCTCGTGCCTTTTTCTGGCACCATCATCTCTCAGCTTCCCCGCTGCACTGCCTGCTCACAAGCTTTCTTGCCTGTTCTTTTCTCCTTCCCACTCCCCTGTTCCCCAGCCCCAAATTAATCTTTTAAAAGATTAATGGAATAGTCATTCTTCCCTTTTGGTATAACCAGGCTCATTCTCATTGTCCTGTGAAAATGATTAGACTTTTGCCTATGCTGTTCCCAAACCTGAGAATCCTCTTTTCTTTGTCAACTCATGAAGCCACGCTAACCTACTGGGATTCCTCCTCTGGGATGAGACATGTTTATCTGTTTGTTTGTGGGGAGGATCTTTCTCATTGGTACTCCCAGTGAGTCAGCAAACGTGTACTGAGCTCCTGACATGTAGCTTGCTGTTCAGAAGTTTCTAGTGAGTTTGAGGAGATGGACAGATGTAGAGAATGCCAAAAAAGAAATGGCATTCCTGGCTGGGGAATATGTATATATTATATATTTATTTTTATTATATATTATATATATATGGGGAATATATATATATTTCTTTTTATTATATATTATGTATATGCGTGTGTGTATATATACACACACATGCATATATATAATATACACACACATATGTATGTATGTGTGTGTATGTATCTATATTGTAAACTCCTCTTTGATAGTTCACCCACAAGCTAGAACTGTATGTACACCATACATTTGTTAATCATTCTTGCCACTGTCATTTTCGCCACCCACTTAATTCTTGATTATGATAAAAAGAGTTTTTCTGAGATAAAGCTTAGGCTTTGAGGACTTGGTATTAATTCCCTGGATGGTGTCTACCGTTAAAAAACAGGGTCTGATAATTCCTGTTAGTTGCACAGTGCAGGCTGTGAGTGTTTTGTATTTGTTAGAAGGAATGTGTTAAAATGGAATATCTTTGAAACAAGACCCAAAACATGGCCCATCTTGCTGTAGTTATGCCACGTATAATTTACAAGGAAGAATGTGCTTTCATAATTCTGGGGGAAAACACTTACAAAACTCATCCTTACTGTACATATTATAATTTTTAAAACTCTTTGGGAAGAATTAGAATTACAAACATATAGTAGCTGCTAGGTTTTCCCATTGGGGGATATTTACATCTAGAGAAATGGCATAATTACATTTGCTGTTTTTGAAGTCCACTGGATTATGTTAACTCAGAGAAATTCAACATGAGAGCCGGTGAATTTTGGAAATTGACACTGGTTCAGGGCAGACCTAACTTTAGTTTAATGGAAAGAATTCTGCCTTTGAAATGAAATGAGGGACCTGGGTGTGAGGTGGTATTTAATAAGTAGAAAGCATCGGATGTATTGTTTCTTCTCTTTCCAAGTCAGGGATAATGTGGGGAATAAAAAGAGTTAGGAAATGGTACAGAGTCCCACGCAAATTTGAGTGGTTATTGTTAGTTTTATTTGTGAGACTTAAATGCTATTTAAAAAAATTACAAAATATGTATTATTGAACATGTGGGAAATATTAATTATTTTAATGTAGAGAAAAGAAAAATACAGAAACTATGGCTTTTTAAAACAAAACAGGAATGATTTTATAGGTAGTGCCTTGGAACCTACTTTTCTGACTTTAAGATATATCACAAACTCCCCTCGAATCAGTTTTTTGAGGAATTGATTTTAAAGGGCTGCATAGCATTCTGTCATAGGATGTGTTTAACTAGTTGCCAGGTTTAAGTTGACTTTTTTTTGCTATTCAAAATATTTTGTTAGCATTATTACAGATAGGCGTTTGTCCACATCTTTGATAGGATAAATGGCTAAAATGAAATTACACATCAAAAGTATAGATAACTTTAGGTGTTTTAATCCATCCATGCTACCAACATATCTGCCCAAAAGTGCCCTACCAACTCATACTCCCATGGTCTGGTCATTTGCCAACATCTTTTCTAATCCTGAGTTGTTAGTTAAAAAGACACAGAATTTTTTAAGTGTTTCTTAGTTGCTAGACCTCCCCCCAGAATTGATTCCTATTTTAATTTGTATTGCTTTGATTACTTGTGAGGTTGAACATTTTTTCTTTTTTGTTTGGCAAGCTGCAGTCCTTCCTTTGTAAATTGCCATTTGCGTCCTTTGTACTTAGAGGCCTTGTTTAATACCTCTGCTCTTGCATCGAATTGCCATGGCGTAGTCACTAATGGTTCATTAAGCTGTGTTATGTCCTCCTGGATCAGACCTTTAAACCGCTCATTTGTCCAAAAATAAATGTTTGTTGGATAAATGCTAAATGAATCATAAAGCAGTAACTTGGATGGCCGTAGGGCCAAGAGCTAATGGCTGTTATCCCCAGGAGTGGCAGGACATTACTTCATCCATCACTCTACCCGGTATATATTTTTAAGTGTGCCAGGCTGTGTATTAGGCTTTAGTTCCTGCTCTCAAGAATGCTGGTCTAAAGAAGAGTTTATAATACAGTGTGTGAACTCATGAAAGGAAATCCTTTTGAACAGTAGTCCAAGAGGGGACATTTTTGACCCACAGAAAGTGCTCATGCTTTCATGAAATAGCAGAAGCCTCCCAGCCCACATGATTTCTAAGGCATGTGTCTCTTTTCTCCTTGCATGCTTCCTTGGGGAGGCAAATTTGAGCAACAAACAGATGATCAAATCCAGTTTGTAGTAAACAAAACGGAACCTCCTCTAGTACCCTTTCTTCTTCATATTATTGTTAAATACAGAAGGGATCTCACTATGTTACCCAGGCTGGTCATGAACTCTTGGCCTTAAACTATCCTTCTGCCTCAGCCCCACAAAGGGCTGGGATTATAGGCATGAGCCACCATACCTAGCCCTCTAGTACCCTTTCTGTAGAAGCTAATAAATTTGGTTTCCTCTTGGCTTTTGCCATGACCCTAGCATGATCTCTGGCTTCCTTGCCAAACCAAGTTTGATAATCACTGTTGGAGTTGCACGTGTGAGGACTTTAAGGCCAAGCCGACCCAGGGCCTAATCCCAGCTCTTCCACTAAAAAGTCTTGGGTGCCTTACTTAACTTCTCTAGGTCTCAGTTCCCTATTATTTAAAATGGATAAATAAATTGCCGCACAAGGGTTTTTGTAAGGATCAGTCAAGATGATTATTTAAATTATTGTTATTAACCAAGTCATATAAGTTTATCATTAAGGAAGTCTAGCTGGTTATGACAAAAGATTGTAGAAGGTGGCCTTTTCTTTGACATATTTATTATAGCCTGGATCTGTCTGGATCTTAGTTTTACAGATCTGAAACTTGATTTTAGTTTTACATTGAGAGTGGCTCAGTCTCTCAGGGATGAGGTCACATGAAGCAAGTTCTCAAAAGACTGTTCTATAAACCAAAACCAAGATAGCTTATCAAGTCTGGACAGTTGTTAAATAGATGGAGACCAAAATACTCACATCCTGGGCCAGTTTTACTCTCTGGGTATGGCTCTCTGAGAGCCAGATTATAATTCGTGCTTGTTAGGTGAGCTGGGAATTAGAGCAAGGGGACTCAGTTGACCATAAGCAGGCAGCCCCCCACCACCACCCTGGCTAAAATAGCTTGATGACCTTGGCTGCTTTTAGGTTTAGTCTTGCTCACATGACCATCCATGGACTGAGGTCCCAGCCCCTTGGGAGAGGTCTTCAAAGGGTGCTTCCAGTGCTTGCCTCTCAAGCTCTCATTTTCTTCTTGGTTCTATAATGACCACTTTTTTCTTTTTTCCTATTTGACACATTGTCTGGATGTGTCAATGTCTTGAAACTGGCTTAGTTCCCACCAAGCCTCACTCTCATTCTGGGGTCGAGTCTCGGGGAGAGATTTCACATGTGTTCACTTGCCCATTGGTTCTGTCATTCACTTCTCTGAGGCAGTCTCATTTCCAGAGAGTCCTAGAGTAGGTAGGTAGGAGGTTTGGACCTCACTGATCTCTCTACCCCAGGACCCATCTGTAAACTTCCTACCTTAAGCAGTGATCTGGAATATGAAGCCCACCCCCAGGGATAACATCCCCAACAACACATACATTCTCTCTCAGTGTCTCTGGGATGCTGGCAGCAAGCTCAAGGAACTCCTGCTGCTCCAAGAGGCCACTGAACATATTGGTAAACATGCTCAAAGCCACTGGCCCTGTGTTGCTGTGCTGGATAATACCTTTTTCCAGTGAACCTTCTCTGCCAGATCCTGTATTCTGTCATTTAGAGTCTGCAAGTGGTAGTCCTATGAATTACATTTCCTCTGGGACACAGCATTTTGCCCAGTAAGAGCCTGGCTGAGGTGACTTTTCTACTCTGTTTCATGTGGCCAGAGAGCATGTGTCCTCATACTGTAATTTCTACTCCTTCAGCCCTTCACCTGTGTCCCTGGGGAAGCAGCTTGCCTCCCACAGAGGAGATTCACCACTCTGACAGCTGGATGCTTTGGTGTGTCAGAGTCACCTGACTTAAAGAGTGGAGCACAAGAGGTGTGGGTACCCCAAGGTGGAAAATGCCCTCCCTCTTAGTTATACCAGTTTGGAGGGGGGATGGGAGAGGTTGGCTTCCTGAAATCTGAAGGGCACAGCAGTTTGGGGGTGGTAAGTTTATTCTGACCACAGAGCCTCATAGACACTCACTCTCCCTGCTGCCCACCTTATGGTTCACCCCGTGGTTCTCATCAGTTCCTTGCCCAGCAGGCTTTTCAGCAGTGCAGCTACAAGGTCTCTACTGAGATTTGGCTTCCTGCCTGCTTTTGTGCAAGAGAGAATGAGGGGTGCAAAAGGGGTGGTGTGTATGGGGGCAGGAGGATGGACTACAGCCATACTGACTGCTGATAAGCTCTGCAAGGGGGTTGATGGAAGAAGCCTCCCCATGCCTGGAGAGACCTACTCTGTTAAAACACCCTTTTACCACACCCTTCAGTTAGTCTGTATCTGCTACTAGCTACATATGGATATTGAGTGTTTATGGCTATTAAAATGAATTAAAATTAAATAAAACTAAAAGCTCAATTCCTTGGTCACACTAGCCGCATTTCAAGTACTCAATAGCCCACACATGATTAATGGCTGCCACATCAGACACTATGATATAGGGCATTTCTATCATCACCAAAGTTATATTGGATAGCACTGCTCTGGGACAGGGCAGGGGATTACTGGCTCTACAAAAGAAGCCACTTTGGGATTCCATTAACACTAGATTTTTATAAGCATTGAATTCATATAAAACTGACCTAACAGCTTATGATGGCTATATTATTTGTATAAATTGGGGCCTACTTTTCTCTGAAGGCACTATCTGTGTGTCATCTCTCCTTCCCCCTAACAAAAAATCAAGTTCAAAACATGGAAAGAGCTTGAGAAAGTCTCAGGCCTGTGAAGCAGGGTCCCAGAACTCTCAGTCTCTCACAGGAATTCTTGCCACTGTCACCTGGTCCTTTAGGTGATGTTTGTCCTCTAGGTATTTTGACCCAAGTTCCTGATTTAGTCATCAGCAGTGGAGTTTTTCAGAAAATAAAACAATCATAAAAATACATGAGTTTAATTATTTTAGAATGAAGATTTTATTCATTCATTTAAAGGATATTTACTGAATGACTACTCTGTGCCAGGATTCAGGTGAATCAGAGCCTAGATTCACCAGCACCTGACACAGGGCCTGGAACATAATAGATATTCAATAAATATTTATCAAACGAATGAATAAATTACTCACCCTAGAACAAGTCCACCAAGCCATCCAGCCTGCTGTTCCTTTTTGTTTCCTGTGAATGTTGTGGAGGTCCTTGGCCCAGCAACTCAGACCAGCACCTGGGAGGCAGCTTTGGATTGACTGTGCTCCAGGCTTGGTTGGATTCTTCTGGATATTGAAGCCGGTTCTGTATTTTAATGTGGTTGTGTTAGTGTTCTCCAGAGAAACAGAACCAATAGAGGGTGTGTGTGTGGACAGAAAAAGGGAGAGGGAGAGGGAGAGGGAAATTGTATTGAAGGAATTGGCTGATGCAGTTATAGCAGCTGGAAAGTCCAACATCTGCAGGGTGAGCTGGCAGGCTGGAGACCCAGGGAAGAATTGATGCTGCACTTCAAGCCCAAAGACAATCTGCTGGCAGAATTCCCCCTCTTTTTCAGGGGAGGTCAGTCTTTTAAAGCCTTCGAGTAATTGGATGAGGCCCAGTGACATTATGGAGAGTCATCTGCTTTACTCAGTCTACTGACTTAAATGTTAATCTCATCTACAAAAATACCTTCAGAGAAACATCTAGAATAATGTTTGAC
Organism: Homo sapiens; assembly: GCF_000001405.40. Lineage (NCBI taxonomy): Eukaryota > Metazoa > Chordata > Mammalia > Primates > Hominidae > Homo > Homo sapiens. The sequence goes on along the minus strand of NC_000005.10, from coordinate 137,026,290 downwards.
TTACCATCTGGATACTGTGGCCTAGCCACATTGACACATAAAATTAACTGCTCTGGTATTCTTGTTTTACCTACCCTTGGTGGTGATGAGTTGCAACTGAAGGAGACCCATTTCCTGACCACACTGAGCCAATGTTTTTATTTGTCTGGTTCTTTCTCTAGCCTGGTCCTCCTCCATCCCTATGGAGAGCTAGATGACCTCAGGTATATAGAATCTCGCCTCTTGCAGGCATGTTTCTCTGTATGCCTTCCTTCTATTTAATGATAGTTTTCATCATTCCTCAAAGCCAGCCTCCTCACTTGTTTGTATGAGTCCTTAAGCCCAATTTTCCTTCGCAATGTATTCCTGAGTGGGGTTAATACCTCCCTAGCTGCCTTGACTAGTTTCTTCTCCTTCCTGCAGCTAGAAGGAGGCTCATGATGGACTGGAAATATCACAGGTTTGGACTCAGATTTAGATTTTAACCTCGGTTTTATTGCTGGCTGACCTCTCAGAATCTCACCTATCTCATCTGTAAAATGGTATGCTAGTTTATTTCATGGTACCCTTTGTATCACTTTTCATTCAGTTTTAGATTTTTCTCCTGATCTCTTTGTCCTTCCTTGTTTTGTTTTGCTTTTAGAAACAGGTTCTGCTGTGTTAGCTAGATCAAGTGATCCTCCCACCTCAACCACTTCAGCTCCCCGGTACCTAGGACTACAGGCATGAGCCACTACACCCAGCTGCTTCTTTGTTTTTGAGGACAGGAATTATGTTTTATTTACCATTGTGTAAATAGAATAGCTAGAATACAGTGGATGCTCATGAAATATCTGTCTATTAAATGTTAAATGAATTTATTAGAAGGGAGTGATATGGGCAGAGGTAATGTATGTAGCAGGTGCTTCAAGTGTAGGATTATTTCCCACTGTTGCTGGCTTGCTGTTAATGTCCCATTTCCAGGACTTATCTCACCTGTGATGCTGCCAGTCTTTTTTGAAAAAATTTCATTGTGCTCTGGCAGCATCACAGGTGAGATAAGGCCTGGAAAAGGGATCTACCTTAACATGAGGTCTACCTTCTTTTTAAGTATTCAATACATTATCGTTGACTATAATTACAATGTTGTACAATGGATCTCCAGTGCTTATTCATCTTAACTTAATTGAAACTTCATGCCCTTTGATTAGTAATGCCCCATTTTCTCTTCCCCCTGGCAACTGCTGTTCCACTCTTTGATGATATCCATTTGACTGACAGTTTTTGATACCTCATATAAGTGGAATCATGCAGTATGTATCCTTCTGTGACTGGTTTACATCCCTTCGCATAATGTCCTCAAGATTCATCCACATTGCTGCATTATGAGTTTTCCTTCTTTTTAAGGCTGAATAATAATCCATTATATGTACATACCACATTTTATTTTTCCATTCATCTCTTCATGGGCATTTAGGTTATTTCCACATCTTGGATCTTGTGAACAGTGCTGCAGTGAACATGGGAGTGTTGTCTCTTTGAGATCCTGATTTCTGTTCCTTTGGATAAATACCCAGAAGTGGAATTGCTGGAGCATATAGTGGATGCCTCCAGTCTTAACTACATGGTAGAGATGACTGACATATCATGAGATCAGTGGATATTCAATTTTTTTTATTTTCCCCTTCTAGCTTTGTGGTTCTTCTACTTTTTTTTTTTTTTTACATGTCAGATGGCTCCCTTCCTAGTAATTGCTCTATACAGCAGGAAATTATTTTTAATGATTGAGATGTTCAAATGTTAGAGCCACAGAGGGGTAGATAGCAGTAAGCAGGTCATTTTCTCCCATGTTCTGCATTATTACTTTAAATATTTCAATAGGTCAAAGGTTGGTGCTCCTTTTATTCTGAAAACCTGGTGAGATGTTAATTAATCACAGCAAAGTTTAAGGATCCCAGCTTTACATCAGTGTTGTATTTAACAAAACATGAGCAGTCAGTTGTAACTACCCCCCCCCCTTCAAACTGGTGCAATTTAGTGCTTATGGAATTTATCTGTCTGGCAGATCAGCAGCCGAACATAATTTTAATTACACCCGTCACCCTCGGCCGCACTCTCTCATTCTGTGCTAACCTTATCAGAGTAGCAGTACCTGTGCTGCTGGGTTTGCTGTTCAAAAGCCAAAGTTTTCTTCTGTGTCATTTAAGGAACTGCCTAGCACTAGAATTTCAGAGAGAAGCTACCTTATTAATATAAAGTAACTTAACAGGAAGTACAAGCTTCTAGGTTGCATGCCTAAGAAGATCTTCTGCAGACTTCCTGAAATAGCAAAGGATGCAAGTGTTAAAGTTAGCAAAAAAAAAAAAAAAAAATACTATATTGACACTTGCTAATTAGATCCAATTTCACCATGTAGTCTGCTATGGTTATGTGAATTTTACTACCTTTATTTGCATTGTGCTATAGAAGCAGTTCTTGCTAATGATACTCAATGTCTTTGGTGGGAGCAGTCTTTTGAAAGAGACAAATCAGCTTGGTTCTCCTTCATTTCTGTGAGAGCATAAAGGAAGGGACAGAGGAAGAAAATCACTTAGGCTGACAAAGAATTGGCATTTCCTCTCGTGATAATTAGGGTATCGAACATGTCTGGGCATCGCATTGCAGATGAAATGATGCCTTCCTCATGGCACCTTCTGTCCATCGGTAGCACAATTTGATTCTCATTTCCTCATCTATTCTTCTAGCCCCAGTCTGGTATATAAGTCACACTTTTCATGTCACTTTTCTCGGAGCATGTTTTATGTGTTTCAGATTTTAGAAGTACAGCAATAGTTAGCCTATCACACCCTGCCTTCAAATCTGTCCCTAGTGCCTGTCAAGCAATGGCTACCAGAATGTGTCTTCAAGATGTCACTGTAGGGGTACCCAATCCCCTAGTCAAAACCCAGTCCCTACTCTCTACTGGGGAGCTGGTTGGAAGTGAAGCCAGCCCTTCTGTTTCTATTGAGGTCTATTTTTCACATTACCAAAATAAGTCACTTTATCCAACTTAGTGAACAAGTGCTCTCAATGCTTACTAAGAAATTTACTATATATCAAAGTTCTAAGAACTATATATGTTAATTCATTTATTTGAATCCTCTTAAAAGCCCTGTAAGATAGATAGTATTCTTAGTCCCATTCTTAAGATGAAGACATTGAGGCAAAGAAAGCATACAAGTTGTCCCAGGTAACAAAGACAGCAAGAAGCAGAGCCAGGATCCAAACTCAGGCAGTCAGCTCCAGCATTTATGCCTGTATCCACTACACTGTGCTGCCTCTCTTATTTGCTAGGCTTTGCTGCCTGGGAATCAGAACCAAGATTAAGGAATAGGAAAGAAAGAGCAAACTCAGAGAAAAGTGAAACTAACTGGTCCCTCGTGTGAGCTGCAGACACAATTGATGTGTTCTCAGCCAATGAGCAGTGGAGAATTCTATCTATGGCCCATATAGGAATGGAAGAGGTCTGGAAGAGAACGCTGGCCACCCAAATACCAGCCCTAACAACAGTAATACTAATGTCAATAGCTGCCCTTTGTTGTTTACTGTATATGATCTGACTTTCATGCAATATATCCTATGCTTAAAAAACCTTGAGACATGTAAATTGATATAAATCGACACTTTTTTTCGCTTAGGGAAATTGAAGCTCACAGAGCTTAACCAGGCACGCAGCTACTTAGTAGCAGGGCTTCATTGTACATCCTGGGCGTCTTGCATGAGTGTAATATTCTATATCCTCTTTCCTCTACTTGCCTTAAAGGAGCTTAAAATCATAGTTTGTTTCAGTTATTTCTTGCCCTGTAACAAACTGCCCCGATCTTGGTGACAAGATAATAACAAATTACTGATCGTCAGTATCTATGGTGGTTCTTCAGGTCAACTGGGGTGGTTTGCACTTGGGGTCTCTTATGTGGTTGCAGGCAGATAGTGCCTGGGACTGGAGTCGTATTAAAAGCATTCTTCCATGTTTGGCATTGAAACTGGCTGTCAGCTAGTACATGAATTGGGGCTGTTGGCTGGAACACCCACTTGTGGTCTCTTGGGCTTCCTCAGAACTTGGCAGCTAGATTCCCAGGGCAAGTGTCCAGAGACAGGCAGAGCTAGCAATGTGGTATGGAAGGGAGAAGGTGGGGTTGAGGGGAAGCTCTGTCACCTTTAATGACCTAGGCTGGCAAGTCATCATGCATCAGTCCTTCCATACTCTGTAGGTCGGTCACAAAGCTCTGTCCAAGTAAAAGGAGGGGACAGAGAGATGCCATCTCTCTAAGCAAGTGTGCCAAGGTCGCATTATAAAGAAGAGCATATTTTGAAAATATAAACTGCCACAGTTTTTTTCCAAAAATTTGTTTTCTTTTAGAGCTAAAACTTCTGCATCAAGCAAACATTTTTGTCAGCATAGATCTTTCTCTTTAAACTCATTATTGATATCATCTCTTTTCTCAGTGAAACATATGGGTATTAAAAAAATCAACTGCATCTTGAGCAGTACCAATCAATGGAAAATATTGTCATCTTCTTCCCAAGCAAAGCATAATTTAGAGTAGTTCCAAGGATGTTGAACAACCAGAATAATTTGTAGAATAACTGCATTCCATTTTGGAGTTTTCTAGTTCGCAGAAAGATGTTCTCTCATGGCTGCCAGATTATTGTGAATACAGTTAGGCTCAGAACTACCTTAATGAAACACAGCTAGTATATTCATTTTTAATTTGTTAGAATTTTATTTAATATAAAATAGGTAATTTTTTAAATCTATGAAATGTGTGTAAGGGATAAACGGTAACAATACAAAGAAAGAACACCAGTAACTTTATTATTGCCATTAATTTCCAAGTTACCTTGTGTCACCTCCTAACCCCATCCTCTCTCCTCCTTATTTCGTGCTAACTATCATATTGACTTCTGTGTTTATTGCTACATTAATTTTCTTTATAGTTTGGCACATATTTGCATCCCTTAATGATATTTTGTTCAGTTTTGCTTGCTTTAGAATATTTTTGTAGATGGAATCATATCGTATTCTTCACTCAATGCTGCATTCCCAAAATTTATCTATGCTGCTGCATGTAGCTAAATTTCAATCACATTTGCTGTTATGTAGCATTCAACATTGTAAACAAGAACATATACTTTTGATGGGCATTTCTTTTTTCCAGTTTTCCCTATCATAAACAATGCTGATATTAACATTCTTACACTTCTCTGGGTGTATGTGTACAAATGATTTTATGCAGGGCATATACCTAGGAATGAAATTATTGAGGAATAATAAATGCTTATTTTCAACTTTATAAGAAATGGCAAATAGTATTCCACAGTCATTGTTCCACTGATGCTTCTACCATGAGTGCATGAAAGTTCTGGTTATTTCACATCCTCACCAACACTTCTTTTCTATTTTTTTAGGTTGTTTTTAACTTTTGCCAACCTGGTGTGTATGAAATAGGATCTTCGTGGTTTTCTTTGGCATTTATGGGCATCTTTTCTTATATTTATTGGTCATTCTGGCTTTCTCATTTATTAAGTTCCTGTTCATGTCTCTTCTTGATTTTTGTATTGGGTTGTCTTTTAAAAAATTTATTTATAGAATTATTCTTCTATTCTGGATACTAACCTTTTTTCAGTTGTGTGTTCCAAATATCCTCTCCCAGTTTGTGGGCTGCTTCTTTTTACTCTTTGTAGTGTCTTTTAATACAAAGAAATTGTTAATTTTATACCATCCAATTTTGCAGTCTTTTGGGTCCTTCTTTAAAAATCCTTTCCTACCTTACTTGAAAATCCTTCCCGACCTTGAAGTCATAAACATATTCTATTTTCTTCTGAATATCTTTTATATTATTAAGTGCATACATTTTAGGGAGACTGCATTTCTGGTGATGTGAACCTCTTATTGTGTTTTGATTCTGTTTTCAGTAGTCTTTTTTGAATTTTGATAATTAAGAATTCTGATATTAAAAGTCTGATAATATAGCTACTGCCACTCTCTTAGTATGTACCTAGAATATCTTTTTAAAATTTTATCCTTTTATATTAAATATTTCTTTATCCTTTTTGTCTTGGTTGTCTGGTAACAGCAATCAGATGGGGTTTTTTTTTCATTCTGTTATAATTTAACCTACATAGAGTTATGGAAATTCTACTCTCTTATTAATATTTTCTGCTTTTTATCTCTCCTTTTTTTCTAATTTTGGATTCTTTTTCCTATTTTTTTATGCTCATTAGTCTTAAAGATAACCACCCTATTCTATTCTCTTAGTTTGTAATCCAGAGATTTTGGCATGCATACTTTACTTGTCAGAGCCTAAACTTAATCAGTATCTCTGTGTTCCTCCCAGACAATACAAGGAAGAAGTTTAGGATACTTTAGCTCTAACTTATATGGCATTATTGATATGGGTTTGTGTGTTACATTTTCTAACTTCCAAGATATTATTATTTTATATAGTTTATGTTTTGCTTGGTTTTACCTACATATTTTCCTTTTCCTTTGTCTATCATTCCTTTTTGCACTTCAGAAGTCCTGTCTGTGGGCACTTTTCTTCTGTCTGAAGTACAGTATATTTTAATGGAAATTCCTGTAATGAGGGTCTGTTTGTTGCAAAATATCTATTTTTTGTTTGTCTCACACTGTCTTCATTTTCCTGTCATTCTAAGTAAAATCTTGGCAAATAGCAATCATTGAAAATTCAGAAAAGATTGAGGCACAACGATGATGTTTACCGCATTGTTTATGAAAGACAAAAACAAAAGCACAGTGAAAAACCTACATATTTGACAATAGGGGAGTGGTTAGCTATACAAATATGACATCATATTTTACAACCATAAATTATGTTTTAAAAGGTAATGTGATAGTATAGGAATACACTCACAATACAATCCTAAGTGAAAAAGAGCAAGGCACTAAACTGTATGTATAACATGATACACACATACCCATAAACACCTTGAGATAAAACTAGGAAAAGTATAGCAAAACGTTAAAATTATTTCTCAGGTGTTGAAGTGATAGGTGATTTGATTTTCATTTTTATACTTTTTGATATTTTATAAACTTTCTGCACAAGCAAGTATAGCATTTATAATTAGAAACCAGTAATTTATTTTGTAAATTTCCCATAATCAAAATGATTTTAAGGAAGATTGGATTATTTACATTCACATCTGACCCCAGCAGTGTATAAGTAGCAGTTATATTTTTAATGTCTGCCAATTTTGTAAGCATACTATAGTATTTTATTATTTCCATTTACTTTTTTATTACTATTGAAGTGAAACACTTTTGTGTATGTGTGTGTATTTATTGGCTATTTGTATTTCTTCTCACTCTAGAGCATTTGCTCGTTGCCTTTGTTGATTTTTCAATTACATTCTTAATGGTCTTGCTATTGATTTGAAAGAACTTTTTATATATGAAGAATATTGACTCTGCCTTTTTCCAAACTGTTTTCCAGCTTGTCTTGTAACATCATTTATAGTAACTTAGTTATTTCTTTTTTTAAAATTTTAAAAATGATTCAGGTATACATTTTGAAAAAAGAGAGAGGAATAATTACAGGCAAGGTAAAATATATACTCAAAAAAAATCCTAATATGCATTTGTATAATAAGGAGAGAAAAAGCAAATAAAATACGCCTCTAAGAAGGAGAGGGGCAGAGCATTCTTCTAGAGTTTTTAACTAATGGGGGGAAGGGGTGATTTGCCTCATCAGTCATTCCTCTGTGGATGTACATATCCATACTTTCGTATCAGTATCTTCAATGGTTATCATGTACCTCCTGAGGGTTATAACACTTCATTGTCACTATATGAGATACCTGAGGGAGGGGACAAGGTGAGGGGAAAGGAAGGCTTCAGCAAATTACAACTATTAATATATGCAGGGTAATGATTTATACGTATTATAGTAGGAATTAACCCAGTGATGGTTCCACGTTGACCAGAGTCCTGAGGTTTAGACCTGTGTCCACTTCTTCCTCCAGGTCACCTGACTGGTCCCCACTTAGTCATATCTTCCACAGAATAAACCCCTTTTCTCTTCTACACTAGGGTTTTTCAACCTGGGCACTGTTGCCGTTTTGGGTGGGATGATTTTTCTGTGCTGGGGGCTGATCTGTGCATTATAAGATGTTAACAACATCCCTGGCCTCTACCCACAAGATGCTGGTAGCACTGTTCCAGTTATGAAGGACAAAAGTGTCTCCACACATTACCAAATGTCCCCTCGGGGGCAAAACTAGCCCTGGTTGAGAACCACTGTTCCAGGCTGAAGCTGACACAGGGCAATTAATGCTAGATGTTTCCTTCTAAGCTTTGGGGACTTTTAGATTGAATTGTAATTTGGAGAATTTTCTGGCTTGATTTGCTTGGATGTAATTGTGGCTGGTTGCCCATAGGCTGTCTTCCACGGTGTGGGGCTATAGTGAGTCTTTTAATGAACATAAACCTTTCATTTTTATACTCGATTTTAGAATTTTTTAAAATTTTTCCTTTATGGCTTTGATATATACAGACCCCCTCTTTATTCATCTTTTAATAATTGGTACTGTTAATTGTTTTTAGCCTAATCCTTTAATCCCTGTAAAACTTACAATGATGTGTTTTGTGAGGTGGAGTTTTAACTTTTTGCAACTTTTTTCTTTTAAAATAACAAATATAATGATGCCACTGGTTGGATAATTCTATTATGATGTCCTTTAAGACATTCATTGTGTTATTACCTTTTCAGCGTCATATATTGTTTTGTGGTTCTGTCTAAAGAATCTTGCAATATTATAGTTTTTAATTATTAGAGCAAAGACCCTACTTACATATTATTTGTTTACATATATACATAGCTAGGTGTTGAGAATAATGTAATTCCAAAATTATTATTCTTGTTTTCTTTTATGACTTTTTAAGTCATTTAAATTTCCCCTTGGAATTTGGCTCAGAAAAGAAGCAAGAACACCAGCCTCAGCTTCTTAATTGGTAGCCAATAGCAACTGTGTATGAAGCTCCTACCACATCAAGGTACTGCCATAAGAGAGACAGAAATGTAATGCTGTCTGTAGTTGCCAAAGCCTTGTAGGGAGGCAGACTCAAATCCAGAAGCCACATGTGCTGCCTCCTGTGGCTGAGTTGACTATTTAATTCCTCGCTCTGTGGTAGCTGAGGTCCTCCCTTCACATAAGCAGCAGGCAGCCTTGAGAGCTCCTGCCTCAGCAGGTCGTGTGAGGCCAGCTAGAAGAACAGGGGAGGAGAACTGTGGGGGCCACAGCATGCTGCAGGGCCTCGAGTACTTCCCAGTCAGAAGGAGGAGCCTCAGCGCTCCAGCCTCCACATGTGCTTGAGCACATAGGAGTGGCCCAACACCTGTACCCAAAACAAAGCCCCATTGTTCCTGGTTTCTCCTTTACTCCCCACTAGGTTCCACTTCTTGGACCACCTGCAGGGCCATCTCACAGCATTGTGAACGTGAGGCCATAGTAGGCTGCTGTTTTTGATTGTTTTGCTCTCTTAAAATACAGCAAATAGTTTTGGTCCTAGACAGCCTCATTTGATGCCTGGGCAGCCTTTCTCTACCCTAACTCAAACTCTAAGTTGGGTTGTTTGTTTCCTTCCGGAAGTCTAGAAAAATATACCCCGTCCCTGTGATAAAAATTGTGCAAGAACTAGATGACTTCTTCATGTTTTCACTGTTAGACACCAGTTGGTGTTAAGATGACCTGTTTGATTTTTCCAAGTTCTTATAATCTGGGTTTTTTAGTACAAGCCTGTTTCCCACAGAAAATTTATTGTTTGGTATAGGATTTATTTTCTAGGTCTTCTTATTTGGGAAATGCCATTTGAATTTCAACTTATGAACGTATTATCTATTCAGCTCCTCACTTGCAAAGAGTTCTAAGTACGTAAGACAGAGAATGAGTGTTCTATGGATGTCCGGCTTGTTAAATACCCACTTTCTGCTGTGCTCGTGCTTGCGGTATTGCATGACCTTCATTTATTCTGCCTGACAATGTGTGAGGTGGGAATATTATTTTTACCAGTATTCACATGAGTGAAATCTCAGAGCTCACAAGGAGAGCATAGCAGTTTGGGAGGGATGTTCATGTTTGTAAAGGTCCAGAGGTAGGAACGTGCGGGGGTTTGTTAGTGGTCTGATTTTGCGATGAAAAGCGGCCTTTTTTCCAGTGGGGTATTGACACCCTGATTCCATCACCCTTATCTCCCCTAGGCCTTCTCCTTCTTCTGCAGTGAAGTTGACCTGCCTAACTCTAGCCATTTCAGTAGGAGTATCCTTCAGACTCCAAATCTTGGAACCACAATATGGAATGATTTCTCTCCTCCTTTCCTCCACACTTCTCTACGCTGGCTAGGTTCCCTTAAAAGCCATCTGTCACTGGGCTCATTGTCACGTGCTTAGGTGCTAGAGCCTTTTAAAATGGTATCCTGACTTGGGGGATGTTAAAAGCAGTCCCATTCTGTGGCCACTTCCTGGGATCTGCTCCATGCCTCCAGAGGGGCAGGCCACAGACATGTCTCAGAACAAATCTGTCACCTTGAGAGGATTTGCATGCAGAAGGGCAGGATGGGATTTCCCCCTCTGTAGTCTATTACAGTCTATTACATATGCATGTGTGCACACAAACAGACCCCATTTTCTCCCATGCTGAGAACTGTCAAAGGGTGACAACATCCAAAGCAGGACCTTTTAGGGCTCTGACTGTGCTTCCCAGATTCCTTCAGGCTCCTATTTGGGGAAGGAGAACCTTGTGGGAAAATGTGCCCTGAATGTGAGTGTGAATGTGAATGGTACCAGCACTAGTGTCTGAATCTCTGCTTTGCTATCTATCTCTCTGAGACAGAGTCTTGCTCTGTCGTCCAGGCTAGAGTGCAGTGGCGCAATCTCTTCTCACTGCAAGCTCTGCCTCCCAGGTTCATGCCATTCTCCTGCCTCAGCCTCCCAAGTAGCTGGGACTACAGGTGCCCACTACCATGCCTGGCTAATTTTTTTTTTTTTTTGTATTTTTAGTAGAGATGGGGTTTCACTGTGTTAGCCAGGATGGTCTCGATCTCCTGACCTCGTGATCTGCCCACCTCGGCCTCCCAAAGTCCTGGGATTACAGGCATGGGCCACCGTGCCTGGCCTGCTCTGTTCTTTAAAAAGCAGACCAATTTTACTTTCCCAAGACTACTGTGATAACCATGCTACAAATTCTTCTCCACAGCTACTTAAGCCACCTCTTGGCAAAAGTAGAAAAATGAGGTTTCAGAATTCGCTTTTACCCAAAGACACTTTTTGAATTAGCTCCAGCTTAATTTCACAGGAGAGAATCTATCTGTTCTGGAGAAGTCACCTCCAAATGGGCTTGACCTTTGTCTGTTCACCCTGCCAAGTTTTCTCAGCAAGACCCCCACCGTGTACAGAATAACTGTCAGATAAATGGGTGGTTTCTGCTGGAGTCCTTGGCGGTTTTCACATCATTACACAAGATTAAAAAAGCAAAACAAACTAAATAAAAGATATTCTGACCCTCTCAGGAATTTGTTCTTGTCAGGATTCTAATATCCCTTGAGATAGAAAATTGGATTAATGAGTCTTAGCTATGTACATATTCCATTATGGGTGATAAGCTCAGGTATATTGACACAGAAAGTCCCTCTTGTGGATAGATCTGAGAGACCCAAGAGGGTCTCTCTCTTCTTCCTCTATCCTGGATACTTACAATCTGGGCATAGCAGGCTTAACTAGCTTGTAAATTATGTCTAAGGGCACTTTTTGAATAAAACTCCAAATCTTGATGCCGAAAGATTTCCACTCTTGGACTAGCAAGGATATATGTGTGAACCTGAATGTCTTTAGACCACACCCCTACTTGGGACCACATGGCCAAGGAAAATGGACTCAGTGAGTGTCTTAGGCCATTTTTGCATTGCTGTAAAGAAATACCTCTGAGACTGGGTAATTTATAAGGAAAGAGGTTGAGTTGGCTCACGATTCTGCAGGCTGAACAGGAAGCATAGTGCTGGCAAGTGCTTCTGGGGAGACCTCAGAAAGCATTTTACTCATGAAGGAAGGTGAAGTGGGATCAAGCATATCCCATGGCAAAAACAGAACAAAGCAAGAGAAGTGGGGGCATAGGGGGAGGAAGAAGAGAGGTGCCACACACTTTTAAATGACCAGATCTTGCAAGAAGTCAATATCATGAAGACAGCACCAAGCCATGAGGGATCCACCTCCATGATCCAAACACCTCCCAGCAGACCCCATTGTCAGCACTGGGGATTGCAATTCAACATAGATTTGGGCAAGGACAAATATCCAAACTATATCAACAAGGAAGGAGATAGTCAGAGCCATCTTTACTACCCCGATGCGCCCCCACTGTCTCCACTACCTGCAGATCTCTGCTGACCCGGCTCCCAAGGCAAGCTCTTAAAAAAAACTGTAACTCCTGTTTATAACACTCTTAGCAATATTAGCAGTAGATGCAGTGAAAAAGAGAAGTGTCTCATATTTCACAAAGTATTTTGACTGGAATTTATGTCTACAGATCCAGGTATCCCATGTCTAGAGGGAGTACAAATATTTCTGCTTCATTTAGTTAAATTCTGAAAGTATTTATGGGGGATGCAGAGAGGAAAAATTCATTAGTTTTACAGGTGTTAGAGAATGAGAATTTCTGGAGGGAGAGGTTGGCATTCGGACTACACATAGATCATAGATATGAATAAAAAATGTTCTCTAGGCAAATGATTCCCAGACTGGGTTCCTCAGAGCTGCAAGATACCAATTATATACTGCACATAAAAAATGTTGTGTGGTCATATAAATTGGGGAACCTCCAGGTTAAGCAAATTTAAATAAACTCTCTTTAACACGAGGCTGCAGTCCAAGTCAACAAAGAAAGTTTGCCAAGTGAATGTTATCATGAAAGACTTTTCAGGAAATATCCACAAACTCAAGACTCTGAGATAGTCTGTTCTGATCTCCAGCAATCTTTTCTGAGTCTCATCGGAGTGTTTTTGTCTTATACCACATACATTCAAGTTCTTAGGCCAAAAAACAAAACAAAACAAAACAAAACCTAAAAAGAAATCACAAAATGATGGATACAATGTTAATTGTAGAAAATTAGAAAACATCTATAGGCAATAGGAGAAAAAGAACCATGCTCTTCTCATGTCAGAGACCACTGTTAACCTTTTATTATATACCTTCCCCTGTCTCTCTCTCTGTGTCTCTCTTTCTCCCTCCAACTCACTCCACACATCCACATTATTCATTTCATGTTACAAAAGTGGGGTCAAATCATAGATGCTTTTGTAAGCTGCTTTTTTTCACTTAATGTATCATAAACATTTTCCATGTCATAATATTCTTCTTTGGCAAATTTTTAATGCCTTCGCAGTTTTCCAACGTATTTGTGAACCACAACTTAACCCCTAATATTAGACATTATTTCTAGGTTATTTTTTCTATGATAAGCCTTATAGTTGTAAGAGTACAACATCATCTTTGCACCCACCTGTGCTTTTTCGACTTAAGTATTACAGAAAATCTAACAGGTCATAATTTTCAGTGTTTGCCCCTCATCTTGAGGCAGAACCCTAATTAGAATTAGCTCTTGGACCATCAGAAACATGCCTCTAATTATTAGATTAACTATTATAGAACCTTCTGGCTGAGAGTTTGGGACCTGGAATCAGACAGCCTTGGGGCAAACTTTGACCCTATTATATATTTCACTGGTTATGTCACTTCCCCAAGCCTCAGTCTCCACAGCTGTAAAATGGGAATGATAAATAGTGCCTGCCTCAAAGAGTTGTGAGAATTAATGAATCTATCACTTGGAATTGCATGTGTGTGTGTGTGGGAGGATGGCAGGGAGAAGAAAGGGAAGAATTATGTACCAGAGACCAACATAACCTCTGCATGCCCAAAGTGCTTCTTTCTCCAGCTCGTCCTCATTTTCTGGCAATTAGAACCTCTTTTTAAATGGTGAGAATGCAGGATACAACAGGACAGACATGACTGTGGCCATGACCTGAATGTGACTCCCAGTTCTGCCACTTATTAGCTCCTTGACTTAGACATGTTTTGTAACTTCTTCAGGTTCACAGTCTGGAAAAAGGATATGAATTAAAATCCTCGCCTCACAGAACGTTCGTGTGCTGAGTCAATGAGATCACATTTGGGTGTAGAGTGCCTGTCCTACAACAAGCAGTCAGTGGCAGCTGGATAAAAGTCACTTGAAATAATAATTTCAGTGGATTTTCTCCAGGATTAAATGAAAAAAGAAATAAATGAAGGCAAAGTGCTAACATGGGTATTGGCAAGAGTAGGTGTTTAATATATGGCAACTCTCGGGACTCCTGGTGTTGATGTTGATGAACATGACAAGTTGAACTGCACTGGTGCCACTTGGACCCTTGCAGTCAACTGTTGGCAGTTTGAGCACTGCAAGCTAGTGGACCCCTTAGGTGCAGCACCTGCAGACAAATGAACCATCTTGACTTTGGGCTACAAATTGGAAACTACTTACACCCAAGTACTCTAATTTGACTTGTCCAGGAGTTCTAAAGTCCATAACAGTGGCTTATAAGGTTGCTCTTCTGGGGTGATATTTTTAATTACATTATCAGTGCAATTTATTGCTGATGTGGTAGATGGGACTGAGGCAAAAGGACCTGGTGGAGAATGGAAAAGGTATGTAATAAATTTCAGGGATGTTTTAACCATTGCAATCCTTTGTGAACACAAGGCATGTCTAGAATTCTGTCTCTGGGCTTAGGGAGAAAAACATGCTGGGAAATTGTGGAAAGCATGAAGAGTCACAGTGGAATTGAGTCTGAAACATACAACCTCATTACACCATGAATTCAATCTCAAGGCACGTTATGGGGTATAATTCCTGGGAGTCCTTAGAGATGCCGTAATACCACCTAAAATTAACCCTGTTCAAATTCTTGTCTATGCCTGTGCTCCACACCATTATTTTCCATTCATATCTGAGCTCAACTATTCTCACAAACCAGTAATTCTGTATTCCTTTCAGAATGACTCAATTGCACTAAAGTTTCTTTGGAAGGTACCTTTGTTTTCTTCAATGCTCTGAAGTGCGAAGTCTATATAATTTGCTAAATGCATCATGTTTACATATGCATAAGCCAGTTACCTCCAAATCACCATCTCCTGCCTGCGCTATTGGCTGGATGCTTAAAGAAAATGAAGCTTAATTTTCTGTAAGCAGCGTTCCATGGTTTTCAAATAAGCTTGTGGAGACACAGATAAACTAAATTACTTAGTGGTAACTATCCAGACAGGAATGAGAAGCCAGTGCAAAACAAGCTAGGTGTACAATCGTTCTAGCATCCCTCAATACAATATGCGAAGAAACATGAAAATGACATTCCAGGGACCTCAGGCTGCTACCAGGCTAAGCTAAGGTCTGAGGTGTTATCAGGGTGGGATAGCAACAATCTATAAACCCAGAGACCCAATTTCGGCATGTGGTAGGTACCTGGTAATTCCTGTTCTCAGGCAAGGGATGTTGGCGTGATATCTGTGGTAGAAGAATTAGGCCATATTTTTCATAAATTAGTCAGCATGGGTGAAGTTAAGAGCACAGATTTGAGTTATTTTGTCCTGGTGTCAAATGTTCACTTTGGCCTTTATGTGTGTGCTGGTGAGGGAACTGGAGGCTGGAGTGAGCAAGCCCCCTAGCCTGTTTAGGGACCTTGGTATTCTCAGGTATGTAGTAGAGATGATAGTGTCACCCTCCCAGGACATCCTGAGGCTTCACTGAGACAATATGTGTCTTTTTATCTGTGCTACATCATAGTGTCCCACACACATGCATTTCTCCCTGCCCCTCCCTTCCTCGCAAGTCCATTTTCTGTTTGGCTGGAAGTTATCCCTCTCCATGGTGGCTCTATCTCTCCACAACATCCTCAAACGTACATGCTGGCCATGACCTGTTTGGCATGTTTATTCTTGGTGCTGTTATGGTAATTGGAGCAGCGTTTTCACTTAAGTATTCACATTCTTCCCTTTGCACCTCCTGTAAACATATATTGATGCCGACTTTTGGCCAGGCACTCTGCAGGGAACTCGGGCGAGTATAGATGTGACTACTGCAGAATTCTTACTGCATCTGACCTCAGAGTCCAAAAGAGACAGCAGGTTGTGATATGGCATGGAAAAGTAGAACTGCATGAATAGGGCCCTGGGGACACCCCAAGGAGGGGGAGGTAGACTCTTCTTGGATGGGTGTTGGGAGAAGATTCCCCAGGTGAACACATATTTGAAGCAAACCTTGATTCTTCAGGAAGGAGGATTCTGAGAGAGAGAGGGTCTGTGTCTTCCTTGTTAAAATTCCACCAACTCAGTGGAGGGAAAGCATTCTCCTTTTACAAATTAGGAGAGGGGAGACCAAGCACCAGGCAAGGGCTATGTCTTAATCATCTTTGTATCCCCCAGAGTGTCTGATTTAGGGAGTGCTGGAATTGAATTTAGACCTGCCCAAGGTCACAGGGCAGAATGGAGAACAGCACACAGATTGTGTTGATTAAAAAATCCTGCATTTAGGAATTATTTTCTCCCTTTTGGTTTAAAAGAAAAATGTTAGTGTGTAGCATGAGAACAGATGGATTGGTGCAAACTGTCTTGGGTTATAGCTAACAAGTCTCTTATGTTCATATCACTCAAGCTTTCTCCCACCTCAGGGCTACTACCCTGCACTGCCTTTGCTCACTCATTTATATGTATTTATATTGTGTATGCTTGAAGAGGCTCTTGATGCACATAGAAACAAATGCAAATACAGATTATCTCTCTACCTTTTAACACATATATAGTATAGAATATACACTATTCTGCACTTTCATTTGACCTCTCTTGGAGATCTTTGCATCTCATATGAGTAGCTTTATAGTTTTTCCATTGGTGGATATACTATAATTGATTTAACCATGGACATTTGAATGTTTCCAGCCTTTTGCTATTTCAAATAATGCTGTTATAGATAGCCTTATACATGCTACTTCAAATGTATTTATATGCTTATCTGTAGGTGTTAGTCCCAAAGTGAAATTTTGGGGTCAAAATATCTAGCAACCTCTCTGAATCACTTTGCCATTGTTATATTTCTTGTAAAAATCAATATGGAGTTAGGCTTCTCTTTGTGACCTGGTCTGAAAATAAAATCTTATTCTTTTGAGAGGTGAATTTTAACTCATTTAGACTTATCGAAGTAAAAAGTTATGTTTAGTACTATCATCTCTGTTATTTTTCCATATTTTCCTTTACGTTTTTTAATATTGTGTGGCAGGGCATGTGTGTGTATCATTCTTCTGATATTCAGGAATGTTCTCACTTAAAACAGTGATAAAATTAATATGATTCTTCTCTCTCTTCCCTTCTCCCCCAGTTTAGCCTCCCCTTCATTTCTCCTGACACTTGATCATAGTTGATACAATTATCCTCTTAGGGTTTAATCTTTGTTCAGTGAAATATGTTCAATATTATATTACTCAGCTTTTAATTCTGTCATCTGACTCCAACTATTATGTTTAAGGCCATCAGTAAACTTGTTGTACTTTGCATCTTCTTCCTCCCTTCCCCTCTTTGTTGTTGTTTGTATCATTTCTTCATTGACAGGGTATGTAGCATTTGCCTTCTTATCTGTCACTCCAGTCACCACAGTTGTCTACAATTCTCTAGTATTTCCTTTGGAAGGGCTCATGAGAACAGTAGTTCCTGGTTAACTGTATAGAACTGGTTTCCTGAAGTATTTATTATTGATAGCACAGTTTGATGTAAAATCCTTGGTTCAACTTTCTTTTCTTGGCTGTTTTAAGGATATTGTTGTATTGACTTCCTCTTTTGAATATTGCCGTGCTGAAATCTGAGGGCAGACTTATTCCTTTTACCTCTCCTAAGTTACTTGGGTATCTTTTCTGCTACTGTGTTGATTGTGTGTGTGTGTGTGTGTGTGTGTGTGTGTGTGTATTTATTATTATACTTTAAGTTCTGGGATACATATGCAGAACATGCAGTTTTGTCACACAGGTATACATGTGCCATGGTGGTTTGCTGCACCCATCAACCTGTCGTCTACATTAGGTATTTCTCCTAATGCTATTCTTCCCCTTGCCCCCCACCCCCCGACAGGCCCCAGTGTGTGATTTTGCCCTCCCTGTGCCCATACGTTCTCGTTTTTCAACTCCCACTTATGAGTGAGAACATACGGTGTTTGGTTTTCTGTTCCTGTGTTAGTTTGCTGAGAATGATGGTTTCCAGCTTCATCCATGTCCCTGCAAAGGACGTGAACTCATCCTTTTTTTATGGCTGCATAGTATTCTGTGGTGTATATGAGCCACATTTTCTTTTCCAGTCTATCATTGATGGGCATTTGGGTTGGTTCCAAGTCTTTGCTATTGTGAATAGTGCCACAATAAGCATACGTGTGCCTGTGTCTTTATAGTAGAATGATTTATAATCCTTTGGGTATATACTCAGTAATGAGATTGCTGGGTCAAATGGTATTTCTAGTTCTAAATCCTTGAGGAATCGCCACATTGTCTTCTACAATCATTGAATTAATTTACACTCCCACCCACAGTGTAAAAGTGTTCCTATTTCTCCACATCCTCTCCAGCATCTTTTGTTTCCTGACTTTTTAATGAGCGCCATTCTAACTGGCCTGAGATGGTATCTCATTGTGGTTTTGATTTGCATTTCTCTAATGACCAGTGATGATGAGCTTTTTTCATATGTTGCTTGGCGACATAAATGTCTTCCTTTGAAAACTGTCTGTTCATATCCTTTGCCAACTTTTTAATGGGGTTGTTTTTTTCTCATAAATTTAAGTTTCTTGTAGTTGCTGGATATTAGCCCTTTGTCAGATTGATGATTGCAAAAATTTTCTCCCATTCTGTAGATTTCCTGTTCACTCTGATGATAGGTTTTTTTTTTCTTTGCTGAGCAGAAGCTCTTTAGTTTAATTACATCCCATTTGTCAATTTTGGCTTTTGTTGCAATTGCTTTTGGTGTTTTAGTCATGAAGTCTTTGCCTATGCCTATGTCCTGAATGGTATTGCCTAGGTTTTATTCTAGGGTTTTTATGGTTTTAGGTCTTATGTTTAAATCTTTAATTCATTTCGAGTTAATTTTTGTATGAGGTGTAAGGAAGGGGTCCAGTTTCAGTTTTCTGCATATGGCTAGCCAGTTTTCCCAACACCATTTATTAAATAGGGAATCCTTTCCCCACTGCTTGTTTTTGGTGGTTCAACATATGCAAATCAATAAACATAATCCATCACATAAACAGAACCAGTGACAAAAACCACGATTTCTCAATAGACGCCAAAAAGGCCTTCGGCAAAATTCAACAATGCTTCATGCTAAAAGCACTCAATAAACTAGGTATTGATGGAACATATCTCAAAATAATAAGAGGTATTTATGACAATCCCACAGCAAATATCATACTGAATGGGCAAAGCTGGAAGCATTCCCTTTGAAAACTGGCACAAGACAAGGATGCCCTATCTCACCACTACTATTCAACATAGTATTGGAAATTCTGGCCAGGGCAATTAGGCAAGAGAAAGAAATAAAAGGTATTCAAATAGGAAGAGAAGAAGTCAAATTATCTCTGTTTGTAGATGACATGACTGCATATTTAGAAAACCCCATCATCTCAGCCCCAAAACTCCTTAAGCTGATAAGCAACTTCAGCAAAGTCTCAGGATACAAAATCAATGTGCAAAAATCACAAGCATTCATATACACCAATAATAGAGAACCAAATCATGAGCAAACTCCCATTCACAATTGCTACAAAGAGAATAAAATACCTAGGAATACAACTTATAAGGGATGTGAAGGATCTCTTCAAGGAGAACTATAAACCACTGCTCAAGGAAATAAGAGAGGACACAAACAAATGGGAAAACATTCCATGCTCATGGATAGGAAGAATCAGTATGGTGAAAATGGCCATACCGCCCAAAGTAATTTATAGATTCAATGCTATTCCCATCAAGCTATCATTGACTTTCTTCACAGAATTAGAAAAAACTACTTTAAATTTCATATGGTACCAAAAAAGAGCCCGTATAGCCAAGACAATCCTAAGCAAAAAGAACGAAGCTGGGAGCATCATGCTACCTGACTTCAAACTATACTACAAGGCTTCAGTAACCAAAACAGCATGTTACTGGTACCAGAACAGACATGTAGACCAATGGAACAGAACAGAGGCTTCAGAAATAACACCACACATCTACAACCATCTGATCTTTGACAAACCAGATATTTCTTTACTTTTAAAACCCAGTAACTTTATTTAGGTAGATCTTAGTATTGACCGTTCTCGGTCCCTTTTTCCTAGCTTATGCTGTGCCTTTTAAACATGTAAATTCCACCCTTATTTCTGGAGTGGTTTAATGAATTGTATTTTAAATTATGTCATGTTCCATTGTTGTCTTTTGTTTCTTCAGAGGCTTCAGTTATCCATATATAGGGTTTCCTTTGTCTCTTCTCTATAGCTATATGTTACTCTGTAACCTTCTGTAATTCCTTCTTTATTTCCTCTTCATGTTGTTCACTCTTCTCATTTCTGGCATCCTTCTCTCTTGTATTTTTCCCCTTGTGCTGTTCTCCCTTGTGCTTCTCCACTTTGGCTTCATTTTCCCCTGGGTTCTAAATGCTTCCATACCATTTCCTCATTGACTCCTTATCTCTCCCCTGAGTTCTTGAATACTGCTTTGTTGTCTTTCTTTACAAAGGTGATTGTTTCATTTTAATCCATGGTTTTATACTTGGTCTACATGTTCGTCTTTTCCATCTTTCTGCTAAGTGTTCTGTGGTAAGTTTTGCTCTTTTCCTTTTTTTTTCAAAACCTAGAACATAGATGCAATGCTGCTCTTTTGTAACTCACTTTAAAAATCAACTTGCCAGCCCCTTTAAAAAAAAAAGCTATTATTGGAATAAGTTAGATGTTACTGGCCTACCTATTCAAAAGGAAGCCTTGTGGATGGAAGGGGAAGAACCAGGCTATCTTTATAGATTCACACTCCAAAGGCACTTGCTTCAGGGATTTACCAGTGACAGATGGCCTCCTATAAAAATGGCTCCTCTGTATGGTCCTATCTTTTCTGTTTCTATGAAACAGATCAGGTCTAAGAGGGTTTCTCTTATCAGCTGTGCTCACTCTGTCTCTAATTTTCTTGCCAGACCCAAGTGGTACTTTATGGCAAGCCTCTTGCCTACAAGAAGAATAATTTTGTAGATGCTCTCTGAGATCTGCTGCCTCTAGGCCATTTTGCTCTTTTCTTCCTTCCCTTATTTTACTTTCCTGTGCAGCTTCTGTTTAATCTGTGCACTCTCCCTTCTTCCAGATCCCTTAGTTCTTGCTGAACAAGAAGTCTATCACTTCAGAAGGAGCTCTTTGCCTGTAGGAAGTCTATTTTTGCTGGGTCATTGTGTTTTTATTGGTCCACCTGGACCTTTTAACTTCCATCTGGGTGGCTTCTGTTGTACTGTTCAAGCCTGGGGATATATCTCCTAGTTTTACTGAAAATAAAATTTAGGTTTTTTTTCCTGGGTACATTGTTGTTTATATATGACATTCAGGAGGGGAAGAGAGAAATTACTAGCTATGTCATGCTGTGTTGTTAGATACTGGATCTCTAAATAGGAAATGTAGATCAAATATAGCAGTTTTACTAGAAATAGAGATAATAATAATAGCAAACATTTTATCACTGTGCCAGTCACACGATCCTCTCTGAGCCCAGAGGAGGTCACTTGAGGCTTGAATGCCAGCTACTTTTCATGCCAAGTCACTATACCTAATCATGCCCTCAGGAGAAGGGGAGATGATTGAGAGACTTGCATGACCTGAAGAGTGAGAAGAGTAGTAAGTCGTACACCCAAGCAAGCAGGATTTGGAATAGCCTAAAACACCTTTATGGTTTCAGGAGGCAGTTTGTCTCTAGACCCTCATTTATCTATCTTCCTCCTTCATCAGCTTGTTCACTGGAAGCATGATAATGCAGGTGTCCTGCTGCATCTGGTCCAGGCATCTCCAGGATTATTCTGTTCTGGCCTCAATTCCAAGTGGGAATTTTCAACTCCAGCTCGATGTCCACCATCTTACCTTAGACTCTGGCACCCCTGGAGATGCTGCTGGACCTTTGTTGCAAGAAAGAGTCAATGCTACCACCCTTCCATCAACCCATATCCCCATGGCACCATCCACTCTAAACCAGGGCAATGGTGGAGTAGTGGGGGGAATTAAAAGGAGCTCATGGTTCTCTGCATTCATTTTAAGTCTATGCCTGATCCTCCCCATGTAATCTGTGAATGAAAGTGTACCAGTGTTCTCCTCCCACTCCCAAATAAAAGAGCCATTCCCAGGTTCTGGACACCTCCTAAGCTTCCTATCACCTTCAGGATCTGATCTCAAATCCCAGGCTTGGTCCTCCACCAATTCTTTGTGGCTTTCTGCTCCATTAAATAACAATTTAAGTTTACCTCATGTTTAAGTGTAAAAACATACATGCATATTTTGATGCTTCTGGGATGGAAAAAATATAGAAATTAAAATTGTTCAATAATACCTAGATTTGGATGTTGAATCTGAGCAGGTCAAACTGGACACAAATTGCTCATTAGAAATAGAGACTTGTACATACCCTAAAAAGACATCTTCTGTCAACAACCTCTTACAGATATAAAAGTTCATATATTGGCCCTGGAACAAGCGGTGCTACCTTTGTCAGAAGTCATCCCTTGAGATGTATATATGCATATATATTATGTAATATAGTGGAATAGATTAAACAGATATGCAGAACAAATATACATATTTATACAACTTATGATTTATTTATTTATGAGACAGAGTCTCATTCTGTCACCCAGGCTGGAGTGCAGTGGTGCCTCCTTGGCTCACTGCAACCTTCACCTCCCAGGTTCAAGTGATTCTCCTGCCTCAGCCTCCTGAGTAGCTGGGATTACAGGCGTGTGCCACCATGCCCGGCTAATTTTTTGTATTTTGAGACAGTTTCACCGTGTTGACCAGGCTAATATGAACTCCTGGCCTCAGGTGATCCACCCTCCTGGGCCTTCTAAAGTGCTGGGACTACAGGCATGAGCCACTGCACCTGGCCCCAACTTATGATTTTATATACATTTATGATTTAGAAATGGTATATATAATTTGAGCAGAGCATTAAAAATAAATCACTTTATTCAAAGTGGGCTCCTCATTATTTCTAAGGCCTGCCTAGAATGTCTCTAAGTCCTCCCTGCGTATGAGCCTCAGTTCAATTCTTGCCTCCTCCAGGAAGCCTTCACTGACTGCTGTTGGCCAGTTGAGCTCATACATTAACAAAAGGCAAAATGACTCTCAGACACTCAGTCTGGCTCTCCACAGTGGGATGGCCCATGAAGGAATTAGGCATTATCACCTAGCCCCTTTCCCAGGACTCTGTCCTTCCCCTTCCCCCATGGCTCTCTCAGTAGTCCAGGTTGAGCCTGTTTTACACCCTCATCTCAGAGCATTTGCCATTGCTGATTTTAGGTGAGAACAGCAGTTGTCATTTCTGCAGCTTAGTCTTTATTAGTTGAGGGCCTAAAAAGTCTGGTTGGCCATGAAATCCTTCAGTAAAACTGCTGGGTATGATGCTGCTAATCGATTTCAAGTCTCCCATGTAGGGAAATGCTGACCCACTGGCTAGGGAGCACAGCTAAAGCCAGACTTGGCATTTTAAACCAATATTTTGCATATCCAATAATTTTTTTTTTTTTTGGCCCCAGAGTGTGAAAGTGGCTGTGGATTTTATCAGAAGCTTTAAAAGCTTATTTCATCTAGCTAACTTCCCTGATCTAGATTATTCAGGGAGAAAAAAAAAATAAGCGTTACTCCACTAATGCACATTTACAGATGTTATTATGCAAGTTCTAAATGTTTCTTTTTCCAGATGAAAGATTATCATTAGAATCAAGGGAAACATTAAAGTCTCCTCAAATCAGCTTACCTAGAATAGTCTTAATGGGTTTAATAGGGAAATTTATCCATCTTTGCTTGTAGATTGTACCATTAATTAGTATAACTCATCTTATTCCAAGTTTAATGTCAGTATTTTAAACTCTTCCAAAGATTGCTTTTTAAAGACTTTATTAGCAAGTTCCTGAATAATGGCACCTAATTCCTTTGCTCATGCCTGTTTTTACATAAAATGACGCATTCTCTAAGGATAAGAGAACACGCATATATATTGATGTTTTAGGCAGTGAAAAGTAAAAGCTGGAATTACATATAATGCAATTTAATTTGAGCAGGCATAACCTGGCTCAAAGATCTCTGTTAGATGATCTCCAATTAGAAAGGCAATTCACCTTGTATATGTTTTTTAAATCCCTTCAGTAAGCTCCTATTGTGTTTTCTATTACAAAACTGCTTATGGCAAGGAGCTTATTATCTATTAGCCTCTCAAGGGTAAGTGCTCCCAGCCCCTGAAGCTCCTTGGAAGAGAAGAAATAGTGGCTGCCTGTCAGTATTTGAAAGCAAAATCCTCACCACAAACATTATTCCCATTTTACAGATGAAAAAGCAGGGGATCAGAGAAGAGCAAGGGCTTGCGTGAAGAGCAACAACTTGTACACTGAGGGTTGTGAGAGCTGGAAGTCTGAGGGAGTGTGGGTCCCAACCTTGCACTCAAGTGCATGGTCTGTATCTTGTGGAGGAGGTATTTTCTTGGGGAGAATGGGGTTGTCATAGATGAGCAGATGAGTGAAACTCTAGTTGAGAGAGCTGGGCTTGAATTCAGTTTTGCCGTTTACCATCCGTAGGACCTGGGAGATATCATCCACCTTCTCTGAAAAGCAATAGAAGAGATTCCTATCTTGCTGGATGGCTTCCTGTGGTCATTTCCTGTGAAAACATCACATGCATGACCTTGATTCCTATACTTTTCTATTTGGTGGATCACCATGCTGCTCTGTGTCCACAAACACAAATCAGATCACAGCCGACAGCTACTGAGTGTGGCCTGGTGCTACCACATGGCAAGCCTGGAGCTGAGTGCTTAAGTGCATTCTATTATAGTTTCATTCTCCTCGTGGTCCTAATACTAGTTCTGTTATCACCTTCATTCTAGAGATGAGGAAACTGAAGATTAAAAAGTAACCTGTCCGTAGTCTCAGCGAGGATGGCACCACTGGGATCTGCGTTCAGCCCTGACTCCAGAGCCTATTTTTTGTTTTTATTTTTTATTTATTTATTTTTTGAGACGGAGTTTCACTCTGTCTTCTAGGCTAGAGTGCAGTGGCGTGATCTCGGCTCACTGGAACCTCAGCCTCCAGAGTAGCTGGGATTACAGGCACATGCCACCAAGCCCAGATAATTTTTGTATTTTTAGTAGAGATGGGGTTTCACCATGTTGGCCAGGTTAGTCTCAAACTCCTGACCTCAGGTGAGTTGGCCTCCCAAAATGCTGGGATTACAGGCATGAGCCACCATGCCCAGCCCAGAGCCTACTTTCTCTCTCCTGTTTTTAAGCTTTTAAGGCAGAATGACTGTGCTAAGCAGAATCAATCTTCACCTGTTTGCATTCAAGTTTATTGGGTTCCACATTCCTAAGGGAATTGTAGACTCACTCCTTCTCCACATTCATGCTCCCATGGCATGTAGCATCCTCTCCTTGGTGTTCCTACACATTTTTCCAGCACTGGGGCACCTTCTGTTTGCTTAGATATTGAATGACAGGAGGGACATGGTCCCTGTTGGTGAGGAGGAGCCTACCATGCTGTACTGGGAGACAGACACTTGCTGCTGAAGGCTTCCAGCAGCCTGAGAATGCCATGATGGAGGGAAGAGACCCAACCCAGGCAAGGCAGTTCAGGAAGGCACCCTTGTGTTTGCTTGAACCCAGACTCTGGAAAGTGTTATTTCATCTCAACTCATCACTGCTCTAAGGAAGGCTCAGCTGGACCTTCTACAGGAGCTACTAATTGCAAACACTCTGAGCACGTTGATCCAGGGCTGCTCTGATTAAGTAATTATTCACAACAGCACCTAGGAGGGCTGAAGGAGATTAGTTTGAAAGAATCAGCATCAGGTCTCCATTTCTGAGAGGCCTCCGAGCTTGCTCCCAAAGAGAACTTGAGTCTCGCCCAACTCCTTAATCACCTTCGGAGGCACTAAAGTTTAAACTAAATTCTGATTGTTTTCATATTTGCTTCTGCTAGAGCCCTGAGATCGCATTGGTGAGGTTTGCCTGAGAGAGGGGGGCTGGTCCTGTGACAGAAGGGGAGGAGTAGGGTAGGGTTATTTTTATCCTTTGGTTCTTTAGCTGAAAGATTTCATGCATTACAAGAATATACCAGTAATTGGTTCCCCAACAGAGGTTTACAGCTATCCTGTGATGCCTGTGTGTCAGATTTGCCATTTTCGGACATCCCCAATTGGGTGTTCAAATGTGGCTTCAGTTAGGATTTCTAACAGAGACACGCTCACTCACACTTGCTCGCCACTTCTTACTCTATTAGATAGTAACACTATAGCTTTGAATAAAGGATTTCTATCCTCTGTCTCCCTTTCCATTTTTTATCTCATCTCCCAAATGTTTTTTATCCCACTGATTGTTTCCTTTTCTTCCCCGTTTTTGTCAAATCCTCAGAAAGGGCTTTTCAGACTGTCATTCAGCCCTTGAAGTCATCAATGAGCTGAGACCAGCGTGGAACACCAGTTATAGCCTTTGGGAGCATTTTTCAAAGACGCTTGGATTTCCTAGCTCCTACCTCTCCACTTTCAAAACCATTACCTGTTTTGAAACTTCCTCACCAGCTCTTCACTAGCCCCTGGTTTTGTCTGAGGGAGGACACAGGGGCCAGGGAGAAGGGGACAATGGGGTCCCGGGGTACAGGCAGAGCCAGACTACTGACACTCATCTAGGTAAGAAGCAACCCTTCTTTCCTCCAAAGACTACTGCCCGGGGAGTCTAACTGCCACATAAGCAAATACTAATAACTTAGAGCTCCCCTTCCCCCTTACAACCCCACCAAGGCTGCGGTAACCCTGGAGCAGCTTCTCTGTCCTACAGTATTGACAACAATGCCTCCTTCTCCCTCCCATCAGCTGCGTTCCTCATGCTGCACTCCAAGCTATGTTTGAACACTGTCTGCATTCAAATCCAGTCTAGCTTAAAGCCCTATAAAGCTCCATGCCTTGGGTGGAGGGGGCAAAGGTGGCCAGGTGGAGAGCGATCACGTTTTCTTCCCAGGGCTATGTACTTTCCATGGAGACTGAACGTGCCTTATTTACACTTGCTCTTTGCATTTTGTTCATATTTTCCAAACAGAAAGGAAAAGTCCACTGGGAGAGCACCAAATTACCTGGGCCCTTCTCTGCCTGAGTGCTGTGCTTTCCTGGGGGAGAGAGCTGTCTTTTTCCACATTTTGGAGTAATGTGCAATGGCACTATACCTTTCTCTAATGAAGCCCCAGTGGCCACACATGTGACACAGGCAGCAGGCTGTTCGCAGTTCTTCCAAAAGACCATTGTTCTCACACCAAAGCTAACAAAGGTGAGAGCCTACTTGCTCTCCCTCCATCCTATATTGCTCAGCTAGCTACCTCACCTGCATCATTGGCAGAGTTTCCTACGCAAGGCAAGGCCTGATATTTTGATTTTTTTCAACCCAGAGTATGGACCAAGTATATTAATTGTTAGGTTAGTATTGGCTGCCCACAAGACCAATATATCCAGGAAGTAAGTCCTGCACGTGGGGATGGCCCAGCAGGATGACAGCCTGATTCAAATCCTGTCTCTTCCACTTAATAGCTGTTTGACATTGGGAGTCTGTGATCTATTGTTCATTCATTTAAAATATACTTAGTGATAAATATATTTTTGAACAACTACTACATAGTACCTTAGAGCAAGTGCTAAGAATACGGGTGTGGGGAAGTCAGACCAATCTCCCAATCCTGGAACTTATCCACAGCAGACAGATATTGCAACCTGTATTTCTTGGACTTCTACTGACCCATGTATAAAATAAGGAGAGATGTTATTCTTTATATCACAAGCATCTCCTCAGGCTTAAAAAACGCACAACAATACAATTCTAACATATTATGCAGACAGTTGGGATATGAGAAGGGGAACATAAATTTATTGAGTTCCTGCTATATGCCAGTAGCTGTGAGCTATGTTTTACTAATATTGTCTCATCTTATTCCATGTAGTGATGCTATGAGCTAAGCTTTATTACACCATTTTGCAGATGGAAAAATTGAAGTTTACAAAAGGCAGTAAAAGGGTGATTCTATTCAGTCAGTAGGTGTGTATTGAGAACTTTCTTCATGCCAGGAACTGACTGGGTTAGATGCTGGGTCCCCAGTGCTGGGCAGAGTCAGGGCATGTTTTATGTTGCTATGATCTAGGGGAGAAATGGGCACTGAACGAGATGGGTGTTATGAATGCTATCAGAGAAACAAGGCATTGGGAGCATAGAAAAGAGAAATCTCAAGTTTGAGGATTAGGGAAGTCCTCTAAGAAAATGTCACTTTAAAGCCAAGATCTGATGGAGGAATTGGCATTAGCAAGGCAGTGGGAAGAGGTGTTTGTTTCCCAATAGAAGAGCATGTCGGAGGGGCAGTAAGGCCAGAGCGTGAAGGTTGAGGAGGAGCAGATACAGAAGAGAGATTTGGTTTTTCAGTGAGTGTGTCCTGCAGGCCATTTAGCTCACATTATGGAGTTTAGACTTAACCTACAGAATAACTGGGAGCCTCTGAAGTGTCTCAAACAGGAGAGTGACTTGATCAAATGTCCGTTTTGGAAATATCACTTTGGCTGCTGGATGGAGAAGGGAACATGGCGGGGGAGGGAGGGGGCAAGATGGGAGACCAATTAGGAGCCTGTTCCAGTTGTCCTGGTGGGAGGTAGTGGTGGCATTGGAGACTAGAATAGAGGCAGTGGAGATAAGAAGCAGTGAACTTTTTCACTGTGAACCAGGACAATTCCCAAGTGTTTGCCCTGAGAATATATGAGTATTTGCTGGTACCATTTTCTGACTATGGGAAGAAGCAGATATGAGGCTGGGGAGTGGATCCCAGAGACGTGGCTCACACACCAGCCCATTGGAGCAGATGGAGATTGTGTAAAAATGATACGTCATAACGTGTAGAAACAGTAGGGTAAATGGGGAAACATCATTGAGAAGTAGTGTGTCTGGAGTTGGTTCTTTCCAGTGGGCTCATGGTCTCACTGACTTCAAGAATGAAGCCGTGGACCTTTGCAGTGAGTGTTACTGCTCTTAAAGATGGCACAGACCCAAAGAGTAAGAGGTAGCAAGATTTATTGTTAAGAGCAAAAGAACGAAGTTTCCACAGTGTGGAAGGGGAACCGAGAGGGTTGCCGCTGCTGGCTGGGGTGGCCAGCTTTTATTCCTTTATTTGTCCCCTCCCATGTTCCATTTCTGTCCTATCAGAGTGTCCTTTTTTCAATCCTCCCTGTGATTGGCTACTTTTAGGATCCTGCCAATTGGTAATTTTACAGTCCTCTTGCTAGCTACAGAGTGCTGATTGGTACATTTTTACAGAGCACTGATTGGTGCATTTTATAATCCTCTTGTAAGACAGAAAAGTTCTCTGAGTCCCCACTCGACCCAGGAAGTCTAGCTGGCTTCACCTCTCAGTAGGATGCTGAGAAGAAAACTGGGAGCACAAGAGCAATGAAAAGCAAGCTGAAACCAGGATGGAGGGCGGGAGGGAATGTAATTGAAAATGGGAGAATTAGAGGGCTAGCTGGCACGTGTCCATCCAGGAGGGTGAGGAGAGCACAAGAAAGCAGGTCTTGGTCTTCGTGATTAATCCAAATCCTCTCCCAAGAAAGCACCGTCTTTTCCTCTGAAGAGTCTGATGCTGGTAGCCCAAGTGCCCTGCTCCTCTCGCCAGGACCCCTCTCCAGAAATTGCCGGGATTGCCACAGGGTAGAATGCCAGAATGGCACCAGAATAGTAGGGGGATATATGACTATATTTTTCACCCCACGAACATTACTTTTCCCTAGGAATGTACTAAGTGTGTGGGATGTATCCTCTGGGTCCCCACTTCTGAAAGCTTCAGTCCCCTGTTCACACCTTTATTGGGGGCGATGATGAGCACCTTAAAAGGCAGGCACTTTTCTCCCATCACCAGCCTGTGTGTTGTGGCTAGAATACCAAATTTGAACAAATAGCCCTCTGCAGGCTGTTGCCTTTGATTATTTCCTTCTTTGGGATGTATCAAGCTCCAGGCAACCTGTGCCTGACTTTCTTCTCATACAGACCATTCGGTTGAAGACCTTGTGAGTGAACAGGGCCCAGTAACTGAGAGCCTCCTCTTTCCATTTCGGGTTTCTGATCTCTCTCGACCCACACCAGTGGCTCCCTGCTAGTGGACTTGTCCCTGAGTGACAGATTCATTCTTTCAGGATTTCAGTGCCTGATCCGATCAGACATCCAAGACTTGTGTACTTTGGGGAGCCTGTGGAAAATCTAGCAGTCTTGTAAAGATACAGATTACCTGCACATCTGTCAGGGTTTAGTTAAACACGACTGACTAATTCATCTTGAAGCATGAGATTTCCTCTGCATGTTGACTTGGCAATTTTCTCTGTTCAGAGAACATTTAGAATAGATGGTGCGCATGGCAATAGAGAAAAAATAGAGGCTATTAGTTTCCCATTTTCAAATGTGAAATTGACTACGGAATGCACAACCTATTTTCCTCAGAAAAACAGGCCACATTCTCTCCTGCTTAGAGCAGGGCAGTGTCAGAAAAGTGAAAACCTAGGGCCCCGAGGTTCTGAGTTGGATCCAATAAGTGTGTTGGGAGGGCCTGCTCCTGAGGATCTGCCTTGGCACCTGGGCTAAGCCAGGATTCTCCACCTTCATAACAACTAAACAACTACCTTCCCTGCTATTTGGGAGCATGGCTTAGCAAGAGATGCTGGTTCCTGGCTTGTGGGGGCTTATCTTCTTTCTCAGCTCATCTTAAACAGTTGAAGGGGAGAAGTACGGGAACAAACTTGGATGGCAGAATATCATGATGATGCTCCAGAAAGTTAGCCCAAAATGATCGCTAACCTGATTCAGTGCTGCCCAGCACGACACCCTGCTGCGGTGGGAAGATTCTGCGTCTGTGCTGTCCAGTGTGGAGGTCACTAGCTGTGTGGGGCTGTTGAATGCAGTGGTGCAACTGAGGAACTATCTATTAGATTTTTTAAATTTTGATTTTTGAGACTGAGTTTCTGCTCTTTTTGCCCAGGCTGGAGTGTACTGGCACAATCTCAGCTCACCGCAACCTCCGCCTCCCAGGTTCAAGCGATTCTCCTGTGTCAGCCTTCCAAGTAGTTGGGATCACAGGCATGCACCACCATGACTGGCTAATTTTGTATTTTGAGCAGAGACAAGTTTTCACCATGTTGGCCAGGCTGGTCTCAACCTTCTGACCTCAGGTGATCCACTGCCTCTCAAAGTGCTGGGATTACAGGCGTGAACCACCGCACCTGGCCTAAATTTTAATTAATGTAAATAGCCATATATGGCTAATTGCAGCTTACTAGATAACACAAGCAACTATTTTATGTGGCTAAAGCCAGTTGTGTGTAGGTGGATTTGTTGTTGGCTTTCTGAATGCTGTGATGCTAGCCCTAATGTTACCTATAAATGTTCAGTTTAAAAATAGCAATAGTAATAATAATCAAAATCATAGGTGGCACATACTAAGTAATTACCATATATCATGTACTTTGCTAAGAACTTTATATACATTGTCTGATTTATACTTATATAACCATATTATCCGAAGTTTTACAGATAAGGAAGCCGAGGTGCTGGAGGCTGACTTGTCTCAGGTCACCCAGCCAGTGAGTGGCAAAGCTGGGATTCATTCCAGCCAGCGCGACTCCTGAGAAGTTATTCTTTGCTCCCTGTCGAGACATTTCTCAGTGTTGTTTCCTGGCTGGTGTTTTAAAATACAGCCAAACCCTGATTATTAAAAGCAAGGCAGTGTTTTAAGGTCATTAAAAACTGGGGTATAAACACTGGACATGCATTCATTCCATGCTTTGCAGAGTGTAGAGTCTGGATCCTACCTGGACAGAAGGCAGCGTCGTAAATGAGAGTCCCCAGGTTGCAGAGACCCAGTCAGGGCCTGGTCACCTCTCCTCTAATATGGAGGGTGGGGAAAGACCTTTTCTGCCTGAGCTCTGGGAAGCTCGGTTCTCCATCAAGCCTTAGGGTGAGAAATGGGCTTGCCTGATAAGCATATGTGGATGATAAAAATGAGGAGAGGATCTGCATGGTATTTTCTTCTGGAGAAGTTTCACCTAGTCTTTTGCAAGGCAGGCCGATGGGGGCTGATCACCTTAATTCAATCAGGTCCTGCGTTGGTTGAAGGCTAGCTTGGAGTTTTGGTGAGGCTGTGTCTACTCCTTTTTCATCACTGTCCCTATGGCTTCCAGTGAAGACCCCAGGGATTCCCCCAGGCTCCCTCTGCACTGGTAGGTTCTGAGCCCTAATCTGTGTCTCTTCAGCACCATGAGATATTCAGAACTTGGCTGTGCCTTGTAACAGCATTTCTGCTTAACTCCTTAGCAGTGTGCTCCTGTAGCTTTAGAATATGGGAGAAGTTACAGATGTGGGGCTCTGTTCTTTGCCCCCTTTTACTCATTGGAATTTTGACTCCTCAGATCTTTCATTTCTGTCTCTCCAGATACTAAAGACCCCAAATGCATTGCTGGGTTCTCTAGGTCTTGGTAGCAGCCTACTGCTTGGACCCTTTGCAGGTTTTCTCAGTACCAAGAATTAGCGTATGCCCTGAGGGAAGAGGGAGGGGCTAGGGAAAGTCAACTCCCTTCTCTGCACCATTTTTATTCCTTTGGGATTTCTTTCCTCAAGTTTTAGCACTCTACAAGACCTTCAAATAGCTTGCACCTACCTACTCACCTGCCCACCCATCCATCTGTCTGGATTTTCTTGTTCTCAGGAGTATCTGTCTGCCCCAGTGATTCTGTCTTACCCTAAGAAATGACTAAATAGTTATAGATGGGCTGAAAGGACTGTTTCATGGAGAAGGCATCCATCTGTTTACAGTGGAAAGTCAAGAATGAGACCACTGGAAGGCTAGCAAAATAGGCCCAATCCCCAAATCCAAACCTTGGGCTAAGACAAAATTAGGAGTCTGCTATTAATAGGATCTTTTGGTGTCCTAGGCAGCCTCTCTCTAAGAGCATTAGCTGTGCCTGGGTGTTAATCTCTTGGCATGAGTTTAGTGGAAAATGTAATCTCCTCTGGCAAAACTGCAAGAGCAAGCTTTATGCGGTTAGCAAAAGTGATCTGTGATTGTCTGTCTTCTGAGGATGCTACACAACGGTGAGACCACTGCAGCTTGCTTTCACAGCACAGAGGCCATCCAAATTCAAGTTCTGAACAAAGGCTGCTTGCCCTGGGGGTCTAGGCTCTCTTTTTGTCCCACTCTTTGTTTGTACTAACAGCATCTTTGGGGTGTTTTCCACGTGAGGTAACAGTTATATCGTGGTTGGATAGAAAGGTTTGCTTTGAACGTGGCTTTGCCAGTAGCCCTGCACACAGAAGGCAGAAAGCCCCCAGCCCCATTGTCTGTTCTGTTTGCTTTTCTCTAGCCTGCACAGACAAGGAGTTGCGGAACCTTGCCTCCCGGCTGAAGGATTGGTTTGGAGCTCTCCACGAGGATGCGAACAGAGTCATCAAGCCCACCAGCTCCAACACAGCCCAAGGCAGTAAGACCATTTTAAATATCACATTTCCTCAATTTATTAGACATTGATTTAGGGTTAGCAATATCATTTGGGGGTGAAAAACACCCATTACATTAAATATATACTTTGACTTTAAATATGTCCCAATCTCAAAAAAAAGTTGGATTAAAAAATGTTTAGTATAGGCATTTTGAAAAAAATATATGATCTCACCATTTTAATGACCGTAAGCATGCTGTGGTACATACTTTAAGGTTTTTTCTGGTGTCATATATGAAACAGCGTGTGTGTGTATAATTACAAAGTTTGGATCATACTTTCCAGACTGTTTTATGATCTTTTACCATGTAGAAATGTGACTATCTTTTCATGTTGTGAATAGTATTCTGCTTTCTGATAGCTACACAGAATCCCAGTTTATGGAGATAACAGTTTACTTAATTTGATCTTTATTTTGGGACATTGAGGTTGTTGCCAATGTTAGGCTAATAGAAGTAACACTGTAGCAAACATCTTTGGTGCTATGTCTTTTTGTACAATAGTCAGACTGCATATTGTCTTCCACAGAAACTCCCAGACAGGTGTCCCCTCTCCCCATCCATAACATGCAGATTGCTCAAGGAGCCTCCCGCCAGCATCAGGTGCTGAGTTGGCAGAGACCATACTCAGTTTTGTCATAAGCTGCAGAGAACACTCAGAGTGGGTCCTCACATTTGCACATCAATGGAGTCTCTTTGATGCCTTTAATTCAAAGGCAGTTAGGTATAGGCTTCTCCACACTGTGGCCAATGAGCACAGAATAGATTACTAAACACAATTATTTGATATATGTAGTTTGGCCACAGCCTTCTCTATGTAGCCATTCTGATATTATTTGGTCAAAATATAAAAACACATCATTTAAAACAGCATTTCACCTGATCCCCTGCTTGTTTGGAATTTCTGAAAGTAATGCTCCTGGATTGAATGCAGTAGGTAAGAAGTTAGTTAGAGTAGCAACTGTTGAGATCCCGAGTTTGACTAGCATCTGGTTTTCAGCCAAAACAAAAATGATCTTCTTAATTTTTAGTTATTTTTGGCTGCTCATAGCCTTCTAGAGATATCAGTGGAGAACATCAATCCAGGGGACAATTATTTTAGTAGTTGGGATCTTTTACCTTAAGAAAAAAATAGCATTTAAGTGTCTCCAAAGTGGTTCTTGGTGGGGTTCTTGGTGGTTGGGTCTGTTGGAAAAGCAAAATAAGATTTTTTTTCCCCTGGATCCTCTAGGAGCAGCCTGACCCTTGGGTTTTCTGAACAACCTATCAACAAAAGCAGATTGATGTGAGGAGAGCAGCTGCTTGCAGCCTCCAGTCTCTGGAGATTTCTCCAGAAGACCTGCCTTTGCCCAAAAGCAAATTGAGTCCCCTAAGAGGCTTTTAGGTTTGATATCCTGAAGCAACTGGAGTGAAGGGAATGTTAAAGCATGATGTTGGTTAGCCCAGAAGGCCAGAGGAGTGAGCGGCATTTGAGTCTAGGAGTTCTGAAGGGGAAGCCCTGGAACCCTGCTTGGTCCCTGCACTCTTGGGGCCAACTAGAAGGGCTGCTCTCCTTTCTCCTGCATGACAGGCAACCACAGATGTCAAGATGCAGGCACTCCTTTTCTAGTAGTGGTAGGGTGGGCTGCGCTTGACTTTTTGACTACTGCCCAACCAGATTGGCACTTCTTTTTGCCGACCAGTCAGCAGTAAACTCCTCTTGCCTTATGCATTAAAATATCGATATCCTATAAAATTGATGTATGTAAAATATTGTTTACAAAAGCATAGAGCTGTGTAGTGCCAAAGTAAATTATCTCTCATTCAGCAGCCCCTGAGGGACAGCATCATCAAAGACTATTGACAATCATGACATTCGATCAAAGAAGGGGCCACGTTATGTCCCGTAGCCTCTCTTCTGGAAAAAAAAAAAGAGGGGGGTGGGTATTTTAAAATGTGTTCTAAGATATTGAATAAATTTAAAAATGGAAAGATTTTATGTTTTAAAGCAATAGAGTTTACAATAGCTAGAAAACGTCTCCCAACATTTTTTTTTTTTTTTAATTGAGCACTATATTCCTGTCATGCCTGAGGCTGCTGAAGGGGACAAGACAGTCTTTTCCCTCAGGGAGCCTATAGTTTGATTAACAAGCATGGACAATGAGGGGAAGCATAGGGTTATAAGAGAGCTCAGAGGAGGAGATGCTGTACTTATTTTACTGGCTTCTAGACAGTGAAGACTTTTCTGCAAAGATGCTGCTTTAAAGAGTGGGTACAGGGCCGAGGGCGGTGGCTCAAGCTTGTAATCCCAGTACTTTGGGAGGCCAAGACAGGTGGATCACGAGGTCAGGAGATCGAGACCATCCTGGCTAACACGGTGAAACCCTGTCTCTACTAAAAATACAAAAAAATTAGCTGGGCATGGTGGCGGGCACCTGTAGTCCCAGCCACTCAGGAGGCTAGGCAGGAGAATGGTGCGAACCCGGGAGGCAGAGCTTGCAGTGAGCCGAGATGGTGCCACTGCACTCCAGCTTGGGCAACAGGGTGAGACTCTGTCTCAAAAAAAAAGAGTGGGTACATTTTGCTGTATTCTACATTTCACTAAGAAAGGGTTCCTAGTGATTCACATAGAAACTTAATGACCAGGCTGTCATTAATGCTTAATGATGGGCAACTGACCCCATCAGGCCCCCCCTTGCACTGCCCATCCCTAAACGTGACACTCTAGGCCAACTGGATGGCCTCAGGACAGGAAGATCAAGTCAGGCAGAAGGCTAGCAGAGGTGTCATTGAGAATATGTAGATTCTGGATTAAGCTTGCCGGGGTCTGAATCTCCATTCTACAATTGTATGACCTTGAGCCTTATTTTTTCATCTGTACAGTGGGAATGATATAGCACCATTTCATAGGACTGTTACAAGGATTCAGTGAGAAAATTAAGTACAAAGTGCTTAGAAGCATGCTTTCTATATAGCAACAGACGTTCACTTTTATCATTGGGGTATTCCAGAAAAATACAACTAGCCCTAGAAATCCAGTTTATGGAATAACCTGAGATTGCACGGGACCTTTGATTCTGAAAAAAGTTGAGTTTTAAATCTGGGACATGTCTACAGTAGACTCAATATCCCGAGTGTTGAGCTAAGTGTTATTATTTTAGTGCATACACTTTCCATTGTGGAAACAAATAATTCTTTAAGAAAACAACTTCTTCTCCCCCAGGGAAATAAGAAAGAAATTATTGTCTGAGTTGATTTGGATTCCATCTCATGGATCTCCTTAGGGGATTGCAGAAGAGAAGAGTGGGGAACAGAGGCAGGCACCTGGCTTGTTTTGCCATTAACATTCAGACTGCTTGGATTTAAAGGTCCTCTGGGATGCAAGCGGTGCTTCTGGATTATGCTATGTTGTTTCATTTCACTGCTATCCTTTTAAAAATATTTTATTTTGGTTTTCCAGTATTTTTTGAAATACGAAAGCATAGTTTTTGGTACCATAAGCTATACCTCTCACTCACCATGTTTCTATTATTTCTTTCAGGCACACCCCATTTTAAGCAAATGAAAACACATATTTATATCACAGATATGTTAACATTGGGGATTTTTCCCCTTTAGAACATATTTTCCTCAAATGATGACTTTTAAACCATTTCACTTAAAAACAAAACAAAAAAACACAAAATATTCTAGAGAACCACTAAATCTGTATGCTGGGAAGGAAACAGCCTCAGGAAGGGAGTCAGGTGGGCCTTGGCATCTTCTTGGGGCAGAAAGCTGGGGAGTGAGCAGGGAGGAAAGCATCAGGCTTGGTGGCAGCTGAGATATGCCTTTTGTTTGGCAGGGTTTGACACTAGCATCCTGCCCATCTGCAAGGACTCCCTGGGCTGGATGTTCAACAAGTTGGACATGAACTATGACCTCCTGCTTGACCCTTCAGAGATCAATGCCATCTACCTGGATAAGTACGAGCCCTGTATCAAGCCTCTTTTCAACTCGTGTGACTCCTTCAAGGATGGCAAGCTTTCTAACAATGAGTGGTGCTACTGCTTCCAGAAGCCTGGAGGTAAGGTGGGATGGAGGGTTGGGGTCCCTAGCCCAGGGCAGCCTTGCTGGAGCAGAGGAGGACTGCGTATGACTATGAATTGGGCAGAGAGCCACAGCCAGAGAATAAATAATTCATTCCATTTAATGCCAGGCCCAAAGTCTCATTTCTTCCAGTTTATTTCTGCTTTTAATGTGGTATACTAGAAAAACCAAGAGTATAAATCAAGTAGTCAGTTACTTCTGTCTGTTCCTCCCTTTGGGGAAGTCTCTCAACTGTCCGTATTTTCATCTATACAATGGGTATAGAAACCTTCATGACATAATCCAAAGGTCACTGTGAGCTCTCAATGTAAAAAATACCTTAAAAATGTAAGAGACAATGAAAATCATTCTCATTGAGAAAGTCACTTGTCAGTTTCTCTAGGATAAGTTCAGATTTATACTAAGTGTCCTAGACAAGAATATTTTGGTTATAAATAAACTCCAGCTAATGAAAAAAAGAGGCAAGATTTGGGGAATAGAAGAAAAGATACCAGGATATTTCATATAACCCAAAGTCAGACAGGTTGGCCTGCTGGGGGATTCAGATTAAGGACAGGAAGCCAGTGGCAGGTGCCCTGACTTTACCTCCCTCTGTCTGGGGGGTGCACCTGAGTATGGCAGTCACAGTTAATGGGACCAGAAGAGACAGGCCCACATCGGGAGAACATACAACTACAGGCATAGCTGGTATATCCCACCGCCAGGAAAGGAGGATGGCTGCTAATATGAAAGTATTTAAGTTATGTATGCATAGACAATACACACACAACAAAAAACGTGGGTATTCAGTGAAAGGTAAGTATGTGTGTATGGGATTTCAAGATATGTTCTTAAAATTACTAGTCAAAAGGCATGTGCCTTTTAAAATTTGAGCAATTGACCTCACCTCCAAAGAGGTGGTAACAATTTTTACTTTCACCAAAGATATATGAGAATACCTATTCTCTATGGCGTTACCAAGCTTCTTGATTTATGAGTTAGGTTGAACATCTGTACAAATGAAACATTCTGGAAATGTCTATATGTTCTTTGTATATTTTTTCTATCAGGTTCTTGTGTGTTTGTTTTTTAAGGAAATTGGAACTTTTCTGGTCATAGGTATTGTAAATATTTTTTCCCAAATTACAGTTCATGCATTTTTGTTAGGGAGAAATTTTAAGATAGCCAAGCTTCTCTGTATTTTATGGCTTCTAAGAAGCCATAAAGCTTAGAAAGGTATTTCTCACTTTATCTTTTTTGCTGTTCACTTAAATTCTGTATCAGTCTAGATTGTGTATTACACAGTCAAGTAGGCTCCCAGCCTCCCTGGAGATGGTCATCCAGTTGCTATATATATATATATAAAATAAATCAGTTTTAGACTTTTAAATCACAGTTGTTTTACAATATGTTTTACTACCTGGTAGAACTGTCCTTTGCTGCCATTACTGTTTTTCTAGAATTTTCCTGGATATTAGTATGTTTCTTTCCCTGTGTGAACTTTAGCATCAGTTTATCCAATTAAAAACAATTCCTATTGGTAATTTTTAAGTATCAGGAAAAATTAATCAAATAAAAATCAATAGCTGTATAATATGGAATCATTTTGTTTTAGAACAGGATCTATCAACCCATGGTGTTAATTTTGAAATTTTGTTCTAACAATTATTATACTTCCCTTGTATTTATTATTGCTACCATTGTAACTGAAATAGGTGTTTTTTTGCACTATATTCCCTCCCTGGTGGTTTCAACATTAATTTTGTTCTCAACCACCTTACTAAAATCTTGCTTTGTTTCTAAGTTATTCTGGTTGGTTTGCTTAGATTTTTCGGGTGTGCAATCATATCATCTGCAAATAGTGATAATTTTTCTCTTCATTTTCAATTTTTATACCTCATTTTTCTTTTCTAATTACATCTGTTAGTACCTAAAATCAATGTTAAGATAATAGCCATTTAAAAATTTTAGTAGTGTAAATACTTGTAGTGATTCTCAGCATTAAGACTAGTGATAGTTTTAGGTTTGAGTTCGTATTGTAACATGTGATTTTTAGCATGGTTTCCTTACAACACAGAGCCTATGTGTTAATGCTTGCCTGGAGGTAACAGTGCCAGAGCTGGTCACCTGGCCACATGGGACATCTCTGGATAGACTGCCCTTACTCTTGCAGTTGCTGAAAGCCAGAACCCCTTCCTGTGGCACAGCATCCAGGAAATGCTACCTTTTATAATCCAGATGAAATTTGTTTCTCCTTTACTCTGAAAGCATCTTAAAACAAGAAGTCAACAAAATGTATTTTACAAGCAGTTTCTCTCATGGAACAAGCAGCAAGACCAGGTAGCATTGTGCAGTCTACAGGGTAAGAGTTGTAAATGGTTGCTTAGATACTTTATATGCAAGTGTGGGGCCTGCAGAAAGAGGCAGTATCAGCCAAAGATAAGAACTCAGAGAACCAGAACTCCTCTGCCAAGGACAGGATGAACCATGAACAAATAGCAGAACTCCCAGAGCCACAAGGTCTGCAAAGGCAAATCATGGTAAAACTCTGAAGAATGAATGAGGTCACTTTTCATTTTGCTTAGAATGAAACTAACTTCTTTTCTATGACATGCATTTTGCCGCTGAGGACCCAGAGGCTGGGACAGGTGAATTCAGCTAGGAGGTGGCAGAGCCTAGATACAAAGTCTCATCAGTGCTTCTCCAGATCTCTTCTGTATCTTCATAGTTGTCCCTCAAAGCCTATTTTACTTTCCTGGGGGTGGTGAGGTCTGAAGTAACCATTCCTATCCATCCTTTCCTACAGGAAAACCTAGGCTATATAAGTATTTGTCACCTCTGGTTAGTTCGTCTGTGGATTCAGAACACTTCCCCACTAATAAGCCTTGGCTGATTACTTGCTTCCTGATAGAAAGGAAAAAGTCCATTACACCACCTATTAGATACTTGGTATTTGCTTGAGTTGGTACTAGAAAGAAAAATTTCTATGCAATGCAAGTGGCCCCCAAATACTATTTTAAGTGCATTGTGGTATGAGGTTTGTTTTTTAACTAGTAACACTAATGGCCCGAATTTGTTTTCTTGCATAGTAACAGCATATGGAACAATTCCACTCCCAGGTGTGTCATTGTCTACATTTCACATCAAGAGTGAAGTCAATCATTAGCGATTATACTCCATACCATCTGGAAGCTGACTTTCAGAAATTATTTTTTAGGTCTCCCTTGCCAGAATGAAATGAACAGAATTCAGAAGCTGAGTAAGGGGAAAAGCCTGTTGGGTAAGTACAATTTCTTGCCACTCATTTAAACAACTAATTAAGCCAGCCATGTCCCTTGTAATGATCAGCATGGCAATGGTTATTCAATTAGGGCTAGTGTTTCATGAAAGAAATGCCTTGTTTTAACCCCAGGCAGAGCTCTTCCAGGCAGCTGGACATAAACAGAGGACTGGCTGGTTGAAAACTGCTGTGTGTTCCTTCGGCAGGAAGAGAGGTCAGCCAGGGCCGAAGTCCAGCACCTTCCCCACTGCTAACTCCTCCCTGATCTTAGGCTAAAACAAATCTTGGCTTTTTCTAAGTAAGATCATTGAATGGTGCTCTCAAGTGCTCAAACTATAAGGTCTAAAAATTATAGCATTTCCTCCATTCCCCGGATAGGATTGTCTGTTGAAGGAGGCAGATGGGCTGTACTCTCTTCAGAATTTATCAAACAGGGTTGAACGACATGTATGTGCTTAAGCCTATTTCTACCTTCACCTAATCCCTCCAGGAAAGTATGCAGGCTGTTTGGACACCACGGAAGCAAGTGGGTTGAGTGAATGTGTGTTCCCCTAACATGCACAACTTGCAGTCCTCTCAAAGTGTCCCCTTTAGCTCCAAGCCTGCCTTTCTCCAGCACGTGGAGGAAGTCCTGGCATTTGTCATAGAAACACTGGCCATTCTCATTGGTTTGCTGAAGAAAGGAGGAGCCTGCTTTGCTTTCCTTGCTTTTAAAAAAAGAGGTGTCAGCTGCAACACAGTAATACAGAATTATTCCCGTGAAGCATTCAGAGGCAGATGCATTCCCCAAGCAGCCTGCCATTTCAGAAGTTTCTCTATTCATTTGAAGGAAATGAATAGAGAAGGAAATGGGCAAGTTTTCTTGCAGATTGTCAAATGTAGGCAGTCTATGAATTCCGGTGATTTTCTTCTCTTAGGATTTTTTGAGTTATTTCAAAATGCATGTAGACTTCCCCAAAGTTGTCAGGATTTCGAACTCTTTAGGCCTACATTCTTCTGCTGAGTAAAAGGACATAAAGATATATTTCTGGTCTGAAGGCAAAGTGGCTGGATCCCTCCTCCATAGGATTTTCTAGTGCAAAGACTTGTGTTTGTTTATTGATCTCATTTCTCCATGTGGGATATTATTTTGAGTGACGTACCTATGATCTGCAGGTAGTTGTAGAATTAGTACATTGCTGTTTATTAAAACATACATTGCCTCATTGGTAAGGGTCACCTGTGATAAGATGTCTCATTTACCCCAGTGCACATGAATGAAATGCCTACCTTTCTGTTAAAATAAATCCCATTTTGTTTTAAAGCTTGCTTTATCACATTTCCCACATATGGAGATTACTCCAGCTGACTCAGAAAAAATGCCATTTGCTTACAAATTCTTTATGTAGTCAGGGGTATACAGAGTCAAATAAATAAAACAATCAACAAATTATTATCAGCTATAATTATTGCATTGTAGTTTTAGAGCAGCACCTGCTTCTTACCAACCCAGGGCCTCAGCCCATTTTTTTTTTTTTTTTGGTCCAAGGAGGAGCCAGCTCTCTACATGTTCACTTTCTCTGCAGTCCTTGATTGAGAATCTGTTCACAAATCTCTTTTTGGGCTACTGACCGCATCTACATTTTCCTTCTTTTCTATCTACTGTTCTTTGAAAACTGATAGCATGCAATGGCGTACACTCCTTAATGAGAGGGTGGATACCACTAAGCTTCTAACTGTGGCATCAGCAGCCTTTCCTAAGTGATAGACATGGTGTTCCATGGTCTCATTTAATCTCTGAGAATATGATCATCTTGGTATAGCCTGGTGAGTAGCATGTTCTAGACTAGACCCTAGAGTCACCTGGGTCTGGGTTGAAGTCTTGGTTCAAAATAGGAGAAATCTGTCCCTCCCATGCCACACTTTTATTCTGGGATTGTTCCACTAAATAAAAGGCAAATTTGAAAATGTAAGCACGCTCACAAAATCAGAAATTAAATTAGGGCATAGAAAGCTACAGTGGAAGGCAGGAACCTCTGTTTTCAGGAGGCTGATGTAGATGGTGTTACCACCCAGGTTACACAAAGAGGAAGAATTCTTCCATAGAAGATGCACACTATCAAGAAACACACCTACCCTGTAAGGAAAACCAAAACTAAAAACTATTATAAATAAAGATTACCCACAGTACAATGAGAATCAGTATCTTCAAAGTGCCAAGGGGAAATAATTATGAACCTACAATTTAAAATTTATCCCAGTGATCATTCAAGTGTGATGACAGAGGTACTCTGGTACTCTGAAACCATCTAAGATTCAGTCAGCTTACTAACCCCAGACTCACTTAAATATCACTAAAGGATTTATTCTACCAAACAAATGATCCCAGAAAGAACTATTCAGATGCAATAATGAAAAAGAAATGACAATTCTGCTAAGACCAATAAAAATAGTTATATGGCAACCTGGAATTAAAATTCCAGACAATTGGGGGAAGTGAGAAAAAGGTGGTAAGAATGTGTTAAGCTTCTAGTTTGTTCATGAAAAAAAAAATCTGTATAGATTAACTGTAGATTTTACTAGGAAAAACTATGTTCCCCTGTGGAAAATATGAGTAACCACAAGAATATTAGAATATATGTTTTAAACCTATGGAAAAAAGACAAGGTATAAAGAAAACTTAGTAAGTAGGAAACAGATATGGTGGCAGAAATAAGAGTAAGCATTTCTGTAATCACAATATCTGTAATCACAATAAATGTGAACAGGTCAAACACATTTATTATTATTGATTAGTATTTTAAAGGAGAGTTATACAAAAATAATTCCACAGAAAGTTGAAATTAAATGAGGGTAAATACTCTTTTTTAAACAACATTAATATCTGACAAAGCAAATCTGTTTTTTATAATGCAATCATCTCGCTGAAATATCCCTTTTACCATATTATGCCATCAGTTGCTCTATAGACATGCCTTGCTTAATGACAGGGATAGGTTCTGAGAAATGTGTCATTAGGTGACTTTGTCATTGTGTAAACATCATAGAGTATACTCACACAGACCTAGATGGTATAGCCTATTGCTCCTAGGTATAAACCTGTACACCATTTTATCGTACTGAATACTACAGGCAATTGTAACACAATGGGAATTATTTTTATATCTAAACATAGAAAAGGCTAGTGAAAATATGGTGT
Source organism: Homo sapiens (assembly GCF_000001405.40). NCBI lineage: Eukaryota > Metazoa > Chordata > Mammalia > Primates > Hominidae > Homo > Homo sapiens. The sequence goes on along the minus strand of NC_000005.10, from coordinate 136,981,961 downwards.
TATAATGTTATGGAACCATTGTCACATATACAGTCTATTGTTGACTAAAACATCATTATGTGGCACATGACTATACTCATAACTTAAAATGGAATAGAACTGTAAGGGCGAATTATAGCCACAGTGGTTTTCAGAAACTTTGACATACCACTTCCTGAAACCTACAGTTCAAGTAGACTAAGATTTGTTAGCATTCATGCTTATATATGTATTCCTGAATCTAGGCATTGAATGTAGTCTTTCAAACATCTGCCACAGACCGTACCACAGAAGAAAACAAATTTCAAATAAATGATCACAGATCAAACTTACCGGCCACAACACAATACCAATAGAAGTAAAATATGAGATTACTAAACCCCCATACATTTGGTTTCATGAATAAAAATTGATCAAAGATGAAGAAAGAAAAATCTACAAAATATCTAGAAATGAAAGAAAATGAAAGCATGGTGTACCAAATACATGGGAAGCAACTAAGTGAAACTTCATAGCGTCAAATGCATTTATAAAAAAGGATCAAAATAAAATTAACTAGATGTAACTTAAACTATAGGAACAACACAAAGTGAATAAGATGAAAGCAGACAACAGTGAAGTAAAAATATTAAAATACCATATCAGAGATAGTTTTCTGAACAAATGAAATAGACAAACCTTTGACAATATGAAGAAGTAAAAAGGCTCAAATAGTGTCATGAATTTAAAAGTGGGATATAAGCTCAGTTATAGAAGAATACTGTAAACTTGTGGTTCTCAAACTTTAGTATATACCAGAATTAGCTGGAGGATTAAATAAATGAACAGACTGCTCAGCCCCACTCTCTAAGTCTCAGGTGGGGCCCAAGAACTTGCATTTCTAAGGGTTTTCCATGTGGTGCCACTGCTGCTTGTCCTGGAACCTCACTTTGAGAACCACTGCTATAAGTCAATTTATAACAATTATGAAAACCTAGTTGAAATGGATACTATCAGTTACCAAATTTTGATAACAGAAGACCCAGGTAAATCAAAACCAAAATCAAAACCAGGAAATTAATCAAAATGCTACTTTCATCCCTCAAAATGAGCACCAGGCTCAAGATATTTTTATGGGCAAATTCTTCAAAAAAGAGATTCTCATTTTATAAAAAAATCTCTAGAGCATATCTGAATCATTTTATGAATTAGGAACTTCAAAAGAAACAATGCAGAAAACACCAAAACAAAATTATATGCCTCAATCACTGTATTAGTCCATTTTCACACTGCTATGAAGAAATAGACCTGAGACTGGGTAAAGAAAAAGAGGTTTAATGGACTCACAGTTCCACATGGCTGGGGAGGCCTCACAATCATGGCGGAAGGCAAGAGAGCGTGTGCAGAGGAACTGCCCTTTACAAAACTATCAGATCTTGTGAGACTTATTCACTATCATAAGAACAGCATGGGAAAAACTCGCCCCCATGATTCAATTACCTCCTGTTCAATTACCTCCCACAGGGTCCCTCCCACAACACGTGGGAATTATGAGAGCTACAATTCAAGATGAGATTTGGGTGGGGACACAGCCAAACCATATCAATCACTTAGTAACATACTTGTAAATTTGTGCCACTAGTAATCCATCTTGTTAAAAGTATATAAAGCATAAAAACCATATGATTTTCTCACATTAAAAATGTAATATCAGTAGTACCCATTCAAGATTTAAAGTGAAAAATTAGAACTAATCAAAGAAGGAATTTTGCTTAACATTGGGCAAATTAACTCCAGTTTATCACTTTTTTTTTTTTTTTTTGCCTGCAAACAGGGAGATAGTAATAGCAACACCTTATGGTGATATTGGCATGGCTTGATGAAATAATGCAAGTAAAGCACTTAGCTATTATTAATTACCTCTTTCTTAGAGGCTGGAAGACAGTGACAAGGAATAGCTTGGAACCATATGATCCACAGACTGGTGTTGTTCATAGAACATTTGTTACTAGTCAGAACCAAGTGCAGTAGTTAATGCGTATAGAAAGTTTTATAACAATTTCACGGAGTCACTTTATGTGGTTGGGCAAAGTATTGGTAATGCTGGACTTGATATTTACTAGCAGATGCCTTGGGAAGATTACTTAATTTTCCTAGACATCAGTTTCATATTAAAAGGTAATGATGGTATGTATCTCTTAGAGTTGTGGGAATAAGAGATTCTGCAAATGTATGTATATATACACATACATATGTAAGCACGATTTAGGTCAGTGCCCAGAATAGAAGTATTCAATACATGATAGCTATTATCATTCCCGTTTAAACACTGACATCCTTAGAGCTCATCGCGTTTGGGCCTCTAAAGGTTAAGGGCCCTGTAATTTTGACTAATAGCCAACCATCCCCATCCTCTGCTGCTGACCCTGCAGCAGATATTCTGACATGTGAGCCCTCTTCCCTGTGTTGACGGGCATTAACCCCGAGTATCATCTGCATGTCTCTGATTAAAGTTGCACCTTTTGTTCCCCCAGGGGCCTTCATACCTCGGTGTAATGAGGAGGGCTATTACAAAGCCACACAGTGCCACGGCAGCACGGGGCAGTGCTGGTGTGTGGACAAATATGGGAATGAGTTGGCTGGCTCCAGGAAACAGGGTGCTGTGAGCTGTGGTGAGTAAGGCCTCCTGCATGAGCCCCACAATGACCTGGGTGGCCTGTGGTTCCTCACTGCATAAGGATCTCTGCAGAAGAATGTTGAGAGGTAACTCCAGTATACATTAAGTTTATAATAGAGGCATAGTAACCCTGAAATCACATGAGCTCCCGTGTAGCTAGCTTGGCAAGTGGCAGGAACTCACTATGACCAGAGAAGAGAGACAGAACTGCTGCAGACAAAGGGTGACTTAGGCTGCCTTCACTTCTCATTTAGGGTTGTAAACCTCCTGGGAAGGTAGGAGCATCTCAAGAATTCTAGGGCTCTTACGAGAACAAAGTTTGTAATGTATGCCCTGAAGACTCACCTCAGTGGGGCAGGGATGTTTCTGTTTTCAGAAAGTAAACTGCTTGGTTTTACCCTACAATTCAGGCAAAGGAACCCCTGACGTGGGTCATGAGGTATAAGTGGAAACTAACCTCAATGCTTTTTTTAATCTTTCAGAAGAGGAGCAGGAAACCTCAGGGGATTTTGGCAGTGGTGGGTCCGTGGTCCTGCTGGATGACCTAGAATATGAACGGGAGCTGGGACCAAAGGACAAAGAGGGGAAGCTGAGGGTGCACACCCGAGCCGTGACAGAGGATGATGAGGATGAGGATGATGACAAAGAGGATGAGGTCGGGTACATATGGTAGTGCCCACAAGAAAGAGGACACAAGTTTTGCACAAAATTGCAAGTCACTTCCTATTCCTGCATTTGTATCTAAGACTCCAAGGCACCAAGGTCTCTTCTCCATTGTTGCTCTCTATACCCGACCTAAGGTTTGGAAGACAACTGCTTGTTCCCAGAGGATTCTGATTTTGCATATGTTTGTATGGGAGAAAGGGTGTTGTGTTTTTTTTTTGTTGTTGTTTATTTTTTGGATAGGGAAGTCATTGGCTTAATTAGAGCCTCCTTCCTTTCTGTGAGATTTTTCCAACAAGCATGTGATTTACGTGGAATTCTGACAGTGCAGGGAGCCCCAACCCTCTTAAATGTCAAAGACCCTTTTTGATTACCCACACTGGTGGTTATTACAGCATGGTTCCCAGCCTTACAGTGTCTAAGTGCTTCTCTTGTGTCCTGTAGATGTTGTGAAAAAGAAAAAAACAAAAAATACACCACACTGTACTTTTTCCCCCTGCCCCCGTTACTGCCGGTGATTATTATTAAAAATTAGTTTTTTTCACATCATTATATCTGGCTTCCTATAAACAACAGCCTTAATTCAGTCAAGACTCCCTTTGGGGAATTCATTTTATTAAAAATTGGTGTCTGGATACTTCCCTGTACATGCATAAATATGCATGCATGTACAGAAAGACTGTATGTGTGTGCCTTGCACACACACCCATACCTCTCAGAAAAAGTGTTTGGGTATCTTAAAAACTCGAAAAACAATGATAAATTTCTCAGCTTGTCCAGACCTGGAACAAAATTTCTGGAATAAGAAATTTGTATTAAAGTCCTTTTTTGCACTAACAGTTGGCTCTTGTAGCCTGCAGGCTGAGGAAGTCTCTTCTCTGTGCATCAGCAGAGTTACTGAAAGCCTCTGATTGAGAAAAAACCTCCGTCTGCCTAAATCACTTTTCTCGCAGAAGCCATGCGACTCCCACACGACACGGGCAGCTTCACAAGCCATCTCTTTCATTTCTGCTTGAAGCCCCTTGGCTGCAGCAATCCTGTCTGCCATAGGTTTCTTCCTTCCTTACCTACTCAAGGGCTTTTTCTAAGGCATGCACACATATCTCCTGTTCTCTGAGAGTACCATGGTGTTCCTTAAAAGAAGAAAATTTCTAATTCTGAACTCAATGTTTTGCTTTTACTCCCTTTCTACTGACAAATCATGATAAGGGCACAAAAGCTGTACAGATTTTTTTTTTTAACCACTCAATCCCAAATGGAGGCCTACAAAGAACATCGTAATAACACATGGAAGCAAACCCTGGGTTTTTAAGAGCAAATTCTGTCCCCCCCTCACTCCCCCAAGTGACAAGATACTAATGAAGAAAGTTCTTCACCATAGTGTTTGTTTTAACTAAACTCATTGGAGTCTAGTTCCAAATTTGGTAGGGTCATCATCTCTACATTCCTTAGGATTTCTCTCCCTATCAAGCTGGCCCAGATACAAGTACCAAACAGTAGTCTCTGAAGTTCCCCCATTTCCTTCAGTACCAGTCTATAAGCTACTGTCCGCCACTGATTTTCATTTATCAGGGTGTCCTAATCAGAATCAGCCACCCAAGCAAGCCTCTCTGGCCCACATATCTATCTCTTGCCTTCCCCCATGAACTTCAGCCTGTCCACACAAAAGCCACATAAACTCAAGCAAGAAATATGTTCAGCCAAAACATGATTATAGTGGCAGCTGACCAATCCCCCATCCCAAATTGACCATTTAGATGTACCAACTCACCTTAAATTAGCATGTTCCAATCCAGTCGGCATTGCCTGAATACAGTAGCATCATACCTATAGTTGGTCTTAGATAAGAAATGAACTACTTGATATAGCAAAGTCCTTTGGCTTCGTAAATAACCCTGAGGTTTTGTACTTACTTTCCCCATAGGAAGACAGACCATAGGCAAACTCTGTTTTGGGATCTCAACTCCATCACCTTTGTTTCAATATTTTTTTTCTCTCTTGAACAAAACTGAGATAATTTAGAAAACAGGTGCTTAATTGCAATAAAATTACTATGAAGTATATTAAAAATCACGACATTGTAAAATCTCACTTTAGATCATCAAAGAAAACCATTGTTACTATCTCCTTTGAGCTTAGGAAAATGTACAAGAGAACAAATTAAAATTGAAAAATTGATTTCACTTAGAAAAACTTCTAGGAACAGGGTGAACCACTGATTTTAATTTGCCTAATTATCTTATGACAAGTATCAAATTAAGATGACACTTAAAGATCCTTAGCATTAACTTAATGATGGAGAAGAGTGCTCAATAGACAGTTCCCAGTAAGGTAATGAGATGCCATTTTCAGAGACATTCTAAGAAGATATTTTGATTCATTAAAACATTAAATAAAAAGCCCTCCTCAGATTGGAACCCCCAAATCGATGGAGCCACATTAATAATACTTTTCATGCCTCACTTTGACATGACAGCATTCGATTTTTTTAAAGATCTTTAATACTTTCCATGAGTACTAAAGATTGTAATGAGTTACCTTATCCTTAGAAGTAGAATGTTTGCTTTCTTCTTCTTGGAAATAGTCCTCCAAAAAGTCCACTTGTACCAGTGACAAGAAGTCACTTGTATAGTGACCAAGTACACATAAAATACTGATTATAAAAATATTGTAATAAACCACTTCCTCATTTGATACAGGTATTAAGCTGAATCCTCACTAATTCACTTTTGAAAAGTTCTTAATGAACAGTTTTATTCTTATTCCATGAACAGCTCTTTTAATACAATTTCCTTGGTATCCAACTTAAATCCCAGAATTTTGTTCCACCATGGTTAGTTATTTGCCATATGAATGTATTCTTGTTTCTACCAATATTCTAGGCATGAGAATACCTTAATACTGAGTTGGAGATTTTGTATCTGTTTCTCCTCCTTTACGCCCATTTTCCTACCCACAGCAGCAAATGACAACGTGTCTGTCCAGGTCTGTCCCCCTGCTCATCCCAGGATGCCACTCACATTTTTTTCTTCTTGTTACCTTGACCACGCTGTACAGTAACATCCAAGAGCCCATTCTACAGTGGGTGGTTTTGGTCTTTTTATAACTTTTTCTCAAAGTCACTGATGTTTGTTCCTGTTAAATGTATAGCATTGTAATGAGAGCCCATCAAATCCTGAGTGTCAGTTTGTTGTCCCTATTGTAGATGAAATAGTGATGTAGCAAAAACCTAGTAAATTCTGAATGCTTTTCCACGTAGACTTATCTGGAATGTGAACACAACTCTTTGGTTAATAGTAAATGCTTAACTGTAGTCCTGAGTAGGTGCATTTCTGTCTGTCTCAATAAATTTTACTTTGTCTGCAATATCTGAGTGTTTGTATTTCATTGGGTGGAATGTACATTCAGCAGGCCATGTCCCGCACACAATCACTACAGAATAGTATGAGCAGACAAAGGGGATAGCCAATAAAGCTCTGTCAGGACTTCTGATTGTGGTGGGGAGGTCTGCCTGCCGGTGGTCTGGCCTGGCACCTGCAGCACCCCTGGCACATGCATGCCCTGTGCCTGCTCAGTCTAGAACAGGGGTCCCCAAACCCTGGGCCACAGACCAATACCAGTCTGTGGCCTCTTAGGAACCTGGCTGCATAGCAGGAGGTGAGCAGTGGGTGAGTGAGTGAAGCTTCACCTGTATTTACAGCCACTCTCCATCACTTGCATTACCGTCTGAGCTCTACCTCCTGTCAGATCAGCAGTGGCATTAGATTCTCATAGGAGTAAGAACCCTATTGTGAACTGCACATGCTAGATATATAGGTTGCATGCTCCTTATGAGAATCTAATGCCTGATGACGTGTCACTGTCTTCCATCACCCCCAGATGGGACTATCTAGTTGCAGGAAAACAAGCTCAGGGCTTCCACTGATTCTACAATATGGTGAGTTATATAATGATTTCATTATATATTACAATGTAATAACAATAGAAATGAAGTGCACAATAAGTGTAATGCACTTGAATCATCCTGAAACCATCTCCCTCACCCCTATATCCATGGAAAAATTGTCTTCCACGAAACCCGTCCCTGGTGCCAAAAAGGTTGGGGACCACTGCTCTAGAACCACTCACCTGAGCCCTTCTTTTGGCTGCCTTTGCCTCGCTCAGGCTCCAACTTTACACCTTACCTATCAGATTTCACTCTTGTCATCCTGTTTACAACCCTAAGGTTTTTAAACTCTGCTTATCCCTTCCCTCCCCTCCCCAGCCAGTTATTCTCCAATTCTCTGAAAAAACAAAACAAAACAAAAAAACACAACTCACCTCTCTTCCCTTTATGGGGACCCTAGGGTCCCCTATCTTTGAGAATACACTAGATACTTGTCAAACATCAGAAAGCACCCAAATTGGAACAGGAATTATTTCCGTTTCCCTTCTATCCACTTTTGGGCCAGTGTGTCTACGACTTAATTATACCCTGAGTGAGTAATTTCGCCATGAGCTGAGGTAGAAACTATCTTATGAATAATTCCATTCCTTTACCCTCTGGACTAAATTTTACAGACAATTTACAGATTGACAGTTCAAGAAAAGGTGCTTAATAAATCCACAAAATAAGTAATGTCAGGAGAACAAGGACCAATGTAAAGTCTCCAAGGTAGTTAAAGGGTACATTAAAGAGTTGTTGGTGTTTGCGAACATACTTCCAATTCTTCTCAAATCAGCAGGTAAAACCCCACGTTTCTCCTAAAGTTGCACCTTCATGGATGCCATGTTAGTATGTTAAAGGCCAAGACTAATGGAAGAACTGGAAGCCAATTCTCCAGCTTTAGTTATAGAGCTGGCCATAAAGGTCACAGTACTTTCTCAAAGTTCTTAGTGGTAAGATTTGCTTTGATATATTGACTTAAAGAAAGAAAGATTTAAAAAATATTCATTCAACAAACCTTTATAGGTTAATTAGTAGATTTATAGATTTCACTCTGTTGGATGGATGGATGGCACCATGGGCAGGAAACATATTCAGTTCTAGGAATATGAAAGTGAGTAAGATCTGGTACCTGCTTGAAAAAGTTATTACCACCTTGAACAAGACAAACGTAAATAATTCATTTTTTTTTAGATGGAGTCTTGCTCTGTCGCCACACTGTAGTGCAGTGGCACAATCCTGGCTCACTGCAACCTTTGCCTCCTGGGTTCAAGCAATTCTCCTGCGTGTGCCACTACGCCTAGCTAATTTTTGTACTTTTAATAGAGACGGGGTTTCACCATGTTGGCCAGGATGGTCTTGATCTCCTGACCTTGTGATCCGCCTGCCTCGGCCTCCCAAAGTGCTGGGATTACAGGTGTGAGCCACCACACCTGGCCAATACCTCTTTTTAAAAAATAGGTTGAGGCTGGATGTGGTGGCTCACACCTGTAACCCCAGCACTTTGGGAGGCTGGGGAGGGCAGATCTCTTAAGCTCAGGAGTTTGAGACCAGCCTGGGCAACATGGTGAAACCCCATCTCCACTAAAAACATGAAAATTAGCTGGGTGTGGTGGTGGGCGCCTGTAATCCCAGCTACTTGGGAGGCCAAGGCAGAAAAATTGCTCAAACCCAGGGGGCATAGGTTGCAGTGAGCCAGGATCACGCCACTGAACTCCAGCCTGGGCAACAGAGTGAAACTCTGTCTCAAAACAAACAAAAAACAAAAACCAAACAAAACTAGCTGAGCGCAGTGGCACGTGCCTGTAGTCCCAGCTACCTCAGAAGCTGGGGTGGAAGGACCACTTCAGCCTGGGAGGTCAAGGCTGCACTGAGCCATGATCGCACCACTGCACTCCCGCCTGGGTGACAGAGTGAGATCCTGTCTAAAAAAAAAAAAAAGGGTTGAAGTTGTCATAATCATAACGGGTTGATGTCAAGGGCAGTAGCTACTCAACCCTTGTTAAAGCTTGCCTTACTTGGTTCTTTTTATCCATCATTCCCTGGCTTTCCTCCTGCCTCTCTGGACATTCCTTTTAGGTTTCCTGTATATTGTTTTGTTCAACCAGTTCTGTTAGTATGAGTGTACCTCAGATCTGCATCCCTGTCCCACTTCTAACTTTACATGTTTTCTCTGGACAGTCTTATCTATGTCTACGGTTTTAAAGTCTCCATTTTGAGATGCCCTCAATCTGTATGTCAAGTGTAGGTTTTGATTTCTGCTCCATTCTGAAACAATCCCTGCCATTTAGATAATTCTACTTGAATTTTTCACTGACACCTCAACTGCAAATTTTAAAAAATCCAAATGACAGAATGAAGTATATAAGAAATATACTTATGACAGTAGGAGTCAGCAAGGCTTTTCTTAAGTCTTAGCACACATGAGCCAAATGGAGAAGATGAAAAAATTTGCCTCCATCAAAATTAATAACATAAACAAGAGACTAAAAAATATATAGGTGACATAAAAGAGATAGAGGATTAGGGTCTAATATATGTGTGCGTATGTATGTATGTATGTATATGTACATGTATATATATACACACTCAAAGAGCTAAAGGAGCCAGGCACGAAGGCACATGCCTATACTCTCAGCTACTTGGGAGGCTGAGGTGGGAGGACTGCTTGAGCTCAGGAGTTTGAAACTGCAGTGAGCCCTGATCACCACTGCTCTCCAGCCTGGGTGAAAATGAGACCTTTTCTCAAAAAAAAAAAAAAAAAAAAAAAAAGCTAGAGGAAAACATGGACCAAAAACTCAAGGAAATAAGAAAAATGATATATGAATAAAATAAAAATATGAACAAAGAGATGTAAATTACAAAAAGGAAGTAGGCCAGGTGCGGTGGCTCACGCCTGTAATCCCAGCACTTTGGGAGGCCAAGGTGGGTGGATTACCTGAGGTCAGGAGTTCGAGACCAGCCTGGCCAACATGGTGAAGCCCCAACTCTACTAAAAATATAAAATTAGCCGAGTGTGGTGGTGCACTCTTGTAATCCCAGCTACTCAGGAGGCTGAGGCAGGAGAATTGCTTGAATCCGGGAGGCAGAGTTTGCACTGAGCCAAGATTGAACCACTGCACTCCAGCCTGGGTGACAAGTGCAAGACTCCATCTCAAAAAAAAAAAAAAAAAAAAAAAAGAGGAAGTATTAGACATTCTGGAGCTGAAAAATACAATAACGGAAATTATGAATTCACAAAAAGAGTTTAACAGTATATTTGAGCAGGTAGAGGAAAGAATCAGAAAACTTGTAGATAGGACACTAGAAATTAACAGGTCTAAGAAACAGAAAGAAAAAAGAAGAAAAGCAAGTAGAACTTAAGGAACTTCTGGTACACCATAAGATGGACCAATATGCACATTAAAAGAAGATTCCAGAAGAAGAAGAGATAAGGGTGTAGAGGGATTACTTGTGAAAAATTAAAGCTGGAAATGTCTCGAGTTTGAGGAGAGACCTAACATTACAAATCCAAACAGCTCAGTGAACTTTAAGTGAGATAAACCCAAAGAGAGCCACACCAAAACATATTATAATTAAACTGTTGAAAGTCAAAGCCAAAGAGAGAATCTTGAAAGCAGCAAGGGAGAAGTGACTCATCAAATACAAAGAATCCTCAATAAATTATAGGCTGATTTCTCAGTAGAAACCTTGGAGACCAGAAAGGAATGAAATGATATTTGAAGTGCTGAAAGAAAAAAAAAAATCTGTCTGCCAAGAATACTCTACCCAGTACAAATGTACTTCAAAAATGAGGGAGAAATTAATACATTCCTAGGTAAACAAAAGCTAATGGATTTCTGTACCACTAGACCTGCCCTATAAAAAATGCTAAATGGAGTCCTTCGAGTTGAAATGAAAGGATGCTGAACTCAGAGCCATACAAAGATATAAGTTCCTTAAAGGTAAAGGTAAATACATAGTCAAATATAAAAACCAATATTATTGTAATTTTGGTTCATAACAGTTTTCAGCTTCTGTGAGATTTAAAAGACAAATAAATAAAAAATAATTATAAATGTAGGTTAATGTGTACACAATATATAAATATGTAATTTGTAACAATAACAAACTTGAAGGGGGTGGAGCTGTAAAGGAGTAGAGTTTTTGTATGCAATTGAAGTTATTACCAATTTAAAATAGATTGTTATAACTTTAAGAAGTAATTTTCATAGTAACCACAAATAAAATATCTATAGAATATACACAAATGGAAATGAGAAGAGAATCAAGACATGTGACTACAAAAAAAATCAACTAAATCTGGCCAGGCATGGTGGCTCACACCTGTAATCCCAGCACTTTGGGAAGCTGAGATGGGTGGATCCCCTGAGGTCAGGAGGGCCAACATGGTGAAACCAGTCTCTACTAAAATTACAAAAATTAGCTGGGCATGGTGGTGTATGCCTGTAATCCCAGCTACTCAGGAGGCTGAGGCAGGAGAATCGCTTGAACCCAGGGGGTGGATATTGCAGTGAACTGGGATCTTGCCACTGCACTCCAGCCTGGGCAATAGCAAGACTCTGACCAAAACACAAACACACACACACACACACACACACACACACACACACACACACACACACATCCAAAGGAAGGCAGTAATGGAGGAAATGAGGGGGGAAAAAACTGTAAGGCACACAGAAATAACAAGATGGCAAGAGTAAATTTTTTCCTATTAATAATTAGTTTAAATAGACTAAACTTTTTAGTCAAAAGGTATAGATTGGTAGAATGGATAAATAAAATATGATCTAACTCTATGCCCTCAACAAGAAGCTCTGCTTTATATCTAAGGACACAAATGGTTGAAGATGAAAGAATGGAAAAAGATATTCCATGTAAATATTATTATTAACCAAAAGAGAACAGGGATGGATATACTATTATACAAAATGAAGTTTACATTAAAAATGATTACAAGAGACAAGGAAGGACATTGTATAATGTTAAAAGGGTCAATTCACCAAGAAGACATAACAATTATAGACATACATGCACCCAAAATCATAGCTCCAAAACACACAAAACAAACAGACTTGAATGGAGAAATAGACAGCTCTACAATAATAGTTGGAGACTTCAACCCCACTTCCAGACAGAAGATCAGTGAGGAAATAGAGGACTTGAACAACACTATAAACCAATTGGACCTAATAGACATATACAGAACACTTCTCTCAACAATAGTAGAAGATACATTTTTCTCAAGTGTTTATGAAACATTTTCTAAGATAGACCACATGTTATGTCATGAAACAAGTCTTATTAAGATGTTAAATTGTATATATTTAAAAAGACAGAAATCACACAAAGTATTTTTTTCTAAACACAGTTGAATGAAATTAGAAATCAATAACAAAAGGGAAACTAGAAAATGTACAAATGTGTGAACCTATAGCCATACCACCCTGAACACACCAAATCTCATCTGATCTCCAAAGCTGAACAGGGTTGAGCCTAGTTAGTACTTGGATGAGGAAACTTACAAGTGTGGGAAAATTAAACAATACACTCCTAAACAACCGGTAGGTGAAAAAAGAAATCACAAAGGAAACTAGGGAATGTCTTGACATAAATAAAATGAAAATAAATAAACCAAAACTTGTGGGGTGCAGCAATACCAGTACTAGGAGAGAGGAACTTATAGCTCTGAATGTTTACATTGAAAAAGAAGAACAATCTCAAATCAACAACCTAACTTTAAACCATAAGGAACTAGAAAAAGAAGGACAAAATAAAGCCAAAGCTAACATAAGGAAGAAAATTACATAGATTAATGTAGAGACAAATAAAATAGAGAATAGAGAAATAATACAGAAAAATAAGCAAAACCAAAAGTTTATTTTTTGAAAAAATGCACAAAATTGACAAAGCTTTAATTAATTGACTAAGAAAAAAGAGATGACTTACATTACTCAAAACAGAAAGTGGGAGGTATTGCTACTGATTATATATAAATAAGAAGGATTATAAGAGAATGCTATGAAAAGTTGTATGCCAACAAGTTGGATAGTCTAGGTAAATAGACAAAATGAAAAAAATTTCTAGAAACACACAACCTACCAAGACTGAATCATGAAGAAACAGAAAATCAAAATAGACTCCTAACTAATAAGGAGACGCAATCAGTAGTTAAAAACTTTCCAAGAAACAAACTCTATAGACCAGAAAGCTTCACTAGTGAATTCAAACAAACAATTAAAGAAGAAATAACACCAGTCCTTCTCAAATTCTTCACAGAATACTTCCTACGTAATTTTATAAGGCCAATATTACCCTGAAACCAAAGCCAAAGATGCTACAAGAAAACTACAGACCAGTATCAATAATATTCTTGTAAAAATCTTCAATACTACCAAGCTAAATTCAGCAGTATATTAAAAAAATTATAAACCATGCCAAAGTGGAATGTATTCCCAGAATGTCAGGTTGTTCAACATACAAAGCTCAATAGTATAACATACCTGGAATTACAGTGAAGAATAAACAATAACACATGATTATCTCAACTGATTAGACAAATTCGACACCTTTTCATGACAAAAATACTCTAGAAATAGAAGAAAACTATTTAATAAAGGCTATGTGTGAAAAGCGTTTAGCTAACATCGTACTCAAAAGACTGAAATCTTCTCTTTTATGATCATAAAAACAAGACAAGCATTCTGCTCTTACTACTCTTATTCAATATAGTATTTGAAGTTCTAGACAGAGCAATTAGGCAAGAAAAATAAAAGCATCCATATTAGAAAGGAAAAAGTAAAATTAACTCTGTTTGCAGATGGCATAATCTCACATATATAAAAGCCTAAATATTTCACACACACAAAAACTTAGAATAAACGAATTCAGCAAAGTTTCAGGATACAAAATTGACAGACAAAAGTCAGCTGTATTTCTAAAGAACGATGAAACTCCAAAAATGGAATTAAGAAAACAATTCCATTTACTATAGCAACAAAAAGAGCAAAATATTTAGGAAGAAACTTAATAAAGGCAGCAAAAGACTTTTACAGTGAAAACTATGAAGTATTGCTGAAAGTAATTAAAGACATAGATAAATGGAAAAACATCCAGTGTTCATAGAAGACTTCATAGTATTAAGATGTTTCTGAAAGTGATTTACAGTTTCAAAACAAATCCCTATAAATATTCCAATGATTTTTTATTATTTGCAGAAATAGAAAAACCATCCCAAAATTCATATGGAATCTAAAGAGGCCCTGAATAGCCAAAACTATCTTGGAAAAGAAGAACAAAGTTGAAGACCTTACACTTCCTGATTTCAAAACCTACTACAAAACTATGGTAATCAAAAGGGTGGTAACGGCATAAAGACAGACATATAGATAAATGGAATAAAGAGCCAAGAAATGAACTCTCATATATATGGTCAGATGATTTTCAGTGAGGGTTCCAAGACCATGCAATGAGGAAAGAATAGTCTTTTAAACTAATTGTTTTGGAAAAACTGGATATCCTTTGCAAAATAATGAAATTGGACCCTTACCTTATACTATATACAAATTAACTCCAAAAAGGATCAAAGACCTAAATGTAAGAGCTAAAACTATAAAACTCTTAAGAGAAAAAAAAAAAACTTCAAGACATTGGATTTGGCAATGATTTCTATTTGACATCAAAAAGCACAGGCAACAGAAAAAAATTGATAAATTGAACTTAATGAAAATTAAACACTTTTGTGCAAAAGAAACTATGAACAGAATGAAAATGCAAATCATAGAAGAGGAAAAATATATGCAAATACTGTATCTAGTAAGGAATTAATATCAATAATATATTTTAAAAACTCTTATAACTCAACAAAAAAGCAACCTGATTTTTAAAATGGGCAAAAGACTTGCTTGAATAGACATTTTTCCAAAGAATATATATGAATGATCATTAAGCACACACAAAAAACCCTCAACATCACTAATCATTAGGGAAATACAAATCCAAACGACGATGGGATACCACTTTACACCATTTAGGATGGCTATTTCCAAATAAATAAATAACAAGGATGTGGAGAAACTGGAAATCTTGTGGATTGCTGGTAGGAATGTAAAACAGGACAGCCATTGCAGAAGACTGAACAGCAGTTCCTCAAAAAAGTAAATGTAAAATCTCCACATGATTGAGTAATTTCACTCCTACTTATTCATCCAGAGAAACTGGAAACAGACTTGAACAGATACTTGTGCACCAATATTCATAGCAATATTTTGTACACCAATATTCCTAGCAATATTATGCACAGTAGCCAAGAAATAGTAACCCAAATGTTCATCAATGGGTGAATGGATAAAGAAAATGTGGTCAGTATGTACAATGAAATATTTTTCAGCCTTCAAAAGAAAATTCTGTTATAGGCTACAACATAGATGAAGCTTGAACACATTATGCTAAATGAAATCAGCCAACATCAAAGGACAAATACTGTATGATTCCACTTATATGAGGTAACTGGAGTAGTCAAATTCACAGAGATAGAAAGTAGAATAGTAGTTGCCAGGGGTTGGGGAAAACAGAAGATGGGGAGTTAGTATTTAATGGATACAGAGATTCCATCTGGAATAATAAGGGGAAAGATAGCAGTGATGGTTGCACAAAAATGTGAATGTACTTAATCCCACTGAACCATACATTTAAAATGATAAAAATAGAAAATTTTGTTAAATATATTTTACCACAGTAAAAAAAAAAAAAAAAAATCCTGCTCTTATTCCTCAGTGTTCAACACATGGTAGATGAGCAATTACTGTCTGTTGAGTGAATAATGAACATAGCAAATAGCAACAGGAACAAGGAAAACTGACCAATTAGTTCTGCCTGGATATATTTTTAAAAAGAAACTTCATAGAAACAATGACATTTGATCAATACTTTTACACAGATTGAATTGTTCATCGTTCACACAAGTTGAATTTATAAATAGTTTTACTGAGGAATAATTTATTTACTATAAAGCCCACCCATTTGAGGTGTGACCTTTTTGAAATTTACTGAGTTGTTAACCACAGCACATCTAATGTTAGAATATTTCCATTACTCCAGAATGAAACCTCATGCCCAGCTATCCAGTCCTTTCCCTTTCCCATGCTGAGCCCCAGGTAACCGTCAAACTATTTTCTGTCTCTATGGATTTCCCTTTTTTGAACATTTCATAAAATAGAATCATACTACATGTGGGCTTCATGTAGATCCACGATGACAAATCTACAATGTCAAGCTTCTACTGTCCAAAAGTTCAAATATCACAAATTTGAATGGTAATCCTGGTGCCATATAATGATTTGCAAAGGTTTTCAGCAATGGGTCTTGAGACTCTAAACGACTGACAGCACATGCTCTCCAAATCAGAGGGCGGTTCTCTTTTCCTGACATTCCAGTTGTTTTTACTATTTTATTCCACTATTCTTAGTTTTACTATTCAATGTTTCTTTTTTTTGTTTTTGTTTGTTTGTTTGTTTTGAGACGGAGTCTTGCTCTGTTGCCCAGGCTGGAGTGCAGTGGTGCTATCTCAGCTCACTGCAAGCTCCGCCTCCCGGGCTCATGCCATTCTCCTGCGTCAGCCTCCGAAGTAGCTGGGACTACAGGCGCCCACCACCACGCCCAGCTAATTTTTTGTGTTTTTAGTAGAGACAGGGTTTTACCATGTTAGCCAGGATGGTCTCGATCTCCTGACCTCGTGATCTTCCTGCCTCGGCCTCCCAAAGTGCTGGGATTACAGGCATGAGGCACTGCACCCGGGCTCCTTTTTGTTTTTGTTTTTTTTTAAAGGACTTAGAGACCATTTGATTATACATAACAAGAATATTTTCTTCCTACTTATTTTTCTCAAATTTGACCTCTATTCCTATAAATCGAAGCTTAATTTTAAAAAGCTAATCACATTCTGGCAAAACAATGAGACTCATTAAAACCAAGTCTAATTTTTATGAAAATTCTGGCCAGTTCTTAAAATAGGGACCTTGGTAATGCTGTTTCCATGTCTTGTAGATTGGAGGCTCAAGGCAGCTTTCACTCACCTCCTGATCATCTGTGACCATTTTCAAAAACAAATGAAGACATCAACATTAACAGTCTATTTAGCGGTTCACACTATTCTCCCAAGGAGAAGAACACTGATTGGAGGCAGCTTTGCAAGCTAGGAAAAGCAACAACGCCTTAATGTAGAGCTATGCTATGAGAATACTGTGTCACAAGTGGATGTAGTTCAGCCTCTGCATAGAGTTTGTCATGGGGGAACTGGTGCAGGAGTGAGTTAGGATGAAAGGGAAATAACATTATAACCATCATTAGAGGCCAGGACTACTTACCTACAACTACATTATCTTGTAGAAGTCTCACCACAGTTCTATAGGTAGATACAATGTCTCATTCCACTTTACAGATAAGTTATGCAACTTGTCTAAAGTCACACAGCTAATAAATGGCAGAGTGAGGATTTGAACCTTGCATGGGCAATCACCAAAGCTGACATTCTTAACTGCTATGTTGTGGGGCTATGTGATCTGACTTAAAAAATAAAAGCAAACCACAATGGCATGTGTATAACTATGTAACAAACCTGCACGTTCCGCACATGTATCCAAGAACTTAAAGTATAATTAAAAAAATAAAATATAGATAAATAAAAAGAAGCTAACTACGTATACACATCCCTCCACCCATCTGTACACAAAGCATACCACTCTGGACCTCGAGGAAAAATCCAGTAATATATCAATTCACAACATTTATCATTTACCAGGTACCCAGCACTATTTGAGGAAGAAATCAGACCCTGCCCTTAAAGAATTACTGATTTCTGCACTGGAGAGAGCAGAGGACAGAGAGCTAGGCATCCTGCACACAGTGTTGAGTGAATAGGCTAGTCTGATTATAGGCCCTGTTGGGTAAGAATTTCACTGGCTCTGATTCCTTAGACAATTTCCTTCCCTTTCTGGGCCTCACATTCCTCACCTGTGAGATGGATGGGCTGTCCCTGAGGTCCTATGATTCTGTGCTCACTGACAGTCTGTGCTCTTTCCTTTCTGTATGACACCGTTTCTGCACATCAAACCCTCACCCCTGGGCTTCCCCTGATTTCCATGACTTCGAGGACAACGAAGCCCCACATATTTCTTAAACACCCAGCTGTACTATGTGGAGTAGCTTTCTCTTATAAATGAGAATGAATTAAGATGAATTTAGTTTGGGGAATTGCTTTACACTTTAATCACACACTGCCCTCCCCTCTCTCGCTGATTTTAGCCTCCCTAAGGTTTCTCAAAGTTCGAGTCTCAACTTCCTACAGCGCTCAGTGCCTCATTCACCACAAACTGCCATATTTCACCTGTGGCTGAGTGGAGAATTCATTTCATTTCACTGTTCAGTCTCAATAGCACAAACATATATTCAGGGCTGACATATTTTCATTATGGAAAAGCAAAGCTCTCAAACAGATGCTGCCCATAGGGATTAATGAGGGGAATAGTTATTTGTTCTGCCGCTTGACATTTCGTGCAGAATAATTCCCAAGTTATTTTATACTTTAACAAATAGTTCATGAACAAAGGAACTTAGCACTTTGGATGAGCATTAAACTAGGATTTAGGAGCTGGCTAACGTTAACCAATAGAAATGAAGCCACTTTCCAGAATCACATTTAATGTAAGGATACATAATGTCACACCCAGCTGGCCACAGGAGACAGTCATTATTGACACCAGACAGCACCACCTGCCCTAGAAACCAACCACAACAATCACTCCTAGAGAACTCTAAGGATATCCTGTAGTCTCTTGCCCCAACATAAAATCTCAGCCTGTCTATGGATTCAGTCGACTGCCTTTGTTAGCATGAAATATCCTGGCCCATTTTTGGTCAAAAGCCCATGGCTTTTTGCCACATAAATAACACATAAACTCCCTCTACAATTTCTCTGTGTATGCAAAGCCTACCTCCATCACCCTTGACCTCCTTTTCCATGTTAATATTTTTTCTCAATCTGCTTCACTTTTATCCTACATTCGTTTCTCTGTTTCTGGAATGTCTCCTCTATTTCCCCATCTCAAGCCATGTGCTTGGTGGAAGCATTTGCATCAGCACTGATATCTCCCAGGTGATATGTTAGCTATCCCATATGGCCCCCTCAATCATCGAAAAAGGCCACTTCTCTACACCCCACAAAAGCATAGCCTGGGCCTTTTGGCTGGTTTGGATGCTCAATAAAAATTCTTTTTTAATGAAAAGAACTGAAATAGCCCAGGATCAATCATGGACTAGAACCTCCAATAATATTCCAAGCCTCAGAAAAATTCCTGTGAACTCATCCACTCAACAAATATTTGTTTTGCCCCTATCTTTACTGTATCCATTGATGGGGTTTCCCCCCATCCTACAACCTGTGACATTCATAATAGAGAGAATTTCCCAATTCTGGGTCCACATCTGAGGGTACTGCAGTTGCTAGATCCAGGAAACCAGGATTGCTGCTTTTACTTCATTGTTCTGATCTGCAGCCTGTCTCCTTTGAGGTTCTCTGATGGCTCTTGGGCCTGCCCCTTCTGAGCTGAGACTGAAGGAAAAGGGGGGCATGACTTCCAAAACCCCACCCTCTCCAAGTTGCTCTCAGGTTATCTCAGGCCAGAAAACTCCCAGTGAGCCAGAATAAGGCCTAAACTCTTATGGACAAAACTCCCGTGGGTTCCCCAGGGAATTTGAACCTGCCTCCCTTCTCATCACCCAAGCTTATGACCAAGTGAGTTCTCCAAAGCACCTACTGGGTGCTAGGGCCAGCACAATCACTAGGTCCAGGATATTCAATGAGGAGTATGGGTAGTGATAAGAACCTGAGGTCATGGGGGTTAGATAATTCAAGTGACCTCAATGTTTGGTAACAGAACTGACAAGAAGCTCAGTATGTTTCAAAATATTGAATAAAATTAATGCACTTCACTGATAGCTCAACCACCAAGATATAGATATAAATGTCCCAATTAGTAGAGGGAAAAAAACAACAAGCAAGCAAAAATCCACAAGGTTAAGCTAATTCTAGAGCTAGCTTTTGCCCCAGAGTATCTGCTAATCTTTTGGTGGTTTCTGTCTTTGTTTTAATAGTTTGTGGGTTCAGGAGATAGTAGACAAAGCCTAGGCCATGGAAGTAAGTATACAGGTAAGCTCAGAAACTTCAGGAAAGCCAGGACCTTCAAAAGGCAATGACCTCAGTGAATGAATTTTTTTAAAAACAGGAAAATTGGGGTAGAGGAGTAGATATGCTGATCTTGGCCTTGGTGCCATATAAAATAGAATAAAAATAAAGAAAAAACATTACCCATGAGAATTTTTAACACAATCTGCATTCATATGGGTTTGAGGGAAGAATTTATATTACCTATGTGGTCCAAAAACCCAAGAAGAAAATTGAATTTAATGTGTCCCTAGCAGAAGTAAACACAAATCTTCTCTGGGGAATAGCTGAAAACCTGATCCCAAATATAGTAAACATAAGATATAGAAAACATGAGGAAATAATTTTAAAATATGAAATGTAAAGTGAGAAGCTCCAATATAAGTATAATTGAAGTTTCCGAAGAATATAGGAAGTAGGGTAAAATCAATATTTAAAGAGCTAATGGGTTACAGTTTTCCAGAATTAATGAAAGCCACCAATCCTTAGACCCAGGAAGCCCAATAAATTCCAACTAAAATAAATAAAAGTAAATTTATTTATAGACCTATCAGAGTCTGTAGAACATTAAAGACAAAAATCCTTAAAAGCAGCCAGAAATAGAAGATGAATTACCTTTACCCTTTACAGAAATAACAATTAGATAGCTGGCTCTCAAACTTAAGTGGGCAGTAGAATCACTTGGAGGACTTTTAAAAACACATTTCTGAACCCCAACTACAAAGTTTGGGTTCAGTAAATCTGGAATAAGATTTTTAAAAGTTGCATTTTGAAAAAGCTCCAAAGTGATACTGAGGCTGCTGGTCTAAGAACCACTTTTGAAAATCACTGAATTAGAGTGATATTTGCATTATAAAGAGCAATATTGGAAAACGAAAGACATTAGAATGACAAAAGACATTATCTGTAAAGTACCAAGTGAAAAATGTCACTGCCAATCTAGAATTGATACATGGGAAAACAAACTATCTTTCAAGAACATGTGCAAAATAAAGATATTGTTGGACAAAAATTGAGAGTTTAAAAAAGACTTTCACTGAAATAACTTCAAGAATATGTCCTTCAGGAGGAAGAAAAATTATTTCAGAAGGAAGATTCAAGATGGAAAAAGAAATAGGGAAGCAAAATGGTAAATTTAAACCAATATTAATTATGGAAAACAAAAACATTACTTTCTAATCTGGAGGGCTGTAAAAATTAATTTAGAATGAACACTGTAGCATACAAAAGCATACACATCAATATTGGAATGATCAGATTTAAAACAGATTCTTATTTTGTGTGAGAAAAAACAATACATTTATTACATTTAGACTCATGAAATTGTAAATATTAAAAATTTCACTTCATTCACTATAACAATGGTAACAATGTATAACACCAAATTAGTTAAGGGGAATGTATGGAATGAGAGGAAAAGAATAGTCCAAAGGAATTTGTGAAAATAAAAAAATAAGATAATAGAAAATCTTTACTTATTTTAATAAATATGAACCTTTATTTTTTCTTTTAATATTTAATTCATTAAATAAGATATCTATTACATGTTAATATCAGTAATACTTTATAAAAATAAGTATATATTTCAAAACAATAAACAATGAGAAGAATAGCAATGTTCTATACTTGTGCAAATCTCTTTTATGTCCGACTTAATAGAAGACAGCTGGATTGTCATATGTGTACATTCAATCTGCTGCAATATGTTGTGTTGGTTGAAGTATATAAAGAGAATTCAACTTCACATAGATGTGAGGCTGAAGAAGGAAGAATCTTTTAGACTCTCTAAAAGAGTCTTTGCGGCCTCCAGGGGTCCTTGGATCACACTTTAACAATTACTACACTAAAAAGTTTCCAGTTACAAGACTGCAAACTAAACATGTGTACCAATCTTCTACATCCTACGCCAAACTGAGACAAGTTACAGAAAATACATTAAAATAAAAATGTATGGCTGTACCAAAAAAAAATTCAGTATAGGCTGAATGCAGTAGCTTATACCTGTAATCCCAGCACTTTAGGAGGAATGAGGCAGAAGACGACTTGAGGCCAGGAGGTTGAGGCTGCAGTCAGTCATGATCATGCCACTACACTCCAACTTAGGCAACAGAGTAAGACCCTGCCTCCCCCACCCCCCATAAAGAAAAGAAAACTAGGTATGTGTGCATCAGGGGACAGGGAAATTCCTTGAAGGAGAATTCTATCATAAACAATTGAAAAAATCTCATTTTTAAAAGTCCCATGCATTGAGGTGGTGGATGTCAGAACCTGAAGGTGATCCAGAAGCAACAAATAGGGTGCTAAGTTGAGATACTCTAGAGAGATAAAATCTTGTGTATCACTCCTCAGGGCCCAGGCTGCAGCCATAGGGGTGGGGGTAGGGATGGAGGGTTGGTTTCTGCAGGTGGGAGCTGAAATCAAAGAGGCAGGACATTGCTTCCAGGGCCAGCAGAAACATAGGGAGCTCAAGCACCAAATGCCAGCTACTACTCAACTCATTCAATCCACCCTTGCCCATTCTCACCAGACACATTTCATCCAAAATAGTAACACTGCTAAGGTCTCATAGTGTAGAAATACTGGATAGTGGAAAATTTAACAGGAAATTTCAAGCACCAAGGTGAACACACAATATAAAAATCATCAAATATAGGGGGAAATTTGACACCATGGAAGAAGCAAACTCAACCAATGGCAGAATTTATATCCAAAGACAAAGAATTAGCAATAGAAATAAGAATATGATTTTTAAAAAAGATAATTTACATACTTAGAAAATCTTTAAAATATATTACCTTCGTAGAATGAAAAATATAACTTAGAGGGGAAAAATTCTCAATAGATGTACTGAAACATCAAATAAACACTTAAAAGGAAAAAATTAATTAGCTGGAAAATTGAGTAAAGAATTTTTCCAAAATACAGCCAAAGGAGTAATCAGGTGAAAAGAAAGAAAGTAAGTTAATAAATGTAAAGGAGAGATCTAAAAACTAACAAGTTTGTAACGGAAGTTCTGGAGTGAGTGAGAATTGATAATGAAGGAATAGCAATGAGAGAAGAAAGAATAGCCAAGAACTAAAGATGGGCACAAGTCTTCAGTTTAAGAGACCATTAAGTGTCAAGCAAGATAATGTCAACGATACATGTAAAACTCTAAAATATGCTGGAAACTCATAATAGTTACACATGAATAAATCAGATTGATGCAAGAGACTAGATATACAAACAGAGAATGGCCAGGCCATATATAAAAATAGAACTCTGACCCACAATCTGCAGCAACCAGCTCAGGAAGTCAACCCATAATCTGTGGTAAACAGCCCAGGAAACCAGTCTGCTATTTCTAAGTCAGACTTGTAGGGTGTCAGATCTCTACTTCTAACAAAAATCCAGGAAGCTAAACAATAATACCTGTGATAATTACCCCCAAGCAGGACTTTATTAATAACTGACAGCTTTCCTAATTTTGTACCTACTTTTGTACAACAGAGGACCAATTAGGTAAAGTCAAATACTTACCACTAACCAACGACATAGAATGCTCTGTTTCTCGTTAGCCTGCCTGCAGCTTCTCCATGCCAATAGCCTCCAATAGGGCATACCTGAAGACTTCCCTTTTTTCACTACAAAGCTTTACCATTCCTCTGCCTGCCATTGAGCTTCTGCCAAGCACAAATAATGGTGGCTGACTCCCTTGCTATGGCAGGCTCTGAATAAACCATGCCTGGTTATTCTCATCTGGTTGGTCTTCATTCATTTCCATAGTTATTGTGGAGGCTCCACAGAGCCCCTATCTGCACTGTGCACTGCACAGACTCCAGCCTTCACACAGGTGCACTATTCACGAAGGCCCCTCTTGCCTTGCTACTCATAGCTTATGAATCCTATGATGCCACACCCTGGGCATGAACTCTACTCTCTTTGTGTTGAGTTTCTTGGCTATTTATTCTCAGGTGAGTCACTGGCTTTGTTATTGGTTCCTATTTGTTTGGCGCCCTTGTTTG
This sequence comes from Homo sapiens, assembly GCF_000001405.40. Taxonomy (NCBI): domain Eukaryota; kingdom Metazoa; phylum Chordata; class Mammalia; order Primates; family Hominidae; genus Homo; species Homo sapiens. Next base: position 136,957,512 of record NC_000005.10, on the reverse strand, counting down.
AATCAGGCCATCTCTTTTCATCCCTCCCCACATTATTTTTTTTTCTATTTTTTGTGCTACTGTTTTGTGTTGTGCTGTCTAAAAGTGTTACTTGTCAAAAGAAGGAGAATCCTAGGGCAGAACATGGGCAAAGGCCTTATTGGCCTGTTGTTCAAGCTGGCCTCACAGGCGGGGAAGTTTTCAGATCTTGTTGGACTGGTGTCCATTGGACAAACTTTGCTGTGGGTCACCAATGAAACCAGATGAGGTTCTTCTTCCATCCTGAATTTGGCTCCTGAGAGCTTGGCTTTGACCCAGAGGCAATGTTATTTCTGGTTTTCCACCTGCCAGGGGCACAGACTATTGGGTCTATGTTCGGAGGCCGCCAACTGTCAGGTTGTGGACCTGAGACACGAAGTGCACAGCATTACATTCCTACCAACTATCACCAGCTCGTATGGGGTCCTCTAAGTCTAAATTCTCTCCTGTATCTGGAAAAATCCCTGCTTCTTATATGTAATCTGATTACAGTCCTAATTCTTGTGCCTCACTCTCTAAATGGCATAACTTCAGAAGATGACTTAGGTCTTCAGTGCCACTCTGGGGAACACTGAATTTGAATAAAATAGTTGGAGAGGCACCTAAGAAAAGAAAGGGAATAAGATTCTACAAGCTCCATGGTTAGCATTTCTTTCTTTCTTTTTTTTTTGGAGACAGTCTCGCTCTGTCACCCAGGCTGGAGTGCAGTGGCACGATCTCGGCTTACTGCAAGGGTAGCATTTCTTGATTGGTATTCAGGGACCTCCAAACAAAACTGAATTAAAAATTGCATCACTAAAAAAGCCTCCAGCTAAAGCTAAAGGGCAACCTGACAAAGTTAAAGCAAGAACTAGACTTATTCCCCTAGTAAATCCTCCCCCCAGTCCTTATCCTCCATTGCTAGCTCTTCTAGAAACTGCCTCCCTTCCCATCGCCCAAGCTTATGACCAAATGAATTCTCCAAAGCACCTACTGGGTGCTAGGGACAGCACAATAATTAGGTCCAGGATAATCAATAAGAACCTCAGGTCAGGGGGGTTAGACAGTTCAAGGGACCTCAAAGTCTTCCTCTTATGCTGCTGATCTTTCTCCCTCTGCACCTCCTACCTCTTCTTCCCTTTGTCCAGCCTCCCTACCTTTCCCAACAACTTTCCTAAAACCCCCCAATGCCAGTTGCCTATAAGGACCCATTCCTCTCATGAGCCTGTCCTGCAGGCAACTGTCGAACTGAAGCCTTGGACCTGAGCTCATTCAAGAGCTGCAACTAAAGATTTCCCTAAACTCAAACAAGACCAGCAAATATTCATAGAAGAATTTAGAATTATTTTGGGTACATATGACCTAGGGTTACCTGACCTATATCAGCCTGTACACACATTGGTCCAAACCTCAGATACTAAATCCTAAATGGCAAAAGATAATTGGGCTGACCCAGAAAGCAATCTATAGGATCCTTCTTTCCATAACAAACCTGAGGGTCAAAAACAGGCCAGAAAATTAGGTCAACGTCTCATAAAAAGCCATTCCTGAAACATTCACAGTAAAAATTGATAGGACCACAATTCAATCATGCAAATAGGCACAAAAGATGAAACTATAGATTGCTCAAGATAGAGTAGGAAATACTTTCTGACATCTCTTGGGAATAAAGAAGGTGCTGTTGTGATAGCAGCCCTTTCATCTCACTTTGTCGATGGAGTTAAACCTGACGTTAAAGTCCTAATGTGAAAGTAGACATTAGAATGGGAAACAGCCCCACTAGCTAAACTCTAATACCTGACAGAACATTTTGCCAGGGCTTTAGGACAAAAGTGAGAAAGCTCTAAAGTAAATTGATGGGACTATAGATTAAACAGCTAGGTAGTCCATTCCCCAACCAACCACCTGCTGACAAGGACACTTGTAGAAATTGTTAACAGAAGGAACACTGGAAATAGATGAACCCATCTTATAAAAGAAAAACCAAGACAAAGAAACATCCCTCAATTTGGATCAATGAAGGCATTCCAAGGAATGAAAAAGCATTCAATATCTTGCCATACCCTCAAACACTCACAGTAAATTAACTATGAATACAGTCATGCTAATCAATTCCTAGTTCAACTCATACGAAAAAAGACATGTGTGCCACTTTTTGTGCATTATACCTTGTTATCTTTCTTAACTTCTTCCTCAGAGTAAACTTACAACATATGTGGAAGGTATTTCATAACCCTCAGGTTTTCCCCATCTCCCAATTCTTAACCTAACCCTTGTGTCTTTGACTGAAAAACATTCCTTCCTGCTCTGTGATACCACCCCTGCAAATTTAATAGAATGGTTACTTTGCAAATGGAACTGCAATGATTAAAAGCATGCCAGGAGGACTATTTCTTGAGGTTCCAGAGAACTCCTCTGTTCATGGTCAAGATGTGTCTGCTCTAGATATGCCATTGCTTCTCCCATTACATTTAATGCATACCACAGAAAAGTGACACTATATGGGCAAAAATTTTACTGATGTAGGCAAAATAATCAGAGCAGAACCTATAAAAAATACAGATAGAGTCTATCAAACCATTACATAAACTTCCCTAATATTCCTTGAACTCAGACACAGGTAAGGGATCAAACCTATAGTTGCAAGCCTTGTATCCCAAGGTCTTCTCATACCCTGCATTAGCCCTGTAACACTTCTGTCCTGTGAGTAAAGAACCCAAACAGATGACAGTGTCAATTTGCTTAAGACTTCAAGGCCATTGGCAAAATTGTTATTCCTCACTTTCCAGAAATACCTCAACCCACACAACTCCTCCAGAAGCCACTTGCTTACCTGCAGTGAGCCTTTGCTCTACCTTTTTCAGTGTGCCTCTAGACTAGAAGAGTCAATACCTTTTTGCTTTTTCCTGAGAAGGACAACATTCTATCTAGAAAGTCATGCCTCAGAGGGTTACTGAAGCCCTTTCCTACTTTTCCCAAGTCCTCAAACAAGACTTAAAAGATCTGGGAGTGGCTGGCAAGATGGCCAAATAGGAAAAGCTCTGCTCTGCAGCTCCCAGCAAGATCAACGCAGAAGGCGGGTGATTTCTGCACTTCCAACTGGAGTACCTGGCACATCTCATTGGGACTGGTTAGACAGTGGGTGCAGCCCACGGAGGGTGAGCAGAAGCAGGGTGGGGCATTGCCTCACCCAGGAAGCACAAACAGTTGAAGAACTCCCTCCCCTAGCCAAGGGAAGCTGTGAGGGACTGTGCTATGAGGAACAGTGCACTCTGGCCTAGATACTACGCTTTTCCTATGGTCTTTGCAACCCACAGACCAGGAGATTCCCTCCGGTGCCTACACCACAAGGGCACTGGTTTTAAAGCACAGAACTGGGCAGCCGTTTGGGCAGACACTGAGCTAGGTGCAGGATTTTCTTTTCACACCCCAGTGGTGACTGGAAAGCCAGTGAGACAGAACCATTCACTCCCCTGGAAAGGGAGCTGAAGCCAGAGAGCCAAGTGGTCTAGCTCAGTGGATCCCACCCCCACAGAGCCCAGCAAGCTAAGATCCACTGGCTTGTAATTCTTGCTGCTAGCACAGCAGTCTGAAGTCGACCTGGAATGCTCCACCTTGGTGAGGGGAGGGGCATCTGGCATTACTGAGGCTTGAGTAGGGGGTTTTCCCCTCAGTGTAAACAAAGCTTTAAGGAAGTTCCAACTGGGCGGAGCCCACTGCAGCTTGGCAAAGCTGCTATAGCCAGACTGCCTCTCTAGATTCCTCTTCTTGGGGCAGGGAATCGCTGAAAGAAAGGCAGCAGCCCCAGTCAGGGGCTTATAGATAAAACTCCCATCTCCCTGGGACAGAGCACCTGGGGGCAGGGGCGGCTATAGGTGCAGCTTCAGCAGAATTAAATACTCCTGTCTGCCAGCTCTGAGGAGAGTGGCAGATCTCCCGGCACAGTGCTGGAGTTCTGCTCACGGACAGACTGCCTCCTCAAGTGGGTCCCTGACCCCCGTGCCTCCCAACTGGGAGACACAGCAGGGGTTGACAGACACCTCATGCAGGAGTGCTCCAGCTGGCATCTAGCGGGTGCTCCCCAGGAATGAACCTTCCAGGGGAAGGAACAGGCAGCAATCTTTGCTGTTCTGCAGCCTCCACTGGTGATACCTAGGCAAACAGGGTCTGGAGTGGACATCTGGCAAACTGCAGCAGACCTGCAGCAGAGGGGCCTATTAGAAGGAAAACTAACAAACAGAAAGGAATAGTATCAACATCAACAAAAACGATGTCCACACCAAAACCCCATCTGAAGGTCACCAACATCAAACACCAAAGGTACATAAATCCACGAAGATGGGGAGAAACCAGTGCAAAAAGACTGAAAATTGCAAAACACAGAACACCTCTTCTCCTCCAAAGGATCACAACTCCTCACCAGCAAGGGAAAAAACTGGACAGAGAATGAGTTTGATGAATTGACAGAAGTAGGCTTCAGAAGGTGGATAATAACAAACTCCTCCCAGCTAAAGGAGCATCTTCTAACCCAATGCAAGGAAGCTAAGAACCTTGAAAAAAGGTTAGAGGAATTGCTAACTAGAATAACCAGTTTAGAGAAGAACATTAATGACCCGATGGAGCTGAAAAACACAGCAGAAGAACCTCACGAAGCATACACAAGTATCAATAGCTGAATTAATCAAGCAGAAGAAAGAATATCAGAGATTGCAGATCAACTTAATGAAATAAAGCATAACGACAAGATTAGAGAAAAAATAGTGAAAAGGAAGGAACAAAGCCTCCAAGAAATATGGGACTATGTGAAAAGACCAAACCTATATTTGATTGTTGTACCTGAAAGTGACAAGAAGAATGGAACCAAGGAGGAAAACACTCTTCAGGATATTATTCAGGAGAACTTCCCCAACCTATCAAGACAGGCCAACATTCAAACTCAGGAAATACAGAGAACACCACAAAGATCCTCCTCAAGAAGAGCAACCCAGAGACACATAATTGTCAGATTCACCGAGGATGAAATGAAGGAAACAATGTTAAGGGAAGCCAGAGAGAAAGGTCAGGTTAACCACAAAGGGAAGCCCACCAGACTAATGGTGGATCTCTCTGCAGAAACCCTACATGCCAGAAGAGAGTGGGGGCCAATCTTCAACATTCTTAAAGAGAAGAATTTCCAACCCAGAATTTTTTTTAAATTTTATTATTATTATATTTTAAGTTTTAGGGTACATGTGCACAACGTGCAGGTTTGTTACATATGTATACATGTGCCATGTTGGTGTGCTGCACCCATTAACTCATCATTTAGCATTACGTATATCTCTTAATGCTATCCCTCCCCCCTCCCCCCACCCCACAACAGGCCCCAGGGTGTGATGTTCCCCTTCCTGTGTCCATGTGTTCTCATTGTTCAATTCCCACGTATGAGTGAGAATATGCGGTGTTTGGTTTTTTGTCCTTGTGATAGTTTGCTGAGAACGATGGTTTCCAGCTTCATCCATGTCCCTACAGAGGACATGAACTCATCATTTTTATGGCTGCATAGTATTCCATGGTGCATATGTGCCATATTTTCTTAATCCAGTCTATCATTGTTGGACATTTGGGTTGGTTCCAAGTCTTTGCTATTGTGAATAGTGCCGCAATAAACATATGTGTGCATGTGTCTTTATAGCAGCATGATTTATAATCCTTTGGGTATATACCCAGTAAAGGGATGGCTGGGTCAAATGGTATTACTAGTTCTAGATCCCTGAGGAATCGCCACACCGACTTCCACAATGGTTGAACTAGTTTACAGTCCCACCAACAGTGTAAAAGTGTTCCTATTTCTCCACATCCTCTCCAGCACCTGTTGTTTCCTAACTTTTTAATGATTGCCATTCTAACTGGTGTGAGATGGTGTCTCATTGTGGTTTTGATTTGCATTACAAGAAGAAAACAAACAACCCAATCAAAAAGTGGGCAAAGGATATGAACAGACACTTCTCAAAAGAAGACATTTATGCAGCCAAAAAACACATGAAAAAATGGTTATCATCACTGGCCATCAGAGAAATGCAAATCAACCCAGAATTTCATATCCAGCCAAACTAAGCTTCATAAGTGAAGAAAAAATAAAATCCTTTACAGACAAGCAAATGCTGAGAGATTTTGTCACCACCAGGCCTGTCTTACAAGAAGCAATAAACATGGAAAGAAACAATTGGTACCAGCAACTGCAAAAACATATAAAATTGTAAAGACCATTGACACTATGAAGAAACTGCATGAAATAATGGGCAAAATAACCAGCTAGCATATAATGATAGGATCAAATTCACACATAACAATATTAGGCTTAAATGTAAATGGGCTAATGCCCCAACTAAAAGACACAGACAGGCAAATTGGATAAAGAATCAAGACCCATTGGTGTGCTGTATTCAGGAGACCCATTTCACATGCAAAGACACACATAGGGTCAAAATAAAGAGGAAGATTTACCGAGCAAACGGAAAGAAAAAAAAAAAAGCAGAGGTTGCTATCCTAGTCTCTGATAAAACAGACTTTAAATCAACAAACATCAAAAGAGACAAAGAAGGGCATTACATAATGGTAAAGGGATCAATGCAACAAGAAGAACTAACTATCCTAAATATATATGCACCCAATACAGAAGGAACCAGATTCATAAAGCAAGTTCTTAGAGACCTACAAAGAGACTTAGACTCCCACACAATAATAGTGGGAGACTTTAATACCCCACTGTCAATATTAGACAGATCAATGAGAAAATTAACAAGGATATCCAGGACTTGAACTCAGCTCTGGAACAAGCAGACCTACTAGACATCTACAGAACTCTCCACCCCAAATCAAAAGAATATACATTCTTCTCAGCACTACATCACATTTACTCTAAAATTGACCAGATAATTGGAAGTAAAACACTCCTCAGCAAATGCAAAAGAACGGAAATCATAACAGTCTCTTAGACCACAGTGCAATCAAATTAAAATTCAAGATTAAGAAACTGCACAAATACATGGAAACTGAACAACCTGCTTCTGAATAACTACTGGGTAAATAACGAAATTAAGGCAGAAATAAATAAGTTGTTTGAAACCAATGAGAACAAAGACACAATATACCAGAATCTCTGGGACATAGCTAAAGCAGTATGTAGAGGGAAATTTATAGCATTAAATTCCCACAAGACAAATCAAGAAAGTTCTAAAATCGATATGCTAGCATCACAATTCAAAGAATTAGAGAAGCAAGAGCAAACAAATTCAAAAGCTAGCAGAAGACAAGAAATAACTAAGACCAGAGCAGAACTGAAGGAAATAAATACACCAAAAACCCTTCAAAAAAAAAAAAAAAAACAATGAATCCAGGAGCTGGTTTTTTGGAAGGATCAACAAAATAGATAGACTGCTAGCCAGACTAATAAAGAAGAAGAAAGAGAAGAATCAAATAGATGCAACAAAAAATAATAAAGGGGATATTACCACTGATCCCACAGAAATACAAACTACCATCAGGGAATACTATAAGCACGTCTATGCAAATAAACTAGAAAATCTAGAAGAAATGATAAATTCCTGGAAACATACATCCTCCCAAGTCTAAACCAAGAGGAAGTCGAATCCATGAATAACAAAAAGAAGTTCTGAAATTGAGGCAGTAATTAATAGCCTACCAACCAAAAAAAGTCCAGAACCAGATGATTCACAGTTGAATTCTACCAGAGGCACAAAGAGGAGCTTGTATCATTTCTTCTAAAACTATTCCAAACAATAGAAAAAGAGGGACTCCTTCCTAACTCATTTTATGAGGACAGCATCATCCTGATACCAAAACCTGGCAGAGACAAACCAAAAAAGAAAATTTCAGGCCAATATCCTTAATGAACATTGATGTGAAAATCCTCAATAAAATAATGGCAAACCGAATCCAGCAGCACATCAAAGAGCTTATCCACCATGATCAAGTTGGCTTCATCCATGGGATGCAAGGCTGGTTCAACATATGCAAATTAATAAATGTAATCCATCACATAAACAGACCCAGTGACAAAAACCACATGATTATCTTAATAGATGCAGAAAAGACCTTTGATAAAATTTAACACCCTTCATGCTAAAACCTCTCAATAAACTAGGTATTGATAGAACAGATCTCAAAATAATAAGAGCTATTTATGACAAACCCACAGCCAATATCATACAGAATGGGCAAAAACTGGAAACATTCCTTTTGAACACTGGCACAAGACAGGGATGCCCTCTCTCACCACTCCTATTCAATATAGTATTGGAAGCTCTGGCCAGGCAATCAGGGAAGAGAAAGAAATAAAATGTATTCAGATAGGAAGAGAGGAAGTCAAATTGTCTGTTTGCAGATGACGTGATTGTATATTTAGAAAACCCCATTGTCTCAGCCCCAGATCTCCTTAAGGTGATAAGCAACTTCAGCAAAGTCTCAGGATACAAAATCAATGTGCAAAAATCACAAGCATTTCTATACACCAGTAATAGACAAACAGCCGAATCATGAGTGAACTCCCATTCACAATTGCTACAAAGAGAATAAAATACCTAGGAATACAACTTACAAGGGATGTGAAGGACCTCTTCAAGGAGAACTACAAACCACTGCTCAACGAAATAAGAGAGGACACAAACAAATGGAAAAACATTCCATCCTCATGAATGGGAAGAATCAATATCATGAAAATGGCCATACTGCCCGAAGTAATTTATAGATTCAATGCTATTCCCATCCATCTACCATTGACTTTCTTCACAGAATTAGAAAAAACTACTTTAAATTTCACATGGAACCAAAAAAGAGCCCACATAGCCAAGAAAATCCTAAGCAAAAAGAACAAAGCTGGAAGCATCAAGCTACCTGACTTCAAACTATATTACAAGCCTACAGTAATCAAAACAGCATGTTACTGGTACCAAAACAGATATACAGACCACAGAACAGAGGCCTCAGAGATAACACCACACATCTACAACCATCTGATCTTTGACAAATCTAATAAAAACAAACATTAGGGAAGGATGCCCTATTTAATAAATAGTGTTGGGAAAACTGGCTAGCCATACGCAGAACACTAAAACTGGACCCCTTCCTTACACCTTATACAAAAATTAACTCAAGATGGATTAAAGACTTAAATGTAAGACCTAAAACCATAAAAACCCTAGAAGAAAACCTAGGCAATACCATTCAAGACATAGGCATGGGCAAAGACTTCATGACTAAAACACCAAAAGCAATTGCAACAAAAGCCAAAATTGACAAATGGGATCTAATTAAACTAAAGAGCTTCTGCACAGCAAAATAAACTATCATCATCATGAAGAGGCAACCTACAGAATGGGAGAAAATTTTTGCAATCTATCCATTTGACAAACAGCTAACATCCAGAACCTACAAAAAACTTAAGCAAATTTACAAGAAAAAAACAACCCCATCAAAAAGTGTGTGAAGGATGTGAAGAGACAACTTCTCAGAAGACAACATTTATGTGAACAACAAACATGAAAAACAGCTCATCATCACTGGTCACTAGAGAAATGCAAATCAAAACCATAATGAGATAGCCTCTCATGCCAGTTAAAATGGTGAACATTAAAAAGTCAGGAAACAACAGATGCTGGAGAGGATGTGGAGTAATAGGAATGCTTTTACATAATTGGTGGGAGTGTAAATTAGTTCAACCATTGTGGAAGACAGTGTGGCGATTCCTCAAGGATCCAGAACCAGAAATGCCATTTGACCCAGCAATCCCATTACTGGGTATATACCCAAAGCATTATAAATCATTCTACTATAAAGATACATGCACATGTATGTTTATTCCCACACTATTCACAATATCAAAGACTTGGAACCAATCCAAATGCCAATCAATGATAGATAGGATAAAGAAAATGTGGGGGGTGGAGCCAAGATGGCCAAATAGGAACAGCTCCAGTCTACAGCTTCCAGTGTCAGCAATGCAGAAGACGGGTGATTTCTGCATTTCCAAATGAGGTACCAGGTTCATCTCACAGGGGAGTGCGGGACAGTGGGTGTAGGAGAGTGGGTGCAGTGCACCCAGTGTGAGCTGAAGCATGGCGAGGCATCGCCTCACCTGGGAAGTGCAAGGGATCAGGGAATTCCCTTTCCTAGTCAAAGAAAGGGGTGACACACAGCACCTGGAAAATCAGGTCACTCCCACCCTAATACTGCACTCTTCCAACGGTCTTAGCAAACAGCACACCAGGAGATTATATCCCGTGCCTTGCTCAGAGGGTCCTATGCCCACAGAGCCTCACTCATTGGTAGCACAGCAGTCTGAGATCAAACTGCAAGGCGGCAGTGAGGCTGGGGGAGGGGCGCCCGCCATTGCCTAGGTTTCAGTAGGTAAACAAAGCGGCTGGGAAGCTCGAACTGGGTGGAACCCACCGCAGCTCAAGGAGGCCTGCCTGCCCCTGTAGACTCCACTTCTGGGGGCAGGGCATAGCCAAACTAAAGCAGCAGAAACCTCTGTCCCTGTCTGTCCCTGTCTGACAGCTTTGAAGAGAGTAGTGGTTCTCCCAGCATGCAACGAGAGATCTGAGAACGGACAGACTGCCTCCTCAAGTGGGTCCCTGACACCCAAGTAGCCTAACTGGGAGGCACCCCCCAGTAGGGGCAGACTGACACCTCACATGGCTATGTACTCCTCTGAGACAAAACTTCCAGAGGAACGATCAGGCAGTAACGTGCTGTTCACCAATATCCGCTGTTCTGCAGCCTCCTCTACTGATACCCAGGCAAACAGGGTCTGGAGTGGACCTCCAGCAAACTCCAACAGACCTGCAGCTGAGGGTCCTGACTGTTAGAAGGAAAACTAACAAACAGAAAGGACATCCACACCAAAAACCCATCTGTTCATCACCATAATCAAAGACCAAAGGTAGATAAAACCACAAAGCTGGGGAAAAAACAAAAACTGGAAACTCTAAAAAGCAGAGCACCTCTCCTCCTCCAAAGGAACACAGCTCCTCACCAGCAACGGAGCAAAGCTGGATGGAGAATGACTTTGACCAGTTGAGAGAAGAAGGCTTCAGACGATCAAATGACTCCAAGCTAAAGGAGGAAGTTCCAACCCATGGCAAAGAAGTTAAAAACCTTGAAAAAAAAATTAGATGAATGGCTAACTAGAATAACCAATGCAGAGAAGTCCTTAAAGGACATGATGGAGCTGAAAACCATGGCACGAGAACTACGTGACAAATGCACAAGCCTCAGTAACCGATACGATCAACTGGAAGAAAGGGTATCAATGATGGAAGATCAAATGAATGAAATGAAGCGAGAAGAGAAGTTCAGAGAAAAAAGAATAAAAAGTAATGAACAAAGCCTCCAAGAAATATGGGACTATGTGAAAAGACCAAATCTACGTCTGACTGGTGTACCTGAAAGTGACATGGAGAATGGAACCAAGTTGGAAAACACTCTGCAGGATATTATCCAGGAGAACTTCCCCAATCTAGCAAGGCAGGCCAACATTCAAATTCAGGAAATACAGAGAACACCACAAAAATACTCCCTGAGAAGAGCAACTCTAAGACACAATTGTCAGATTCACCAAGGTTGAAATGAAGGAAAAAATGTTAAGGGCAGCCAGAGAGAAAGGTCGGGTTACCGACAAAGGGAAGCCCATCAGACTAACAGCGGATCTCTTGGCAGAAACTCTACAAGCCAGAAGAGAATGGGGGCCAATATTCAACATTTTTAAAGAAAAGAATTTTCAACCCAGAATTTCATATCCAGCCAAACTAAGCTTCATAAGTGAAGGAAAAATAAAATCCTTTACAGACAAGCAAATGCTGAGAGATTTTGTCACCACCAGGCCTGCCCTAAAAGAGCTCCTGAAGGAAGCACTAAACATGGAAAGGAACGACCCATACCAGACACTGCAAAAACATGCCAAATTGTAAAGACCATCAAGGCTAGGAAGAAACTGCATCAACTAATGAGGAAAATAACCAGCTAACATCATAATAACAGGATCAAATTCACACATAACAATATTAACCTTAAATGTAAATGGGCTAAATGCTCCAATTAAAAGACACAGACTGGCAAATTGGATAAAGAGTCAAGACCCATCAGTGTGCTCTATTTAGGAAATCCATCTCATGAGCAGAGACACACATAGGCTCAAAATAAAGGGATGGAGGAAGATCTACCAAACAAATGGAAAACAAAAAAAAGCAGAGGTTGCAATCCTAGTCTCTGATAAAACAGACTTTAAACCAACAAAGATCAAAAGAGACAAAGAAGGCCATTACATAATGGTAAAGGGATCAATTCAACAAGAAGAGCTAACTATCCTAAATATATATGCACCCAATACAGGAGCAGCCACATTCATAAAGCAAGTCCTTAGAGACTTACAAAGAGACTTAGGCTCCTACACAATAATAATGGGAGACTTTAACACCCCACTGTCAACATTAGACAGATCAACGAGACAGAAAGTTAACAAGGATATCCAGGAATTGAACTCAGCTCTGCACCAAGAGGACCTAATACACATCTACAGAACTCTCCACCCCAAATCAACAGAATATACATTCTTTTCAGCACCACACCACACCTATTCCAAAATTGACCACATAGTTGGAAGTAAAGCACTCCTCAGGAAATGTAAAAGAACAGAAATTATAACAACCTGTCTCTCAGACCACAGTGAAATCAAACTAGAACTCCGGATTAAGAAACTCACTCAAAACCGCTCAACTACGTGGAAAAGGAACAACCTGCTCCTGAGTGCCTACTGGGTACATAACAAAATGAAGGCAGAAATAAAGAGGTTCTTTGAAACCAATGAGAACAAAGACACAACATACCAGAATCTCTGGGACGCATTCAAAGCAGTGTGTAGAGGGAAATTTATAGCACTAAATGCCCACAAAAGAAAGCAGGAAAGATCTAAAATTGACACCCTAACATCACAATTAAAAGAACTAGAGAAGCAAGAGCAAACACATTCAAAAGCTAGCAGAAGGCAAGAAATAACTAAGATCAGAGCAGAACTGAAAGAGATAGAGACACAAAAAACCTTCAAAAAATCAATGAATCCAGGAGCTGGTTTTTTGAAATGATCAACAAAATCGATAGACCGCTAGCAAGACCAATAAAGAAGAAAAGAGATGAAAAGAGAGAAGAATCAAATAGATGCAATAAAAAATGATAAAGAGGATATCACCACTGATCCCACAGAAATACAAACTACCATCAGAAAATACTATAAACACCTCTACACAAATAAACTAGAAAATCTAGAAGAAACGGATAAATTCCTCGACACTCACACCCTCCTCCCAAGACTAAACCAGGAAGAAGTTGAATCTCTGAATAGACCAATAACAGGATCTGAAATTGAGGCAATAATTAATAGCTTACCAACCAAAAAAAGTCCAGGACCAGATGGATTTACAGCCAAATTCTACCAGAGGTACAAGGAGGAGCTGGTACCATTCCTTCTGAAACTATTCCAATCAATAGAAAAAGAGGGAATCCTTCCTAACTCATTTGATGAAGCCAGCATCATCCTGATACCAAAGCCTGGCAGAGACACAACAAAAAAAGAGAATTTTAGACCAATATCCCTGATGAACATCAATGCAAAAATCCTCAATAGAATACTGGCACACTGAATCCAGCAGCACATCAAAAAGCTTATCCACGATGATCAAGTGGGCTTCATCCCTGGGATGCAAGGCTGGTTCAATATACACAAATCAATACACATAATCCAGCATATAAACAGAACCAACGACAAAAACCACATGATTATCTCAATAATGCAGAAAAGGCCTTTGACAAAATTCAACAACCCTTCATGCTAAAAACTCTCAATAAATTAGGTATTGATGGGACGTATCTCAAAATAATAAGAGCTATCTATGACAAACCCACAGCCAATATCATACTGAATGGGCAAAAACTGGAAGCATTCCCTTTGAAAACTGGCACAAGACAGGGATGCCCTCTCTCACCACTCCTATTCAACATAGTGTTGGAAGTTCTGGCCAGGGCAATCAGGCAGGAGAAGGAAATAAAGGGCATTCGATTAGGAAAAGAGGAAGTCAAATTGTCCCTGTTTGCAGATGACATGATTGTCTATCTAGAAAACCCCATTGTCTCAGCCCAAAATCTCCTTAAGCTGCTAGTCAACTTCAGCAGTCTCAGGATACAAAATCAACGTACAAAAATCACAAGCATTCTTATACACCAATAATAGACAAACAGAGAGCCAAATCATGAGTGAACTCCCATTCACAATTGCTTCAAAGAGAATAAAATACCTAGGAATCCAACTTACAAGGGACGTGAAGGACCTCTTCAAGGAGAACTACATACCACTTCTCATTGAAATAAAAGAGGATTCAAACAAATGGAAGAGCATTCCATGCTCATAGGTAGGAAGAATCAATATCATGAAAATGGCCATATTGCCCAAGGTAATTTATAGATTCAATGCCATCCCCATCAAGTTACCAATGACTTTCTTCACAGAATTGGAAAAAACTACTTTAAAATTCATATGGAACCAAAAAAGAGCCTGCATTGCCAAGTCAATCCTAACTCAAAAGAACAAAGCTGGAGGCATCATGCTACCTGACTTCAAACTATACTACAAGGCTACAGTAACCAAAACAGAATGGTACTGGTACCTAAACAGAGATATAGATCAATGGAACAGAACAGAGCCCTCAGAAATAATACCACACATCTACAACCATCTGATCTTTGACAAACTTGACAAAAACAAGCAATGGGGAAAGGATTCCCTATTTAATAAATGGTGCTGGGAGAACTGGCTAGCCATATGTAGAAAGCTGAAACTGGATCCCTTCCTTACACTTTATACAAAAATTAATTCAAGATGGATTAAAGACTTAAATGTTAGACCTAAAACCATAAAAACCCTAGAAGAAAACCTAGGCAATACCATTCAGGACATAGGCATGGGCAAGGACTTCATGTCTAAAACGTGAAAGATATGAACAGACACTTCTCAAAAGAATACATTTATGCAGCCAACAGACACATGAAAAAATGCTCCTCATCACTGGCCATCAGAGAAATGCAAATCAAAACCACAATGAGATACCATCTCACACCAGTTAGAATGGCAATCATTAAAAAGTCAGGAAACAACAGGTGCTGGAGAGGATGTGGAGAAATAGGAACACTTTTACACTGTTGGTGGGACTGTAAACTAGTTCGACCATTGTGGAAGTCAGTGTGGCGATTCCTCAGGGATCTAGAACTAGTAATACCATTTGACCCAGCCATCCCTTTACTGGGTATATACCCAAAGGATTATAAATCATGCTGCTATAAAGACACATGCACACATATGTTTATTGCGGCACTATTCACAATAGCAAAGACTTGGAACCAACCCAAATGTCCAACAATGATAGACTGGATTAAGAAAATGTGGCACATATACACCATGGAATACTATGCAGCCATAAAAAATGATGAGTTCATGTCCTCTGTAGGGACATGGATGAAGCTGGAAACCATCATTCTCAGCAAACTATCGCAAGGACAAAAAACCAAACACCACATGTTCTCACTCACAGGTGGGAATTGAACAATGGGAACACATGGACACAGGAAGGGGAACATCACACACCGGGGCCTGTTGTGGGGTAGGGGGAGAGGGGAGGGATAGCATTAGGAGATATACCTAATGCTAAATGATGAGTTAATGGATGCAGCACACCAACATGGCACATGTATACATATGTAACAAACCTGCACGTTGTGCACCTGTACGCTAAAACTTAAAGTGTAATTTAAAAAAAAAGAAAAATGTGGCACATATACACAATGGAATACTATGCAGCCATAAAAAAGGACAAGTTTATGTCCTTTGCGGGGACATGGATATAGCTGGAAATCATCAGTCTCAGCAAACTGACACAGGAACAGAAAATCAAACACCACATGTTCTCACTCATAAGTGGGAGTTAAACAATGAGAACACACGGATCCACGGAGGAGAACATCACACACCAGGGCCTGTCATGGGGTGGGGGAGGTACAGCATTAGGAGAGATACCTAATGTAGATGATGGGTTGATGGGTGCCGCAAAGCACCATGGCACGTGTATATCTATGTAACAAACCTGTACATTCTGAAACATATATCCCAGAATTTCAAGTATAATTTTAAAAATTAAAAAATAAAAAAGATCTAAATTTATCTTGTGATTCAGTTCTAATATGCTATGTAGTTGATCTCCTACTCTTTTTTGAGAACAAGACTATTAAAAAGATTCCATTTACTTGCTCTCAGTCTTAGAAAATGGACTTAAAGTTCCAAAGACAAATTACAATTTTTCCTGAATAGTTTATCGAATAGGGCACAAGAGGGAAAAAACTGTTAGACTGAAGGCTATTCAAACATGCCCTAGAACTCTTACAAACTACAATAGAAAGGATCTGTAGGTTTAAGAGGATATTGCAGACAATGGGTTCTAAGTTTTTCTGAGATTGCAAAACCTTTTTACGAATAAATCCTCAGGAACAGACTTCTGCTCTGAAAGTCCAAATGGGAGCAGGACTTCTGGAACCTGAAGGTTTTTCAATTGCCTCCTTATCTAGGTATCTCTAACTAAAACACCACCACCACCAACAACAAAAACCAAAAAACATTTCATCTGTTTGCATATGAGTGATTGGGACAAGCCCTTTGGGTTTTAAGTGCATCATCAGCAGACCCAGGGGCAAAGGTTCATCTCCTTGTCTGAGAACCACAGCCGCTACTGCAAACTTGGTGATGTTTCTGCTGAACTGGTTTTGGCTCCCTACTTGACCTCAGGTTCCTCACACAGTGCAGACATTACTGAGGACACACAGCACTTCTCAGCCATCTGATTAACCTCCTATGAGATGCTATTACTCCCTGCCTCTCACATGGGTTATTCACCACAACAAAACCTAAACACTGTCACTCTCCTGCCCTGCAAGAAGATGGGGAGCTGAACCTCAGAATTATCTTTTCTTAATTAGGGAACCCTCGGTACCACAATCAGATTTATCTGAGACTCATATTGAGAACCACGACCTCATAATCTTTGTTATGGATCATACCTCAAAATGTTAGTAGTGGAAGGTATCCGAGTCACAAGGCACCAAAATATGTTAATAGTGGCAAATAGGTACTGGTCTGCAGCAACCTCAGTTCTTGCCTCCTCAGAAGAAAGTATTTGACTTCGGGGCTTAAGGCAGAAGGAGAGACTGGGGAAAGTTTTAGAGCAGGAGAGAACATTTATTTAAAAACCTTAGAACAGGAATGAAAGGAAGGAAAGTACACTTGGAAGAGAGCCAAGTGGCCAACTTGAAAGACAAGTGCACAGTTTGACCTTTTTGACTTGGGGTTTCATATGTTGGCATACTTCCGGGTCTTGTGTCACTTCTCTCAACTCCTCAGATCTTATTGGGAAGCTGCAAATCACCAGTTTCAGGTATTTTCTATCTAATATGAGACTGTCTTTCCCTAGTGCCAGCTGGGATCAATTATTTCCTTAGAGAGACAGTTAACACTGCCTGACCATCACTGGATGGTCACCTGACACTACTGGAGTATGTGTTGGGTGGTGGGGAGCTCTTTTATGCCCTGCTTATACCTGACTAGCTACTTACTGTAACAAAAACTGAATCTGGAGGTTATCGAGCAAGATATTCCATCACTAATCCCAGCTCTCCTTTAGAATACAGTCCTCTGTCTGAGGAAAAGGCATCCCAGGTGGCAGAATTTATTGCACCTTCTAGAGTTTTTCAACTAGCCAAAGACCAGAGAATAGACTTATATACAGATAGCAGGGTTACTCTAGAGTAGTACGTGACTTTCGGATGCTTTGGAAAGAAAAAGCGTCTCTCACCTCCCTGTAACTTCCATCAAAAGTGGACAGCAAGTTAAGAGACATTTAGTTGCATTCCTACTTCCTAGAGAGGTGGCTTTTATCAAATTGAAGTCCAGGTAAAAAGACAGTATGGAAGTTAAAGGCAATGTAGCAGCAGGTCATCATGCCGCTGGGCAAGTGGCTTTAGCCAAGGTTATGATCCTCTCTAAACCTTCCAAGGATACATTTCTGATCAAGGGATTCAAAATGGCCATTATAAAATTGCAACACAACAAACATCAAAAACAGTGATGTACTTTTACAAGAAGCACATCTGAAATAAAGTGACATAGGAAAGTTGGAAGTAAAGGGATGGAAATGCACACATGAGGCAAGTAATAACAAGAAAGCTAATTGCTATATGATGAAGCAGAATAGAAGGCAAAAAATAAATAAAATAGATTTTATAAGGATTAAAGAAAAAATGACTTTACTCATGGAGAGGCCTACCTTGTTTCAGGATGTAGGATAATCTGCTGTAGTGTTTTTCTCAATGTCTGCTCCCCCGTTGGCTTTGGATATATTGGCTTGGCACTGGGTCTTCCCTTTGCCCTGCTCCCCAAAGAAAATCCACTTCCTGTGCTTCTCGTATCTTATTCCACTGTTATTTTTTCTTAACACTTGGTGCAAAGCAGGGCGATGTTCTCTGATCTTCTGGTTGAGCCTCAGTCGTGGACAATCCCTGAGCACCTGTCTCAAGGGGGTGTGGTCTTACCCTCCTGCAGACTCGTGCTGGGCTTGGTACTGTTCCTGCCTTTCTCTCAGGGATAGAAAATGTTTTCCTTTTCTCCGGGCCCAGCTGCAATGAATTGCTTCCAGCTTCTTAAGGCTACAGTTTTTATTGTGCTTCCTTCTGAAGATGAACGCTTTTATTTGAAAGGGGTGATGGGTCTCCTTGAAGTTTCAGCAGGGGCTAAAGCTAAAGTAAGCTGAACACCTGAGAGACATTACACCTGTAAGAGTTTGCAAACCTCTGTTTCTGTGGCTCCCAAGAAATTAACACTCTTATAGCCCATATCCAGACTTTAGGAATTCCTTAAAAGTTTATATATGAACCTTCTTATGCACTTACATGGTGTTTGGTATTCTGCATCAGATAGGCAGCTGTCCTGGTCCTGTTTCTCTCTGTAGGCACCTGTCTCTCTCCAGGAACAATGCTGAAATTTACTGAGTCTTGTGCTCCCAGCAGACAGCAATAGTTAAGAAGTTCTCCGATTATTTGGTGTTTCAGGAAAGGACATCACAAAGAACCACCCTTCCCAATATGACTCAGCTAAAACTTGCTGTCCACTCTTTGTCATGACTGGCATAAGACTTTTGTGTTTACCTGAGACAAGGTCAAACACAGATCTTTTTTTTCCCCTTTTGCTTGAACCTGTTGATAAGCCAGATATAGATCCTTTCCCTTTCACCCCTAGCATTAGGAATGAGTAGCTAAAGCTAGAACTGTTTGTTTCCCCGAAACCAGGCAGAGGTAGAAATAAACATCTCTAGTTCAGCAACATGACTGAGACTTCCCCTAATTGCAAAATGATACCATCTGTAAATCACCCCAGCTGTAACTTATCTACTTCTCCTTAAAAAGTCCGGGATGAAACCACATTGCTGAGATACTCTGATCTTTGAATCCAAGGTGTTCTTCTATTACAATAGTCTAAATATAATCATCTCCTTAATTGTCTTGTGCATTCTGTCTTCAACACTAGATTTCAGGTTAGTTATTTGCCCTGTGACCTCAGTTCTCTGAAAGTTCAAGAAAAGTTGCTTATTTGCATTTTTTAAGCTTTTTTCATGCTGTAAGTGTGGGAACAATACTGCTTTCTACTCTTTGTATCTCTGAGATGAAACTGAGTCTTGATTCTCTTATTTACCACTTCCAGAATGAAGAGGGTGTTCCCTAGTATCTTGCAAAGGTGACCAATCAGGTGGTTTTTTTTGTTTGTTTTTTTGGCAGTACTATTATGAACTAATGGATTTTAACATTTTAAGGTTTTCAATCTGTTGCAGTTATTCTTTTTAAAATCATTATTGCCCCAGCTTTGGACAGTGGGAGTCCCTTTAAACTGGTCTTTTAAATCTTTGCCACAACTCAAGTAGTCTTTGATAGCTTCTTTGCTTTCTGCATAACAGGATGTTCTAGTCTCATTCTATGTATTTCCCACACTAGATCTAGAATCAGTCATTTCTCTAGGAAGCCTTTGTTCATTTTACTAGAAAATGGTATTTAAAGACTATAATCTGCCTCTAGTAGTATTTTAACTTTTTGTTTGTTTGAGATAGAGTCTAGCTCTGTCACCAAGGCTGGAGTGTAGTGGCGCAATCTCAGCTCACTACAACCTCTGCCTCCCAGGTTCAAGCGATTCTCCTGCCTCAGCCTCCCAAGTAACTGGGATTACAGCCATGATGGCCAGCAAATTTTTGTATTGTTAGTAGAGATGGGGTTTCACCATGTTGGTCAGGCTGGTCTCGAACTCCTGACCTCAAGTGCTCCACTTGCCTCGGCCTCCCAAAATGCTGGGATTACAGGTATGAGCCACCATGCCGGCCACATTTTAGCTCTTTATATGAAAAATAATTCATGTATTTTCTTAAAAATATGGAAATAATATTACTCATAGTATTGTATTAATTAAATGAGGTAAAGTATGCAATCAAGACTTACTAAGGGATAGCTTTTTCATTTGTTTACAAAATATTTTTTGAGCACATGCTTTGAGCTAGACATGTTCTAGGCTCTGGGGATAGATGCAGAGGGTGGGGGAGGAGAAAGAAGTCAAAATCTTTGCCCATATGGCATTTACATTCTAGTGGAGGGAGGAAAATCATACAGAAATAATAAAATAAATAGTATATCAGGCAATATGTGCTATGGAGAAAACTAAAGCAATGAAGGGGCTAAGGGAGTGCTGTTGCTATTTTTAGTAATACTATTTTTATATGACTGGAATGAATCAAATTTCCATATATATGATATACATATATATTTTATATATATGTGTATATATACACATATATACATATATATTTATATATGTATATATGTGTATATATACACATATATACATATATATATAAAACCCCAGGCAATACAGTTGGGAAGGTAAGTCTAATTTATGGAAGAAAAAAAATCTATTTTCATTGTTTTATGAGGCCTCCTTATTTAAATAGATTATAAATAAATCATTGTGTAAGGCCTGCATATTATCCTCCTCCTGAACCACATCCAGGTGTCCATTTCTTCAATGAACTCGGTTCATGGTAATATCTCGTTTCTCCAATGAACTCAGTTCATGGTAATATCCAAAGACATTATTATTAATATCCAAAGATATTACCACGAACTGAGTTCATTGAAGAAATGGACAACTGCATTTTGTTGGTGTCTAGAGACAAGGCCCATGTGTGCCCTGCTCCCATGCTGGCAGATGCACGAGGCACACAGTATATCAATGATCCTCCTCTGGATGTGTGATAGTACATATAAAATTCTATTATGCTCCCTCCTTCCCAATAAAGGTGAAGTGGCCAATAGAAAGATCTATCCTTTTAAGAGGTAATAATCCCTCAGCTCTGCCTCCTCATTCCCACTGATGGGTCCTTAGAGACCCTCCAGCTCCTCTTGAAAACACTTTGAAGGGGACTATTGCACCTAAGTACAGGAAGTTTTTATTTTAATGTCTATTGACATATCACCAAAGAACCAAATAAAAACATTTTATTTGGTGATACTTTCTTAAGGCAACAACTATTTGTGAAAAACATTTAGGTGCCAGGGATGAATGACAGCCCCAACCATGTTTCCAATGTATCCGCATAAGAAATAGGAACATGGCTGCCTGAATGCTATAAAGTATTTTAATGCAGCTCTAAATTCTGTTGGTGTATAGTAAACCAGGCACTAGAGACAAATTTCCAAGATTGCGTATTTATCAATATAATAGACAGCCCAATCTATTTCTAGGGTAATCGTTGTATATATCTTAAAGATACATTTTTGTTAAAAATGAGATTTATTCTATATGAACAGCATTACAAAGTGACTGCCCAATGGTATGGCATCAACTTTTTTAGAGTATTATTCAGAGTTGGTACTGTAGATTAGTGTCTTCAGCATGCTGTTGCTTTGGGTACCAGGTCACCCTAAAATCCCCAAAGACTTGACTATTAGATTGTTAAATCTCTTTTAAAAATCTCCTTAGATGCTTTTTTAAATGGTAGAGACACATAAAGCCTGCACTACTGATGTTCTGGGTTTAATACTCTGCCTTACTTATTTGCCATGGAAAAACATGGCTGATATACCGAGAAACCAGAATCTATGGGTGACATTTCAGTCTCTGAAATGTGTGAAGCATGTGCCTGTTGTTTCCAACATGTATTCTTCTGCCCACTAGAGTGTGGACTTCTCAAAGTTTGTGCTGTATCTTATTTATCTCTTTGTCCCTAATACCTGACTGGCGCACCATAGCAGGGACACACCCAGAGCCTGGCATACAACATAGTAGGGATCAAGAAGTAAGTTGAATAAACGAATATTGGTTTCATTCATTTGAGCTCTTATTAAACTTCCTTCCTACAAATTCCACCCTTTCAAAGCATTTCCTACTTCAAAGGATTTGAACTCTGGGTCTTACACCAGAGTCTCTGGATAGGTGAGGCAAAAACATGGAAGCTTGCCCAGGAGGGGCATCCACATTTCACCCTGCAGACTGGAGAGTTTAAAGCATTTAGACTGGTTACCTGAATCTCCCCTGCACAAACCATGGTCTTCTTGACCACCAAGACTTTGACCATGCTATTATCTCCACTAACATGCCCTTTCCCTCTATCTTCCAGGAAGTTTTCTCAGGTAGCATTTATCTTATAGATAAATTGTTGAGAGGCTGGAGTCAGATAAGAACATGCTAGCAGATGCTTGGCACAGTAAACTCGAATTTCCTTCTCACTGCCACAGACCCTACTCCTTCTGCAACCTGAGGCACAGCATCTTGGCCTCACAGTTCAGCTCATGGGTAAATGCTGCTGCATATTGACCAGGAATTGTCTCTTCCATGTCTCTCTGGTCTCCCCAACTAGGTCCTTAGAAGGTCATGCTTTATTTGTCCCTTATGCATTAGCCAGCATTCTCCAGAGGGACAGAGCTAATAAGATATATGTACATATAAAAGGGAGTTTATCGGGAGAATTGGTTGACATGATTACAAGATGAAGCCCCAGGATAGGCCATCTGCAAGCTGGGAAAAGCAAGAAGCCAGTAGCATGGCTCAAAGTCCAAAAGCCTCAAAACCATGGAAGCTGACAGTGCAGCCATCAGTCTGAGGCCTAAAGCACAAGAACCCCCAGGAGGCTGCTGGTGTAAGACCCAGAGTTGAAAGGCCAACTAACCTTGAATCTGATGTCCAAGGGCAGGAGGAGAGAAAGCCCGGAGACTCTAAAAGCAACCCTATCGCCCTTTTTCTGTCTGCTTTGTTCTTGTACTGGCAGGTGATTGGATGGTGCCCACTAACAATGAGTGTGAGTCTTCCTCTCCCAGTCCACTGACTCAAACGTCAATCTCCTCTAGCAACAACTTTTCTGGGTATATACCCAGACACATCCAGAAACAATACTTTACTAGCCATCTGGCCATTTCTCAGTTCAGTCAAGTTGACACCTAATACTAAGCATCACACCTTGCGTTCATTCTAACATCTAGAACATAGTAAGACACCTGGGAGATAGTCAATAAAAGTTATCCAGCCAGCTTTCTCCTCCTTTGGGCTTTCTTCTCTCCTTTTTTTTTTTTTTGTGGTGCATTGCTTTTGTGAGGGATGTATTTTTGTTCTCACCTCATTGCCTTTCTTACTTCATGACTCTGTCTGTCTTGGCCACAGCAAACTGGACCAAGGGTAGAACATTCACCCATGTTCATTATACGTCTCCTAGGGATGTATAAATAAGAGATAACCCAGAAGTCTCTAGATAGCTGATGCAAAAACATGGAAGCTTGCCCAAGTGGGGCACCCACATTTCACCCTGCAGACTGGAGAGTCAAAGCTGCTGTTACCCAATTTGCCAGTCTGTGTCTTTTAATTGGGGTATTTAGCCCATTTACATTTAAGGTTAATATTGTTATGTGTGATTTGATCCTCTCATTATGATGCTAGCTGATTATTTTGCCTGTTAGTTGAGCAGTTTCTTCATAGTGTCAATGGTCTTTACAATTTGGTATGTTTTTGCAGTGCCTGGTACCAGTTGTTCCTCTCTATGTTTAGTGCTTCCTTCAGGAGCTCTTGTAAGGCAGGCCTGCTGGTGACAAAATCTCTCAGCATTTGCTTGTCTGTAAAGGATTTTATTTCTCCTTCACTTATGAAGCTTAGCTTGGCTGGATATGAAATTCTGCGTTGAAAATTTTTTTTCTTTAAGAATGTTGAAGATTGGCCCCCACTCTCTTCTGTCATGTAGGGTTTCTGCCAAGAGATCTGCTGTTAGTCTGATGCACTTCCCTTTGTGGGTAACCCGACCTTTCTCTCTGGCTGCCCTTAACATTTTTTCCTTCATTTCAACCTTGGTGAATCTGACGATTATGTCTTGGGGTTGCTCTTCTCGAGAAGTATCTTTGTGGTGTTGTCTGTATTTCCTGAATTTGAATGTTGGCCTGCCTTGATAGATTGGGGAAGTTTTCCTGGATAATATCCTGAAGTGTGTTTTCCAACTTGGTTCCATTTTCTCCATCACTTTCAGGTAAACCAATCAAATGTTTTGGTCTTTTCACATAGTCCCATATTTCTTGGAGGCTTTGTTCATTTCTTTTCACTATTTTTCCCTAACCTTGTCTTCTTGCTTTATTTCATTAAGTTGATCTGCAATCTCTGATATCCTTTCTTCCACTTGATAGATTCAGCTATTGATACTTGTGTATGCTTCATGAAGTTCTCATGCTGTGTTTTTCAGCTCCGTCAGGTCATTTATGTTCTTCTCTAAACTGGTTATTCTAGTTAGCAATTCCTCTAACCTTTTTTCAAAGTTCTTAGCTTCCTTGCATTGGGTTAGAAAAAGTTCTGTTAGCTTGAAAGAGGTTGTTATTACTCATGTTCTGAAGCCTACTTCTGTCAATTCGTCAAACTCGTTCTCCATCCAGTTTTATTTTCTTGCTGGGGAGGAGTTGTAATCCTTTGGAGGAGAAGAGGCATTCTCGTTTTTGAAATTTTCAGCTTTTGTGCACTGGTTTCTCCCCATCTTTGTGAATTTATCTACTTTTGGTCTTTGATGTTGGTGACCTTCTGATGGGGTCTCTGAGTGGATGTCAAGACCCATCAGTGTGCTGTATTCAGGAGACCGATGTCACCTGCAAAGACACACATAGGCTCAAAATAAAGAGATGGAGGAAGATTTACCAAGAAAATGGAAACCAAAAAAAAAAAAAAAAAAAAAAAAAGAAGTGGTTGCAATCCTAGTCCCTGATAAAACAGACATTAAATCAACAAGGATCAAAAGAGACAAAGAAGGGCATTACATAATGGTAAAGGGATCAATGCAACAAGAAGAACTAACTATCCTAAATATATATGCACCCAATAAAGGAGCACCCAGATTCATAAAGCAAGTCTTTAGAGACCTAGAAAGAGACTTAGACTCCCACACAATAATAGTGGGAGACTTTAACACCCCACTGTCAATATTAGACAGATCAATGAGACAGAAAATTAACAAGCATATCTAGGACTTGAACTCAGCTCTGGAACAAGCAGACCTAATAGACATCTACAGAACTCTCCATCTCAAATCAACAGAATATACATTCTTCTCAGCACCATGTCACACTTATTCTAAAATTGACCACATAATTGGAAGTCAAAACACTCCTCAGCAAATGCAAAAGAATGGAAATCATAACAGTCTCTCAGACCACAGTGCAATCAAATTAGAACTCAGGATTAAGAAAGTCACTCAAAACTGCAGAACTACTTGGAGACTGAACAACCTGCTCCTGAATGACTACTGGGTAAATAACGTAATTAGGTAGAAATAAAGATGTTCTTTGAAACCAATGAGAACAAAGACACAATGTACCAGAATATCTGGGAAACAGCTAAAGCAGTGTTTAGAGGGCAATTGGTAGCACTAAATTCCCACAAAAGAAAGCAGAAAAGATCTAAAATCGACACCCTAACATCACAATTAAAAGAGCTAGAGAAGCAAGAGCAAACAAATTCAAAAGCTAGCAGAAGACAAGAAATAACTAAGATCAGAGCGGAACCGAAAGAGTTAGAGACATGAAAAACCCTTCAAAAAAATCAATGAATCCAGGAGCTGGTTTTTTTAAAAGATCAACAAAATAGATAGACCACTAGCCAGACTAATAAAGAAGAAAAGAGAGAAGAATCGAATAGATACAATAAAAAATGATAAAGGGGATATCACCGCTGATCCCACAGAAACACAAACTACTATCAGAGAATTCTATAAGTACCTCTATGCAAATAAACTGGAAAATATGGAAGAAATAAATTCCTAGACACATAAACCCTCCCAAGACTAAACCAGGAAGAAGTCAAATGCCTGAATAGACCAATAACGAGTTCTGAAACTGAGGCAATAATTAATAGCCTACCAACTAAAAAAAGTCCAGGACCAGACAATTCATGGCCTAATTCTACCAGAGGTACGAAGGGGAGCTGGTATCATTCCTTTTGAAACTATTCCAAACAATAGAAAAAGAGGGAACCCTCCCTAACCCATTTTATGAGGCCAGCATAATTCTGATACCAAAACCTGGCAGAGACACAACAACAACAACAACAACAACAACAACAACAACAAAGAAAGAAAATTTCAGACCAATATCCCTGATGAACCTCCATGTGAAAATCCTCAAGAAAATACTGGCAAACCGAATCCAGCAGCACATCAAAAAGCTTATCCACGACGATCAAGTTGGCTTCATCCCTGGGATGCAAGGCTGGTTCAACATACACAAATCAATAAACATAATCCATCACATAAACAGGAGCAATGACAAAAACCACATGATTATCTCAATAGATGCCGAAAAGGCCCTTGACAAAATTCAACGCGCTTCATGCTAAAAACTCTCAATAAACTAGGTATTGATGGAATGTACCTCAAAATAATAAAAGCTATTTATGACAAACCCACAGCCAATATCATACTGAATGGGCAAAAACAGGAAGCATTCCCTTTGAAAACCAGCACAAGACAAGGATGCCCTTTCTCACCACTCCTATTCAACATAGTATTGGAAGTTCTGGTCAGAGCAATCAGGCAAGAGAAAGAAATAAAGTGTATTCAGCTAGGAAAAGAAGAAGTCAAACTGTCTCTGTTTGCAGATGACAAGATTGTATATTAAAAAACCCCATCATCTCAGCCCAAAATCTCCTTAAGCTGATAAGCAACTTCAGCAAAGTCTGAGGATAGAAAATCAACGTGCAAAAATCACAGGCATTTCTATACACCAATATCAAACAAACAGAGAGCTGAATCATGAGTGAACTCCCATTCCCAGTTGCTAAAAAGAGAATAAAATACCTTGGAATACAACTTACAAGGGATATGAAGGGCCTCTTCAAGGAGAACTACAAACCACTGCTCAAGAAAATAAGAGAGGATATAAACAAATGGAAAAACATTCCATGCTCATTGATAGAAAGAATCAATATAGTGAAAATAGCCATACTGCCCAAAGTAATTTATAGTTTCAATGCTATTCTCATCAAGCTACCATTGACTTTCCTCACAGAATTGGAAAAAACTACTTTAAATTGCATATGGAACCAAAAAAGAGCCCACATAGTCAAGACAATTCTTAGCAAAAAGAACAAAGCTGGAGGCATCATGCTACCTGACTTCAAACTACACTACAAGGCAACAGTAACCGAAACAGCATGGTACTGGTACCAAAACAGATTTAGAGACCAATGGAACAGAACAGAGGCCTCAGAAATAACACTACACATCTACAACCAACTGGTCTTTGACAAACCTGACAAAAACAAGCAATGGGGAAATGATTCCCTATTTAATAAATGGTGCTGGGAAAACTGGCTAGCCATATGTGGAACACTGAAACTGGACCCCTTCCTTACAAAAAATTATACAAAAATTTACAAAAAATTATACAAAAAAAGTTATACAAAAATTAACTCAAGATGGATTAAAGATTTAAATGTAACACCTAAAACCATACAAATCCTAGAAGAAAACTTAGGCAATACCATTCAGGACATAGGTATAGGCAAAGACTTCATGACTAAAACACCAAAAACAATGGCAACAAAAGCCAATATTGACAAATGGGATCTAACTAAACTAAAGAGCTTCTGCACAGAAAAAGAAACTATCATCAGTGTGAAGAGGCAACCTACAGAATGGGAGAAAATTTTTGCAATCTATTCATCTGACAAAGGGCTAATATTGAGAATCTACAAATAAACAAATTTACAAGAAAAAACCCCATCAAAGAGTGGGTGAAGGATATGAACAGACACTTCTCAAAAGAAGACATTTATGCAGCCAATGAACATATGAAAAAAAGCCCATAATCACTGGTCATTAGAAAAATGCAAATCCAAACCACAATGAGATACCATCTCATGCCAGTTAGAATAGCGATCATTAAAAAGTCAGGAAACAGCAGATGCTGTAGAGGATGTGGAAAAATAGGAACACTTTTACAATGTTGGTGGGAGTGTAAATTAGTTCAATCATCGTGGAAGACAGTGTGGTGATTCCTCAAGGAACTAGAACTAGAAATGCCATTTGACCAGCAATCCCATTATTGGGTATATACCCAAAGGATTATAAATCATTCTACTATAAACACACAGGCACACATATGTTTATTGTGGCACTATTCACAATAGCAAAGACTTGGAACCAACCCAAATGCCCATCAATGATAGACTGGATAAAGAAAATGTGGCTCATATACACCATGGAATACTATGTAGCCATAAAAAAGGATGAGTTCATGTCCTTTGCAGAGACATAGATGAAGCTGGAAACTATCATTCTCAGCATACTAACACAGAAACTGAAAACCAAACACCACATGTTCTCACTCATAAGTGGGAATTTAACAATGAGAACACATGCACATGGGGAGGGAAACATCACACACCAGAGCCTGTTGGGAGATGGGGGGCTAGGGGAGGGATAGCATTAGGAGAAATACCTAATGTAGATGATGTAAGTTGATGGATGCAGCAAACCACCATGGCACATGTATACCTATGTAACAAACCTGCACATTCTTTACATGTACCCAAACTTAAAGTATAATAATAATAATAATAAGCTGTTGTTACATGAACAGAGAGGAGGATAAACCAGTTAAGCAGGATGGACAGAGAACAAGAGTTGCAGGGCATCCTGTCCAGTTTCCAGTTCCTAACTCTAGTAACTCTTCCTAGGGCCCAGCACTTTTCTGCTCTTGGGTTCTGTGAACTGCCCCTTGTCATTCATTAAATCTCTCCTCATCCCTACCCAAGCTAGCTTGCCACTGAAAGATTCTCATTTAACATATTCTCTTTCTTTTGCTCCTTTCTCCTCCCCCCAAATACTTAAAAGAGCAACCTTTGGGAACTTTGAGGGCATGGAGCACCTGGGACTTGTCTATCTTCTTTGCCTAATGGATCCAATTCTAGGGTGAAGGGGAATGGGGGAGAAGTGGGAGAGTAGAAGTTGAGCATCCTTTTGAGAATACTCACTAGTTTGGAAATCCACCTGATGTCTGCATTACACATGTTCTTGGCCAGCTGTGGCTCCTGGGATAATTAGCTCTTGGAAGCATCATGATCTGAGCAGAGAACTGTGCCAAGAGGACTAGTCTCAAAGCCAGATATGCCTAAGTTCTATGACTTATAGCCTGAGGCTCCTTTGTTGTATTTCTGATGCAGCCCATATGAGGATTAAAATGACTGGTCTCTGGCTGCAGTGCCCAGCCCAGCATCTGGCACATAGTGGTGCCACTGCCCCTGCCATACATCTTTACTGTGTTCTGACCTACAGTGGAGGAGGGATGCTGAAAAGAGAGGTTGATTCTGAGACAACAATGATGTCTGTAGTCCCTCGGCAGGGAAGTGTATACCAATTCTTAGTCTCTTGGAAACTAGTTCAAAGGCACAAGTAACCCAGCATTTTTCCCTGAGTGGGCCAAGTGTTGAAAGCAGGAAAGAATGTTTAAACAGAAGAATGAAGAAAAAGCTGGATCTCTTTGTTTTCCCTATACTCATAGCTATTCCTTTTTCTCCCCTCTGGGTATCACAATCTGTTTGGGCTGTCATAACAAAATAACATATACTGGGTGGCATAAAGAACAGAAATTGATTTTCTCACAGTTCTGGAGGTTGGAAGTTCATGATCAGGGAGCCAGTGTGGTCAGGTTCTAGTGAGGGCTCTTTTCCCAGCTTGCAAGTGGCCACCTTCTTGCTGTGTGCTCACATGGAGCCTTTCTGTTGTAGGTGCAGAGAAAAGAAAGAGAGAGAGATTTTATAAGGCCACCAATCCTATCAGATTAGGATCTGATAGGATCCTATGCCCTTATGACCATATTTAACCTTAATTATTTCCTAAGAGCCCTATCTCCAAATACAGTCATATTGGGGGTTAGGGCTTCAACATATGAATTTGGGGAAGACACCATTCCGTACACAGCACGGCAGATTGAGAGCTTGGGCAGGGGGTGGCAGGGAAAGAACAAAGTGAATGCATCTCTCCTCTTTACCACAGTCATAAATAAACATCAGACGGGAGATAGATGCAAATTCAGGAAAGAGCAAGATATCATCGCTATCCCAGGAGGGAAGAGGCTGTTACATTTCAAATTATTAAAGATTCAACCACATGCACGGAATAAATGTATCTCATTTAGGTCTTGAAGTTTTCTGCCTTTATTCTTATTTAATTAGAGCATTTGCTATGTAAAGATCTCATATTTTTGTGAGAAGCATCATCAGCAAATTTAACTCCAGAAGAAACGTAATTAATTTCAGAAGCAGAGGCTGTCAGTCAGTTATACCTTAGCATAAACCATCCCACTTTTGAGTGGCCATAGCCTTTGGGGATTTTTTCCTGTTACTTCTGTTTCAGTTCCTAGGCTAAGTACAAGTCATGAACTGTGCTGAAATGGTGCTTATATTGGTTTTGAAGTCTTATGGATATTGATATAATCTAAACGAACCTGGTAGAAATGGCCAGTTTACCCCTACTCCACACACACACACACAGATACACACAATATTTTTGTTCTAACCTTGATGTTTGCTTACGTTAGTCATCATGCTTGGTAATCAAAAGCCTTAGAACTTCAGGTAAAATAACCACAGCAATGAGTAGTAAGGAAAAACTTTATTCTGAATGTTGAATACAATGAAAGAATTTTTCCATCTGTAGGAGATGAGGATACAGTTTTACTTCTTTGAGGGACTGATAGGATAAATTATATTAGCAGATTAATTTATATCAATGTACCTGTATATTCTGGGAATAAATCCAGTTGGTTGTGGTGAATTATTCTTTCTAAATGCTGCTGGATTACGTTTGCTAACATTTTATTTAAGAGTTTTTCTTTTTAATTTACCGATCTGAAGGTTGGGTGTGTGTTGTACAATCACCAGTTTTTGGTCAGATTAGGGAAAGCATCAGAGTGAGGCTAGCTTTGTAAAATGTCAGGAAATTTGAAGAGTACCACGATGAATGAACACAGTTTTTGACAGTCTCTGATGGTCCTGTGTTGTGCGGGTGGGAACAGGAGTCAGCCAAGGGCCTGATCTTCTCAGTTGCACTCGTGGGTTTGCACGTCTCTGATGACCTCATCTGTGCAGTTCCTCCCTATCATCTCCTCTCACAGCACACAGCTCATTCCCCTGCAGCACAAGTCACATTTTGTTTTAATAGCTATATACTAATTGGTTTGTTTACCTGTTTTTCTGTCCCTCATTGACTTTATGTTTCATAAGGGCAAACCCTTGTTCATTTCACTCACCAAAATATTACCCAGTACCTAGCATACTGCCTGAACCAAAGTAGGAGCTCAAGAAATAATTATGGAATGAATGGTGGATGTTAGGTAAGATTCAACTTGACTCAAGATAAGCTCTATCACTGTGCTATTAATAGAATATAAGGAATTTATAATACTACTAACAATTTTAATACTTATAATACCTAATACAATGCCTACACATCACCTCACTCGGGTTTGACACAGCAGTTGATGTGCAACAAATTCAAGTTTTTTCTTTTTGGGACTTTATGAATTTCTTTTCCCAAGTATTTTTGATCTGTGCTTGGTTGAATCCACAGATGCAGAACCCATGGGTATGGAGGGCCATTTGCATACTATATACTGAAAGCACTGTATACTAATAAGTTGATATATGTTCTTCAGTGTAATCCCTTCAAAAAGCCCTATAAAGAAGGTTCACTAACCTCAAATAATTTACCTGAAGCCACCAGGTTAGTAAGCTAGGATTTAAACCCAGGTCTTTCAGAGGCTTCAAAGCCTGTGTTCTTTACAACTATGAGAAATTGTTTTCTTCCTAAAACAAGTTGCAGCAGAGAACTAAGCTCAGTATATTTTCACTAATGTGAGGCCACGTCTTGGTTTATTCATTCCAAATGTGAGGTTCCTTGGTCCAATGTTACATTAACATTTAGAAGGATTTTCACTATATATAATGAAACTACTGTTGCATGTAGAATAAATATGATTGTTTAAATGCCTAAGGAACTTCATTTAAAATGCAGCATTCATCACAAGAAAAGAATCCGCCTTCTCCTGCCTTTGTTCATGACAATGTGCCCTGAAAGGCAAAGAGAAAAGGCTGGGGCTTCCCTCCCTCCCTCCCAACTTCCAGTCCCAGGTCCAGAGCCTGGCAGGTAGGGGCCAGAGGCTACAGAACTGTGTTCCAGTCATGGTGGGTGCTCAGTGGAGAAGGGGTGGAGGACTTGGGTTTTTAGCACAATGGTGACCAGAAGCCCACTCCTGCATTTCTCCCTCCTAAGACAGCCCTCCCCATCTTGCATATCAGTGATTAGCTTGGGCCAGCTCAAGAAAAGAGCAATTCTGTGGCAGATACATTAACGATTTTTTTTCTACCTTGGGGTTGAAAAGGAGAGGGGCTTGCAAAATGAGGATGGTCTGTGCAGGCAGGTTGGATGGAGTTGATTCATGCAGCAATTATTTATTGAGCAATTACTATATGCTTAAAGATGGGGATGCAATCAGGGATGAAACTCAGTAGAGTGGGAATATCCAAGAAATTATTATTTTTAATAAGTACACTTATAACAGGGGCTAAGATGGAAAAATCAAGAGTGCTCTGTGGAGGGAATCTGGCCGCCTTCTACACTTGGGCTGAGGACAGATCTCACTTTAAATTAGTGACATATACACTAAAGCTTGAAAAAAGAGTAATGGGTAGTTGTTACTCACAGGGTAGATAGTACCAGAACTCTGTGCAGAGAGATCATTATGGGCAAATTCTCTGGAGAAGGAAAGAAGTGAGGCCAAAATAAAGCACAGTGGTGGAGATGGTGTTGCTGTAGCAGGAGTAAAAGCAGGGTGCGAGGCAGGAGGCACTGGCAAAGGCTGGATCACTCAGAGCCTTCCAGATCCTACAGACGACCGTAACTATCAACAGCAGTGGGCATCCAATGACAGGGTTTGAGCAATGGAGTGACATGGCCAGATGTCATGGGCACCCAATGACAGGGTTTGAGCAATGGAGTGACATGGCCAGATGTCATGGGCACCCAATGACAGGGTTTGAGCAATGGAGTGACATGGCCAGAATGAGGCCAGAACCACATTCTCTGCAGTAAGGAGAATAAGCTGGAAGGGGCAAGGTGGGTGTTTGAGACAAGGTCATATTTCACTTTAGAGAGAGATGACAATACCAGGTGGTGAGAAATAAAGATGGAGAGAAAAGGGAGGGTTTGTAATTAATTTTGGGAATGAAATTGCCAGTTCCTGGTGTCTGATTGGATATGGGAGGAGAGAAACACGGAGGTATAAAAGGTGATGTCCAGCATTCTCACTTGAGCAAGTAATTGCGTGCTAGAGATGCCATTGTTGAGACAGGGACACTAGGAAAGGGAGAACTGTATGGAAATATCAAGACTTCATTTTGACTGTGTTTTGTTTGAATAGCTTGAGACATCTTGTAGACCTCTGGATATATTTATCTGGACTTTAGAAGTAAAGAAGGTCTGAGCTGGAAAGTTAAATTCATTTTAGTGCAACAAATATTGAATATTTACTCTCAGCCAAGCATCATGCTGGTACCAGGGAACTTCCTCATCTTGCCCAGAGAGAATTAGAACCAAGCATGAGACCATATCCTGAATATGTCAAAAGTGAGATATGCACACACTACAATGGAAAGGGCCCTACAGCTCACAACAAATTGTGACCAGTGGTGGGGAGAGGAGAGAGAAAAAATGAGTATGGGGAAAGGAATCCAGGGAAGTTCCATGGAAGAGGCAGAAGTTGGTCCAAGCCTCAAAGGTTGAGGAGAAGGGCAAAGTGCAAAGGAGTAGAAGGCACTCTAGGCAGGAAGAAAATTCTGAACCAGGGCATGGTGTAAGTGCAGAGGAGACGAAGGACACAATGCCCTCTCTAAAGGGCACAGGGAAGATAGGAAGTAAGGCTGGAAAAATGTGCTAGAGCCAGAGTGCCTAAGACCTCAGGTGAGATCAGAGAGTTTGGATTTTAGGACATCTAGTGACTTCCAGCACTTACAGCTCATCAGAATGACTTGGGGGGATGATTGAAGTTTATATTCCCAGGCTCCAACCATTGAAATTCAGATTCTATAATTGTAGGATGAAAATTAGAGACCCCAGGAGGTTCTTGCAGAGCAAATCTGGAAACTGCCATGTGAGAACTGCTCATATGTATGATAGGAGCCAAAAGTCCGTGACTACTCTAGCAGTCTACCTCTACCAAGTGGAATCATGCAGTATTTGTCTTTTAGTCCACTTATCAGACTCAAGCATGAGTTTTCTCCAGGTTCATCCATGTTGTAATATATATCAGAATTCCCTTCCTTTTTAGGAATGAATAGTATTCTATTATATACATACACCACATTTTGTTTTTCTACTCATCCATCAGTGGACACTGAGGTTGCTTCCACCTCTTGGCTATTGTTAATGATACTGCTATAAACATGTGTGTACATGTGGGGGTCTTTAAACAACTCAGGTTGCACCCTAGACCATCCAAATACAATGAGACCCAGGCATCAGTATTTTTAAAACTTTCCAGGTAGTTCCAATATGTAGCCAAGGGGGCGGGGAACCACCATGTAAAAGGAAGTTGTTCACAATGGAAGCAGAGAGAAGAAAAATAGAGGCACCTGCATCTTGTTTCCCCTTCCTTCTTTTCCTGCCAAAGTCTTCTTCCAGACCTACCTCTACCCAGGACAGAAAAAGACACCTTTGAGATGAGCCCTTGGGATGGGGTAAAAGGCAGCGCATGGGGTGGCAATTCCTTAAATTCCCTCATTGTTCAACTGAATTGTATGGCAGGGACATGAGATACACGTTAAGGGCAATTGTCTTTTCTTTTTTTTTTTCTTTTCTAATTTCAACTTTTATTTTAGATTCAGGGAATGCATGTGCAGGTTTGTTACATGGGTATAAGGTGAGATACTGAGGCTTGGAGTACAAGTAATTCTGTCACCTAGGTAGTAAATACAGTACCCAATAGGTAGTTTTTTAGCCCTTCCTCCTTTCCCTCTCTCCCTCTCGTAGTAGTCCCCAGCATCTATTGTTCCCATCTTTACATCCATGTGTTTCCCAATGCTTAGTTATCACCTATATGTAAGAATGCGTGGTATTTGGTTTTCTGTTTCTGTTTTAATTTTCTTAGGATAATGGCCTCCAGCTGCATCCATGTTGCTGCAAAGGACATGATTTCATCGTTTTTATGGCTGCATAATATTCCACGTTGTATATGTACCACATGTTCTTTATCCAATCCACTGTTGATGTGCACCTAGGTTGATTCCATGTCTTCGCTATTGTAAATAGCATGGCGATGAATATATGTGCCTTTTTGGTAGAACAATTTGTTCTCCTTTATGTATATACCCAGTAATGGTATTGCTGGGTCAGATGGTAGCTCTGTTTTAAGTTCTGTGAGAAATCTCCAAACTGCTTTCCACAGTGGCCGAACTAATTTACATTCCCATCAACAGTGAATAAACATTCCCTTCTCTTTGCAGTCTTGCCAGCATCTGTTATTTTTTGACTTTTTAATAATAGTAATAGCAATTTTCAAGTGATTTGATTTGCCTAGGTGATTTTTTATTCTAAACAGCCTTAACCTGGTCCTTGGTTTCCAGGACATCTATGACCCAAGATTGTGAAACTAGATGTTGCTGGTGCAGGTTTCATGGGAAGGGGACCCAGCTTTAAAAAACTTGCTTTCCTACAGCAGCCGTGCTGAGGTTTCAGGCTAGGAGGAGGAAAGAGAGCTAGACAGGCAAGGCAGAAGCAGCTGTAGAAGTGCTGTCCTGGGTTACCAGAGAGAAGTTTCTGAAGGTGGTTGCTGGGAATGAGAATGCCTAGATGCAACCATGAAATCAAAGGAACCTGGAAGGGTTTGCAAGCAGTCGTGAATACAGGTTAGTTATTTTATAACCTACTGAAGGCTTCCTTGATGGACAGCTGTTGCTGATAGGGCTCCCAATCCATTCTAATGAAGTACACACCACTTCAGTGGAAGACTAATAATTCACTCTGGCTATGATGGTATAGACACAACTGCTATATAGCTAGAGAACTAACTTTTAAATTCTCCATTCTTTTTCTTTTTCTTTCTTTTTTTTTTTTTTTTTTTTTTGAGATGGAGTCTTGCTCTGTCGCCCAGGCTGGAGTGCAGTGGCGTGATCTGGGCACACTGCAAGCTCCGCCTCGTGGGTTCACGCCATTCTTCTGCCTCAGCCTCCCGAGTAGCTGGGACTACAGGTGCCTGCCACCACGCCCGGCTAATTTTTTTGTATTTTTAGTAGAGATGGGGTTTCACCGTGTTAGCCGGGATGATCTCGATCTCCTGACCTCATGATCCGCCCGCCTCGGCCTCCCAAAGTGCTGGGATTACAGGCGTGAGCCACCGCACCCGGCCCATTATTTTCAATGTAATAGCTCTACTTGGGAGGAATTTGCCTTTCCTAAGTAATTTTGGAAAGTTCAGTTGTGTTTAATAAGGAATTATAAATCAACTAGTCTTACATTATTTTGTGCTCACATGATTACGTTGAGTTAATCCCTCATATATAATCAAGAAATGAATTTTCCCCAATTGCTTTTTAAAAAATGATCACTACACAGCCCAATGCTCCAACTCCCATATTTATATGAAGGTGAGAGAGAAAACAGATCAATA
This sequence comes from Homo sapiens, assembly GCF_000001405.40. Classification (NCBI taxonomy): domain Eukaryota; kingdom Metazoa; phylum Chordata; class Mammalia; order Primates; family Hominidae; genus Homo; species Homo sapiens. The sequence continues at coordinate 136,920,156 of NC_000005.10, read as the reverse complement.
TTTATAATTTGCTACAAACACAGTGGCTTCTATCAAGACACAGGCAGAAAAGGGTAAAGTACAGAGAGGTAGAGACTGCCTGAGAATGAACTTGCTGCATCTCAAAACTCTACCCGGAAAAGCAATGAACCAGAGCTACATTAAAGAAAAAATATATCCTTCCAAACCAGGCGCAGAGTTGGAAGATGGCTAGGCCAGTGAGAAGAGCATAAATCCGATGGGAGAAGAACAGCATACAAATGGCCTAATTCAAACTCCATGCATAAATACAGCCTCCTAAATGGTACAGGCTAGTGGTTGATAACCAGGGTCCTGAAGTCCTCCAGACCTAGGATTAAGCCCCTGCTCTGTCATTTAACAGATCTTGGGAAGGTTATGCTCTCTCAACCTCAGTTTTCTCATCTGTAAAATGATATAAAAGTGCCTATAATTCAAGGACGTGTGAATTTGAATGGGTTAATTCATGTGAAGTACTTGTACTGAGAGGTGGTCTGTTCCCAAATGCCTCTCAGAGGAAGCTGAGATTTCCTTCTCTGGGGCCCGCTGTGTGCAGGTTTTTGGTCTTGATAAGAGAAGAAAATGCTGTTTTAGTTTCATTCTATACTTCCATTTTCTAGTATTTTGAAGATGCTCAACCTCATTCCTAAGATAAATGCAAAATAAACTACCCTTAAATACCATTTTTCACCCACCATATTGGCTAACATCCTAAAGTTGGATAACACACTCGGATGTACAGGCTGTGAAGAATCAGGTCCTCTCAGACTGCTGACTTGAATGTAAATTGGTATAACCACTACAGGGGTAATTGGCAATATGTCAAAATTACAAATGCACAAACCCTTGGACTACGGACAATGTTAGTCACTAAAGAAAATTTTTCTAAAATCAAAAGACTAGAAATAACTCCCATGTCTATCAATGAGGCCATTTAATTAAATTATGTTTCATCCCTCTAATAAAATACTTTGTATCTGAATAAAGATAGTTCTTTTTGTGTTCATATGAGAGTTCTCCAAGATATATTTTAAATTATAAAATAAAGATGCAGATCAATATGTGTTTTTTTCCGTATGCTACATTTTGTGTAATAAAAAGGAAGTAAACATGAATATCTATTCATATTTTTCTTGAATAACCATAAAGAAATTTTAAGACTGGGTGCAGTGGTTCAAACCTGTAATCCCCACACTTTAGGAGGCCCAGGTGGGATTGCTTGAGCTCAAGAGTTTGAGACCAGGGGCAACATAGTGAAATCTCATCTCTACAAAAAATTAAAGAAAATATAAACTAGCTGGGCATGGTGGTGTGCATGTGTAGTTCTAGCTACTCAGGAGGCTGAGGTGGGAGGATTGCTTGAACCCAGGAGGTCAAGACTGTAGTGAGTCATGATTTTACCATTGCACTACAGCCTGGGTGACAGAGTAAGACACTGTATCAAAAATAAAATATTTATACCTTTTTAAATATTTTATGCCTTTTTAAAGTTTCAAATCATGCAATTGAACTCTTATCAAAAGTTAGTCAAGTAATAATTTTAAAATTTAATTTTCTAGAGTCAATCAATGTGTTCTGTGGTCAGCCTTGTGGGATTAAACCTAGTCTTGATAGAGTTATCATGCCCCACTCTCTGTTTATTAAAAGACATTTTTCATATTTTTTTATGCTTTCTTGTGTCCCAAACCTTGTTTACTTTGAGAGAAGTAAAAAAAGTACTGCTCTCCCTGGAAGGAGGCAGGATTGCTCATCAGATGGGGATAGAACAGTGAACAGAATAAACCTACTTTCTGGCCCTGTCTCTGCCTGTAGCTCCTTGATTTTGAGCTGGATTGGACAAGTTGCCATCTTTACCTATGTGCCTCAGTTTACCATTCCATAAACTAAAGATATTACTCAAGAATTTTTTCCTTTCAGTTATTCAATTTTAACATGAATATCAATGACACATGCCAGTGCCCTTCTCAACTTAACCTCTCACTTCCTTCAGTTTCCTGACCACGTTCTTCCTTTTTCAAACATTTAATAAGTATCTATTATGTGCCTGGCATGGTGCTAGGTGCTTTGGAATTCAAAGATGAAAGACCAAGTCCCTGCTATCAAAGAGCTCATGGTCTAGGGAAGGAGGAAGGCAAAAGACAATTATAATACAGAGGGAAAGTTCCATGATCAACCACATTCTACCCACAAGGCTCTCAGAAATGAAGAGTGCCAATATGACCCAGAAAAGCATGGAGTCCCTTGGATGTCACACTTGCTATATAAGTAATATATTTACTTATTTCCCCCACAACCCAAGTGTTCCTGCTGCCTTAGGCATTCTTGGCTCATTGTCCTTACTGTTTGGCTCTTTCTTGGGGAAATTTATCCTTTCCTTTTACTTCCTCTCTGGATTTATCCTAGAACCCCATAACTGGTCTTTACATCTACCATTTCTTCTTAATCCAGTCTATCATACATGCACTTGCTAGGCAAATACGCCTAACATACTTTATTCCATTTAGTCTCCTGAATGATCAGTCTCTGAATATGAAGATGGCAAATGAAGAAAATGCATGGCAAGCTGTGCTATCTGGTATCTGGCTAATCAGAGCCCTCCTCCCTGTGACATTTCCACAGATCTTCTACACAATGACACATGATGAATGGTGGCCCCACCCCCGGACATTCTAAGACCCGGAGACACTTCTTTTTTTAAAAAAAAAAATATCTTCCTCCATCCTTTTATTTTGAGCCTATGTGTGTCTCTGCACATGAGATGGGTTTCCTGAATACAGCACACTGATGGGTCTTGACTCTTTATCCAATTTGCCAGTCTGTGTCTTTTAATTGGAGCATTTAGTCCATTTACATTTAAAGTTAATATTGTTATGTGTGAATTTGATCCTGTCATTATGATGTTAGCTGGTTATTTTGCTTGTTAGTTGATGCAGTTTCTTCCTAATCTCGATGGTCTTTATATTCTGGCATGATTTTGCAGCGGCTGGTACCGGTTGTACCTTTACATGTTTAGTGCTTCCTTCAGGAGCTCTTTTAGGGCAGGCCTGGTGGTGACAAAATCTCTCAGCATTTGCTTGTCTGTAAAGGATTTTATTTCTCCTTCACTTATGAAGCTTAGTTTGGCTGGATATGAAATTCTGGGTTGAAAATTCTTTTCTTTAAGAATGTTAAATATTGGCCCCCACTCTCTTCTGGCTTGTAGAGTTTCTGCTGAGAGATCAGCTGTTAGTCTGATGGGCTTCCCTTTGTGGGTAACCCGACCTTTCTCTCTGGCTGCCCTTAACATTTTTTCCTTCATTTCAACTTTGGTGAATCTGACAATTACGTGTCTCGGAGTTGCTCTTCTTGAGGAGTATCTTTGTTGCGTTCTCTGTATTTCCTGAATCTGAATGTTGGCCTGCCTTGCTAGATTGGGGAAGTTCTCCTGGATAATATCCTGCAGAGTGAAAACAAAAAAAGGCAGGGGTTGCAATCCTAGTCTAGGATAAAACAGACTTTAAACCAACAAAGATCAAAAGAGACAAAGAAGGCCATTACATAATGGTAAAGAGATCAATTCAACAAGAAGAGCTAACTATCCTAAATATATATGCACCCAATACAGGAGCAGCCACATTCATAAAGCAAGTCCTAAGTGACCTACAAAGAGACTTAGACTCTCACACAATAATAATGGGAGACTTTAACACCCCACTGTCAACATTAGACAGATCAACAAGACAGAAAGTTAACAAGGATACCCAGGAATTGAACTCAGCTCTGCACCAAGAGGACCTAATACACATCTACAGAACTCTCCACCCCAAATCAACAGAATATACATTTTTTCCAGCACCACACCAGACCTATTCTAAAATTGACCACATACTTGGAAGTAAAGCTCTCCTCAGCAAATGTAAAAGAACAGAAATTATAACAACCTGTCTCTCAGACCACAGTGAAATCAAACTAGAACTCGGGATTAAGAAATTCACTCAAAACCGATCAACTACATGGAAACTGAACAACCTGCTCCTGAATGACTACTGGGTACATAACGAAATGAAGGCAGAAATAAAGATGCTCTTTGAAACCAACGAGAACAAAGACACAACATACCAGAATCTCTGGGACACATTCAAAGCAGTGTGTAGAGGGAAATTTATAGCACTAAATGCCCACAAGAGAAAGCAGAAAAGATCAAAAATTGACACCCTAACATCACAATTAAAAGAACTAGAAAAGCAAGAGCAAACACATTCAAAAGCTAGCAGAAGGCAAGAAATAACTAAAATCAGAGCAGAACTGAAGGAAATAGAGACAAAAAAAAACCCTTCAAAAAATTAATGAATCCAGGAGCTGGTTTTTTGAAAGGATCAACAAAATTGATAGACTGCTAGCAAGACTAATAAAGAAAAAAAAGAAAGAAGAAACAAATAGACACAATAAAAAATGATAAAGGGGCTATCACTACCGATCCCACAGAAATACAAACTACCATCAGAGAATACTACAAACACCTCTATGCAAATAAACTAGAAAATCGAGAAGAAATGGATAAATTCCTCGATACATACACTCTCCCAAGACTAAACTAGGAAGAAGTTGAATCTCTGAATAGACCAATAACAGGATCTGAAATTGTGGCAATAATCAATAGCTTACCAACCAAAAAGAGTCCAGGATCAGATGGATTCACAGCCGAATTCTACTAGAGATACAAGGAGAAACCGGTACCACTCATTCTGAAACTATTCCAATCAATAGAAAAAGAGGGAATCCTCCCTAACTCATTTTATGAGGCCAGCATCATCCTAATACCAAAGTCTGGCAGAGACACAACAAAAAAAGAGAATTTTAGACCAATATCCTTGATGAACATTGATGCAAAAATCCTCAATAAAATACTGGCAAACCGAATCCAGCAGCACATCAAAAAGCTTATCCACCATGATCAAGTGGGCTTCATCCCTGGGATGCAAGGCTGGTTCAATATATGCAAATCAATAAATGTAATCCAGCATATAAACAGAACCAAAGACAAAAACCACATGATTATCTCAATAGATGCAGAAAAGGCCTTTGACAAAATTCAACAACCCTTCATGCTAAAAACTCTCAATAAATTAGGTATTGATAGGACGTATCTCAAAATAATAAGAGCTATCTATGACAAACCCACAGCCAATATCATACTGAATGGACAAAAACTGGAAGCATTCCCTTTGAAAACTGGCACAAGACAGGTATGCCCTCTCTCACCACTCCTATTCAACATAGTGTTGGAAGTTTGGCCAGGGCAATGAGGCAGGAGAAAGAAATAAAGGGTATTCAATTAGGAAAAGAGGAAGTCAAATTGTCCCTGTTTGCAGACGACATGATTGTATATCTAGAAAACGCCATTGTCTCAGCCCAAAATCTCCTTAAGCTGATAAGCAACTTCAGCAAAGTCTCAGGATACAAAACCAATGTACAAAAATCACAAGCATTCTTATACACCAATAACAGGAGAGCCAAATCATGAGTGAACTCCCATTCACAATTGCTTCAAAGAGAATAAAATACTTAGGAATCCAACTTACAAGGGACGTGAAGGACCTCTTCAAGGAGAACTACAAACCACTGCTCAATGAAATAAAAGAGGATACAAACAAATGGAAGAACATTCCATGCTGATGGGTAGGAAGAATCAATATCATGAAAATGGCCATACTGCCCAAGGTAATTTATAGATTCAATGCCATCCCCATCAAGCTACCAACGACTTTCTTCACAGAATTGGAAAAAACTACTTTAAAGTTCGTATGGAACCAAAAAAGAGCCCTCATTGCCAAGTCAATCCTAAGCCAAAAGAACAAATCTGGAGGCATCACGCTACCTGACTTCAAACTATACTACAAGGCTACAGTAACCAAAACAGCATGGTAGTGGTACCAAAACAGAGATATAGATCAATGGAACAGAACAGAGCTCTCAGAAATAACGCCGCATATCTACAACTATCTGATCTTTGACAACCCTGAGAAAAACAGGCAATGGGGAAAGGATTCCCTATTTAATAAATGTTGCTGGGAAAACTGGCTAGCCATATGTAGAAAGCTGAAACTGGATCCCTTCCTTACACCTTATACAAAAATTAATTCAAGATGGATTAAAGACTTAAACGTTAGTCCTAAAACCATAAAAACCCTAGAAGAAAACCTAGGCATTATCATTCAGGACATAGGCATGGGCAAGGACTTCATGTCTAAAACACCAAAAGCAATGGAAACAGAAGCCCAAATCGACAAATGGGATCTAATTAAACTAAAGAGCTTCTGCACAGCAAAAGAAACTACCATCAGAGTGAACAGGCAACCTACAAAATGGGAGAAAATTTTCACAACGTACTCATCTGACAAAGGGCTAATATCCAGAAGCTACAAAGAACTTAAAGAAATTTACAAGAAAAAAAACAAACAGGCCAGGCGTGGTGGCTCACGCCTGTAATCCCAGCACTTTGGGAGGCCGAGGCGGGTGGATCATGAGGTCAGGAGATCGAGGCCATCCCGGTTAAAACGGTGAAACCCCGTCTCTACTAAAAATACAAAAAATAGCCGGGTGTAGTGGCGGGCGCCTGTAGTCCTAGCTACTTGGGAGGCTGAGGCAGGAGAATGGTGTGAACCCGGGAGGCAAAGCTTGCAGTGAGCCGAGATCCCGCCACTGCACTCCAGCCTGGGTGACAGAGCGAGACTCCGTCTCAAAAAAAAAAAAAAAAAAAAAAAAAAACAACCCCATTAAAAAGTGGCCAAAGGATATGAACAGACACTTCTCAAAAGAAGACATTTATGCAGCCAAAAGACACATGAAAAAATGGTCCTCATCACTGGCCATCAGAGAAATGCAAATCAAAACCACAATGAGATACCATCTCACACCAGTTAGAATGGCAATCATTAAAAAGTCAGGAAACAACAGGTGCTGGAGAGGATGTGGAGAAATAGGAACACTTTTACACTGTTGGTGGGACTGTATACTAGTTCAACCATTGTGGAAGTCAGTGTGGCGATTCCTCAGGGATCTAGAACTAGAAATACCATTTGACCCAGCCATCCCATTACTGGGGATATACCCAAAGGATTATAAATCATGCTGCTATAAAGACACATGCACACGTATGTTTATTGCAGCACGATTCACAATAGCAAAGACTTGGAACCAACCCAAATGTCCAACAATGATAGACTGGATTAAGAAAATGTGGCACATATACACCATGGAATACTATGCAGCCATAAAAAATGATGAGTTCATGTCCTTTGTAGGGACATGGATGAAATTGGAAATCATCATTCTCAGTAAACTATCACAAGGACAAAAAACCAAACACCACATGTTCTCACTCATAGATGGGAATTGAACAATGAGAACACATGGACACAGGAAGGGGAACATCACACTATGGGGACAGTTGTGGGGTAGGGGGAGGGGGGAGGGATAGCATTAGGAGATATACCTAATGCTAAACGACGAGTTAATGGGTGCAGCACACCAGCATGGCACATGTATACATATGTAACTAATCGGCACATTGTGCACATGTACCCTAAAACTTAAAGTATAATAATAATAAAAAAAAAGTAAAAAAAAGAAAAAAATAGACAGGGTCTTGCTTGCTTCATTGACCAGGCTGGAGTGCAGTGGCGCAATCTCGGCTCACTGCAAGCTTCACTTACTGGGTTCAAGCGATTCTCTTGCCTCAGCCTCCCGAGTAGCTGGAATTATAGATGCCTAACACCATGCCCGGCTAATTTTTGTGTTTTTAGTAGAAATGGGGTTTCGCCATGTTGGCTAGGCTGGTCTCAAACTCCTGGCCTCAAGTGATCTGCCTACCTCAGCCTCCCAAAACGTCGGGATTACAGGTGTGAGCCATTGTACCCAGCCATGAGACACCTCCTTAACATCCAAAAAAGATATCTGTTTCATCTTAATTTAGTGATATACATTTTATTATATTCTAGGTGTATCACATGTGTGGTAGCTCTTTATTAACTAGTATATTTGATTAACCTGGAAACCCCATTCCATGACTTTAAAAACTGAGTTTATCCTACTTAATTAATATTTTTGTTCCATAAACAATGCTTAAGATTGTAGATTTGTATATTTTGCCAATGGAAAAACAAAATTGATTGTGATTTTAAAAATCAGAGATTTGTTATAATACCTTATATAAAATTTATATTAAGTTGCTACCTTCCCCTCAAAAAAAATTCAACAACAGATAAATAACAACTACAAATAATCACCAAAAACAAATCCACACAGACTAGAATAAATATCAGTGTAATCACCTGTTCAGGAAAAAAATGCAAAACAGTTGGGCAAATTGCTTAGCAGATTATGCAATGGGTGTTTGGGAATTTTAAATGTGTCTCAATGGAAGCACAAATATTTATCTTTTCTATTTCTCAGTGTAATATATAGTCAATAAACATTTTCCTCTAATGTACAAGCCACCTGTGGTATCACTCGTTGGAATTTACTTCATTTGCGAATCCTTTCCCACTGTCTTGTAATTATTTGCTTCTAACCTGACAATTGGGGTCCAAATGTGATAAAATATATTTTCTCCTTTTATACTTCGGACAGTGCCCAGTGTACCTCAGTGTCCTGCCAGGTACTCAAAACACTTACTCAACATAGAGGAAAAAAAAAAACCAAATAGTTTCACCAGAAAGCTCAGAGAACCACAGAATTTAAAAAGCAAGCAGAACCATGGCTCTATCTTCATTTTCCAGAATTTCCCTTAGTGGAGAATATAAAAATGTCCATTTAAAACCACTCTTAGGAAATGAGGCTACTTTCTTTTTTTCTTTTGAGACGGAGTTTCGCTCTTGTCACTCAGACTGGAGTGCAGTGGTGCGATCTCAGATCACTGCAACCTCCACCTCCCGGGTTCAAGCGATTCTCCTGCCTCAGCTTCCCAAGTAGCTGGGATTACAGGTGCCTGCCACCACACCCTGCTAATTTTTTATTTTTAGTAGAGACAGGGTTTCACCATGTTGGCCAGGCTAGTCTCGAACTCCTGACCTCAGGTGATCCACCCGCCTCGGCCTCCCAAAGTGCTGGGATTACAGGTGTGAGCCTCCATGCCCAGCGGAGGCTACCTTTAAATGTCAAAATTGTAAGTTACTGTTTAGTTTTCAGTTCCCTATATTGGCCCTTGTATCCCCATCTTTGAGATCATAACCTTGTTAATTAACCCTTGGCCAGTACTTCTGGCACTGATGCATACTTAGGGGCTCCTCACTCCCCAGGAGGTTTGCTCTGCCCCTGAGCAGACCTGGGCTGGTGGGAGCCTCTTGGCGCTCTGCCCAGGCAGAGCACTGGAGGTGCAGGGTCAGCGCCTTCTCTGTGGCTACTTTCCCTCTCTCTGCTGCAGGTGATTTGATGGGAGAGGAGTCCTGTCCTCTGGCAGAGATCAGTGTTCTTGCTTCTGATGTCCCAAATCTTCCATGTTGGCCACTTACCTTACTCATAATTCCTAACCTGCATATGCTCCTGAAGCACATGGGACAGACATCTGGCTTACAACTGTCTTGGGGGTCTCATTGTGCTTAAGCCAGCAGGGCCTGGCTGCCTGCTTTTGTTCGCTTCATTGGGCCCCAGAATGATAAAAGTTTGTTCTGTGCTCAAGTGTTTCTAGAATATTAATACTATAATATTCTTCATGATATTTGTCTTACTACCCACCCACCCTTCATAAAATCAGCCAGACCTGGACAATAGCAAAACAGGTATTTGGGCAATTATTCCTGTGCCTATTCAATTTCTTCTTTTTACGTCCCACTCAACAATATTATGTAGCAGCAAAAGAGCCAATCCATGGTCTCTCACGGCCAAAGTCTTCAGCCTCCTTTTAAATGTCTTTATGAAAGTCCCTGGTCATATTTACAATTTTTTACAATATATCAAAATAGAGGAAACTAACTTTTGATTTTCCTTTTTATTTGAGTCATGCCCAGGTCTGAATTTAACTAGGTGACTTAGGGATGTAATATGTTCATGCTTGGAAAATAACTGCTGATTCAGTTTAGAGGGTCACTGAGCAAGGCTAATGCTATTGCCTAATCTCCAGCTTCATCTGTTTCCATACCCCCGAAAACAATGTACTCCAGCTAGATACAATATATTCAGCAGAATGGTGAATATCTCTCTCATTTCCAGGTCTTTGCAAGGGCTATTCCCCCTGACTTAAACACCTCCCCTGCCCCTTCCCTGTTGCCTGGCAAACTCCCCCCTCATCATCTGCGACTTCTGAGCATAGTCATTTGTTCTTCCACGAAGCCTCTCCTAATCACATCCCTAAACTGGGTATAGTAAGATTTGCCGCATATTGTTATCGCTTATCTGTTTCCTCTGCTAGAACTATAATCTATGGGCCTCATGCTGTGCCTGTCTTGCTCCCCATTGTGTGCCCAGTGCTTAGTACACTGCCTGACATGTAGCAAGCCACAAAACGAAGATTGGAGGACAAATGGATGAATAGATAGATGAATAAATGAATGAACAAGTGTACCATACCACTATGTGCCTGATTATGATTTAGTCAGTGTCTAGGATAAATCATATCTATTAGCATTGTTAAGGAAATATATTATAGAACATCTGTTGAGTGAAAAAAGCTAGTTCTTAAAAAAAAACTAGTTATAGCCAAGTATAGAAATTTCAATTTTTAGAGAGAGAGAAAGCATGTTTATCAAAATGTTAATTCACATCAGGATAGGGAAACTGGGGGAGATTTTATTTTTACTTTCTTCTTTATACATTTCCATAATGCTTGAATATCTAGTATGAGTATAAATCATGTTTATAATAACTCTGTCACTAAACAAACCTACTACTTCAGAAAAGATAAACAAATGTGAACATTTGTGTTTTGTTCTTCTGAAGGCTGCAGGATAGAAGTGCAGCTGTCTGAGATCCAGGACCATGAGAGGGTAGCAGCACTGATCAGAGCTTTAGCCACAAGATGGTGTGTGCAAGCCTATGGGGATGTACAGGAAGTCGCATTTACATGTAATGTCTGGAAAGAAAGGGTTCTTCACATGCCTCGTACACTCTTCTTAATTAAGAGTTTGTTTTTCTCATATCTGCAGGAGATTTCTGATAGTTTCCAGTTAAAAACACCAAGAAATCAAGATGAAAACAATGACTGTCTCCTATTGTTTGGTAGTCCTTCATGTTGTCTGAAAAATATGTAATATCCCAGAGGTGATATCTCAACAGCTATTGTTTACATTTTTAGCTTTTTTCTTTCTCCTTATCACCACCCTCAAAATAAAATGCAGATAATCCTGTCTATGATTGGATACTGGAATTGAGGCTCTGGAATCTTGTCTGTGTAACCCTACACACTAGGCTGTGGCCGACTTTGCATTTGCAGCACCCTCTCACTGGCAATAAGAAAGCTAACAATCATCAAATAAGATGGAGACTGTGGAAATTCACCCTGTGTGTAACCACAAAAGGAAAAAGAAAAGCAAAAAGAAAACCTAATTGTGCTTTAAAAGGGAAATAGCTAAATAAAGTTTACTGCTATACTGTTATGGAAAATGAAACAGGAATTTGAAAGAATGAGCCAGAACTCTCTTACCAACATGGGGAAATACCCAGGGCATATTGTTGAGTGTGAAAAGCAAATTGCAGCATAAAACATATTGATGGTTGTATTTATAAAACAAACACACACACAGAGATTCATGGTACTATATCTCTTTTACAGAAACATATGTATGTAAGTGCATAGCAAATTCTGGAAGGACACACCAAATTGAAAATGTGCTACTTTTGAGTAGAATAGCAGAGCCTTGAGTGAGAACAAGGATTGAGATCAAACTGAGTTAGTATTATTTAAATTATTTGAAATTTTTAAGGAGAATGTATGCATATATTATATGTATAAACAAACATTAATTTTTACAATTAAATAGCATTTTTAAATGCCTTAATATTATCTAGCACAAAATACAGATCAAACAAATGGTAGTTGCTTTTATTATTTTAAAAAATAAACAAGCAGTGTTGATTTAATTAGCCTTAAAGGTGCTAAATACATTGCCAAAACTGGCTTATGTGTGTTACAGGTATGTATTAAGGGATAAATTTTATTTGCCCATTTATGTACTTTTAAATCCAGGTAGAAGAGAAGAGAGAGAAAGATAATATAAGATTAGGCAGTGGTGTTATCAGTAAAGCAAACTGCCTCCAAGCTTCTTAAAGAACATACGTTTCTACTGCAGCCTTAGCAAAGTCACATTCCATCTTGGCATTCCTCTTAATGGGCCATAGAGACTGAAAGAGTATTTTAAATATTCCATTCACTTCCCAAAGGAGCTAATATGACATTTCCACAGAAAAGAAACTTACACTGTATTACCTCTTAGAAGTATATAAGCTCACGACTGTACAATTTGATAATTGAGAAATCCAACTGGCTCTCTCTGAGGCAGGGAAAATGGATTTGAGAGGAGATGGAATTTGGGCAATGACTTTCAGGCAGCCCGGTCAATAGCTCTAAGAGGCCAGATTGATCGCAGGCAAGGAGTGAGCAAGGAGGTGGAGAGGGGATGGGAGTAGATAGGGAGAAGCTGGGTTTCTGGTTGGTTGCTTCTTGCTGCTGTGCTGCAAAGCCCCTGAGGAAACAGATTCAGCTTCTTTCCTGCTGAGTCCCTGCATCCAAATATTTCCCTTTCTCCAGAATAACATTCCCCAGGCCTTGAGTGCTTTCACCCTGATAGGTCAGGATAAATTATGACATGGTGGCTCATGTAATTTGTTGTGTATAATAATCAAGGCACTGAACTGTGCGAATAATTTTTTCTGAAATAAATTGAAATTCCTGGTTAAGTTTTAACAATGTCTTGCTCATCTATCTTTTAATTTGCTTTCTTGAGTAGGTGATAAAGTTCCACTATCTGTCTTATCTATACTGTATACTTGAGGCCTGGAAAAGGCTGAGAACTTCTGATGCAGAGAACAATGTGAAGTTCTCTCCTGTCTTAGTCCATTTTGTGTTGCTATAAAGGAATACCTGGGCTGGGTCATTTATAAAGAAAACAAGGTTTATTTGGCTCATGATTTTGATGGCTCGAAAAGTTCAGAATTGGGCATCTGTATCTGGGGAGGGCCTCAGGCTGCTGCCACATGATGGAAGGTGAAGGGGAGCTGGTGTGTGCAGAGATCACATGGCCAGAGAGGAGGCAAGAGAGAGTGGGGGAGGGGCCAGGCTCTTTTTAAAAACCAGCTCTTCTAGGAACTAATAGGGAGGGCATTAAGTGATTCATGAGTGATCTGCCCCCATGACCCAAACACCTTCTGTCAGGTTCTACCTCCAACACTGGGGATCAAATTTCAACATGAGGTTTGGAGAAGACAAATGTCCAAACCACAGCACCTCGTAGCTTGATTATCTACCTGTTCTGAGGCCAAGCAGACCATGATTCACATCCTTACTAGCTGTGAAACCTTGAGCAAGTAGTAAAAGCTGTCTGAGGTTTACCTCCTTCTCTGTCCAACAGAGGCCCTCAGGCAGCCCTGGCAGAAGATGGTGGGCACTCAATATTTAGTTGTTCCTGCCCTGTGGTAATCATGCCCAGTTGGACCCACTGAGCAGCCCCTTGTCTGCCCACATTTTGCTCCTGACTATTTCCCAGATGGCTCAGTAAGTCACTTCTTAATAAACTCCAGTGCTTTTTATGTTTTTATTTCTCAGTGTGAATTTCACGGTGGGTTCTTCCTATCTTCCTCTAAATTCTATACCTTCCTGATTAATTCTCCTATGTCTGATTTCTATAAGACCATATATACTGTTCTTACTGGGGAACATTGGTGACAAGGGTCTGGAAGGGTTCCCCCTTATGGGACAGGAGGTTCTAATTACTAGGCTTGACTCATGCCCTATTGAGTATACCTGAAACTCAATAACTTTCCAAATAGTCAGTGTAGGTATACATCTTGGGCCCACTTTGTGGCACCAGCTCAGAAGGCCAATGTATCTGGGAACTCTGGTTAGAATGAGAGGCAGTTTGATCGTGTTGCCTGTATCCTAATGTCAGAAATAAGAAAATTTATTGATGAAATATTTATATCAAGTGGAGCAGTAGAGCAGTCTGGATCCTGACCCACTGCCATTGGATTCCACCTCTCCTTATCTCCCTGATGGAATCCTAAAAGAGAACTTCCACTTCTAGGCATGATGGAATAAGACAAGACAACCTCCCTCACCTAGAGAAAACCAGTACTAATCCTGGATATGATACAAAACCCAAGTGCCTAAAGATCCTGGAAAGTAAACAAAAGCAGACAGACTGGTGGTGAGTGCATAGTTTAGATGAGGGAGCCAGGGAGCTGTATAAATAAGTTTCCACCTCTGAGGCTTTTAGCCTAAGGCTAAGCTGAATACACAGAGGCAGACAGGGTTGCATGAAAAAAACCTGAAATCTTTCCAGCCTGGGGAACCAGAGAAGTGAAGCTGGGCAATTGAGCTGGGTGCTGAAGAGAAGAGTGAGAGACCCTCAAAAGAGAAGAAAAGCCAGATAGGAGATCCCCAAACTCTGCCTACCCACATCTCTGTATAATCCCTAAACTATTCAGGCATGGAACAGATTTAGAGCAGCTAAGCTGAAGACAAAATGTCTTCTTTAAGACCAAAGCTGCTGCCTGAGAAATAGAATTTGCAAATTCAAGCCCAGCCAAGAAAAATTATCTGCTGAAACAAAGGACCAAGGAAGCAACAACCATTGGGTTAAAAACAAGCAGACAAACCCCCAAAACCCAAGATTCCCAAATCCTACTAACTTAACATTCATAATGTTCAGGATATAATCTGAAATTATCTGACATTCAAAGAATTAAAAAGATTGGCTGGGTTTGGTGGCTCATGCCTGTAATTGCAGCACTCAGGGAGGTGGAGGCAGGAGGATCACTTGAGGCTAGGAGTTTGAGATCAGACTGGGCAACATATTGAGAGACATTGTGTCTACTTAAAAAAAAAAGAGGAAGAAGAAGAAGGAGGAGGAGGAGGAGGAGGAAGAGAAAGATGAAGGGGAAAGGGAAAAAGAAGGAGAAGAAGAGGAGGAGGAGGAAGAGGAAGAAGAAAGAAGAGAAGGAAGGAGAAAGGAGAAAGGAGGAAGAAGGAAGAAGGAAGGAAGGAAGGAAGGAAGGAAGGAAGGAAGGAAGGAAGGAAGGAAGGAAGGAAGGAATTAGGTCAAATCAGTCAGGTGTGATGGTACCAATTTATATTCCCAGCTACTCAGGAAGCCATGCTTAGCTGAAGCAGGAGGATGGCTTGAGTCTAGGAGTTTGAGGCTACTGTGAGCTATGATTGTACCATTGCACTCCAGCCTGGAAGACAGCGTGAGACCCTGTTTCAAAAAACAAAAACAAAAACAAACAAACAAACAAACAAAGAGGATGGAGCACATTCTCAAGAGAAAATAGTAATTGAGTCCTAGCCTGAAATGAACCAAATGTTGTAAGTAACATAAAAGGATTTTAAAGTAACATACAAACATTTTAACTATTCTTAAAAAGTAAACCCAAACATATTTTCAATAAAGGAAAATCTCAGCAGAGAAATAGAGATAATAAAGCAATGAAGATTAGAGAACTGAAATATATAATCTCAAAAATTAAAATAAAAATTCATAGGATGGACTTAATAGCCAAATCGACATAATGGAGAAAAAAGTAAACTCAAAGATAAAGGAACAGAAATTATACAAGGTGAAAGAGAAAGAAGAAATATTAAAAACAAAATAAACAAAATCTATGGATCTGTTAGATAATATTATATCAAACAGTAAACATACATGTATTTGAAATGCCATAGGAGAAGAGAGAGTAAGAATGCAGAGAAAATATTTAAAGTCAATAATAACAATGATAAAATTACAAATAAAATCTCTGGTATATAGATATTAAACAATACAGTTCTAAATAATCTTCTGAAAAAAGAAATCACATGAGAAATTGGAAAATATTTGGACTGAGTGATAATAAAAATATGATATCAAAAATTTTGAGTTGAAGGCAATGCTTAGAGGGAATGTTGTAAGTTCATAAGGCTACATTAAAAAAGAAAGAACTTAAATTGATGATTTAACTTCTATCTTAAAAATCTAGAAAAAGAAAAGCAAATTAAATATAAAGCAATCAGACAAAATGAGATAAAGACAAGAACAGTTAATAAAATAGAAAATAAAATAACCATAAAGAAAAAAAGAAATCAAAGCTTGTTTTTTGATATCAATAAAACTGATAAAATTTCTAGCCAGAATTATCAAGAAATAAAGTAGAAGAGTAAAAAGGGAGATATCACTACAGAGCCTTCAAATATTAAGCAGATAATAAGATAATATTATGAGTAACTTTATGACAACAAATTTTGCAATCTAGACAACAATGGAAAAATTTCCTGAAAGACACAAATTTCCAAAACTGACCCAAGAAGAAATAGAAAACTTTAACAGATTTAGCTCACTTAAGAAAATTGAATTTTGTAATGTAAAATTTTTCTGAAGACAAAAAACTCCTGGCCCTAATTGTTTTGTTGGTGAATTCTATCCAATATTTAAGGAAGAAAGAATATTAATCTCTCTGGAAAATCAGAGGAGGAGGAATACCAATCAAGTTAATTGATTAAAAAATCAATTAGTGCAATTTATTATATTAGTACAAAAGAGAAAAAAAACCCCAAAATTATTTCAATAGACGCAGATAGCTCCCACCCCTTAATTTAATATTCTTTTATGGTAAAAGTTTTCCAAAAACAGGGAGCAAAAGAGAATTGTCTAAAGCTAATCAAGGGCATCTATGTAAACCTATAGACAATAATGCAGGGCTCAATAATACCTTCTTAAAATAATAAACAAGGCAAAGATATTGTGTCACCAATTCTATTTAATACTGTACTGAAGGTCCAAGCCAGTGCAATACAGCAAGATAATTAGGTAAATGGCAGATTGAAGAGGAAGAAGTAAAACTCTTATTTGCAGACATGATTAGGTATGAAGAAAACTTTACAGACTGCTAAGAGGCCGAGCAGTACTTTTGATAGCCTCATTGGAACTGGGAGACAAAAGTTTTGTCCAAGGTCTGCCAAGGAAGTGGATCCTCCTTGATAAATCTTCTGTGCTTAAGGTTAGACTTCTAAAGGGTTCTACCCTAGGAATAGTGATAAATGAGACCTAGACAAGCTGTCACAGAACTTCAGCTCAGCTTCAAATATTTCAGTCCCAAAAATTGGTTTAAAAGGCTCTGCATTACCAGCATCACTAGAAAGCTGGCAGAGACAAAAATCAATTCTTTCTGTAGGAAGATATCATCTTAGCTTTCACATTATCTCTACACTTTTTGTGTATGCAATTACTGACATCCAGTAAAAAAATTACCAGGCTCATGAGAAAATGAATAAGAGCATATAGAAATAACAGACAATACAGAGACATCCAGAGAAGCTCCACATAGCAAATTTTAAAATGATTATGCTTACTACACTTGAGGATTTAAAAAAAAGTATGTGAATTCTTACAGAGAATTAGAAACTAAAAAAAGTAACATAATATATTTTCAAAAGAATCATGTAAAAATTATAGAACTGAAGAAGCTGAATTTAAGAATTCAAATGGATGTGTTTAAAAAATTAGACATATTTAAAGAGAGAATTAGTGTGCTAGGATTTAGGATAAAATAATATATCAGTAATAAAACCCTAAGAGACATAAAGGTGGAAGACACAGAAAAGAGAGAAAGAGACAAAAAAAGACAGTTAGATGGTCTAACATACATGCAATTGAAGTTCCTAAATAAAAGGAGAGACAAGTGGAACAGAAGCAATATTTGAAGAGAAAATGACTGAGAATTCTTTTTCCAAAGCCAATGAGACATTGAAACTTAGATTCAAAAGGCACTATGAGCCTCAATCATGATAAACTGAAATCCATACATACACGCACACTAGTAAAACTTCTGAGAAAAAAGAGAAAAGTCTAAAAAGCAGCCAGAATTAAAAACAAAAAAAAACATTAACCTTTATAGGAGCAACAATTAGACTGAGAGCTGACTTTAACAACAAAAAAAAGAAAGAAGAAAATAACTGAAGCAGTAGTTTCCAGACACCAAAAGGAATACAGAGCAAATGAAAATGATAAACATATGTATAAACATAATAAATATTAAGTGCAATAAAAATAGCTTTTACAGCAAAAAAAGAGTAGAGGTTACAATCCTAGTCTCTGACAAAACAGACTTTAAAACAACAAAGATCAAAAAAGAAAAAGAACAGCATTACATAATGGTAAAGGGATCAATTCAACAAGAAGAGCTAGAGCTAACTAGCCTAAATATATGTGCACCCAATACGGGAGCTCTCAGATACATAAAACAAGTTCTTGGAGACTTACAAAGAGACTTATGCTCCCACTCAATAATATTGGGAGATTTTAACACCCCACTGTCAATATTAGAGAGATTAATGAGACAGAAATTGAACAAGGATATCCAGAACTTGAACTCAGCTCTGAACCAAGCAGACCTAATAGACATCTACAGCACTCTCCACCCTAAATCAATAGAATATACATTCTTCTCAGTAGCACAAGGCACTTACTCTAAAATCAACCGCAGAATTAGAAGTAAACCACTCGTCAGCAAATGCAAAAGAACCGAAATCATAATGAACAGTCTTTTGGACCATAGTGCAATCAAATTAGAACTCATGATTAAGAAACTCACTCAAAACCACACAATTACACAGAAATTGAACAACCTGCTCCTGAATGACTTCTGGGTAAATAATGAAACTAAGGCAGAAGTAAAGAAGTTCTTTGAAACCAGGGAGAACAAAGAGACAATGTACCAGAATCTCTGGGACACAGTTAAAGCAGCGTTAAGAGGGAAATTTATAGCACTAAGTGCCCACATCAGAAAGCTATAAAGATCTTAAATCAACACCCTAACATCACAATCAAAAGAGGTAGAGAAGCAAGAGCAAACTAATCAAAAAACTAGAAGACAAGAAATAACTAAGATCAGAGCAGAATTGAAATAGAGACCCAAAAAACCCTCCAAAAAATCAACGAATCTAGGAGCCATTTTTTTGAAAAAATTAACAAAATAGATAGACTGCTAGCTAGACTAATAAAGAAGAAAAGAGAGAAGAATCAAATAGACACAATAAAAAATGATAGAGAATATCACCACTGACCCCACAGAAATACAAACTACTATCAGAGAATACTATAAACACCTTTAAGTGAATAAACTAGAAAATCTAGAAGAAATGGATAAATTTCTGGATACATACACGCTCCCAACACTAAACCAGGAAAAAGCCAAATCCCTGAATAGACCAATGACAAGTTCTGAAATTGAGGCAGTAATTAATAGCTTACCAACCAAAGAAAAGCCCAGGACCAGATGGATTCACAGACGAATTCTACCAGAGGTACAAAGAGGAGCTGGTACCATTCCTTCTGCAACGATTCCAAACAGTTGAAAAGGAGGGACTCCTCCCGAGCTCATTTTATGAAGACAGCATTATCCTGATACCAAAACCTGGCAGAGACACAACAAAAAAAGAAAACTCAGGCCAATATTCCAATCAACATCGATGCGAAAATCCTCAATAAAATACTGACAAACCAAATCCAGCAGCACATCAAAAAGCTTATCCGCCGTAATGAATTCTGCTTCATCCCTGGGTTGCAAGGCTGGTTCAACACATGCAAATCAATAAATATAATCCATCACAGAAACAGAACCAAAAACCACATGGTTATCTCAATAGATGCAGAAAAGGCCTTTGATAAAATCCAACATCCCTTTCTGTTAAAAAAGTCTCAATAAACTAGGGATTGATGGAACATATCTCAAAATAATAAGAGCTATTTATGACAAATCCATAGCCAATATAATATTGAATGGGCAAAAGCTGGAAGCATTCCCTTTGAAAACCAGTACAAGACAAGGATGCCCTCTCTCACCACTCCTATTCAACATAGTATTGGAAGTTCTGGCCAGGGCAATCAGACAAAAGAAAGAAATAAATGGTATTCAAATAGGAAGACAGGAAGTCAAATTATCTCTGTTTACAGATGACATAATTATATATTTAGAAAACCCTGTCATCTCAGCCCAAAAACTCCTTAAGCTGATAAGCAATTTCAGCAAAGTCTCAGGATACAAAATCAATGTACAACAATCACAAGCATTCCTTTACACCAACCATAGACAAGCAAAGAGCCAAATCATGAATGAACTCTCATTCACAATTGCTACAAAGAGAATAAAATACCTAGGAATACATCTAACAAGGGACGTGAAGGACCTCTTCAAGAACTACAAACCACTGCTAAAGGAAATAAGAGATGACACAAACAAATGGAAAAACATTCTATCCTTATGGATAGAAAGAATTAATATCATGAAAATGGCCATACTGCCCAAGTAATTTATAGTTTCAATGCTATTCCTATCAAACTGCATTGACATTCTTCACAGAATTAGAAAAAAACTACTTTAAATTTCACATGGAATCAAAGAAGACCCCGTATAGCCAAGACGATCCTAAGCAAAAAGAGCAAAGTTGGAGGCATCATGCTACCTGACTTCAAACTATACTACAAGGCTACAGTAACCAAAACAGCATGGTGCCTGTACCAAAACAGACATATAGACCAATGGAACAGAACAGAGACCTCAGAAATAATACCACGCATCTACAATCATCTGGTCTTCGACAAACCTGACAAAAACAAGCAATGGGGAAAGAATCTCCTATTCAATAAATGGTGCTGGGAAAACTGCCTAGCCATATGCAGAAAACTGAAACTGGACCCCTTCTTTACACCTTATACAAAAATTAACTCAAGATGGATTAAAGACTTAAATGTGAAACCCAAAACCATGAAAACCCTAGAAGAAAACCAAGGCAATACCATTCAAGACATAGGCATGGGACAAGATTTCATGACTAAAACACCAAAAGCAATTTCAACAAAAGCCAAAATTGACAAATGAAATCTAACTAAACTAAAGAGCCTCTGCACAGCAAAAGAAACTATCATAAGAGTGAACAGGCAACCTACAGAATGGGAAAAAAGTTTTGCAATCTACCCATTTGAACAAAGGTCTAATATCTAGAATTTTCTAGGAACCAAAACAAATTTACAAGAAAAAATCAAACAACCCCATCAAAAAGTGGGCAAAGGATATGAACGGACACTTCTCAAAAGAAGACATTTACGTGGCCAACAAACATATGAAAAAAAGCTCAACATCACTGATCATTAGAGAAATGCAAATCAAAACCAGAATGAGATACCATCTCACACAAGTCAGAATGGTGATATTAAAAAGTCAAGAAACAATAGATGCTGGTGAGGCTGTGAAGAAATGCTTTTACACTGTTGGTGGGAATGTAAATTAGTTCAACCATTGTGGAAGACAGTATGACAATTCCTCAAGAGTCTAGAACCAGAAATACCATTTGACCCAATAATCCTGTTACTAGGTATATACCCAAATGATTATAAATCTTTCTACTATAAAGACATATACACATGTATGTATATTACAGCACTATTTACCATACAAAGACATGGAACCAACCCAAATCCCCATCAATGATAGACTGGATAAAGAAAATGTGGTATGCATACACCATGGAATACTATGCAGCCATAAAAAGGAATAAGATCATGTCCTTTGCAGGGACATGGATGAAGCTGGAAGCCATTATCATCAGCAAACTAACACAGGAAGAGAAAACAAAACACTTCACGTTCTCACTCATAAGTGGGAGTTGAAAAATGAGAGCACATCGACACAGGGAGGGGAACAACACACACCAGGCCTGTTGCGGGGTGGGAGTGAGGGGAGGGAACCTAGAGGACAGGTCAATAGGTGCAGCAAACCACCATGGCACACATATACCTATCTAACAAACTGACACGTGCTGCACATGTGTCCCGGAACGTAAAGTAAAATAAAAAAAAATAGATTTTACGTGTTAAAATATATATAAATAAAAATGCAAGATAAGAGAATTAGAGTTTATATGGCCCTTGAATAGTTAAAGAAGTTGTAATGTTAGATCTGGATGCATGTTATAATCTCTAGGTGAATAACTAAAACATGAATAAATAATGAAAGGTAGCTTAATTGAAAAATTGTACAAAATAAAATAGGAAATAACAAAAATACATAACCCAAAAGAAATCAAGAAAAGAGAAAAAAGAAAAAATGTAGAACTGTCAGGATAAACAGAAAATATTAAAACACAAATGTAATAGGAATTTTCTTAATTACAAATGGATTTAAATATTCAATTAACAGAGAAAGATTGACATAGTGGATTAGGAAGGAAAAAAATCAAACTATACCCTATTTACAAAAGATCCACATAAAACATAAAGACATAGACAGGTTGAAAAATAAAGTGATGGGATATGATATCCCATGAAAACACTAACCAAGACAAGTTAATATAATTATACTAACATCAAAGTAGACTTTAAGGCAAAAAGTCTTATTGGAGATAAAGAAGTGATTTTAATTTAAATATAATTATAGTTCAATTTACTAAGAATATGTGACAGTTTTAAATCTGACTATATCTAGTATTATAGTTTCATTTTTTAAAATAAGCAAAAAATAATCTGGAGAAATAGTCAAATTCACAATTATATAAAGTCATAATTTTAATATGTGATAAATATTTGAATAACAGGTTATTCAACCTGACTTATTGGACATATAAAAGCATTGCATATATGGATTGACAGAAGTTGACCATATCCTGGGCCAAGAAGTAGTCTCAACAAATTCCAAAGATTGGGCCTGGCACAGTGGCTCATACCTGTAATCCCAGCATTTTGGGAGACTGAGGCAGAAGCATAGCTCGAGACCAGGAAACATAGTGAACCTGGGCAACATAGTGAGACCCCATCTCAACAACAATGACAACAAATTAACTGGGCATGGTGGTATCAGCCTTAGCCCTAGCTATTGGGGAGGTTGAGGTGAGAGGATTACTTAAGCTCAGGAGTTCAAGGCTGCAGTGAGCTATGATTGGGCCACAGCACAACAGCCTCGGTGACAGAGCAAGACCCTGTAACTATATAAAAACAACAACAAAAAACAAAACAAAAAATTCCAAATATTGAAATCATATAAAATACATTCTCTGTCCATAATGAAATTAAGTTAGAAATTGATAACAAAATGAAAACTCCAAAGTCCCTAATTATTTGGAAATTAATAAATACATCTCTAAAAAACTCCATGAGTCAATCTGCAATTGATATTAGAAAATATTTTAATGGGATTATAAGAAAATATTACATATAGAAATATTATATACAAAAACCCATGGAATGAAAGCCATGCTGAAAAGAAAATTTAGAGCTTTGTGTGTTTATTGGAAAATTTAAAAGTCTGGGAAAAATCAATAAGTTAAAACCCATCTAAAAATGTTAGGAAAAAACTTAGGTATTAAAACCCAAAAGATTTTTTAAAAGAAAAAAAAAAGGAAGTACATAAAAATAATAGAAAACCTGAAATGTTACATGACAAAATAGGCTCAAAGTTGAATGTTGGCTTTTTAACAAAATTAATAAAATTGACAAGTTTCTTGTGAGATCATGTTTTAAAATTGCCTAATAAAGGGCAGGGCTAAAGGAGATACATATCAGTATACGTCCTGCAGATGTTAAAAAGATAAGTTATATTATTATGAATTATTTTTTAATTTTTAGTAAGCTAAAATTTAGATGAAATGAGAAATTATTAGAAAATACACCCTAAAACTAACATGAGAAGTGGGAAATTTGAATAGCTTATATTCATTAAAGAAATTGAATCTATAAGACCTTACTACAAAGAAGCCTCTTTGAGAATTCTACCAAATATTTAAGGAAGAAATATCATTAATCTTACAGAAATTGCTTCAGCCACTGGAAAAAAAAATAACTTTCCAAATATTTTTATGAGCCCAGGATAACTATACAATCAAAACATGAAAGAACCTTAAGAATAGAATATTATTTAATTGAAGCCAATATCATTCATGAACATAGACACAAAAGTTATAAGTGAAATATTAGCAAACCAACTTCAGTAATATGTTTGAAAGGCTATTTCTCTTTTAAATTTTTTTAAAGTGATACCAAATAGATGTACACAGCCTGTAATCCCAGCACTTTTGGGAGGCTGAGGTGGGTGGATCACCTGAGGTCAGGAGTTCGAGATCAGCCTTGCCAACACAGTGAAACCCCATCTCTACTAAAAATACAAAAATACAAAAAAAAAAAAAAAAAAAAAATTAGCCAGACGTGGTGGCAGGCACCTGCAATCCCAGCTACCAAGGAGGCTGAGACAGGAGAATCATTTGAACCTAGGAGGTGGAGATTGCAGTGAGCTCAGATTGCACCACTGGACTCCAGCCTGGGCAACAGAGTGAGACTCTGTCTCAAAAACAAGCAAACAAACAAAAAAAGATGTACATATTTTCAGGATACATGTGATAATACATTTACATAATTTGAAAAAATCAAATCAGTAAAATTGGGATATCCATCACCTTAAATTTGTGGCTTTTCTATATGCTACAAAAATTCAAATTATTATCTCGCAGCTATTTTGAAACACAAAAGAGATTATTGTAAATTATTGTCATCCTACTGATCTATCAAACAGTAGGTCTTATTTCCTCCATCAAACTGTATATTTATACCCATTTATATACCTCTTTTAATTTTCCCTCCTCTGTATCTTCCCAGCCTTTTGTAACTACCAATCTACTTTCTATATTTCATGAACCAGTTGGGTTGATTCCTGGAATGTCGGCTGGGTTTTACATTAGAAAAAAAAAAAATCAATGTGATTTCCTACATTAACAACAACAAAAAAGATCATTATATGATCGTCTCAGTAGATACAGTGAAAGCAGTTAATTAAATTCAATATCCATTTATGATTTTTAAAATATCTTAGGAAATTTAGAATAGAAGAAGTCTATTAACCTGAAATGTGATATTTACAGATAACTTAGAGCAAACAATCAACTTAGTGGTGAAATATTAAAAAATTTCCCTGTGAGATCACAAACTAGAATGGATGCTCACTATTGTCACTTCTAATCAACCTTGCAGTGGAAGTCTTAGCAAATACAGTGAAAGAAATTTAAAATAAACACAAAGGTATAAGGATTGAAAAGGTAGAAAACTTTCATTAATAAAACTGCCATTAATTATAGAGATAATTATATTTGTAAAAGACTCACAGTAATCTATAGAAGAATCATTAGAATTAACAACTAAGCTTCGAAAAAATTGTCAGTACAAGATCAGAATATGAGCATTTATTACATTTCTATATGCCCGTTAGAAAATGAAATTTAAAGGTATGGTTACAATAACCTTAAAATAATCAAATACCTTGGAATAACCTATGTGAAAGAACTTCACACAGAAAATTGTAAAATATTATTTACAGAAATTAAAGAAGATCTAATTAAAAAGAGGAATGTGCCACATTCACAGGTTTGAAAACTATGGACTATATAGATGTCATCTCTCCCTAGATTTGATCTATAAATTTAAAGAAATTCCAATCAAGAGTCCACCAGATTTACGTCGTATCTGTGTGCATGGGTAATTCGACAAACTGATCCTGAAACAGAGAGAAATACAAGGGGCCAAGAAAAGTCAAGATATCTTTGGAGAAGAAAATGAAAAAAACAGGCTCTACTGGATATTAAGATCTACTATAAAGCTACATTGTAATTTTTACAATGCAGGATTGAAACCTAGGAGAGACAAATAAATCAATGGACTAGAATAGAAAGCTCAGAAACAGAACCGTGCGTATATGAACATGTGATGTGACTAATGGAAAAGGTGACACTGCAGAGGAGTAGGAAATGAATGACTTTTTTAACAAATGGTACTAGAACTACTGGCTATCTAGTTGGGGGAATATTTGACCTCGTCTCACACATATATAAAAGTCAATCTTGGGAGGATGGTAGACCGAAAATGCGAAAGGCAAAATAGTAAAGCTTGTAGAAAATAACATAGGAAAATTTTCTTATGGCCTCAGGGCATAGAAAGATTTCTTAACCAGAAACCAAAACTGCTAACCACAAAGAAAAAAATGGATAATTTTGACTACATTAAAAGTAGGGACTTTTACCATCAGAATACACTCTTATGGGAATGAAAAGGCAAAGCCACAAAGTGTGAGAAGATATTTATATCCCAATAACTGACAAACTGTATCCAGAATATGCAGAGTTCTTATAAATAAATAAAACAGAAAATGCTAATTAAAATATAGATGAGAGATTTAAGCAGGTAATTCACAAAAGAAGTTATCCAAATGACTAAAAGCCACAAAAAAAGTGCTCAACTACATTAGTAATCAGGAAAGCACAAATAAAAAGCACAATGAGATACTACTGTTCATTTACTAGAATTGCACACAACAGTGAAAACCATTTCTACACACAACAATATGGATGAATCTCATGAACATAATATTGAGCAAAAGAAATCAGACAAACAATTATACACACTGCATGATTCCACTTATAAAGATCTTAAGTACAGGCAATTCTAAGCTGTAGCCTATGGGGATAAAACTTAACTGATAAAACTATAAAGAAAAGTAAGGACTGTCAACTATTAAAGTCAGCCTAGTAGTTTTCTTTTTGGGAGTGATGGTGGTAAGGGGAAAGGTTAGGCAAAAACCTAGAGGGGAACTTCTGGGCTGCTGCCAATATTCTATTTTCTGACCTGGGTATTGGTTATGTGTTTGTTTTATGATAATGTATTTTTATGTTTTTCTATATGTCTGTTACATTTCACAATGAGTAACTTAAAAAGAGTGAGGGGAACATCCTTCTTTCTTACTTCCTTGGTGGAGAAACAGGTTTACTCAGTATGAATGGCAGAGGGAAAACTGGGTTCTAGACCATCACGGTGATGCCAAGTCAGCCCTGGACCATGTACCTCTGAACTGCTTCTACACTACAGAGAAACCAGTTTCAATCTCATTTAAGTCACTCTTGGGAATTTATGTTTCTTGCAGCCAATCTAATCCTAACTTCTACAAGGTAAGAGTTGGAATTAATGCAACTTACACCTAGAAAACACCTATTATATATTTGGCCCAATGCTTGGTTCCAGGTATAGCAAGAGGAATCACGAACATGTAGACAATGAAGGATTGAGAAAAGGGGAGACACCTTAGTTCCCCTGATGGGCTAAATGCTTCTCTCTGATCCCTCAAATCCCATGATTAGAATTGGACAAAAGTCAATTTTTTATTTCTTAGAATAACTTAGATCAGCTGCCAAGTTTCCAGGATAGTTGCTAGCAACAACCACCACCCCCCAGGCTTCCCTTGCCCTACGGAAGGCTGATCTATGGTCATTGCCAAAAAGTAAAAATGTTTTTATTAAAATTATCTATAGACCAACTCTTTGTTTAAAAGGAACTTTGGGGCTTTTTCAATTGTCCTTGGGTCCCAAGCACAGTCAGACTAGGAAGATTTATTTTTCAGAACTGAGCTTCATTTAGCTTTCTATGTAGGGCACAGGGTCTTGAACTGAGCACTAAGCAGAAGCGGGAATGGGTCATTCTCATTCCCAGAATCAGATTGAGCCCAGGTTATTTTAAAGCAAGCTAGGAAGCAAATCAAAGTTGTTTTTAAATACATAAATCCAATAAGCCAGCTGGACTCAGGACTAAACCTATATCTTTTCTAGAATTATTCAACCAGAAAATAAAAATATTCCCTAAACTGAACCTGAATTGAATTCTACTGTTTTTACATTTGGTTCAAGTCCTGGGATTTTGGCAGGAGGGACAGCCTTGCGTTTGTGCAGGGGGAGCTGAGGTCTGGAGTCTGTCGGCGGGGCAGAGGGTTCTATGAGCCTGCTTGTGTTTGCAATGTAAAACAAAACCTTGTTGGGGTCTGACATGCAGGAGCTCTGGCTGCAGATAGAATTCAGCCATTGAAGGGGAAGATGACCTATATTTGTCTGTAGAGACTTTGCATTTGCTGTTTAATCAGTCCTTGAGAAATCAGCTATGGTCCAGGGAAAACTGCAGAGAGTTTGGGCTTGTGCTTAATTGTCTCTAAGATGGACAGCCTACCTGACAGGTATGATTTGTTACACAGAGAATGCAATGTTTTCTTCTCAAAACATACTCCTCAGGCATAGCAAAAAAAGCATTGTGCCTCTCCAAACACTCTACAGAAGTCGTGGAGTTTGATCAAGGGAAGGTTTCACCAGCACAGACACTCTGGCTCAGAACACAATGTATTGTAATGCAAATGAATTCAATCCTTCATGGGGAATCGGGAGCTTTTCAAAGAGGTACAAGAGGAGGGAACAAATGGCTGCTCAAAGAAAACTATAGAAATAAAGCAAAGCAGTGTCACAACATCTTGTCCCTGTGAACCTCAGAGCTGCCTAAAATCAGAAATAACTGACTCACGCCGCACCAGGGCTTCAAAGGAGGAAGCCGTTGTTGAGGCCCCTGTCCCACCCACCAAAATCATAAAGACCAGAGTGAAAAGGAACCTGGGGTTGGTGTTCTTGAGCTCCTAATGATGTCAGTATTGGTGATGGTTCTGAACAGCCACCATTTATGCATGGATCAATTTATATCACACCTTATGGTATGGTAAGCACTGAGGGTGTAATTGGAAAAGAAAAATATGTGTTACCATTTTCCTCTAGAATTGCATCCTCTAGTGGGGAATGCTAGACAGCAATGGTTGAAGAATCAAGTTTTTCAGGCCCTAGAGTTTTCCCAGATTTGTCCCTAGCTTTTAGACTGCTGAGATGAATTACCTAACGAAGCTGTGAAGAAAGAAAGCATTAGGATGCCTCAGTAGCCAAAGGGCCATGTCCTAATCTCATCTTGTAGCTCTAAAGATAGAAAAAGACAGTGAGAAAGTTGCCATATCACTTCCCTGCTTAAAACCCCTTGATGGTTTCTGATACTCTTTGGAGCAAGTCTGAAATCTTCACTTTGCTTCCAAAGGCCCGCACCATCTGGTGCCTGCCCGTGCCTCCAGCCTGGTCACCCTTTGTTTCCCCCCAACAACACCAGATAAGTCTCAGTTTTTCTAGCTTGCTGTGGTTCTGTCCACCACAGGACCTTTGCACCTGCCATTTCCTCTGCCTTTTGCCTGACCAAATCTCTCTAATTCTCAAAGCACAGCTTTACTGTCACTTCACTGGGAGGCCCCTTTTCCACATATTCCAGATCAAGTTTCTGGTCCATCTGCCCATTGACCTCTTTACATTGCTTTCCTAGCACTTAGCATGATTATAATTATAAGAATATTGTGTAATTATTTGTAAGCCACATTTCCTGCTGGGTTGTAAGCTTTGTTAGGTCAGAGTTTGCATCTATTTTTACTTAACACTGTATCCCACCCCTAGCATGGTGCCTGGCTCATAGTCATAAAAGTGGCTAACATTTGTTTGGGTACTTGCCAACTTCTTCATGCATGAACCTAATTAATCCTCATAATCATCCATGAAATAAATGCTATTGGTATACTTGCTTTGCAGATGGGGGTTTGGAGGAATGGAGAGGTTAAATAACTTGCCCAAGGTGACCCAGCCAGTACATAAATATTAAGAATTCAAATCTAGATAGTAGAGCTCCAGAGCTTGTGGTCTTAGCAACTGTATTGTGGTGGCTCAAGAAGGGTTTGTCAAATGAGTGAGTTTATAAAGAAATGAATGCAATTGGGTTTACATGGCATTCATGAGACTAATTGACAAGGAGTGGCAAGAGTGTGAGGTGTGTTTTCTTTCTGCCTGTTACATATGCTAACATTTATTTAGTATTTATTACAAGCCCATTCCCTTGTTTTGCTGATAAGGAAACTGATGCTTCGAAAATTTAGTAACAGGCCATACAACTAACAAGTAGCTGAATTTGGATTTCAACCTTTTACATTATATTACACTGCCTCCCACATAAAATTGGGAATAACAAATGTCTATAAAAATGAAGAGAGAGCTCCACACTTGTGGATTTTAATCACGTGCACCCAGGCACACAGACAAAACCCTTTCAAATAAAAGAGCAAAGTGGATGGGATTTAGATTCTTTTCTCTCTTTCCTTTGGAATTCAACCCAAGTAAGGTATAGAAAATGACTGTGGATGACAGCTGGAACCTTGCACTGGCAGACAAAGAGTCTTGTTCTTCATATTTAGACATAAACACTTGCATTTCAGACTAGGAGACTTGTAGTTAGCAGATAGCCATCTGCTTTTGTTAGGTCCTACCTGGTTCCCCAAATCCTTGCCTCTCTTCTACCAATTGCTCAATCTGGCTATCCTGGCCACAGGTATTATTAACTCTGGTCTTTGGATGAGGACTTAAAGGAGCATCAGTCAGCCCTTGTGAAGTTGACAGAACTCGCCTTTGTAGGTGGTCAGGTTCTGACCCTGGGCACTGGTTTGATGGCTCCTTTATTCACCCAGCGAACATTAACTGAGCACCTATTACATGGCAGGTCACATGCAGTGTTAGAGCTATAACAGTGAACAAAAACATGGATGTTGTCACCATGAGACGGGCTGCCTCCTCCAGCAAATGAGAAGCTGATGTAAAGCAACTGGTCACAAAATTAATTATATAATTATGGCACAAGGTGATGTAAAATGTCACAAAAAGATGCCTTCCCTGCTCCAACTGGTTGTTTGCCTGTCCCTACCCCCATCAGTGCCCAATTATAGAAGGCAAGCTCACAGTTGACAGCCAGAGAGTTTGTGTCCTTCATCTTCTAAATGATAAGAAATGTATTTCCTGGGGGCAGATTCTCCCAGTCAATACCAAGTAGAAAATAAAGCATAACTGGTTTAGTGGGGGTGGGGGGGATGGGGGGCGGTGGTTATTTGCCACCAAGACAGAAGGAATAAAAGGACTGGGAAAGAGAGGAGAGGAACTTTGGAGAAAGTCAAGAAGTGATCTCCAGAGAATGTTCTCGACAGTTTTGGAGTGACTATTAATACAAGGTCCAGTACCCACTTTTTGATGGGAGTTTCCTAAGCAGAAACCCTTAGGGAGCTGGACAGAGCAGCAGAGGTGGTAGGGTGGCAGAGGGAGAAAGCAGATGGCAAAGCTTACTGAATCCCTGCAAACTTGAGCTAGCATGGCAGACTCCTGTGGGCCTGGACCAGGGAGAAGCTCGCTGTCCTATGACAAGGTACACACTGAGTACACCTTGCAGAACAAAGGCCAAGGCAGAGAGGCTAATGAAGGCAGGTGGAATCTTCCATGCCTCCAGTTCCAGGAGGATAGAGAAGGGGTATTTGGAGAGGCACCAATAAAAAGACAGTCTCCCTCCACCTACCTACCCTTTCTGCTTGGAGTGAGACCTCAAGATACCTGGAATCAGTAAGTGTGTGTGCATCTGTGGGAGCCCTGGAGAGAAAACTCTGAATGGTGGGTAGTTCCCAAATACTGACAGGATGTAAATTGGACTTAATACCTGGGAGAGACTTTTAAACTAAAAGTGACCAAAACACTGTAAATTGAACTGAATATAGTGTGTTAGACTAAATTTAATTTTCTCCTTGCCAGGCAGAGGGATGAGGGCTTGTCTGAGCCAGCTCTTCCCTGCCCTGGAAGCCAGCACTTATCCCACTGAGCCCAGCCCTATCCTCCTTCTCCAGCCCTTGTCACTGCCACCATGGGTCCAGCACTAGCCAACTGTGGGAACCACCACGGGAGAGTAAGACTTTGGGTCTCTGTCCTTACAATCAACTTAATCCTGGCATGTGCCAGAAGCAGAAGCTATGGAAAGAAGAGAGCAAACAACACTCTAGGAAACAGTTTATGCCTCTGAGCCTGCAGACTCAAAGATGCAGTTTACAACATAAATTGTAAAAAAAAATTCCAACGTTTCTTCTCCAGAGTGAAATAAGAACTCTCCTCTGCTTAAGAGAATGCTTGTATTTCTGGTTTTCCTGAGGGTACTAATAGAATAGAATGAGCTGATCAGGGATGGGACAGCGTGTCCACTGAGCAGGGAGAGTACAACCTGGTAATTCATTTCTGTAAGACCTCTTGCTTAGGGATTGCAAAGTCCTCTTACAACTAATACTTTGTCACAAAAATAACTATAGGATCCCCGATGGCCAGATCCAATAAACTACAGAAATGAAAACAAACCTTCAATGTCCCCTTGTTTCCAGGTTTTTCTGCAGAGGAAAGAGAAAGGGAGGGAAGTGGGGAAGGGAAAGAGGAAGAAAGAGGGAGGGTGATGGAGGGGAAGATAGAGGGGTATGTGAGAGAGAAAGGGGAGTTGAGGAAGAAAAAACAATGCAGAATATAGGATTTAACTATAAATTCTGGTTTTCTCACCAAAACAGGGATATTTCTGGTGGCCCAATCTTATGACCATAATGGAACATTACTACTATTACTAATGACAATATTTCTGCTAGATAAACAAAGCTATAAGTAGCCTAACTTTCCATCAGTAGGAGGTTGGTTGAGTCAATTACAGTAGCATTATACTATGTACTCATTATATTAACAGGCTGTTTTGGATAACATGTGGCTCTTCAAAAGAATAAGTTGATTTATAATATTGACCCAAGAGAGATATTTGTGAAAGTAGAAAGAGTAACTTTAAGGACATTATGATTTCATTTTGATAAAACAACAACAAAAACAATACATATGAACTTAGGGAAAACAATCTCTGATGATTACGTATGTATTCCTGTGAGGAAAGAGAAAGGTGTGAGGGATCCCTATGAAACTGACCATTGGATACCTCAGGGAGAGTGGAGGATGTACTGGAAAGGAGGAAGAGAAAATTAAGGTTTTCTTTGCACCCCTCTGTGTCATTTGAGTTGCCACGATGCACACAGATTACTGGAATCTCACTTAAAAAGAATAAAACCATAGAAACATTAAATTGCTTAGCATATAAAGTAGCAAATAGTACTAAGGGGTAATAGAAAGCATCGTCTTTGTAGCCTATTATGTATCATATCCACTGCTAAGTGCTTCATATACATTCTTGCTTGCATCTTACAAAAGCCTTATGCTCCCATTTTACAGGCTCAGAAATGCTAAGTTGCCTGAATTTGCACCACACTTTCCTGACATAGTTGGGGTCTGAACCCAGGTCAGGCCAACTACATAATCCCTGGGGGTAGGGATACAGCTAGAGGGCTTCCAGTTACCAAGAGGTCCAGCACGAGGCCTCTATACAGGAGTATCAGGTGGTGGTGAGCAATTTCCGCTGTACTCAGTGACAGCTGTGAGCTGGACCCAGGGTTAGAATAGCTTCCCTAGCATATCAAATTTTAATAACTCAATTCTCATGGCTGGGCTTAGCTGAGCAAGCTGCTATTACTCATCAGCTTCTACACGGTATTTCCCTGGAACAGGTTGTTTGGAACATCTTATGTCTGGAAGCATTTTATCATTGAGGAGACTTAACCAAGATGCATTCAAATTGCCTAGCCCACTTTCCCATGCCCATGGGCAGGGAAATTAAGGGTATTCAGGTATAGCCAGGGTGTGGAGTTAGGCAGTCAGGTCTTATTCATTTGGAGTTTTGTGACAATTAAGCATAAGCTTGGCTGAAGTTTGCTTCTGCAACATCTGTATATAAAAAATTTGCCACATTTCTTGATAAACAAGGAAAACAGACAAGTAAGGATAGGAAACATTTAACCTACTTGAGGGATTTAAGTGTTTTTTTTTGTTGTTGTTGTTTTATTTGTAAAGAACTTTAGCATGGTGTCTGCCTGAAAATGCCGGCTCCTAGTTATTATTAATGGCAAAAGCAGATTCAGCAAGATTTCTAGGTCATAACTTTTTAGAAGTAGCCAAGTAACTATTCCTGCTTTAAAACTGTAGTCTATTTCTCCAACAATGTTATTTCCTTAAATGACTAGATAT
Source organism: Homo sapiens (assembly GCF_000001405.40). Lineage (NCBI taxonomy): Eukaryota > Metazoa > Chordata > Mammalia > Primates > Hominidae > Homo > Homo sapiens. Next base: position 136,886,174 of record NC_000005.10, on the reverse strand, counting down.
GCTCCCATCAGCATTGAGGATGTCCTGACATATTATCTCTGAGACTGAAAACACCAAGTGTCCAAATCTTTCTTGCAGTTTATTCATTTTTCAGATGACCATGTTTATCAGTTTAGAACTTAGCTGAGAACTTTAGATTTCTGTTTCTACAGATCAGCAGATGTAAGCTGCACACTGTCTCAAAAAGAAGAAATGACTTCTCTTTCCATGGGAGAGATTTGCTTGTTCCTCCTTTTTCAGTCTCTCCTGTGTTTTGAAACCACATTTCTTGCTGTTCCAGTTTTTGTGGTCTCCGTTTTCTGGTCTCCAAGACTGTTCCACTCTCCTTTTAAGGTGATCATTCCATTTCGTCCCTCTGGAATTTGCAGATGGGAGAAGAGCGAAGAGCAGTCCACATCTGCAGCCTCCATTTCCTAGTCACTATTTCTTTCTCTGTCTTCAGTCCCTATCATTGACAGAAACTGCTTTCCCAAAGGTCACTAATGACATTCTATCAGCAAATGTGGTGACCTTTTCTGAGTCTTCATGCTGCTTGCCCTTTCTGAGTGTCTCATACTATGGACCGTCTCTTCTGTCTTTTATGGAAAATTCATTTTTGCTTCCGTTATCCTGCAATTTCTTTCTTCTCTCCTTGGTTTTGGATGTGGTTTTTGTTCCCTTTCTTTGCTTTCCCTTGCACCCTCACTCCCTTAAATACAAGCATTTTCAAGTTCTACTTTCTTCTGGTGGTGGTGGTGGTGGTGGGGATTGTGTCTCATCCTCTTTTCTGACTATAAATGCATCTTTGTGGACGAGTTCCAAATCTATAGTAAAATCAAGTCCTGCCTTTCTAATTAAATTCCACCATGCCAAGTGCACACATTTGATTCTCAGTCTGTTCTTTTTTCTAGTGGCATTACTACCTTCCTGAGTGACAGGGCTTGATATCTTGGGATTATTTTTAAGCCACTCCCTTCTTCCCTTCCCTTCCATCCTAACAGTAAGTGAGCCCTGTTGGTTCTGACTGTGAAATATCTATCACAAACCAGCACTTGGCAGTTCTTTCAGAAGTGACTTAGGATAAACTCAACCATCCTGAGCCTCAGTTTCCTAACCCTTGCAGTGTAGATCATGACAGATGCAGGGCAGGTGTTGTTAAGGGTTGATAGCCCTGCTATTAAAGCACCGAGAGACTGGTACTTTATTACTTTGAGTAGATACTTTGAGTTGTTCATTTTGTTTTGTTCTGTAGAGGTGGGGTCTCCCTATGTTGCCCAGGGTGGTCTCTAACTCCTGGGCTCAAGCAATCCTCTCGCCTCAGCCTCCTAGAGTGCTGGGATTACAGGTGTGAGCCACCACACCCAGCTACTTTTAGTTGTTCTTGCTATAATCATTACAGTTGATTCTTGTTATTCACAGTGGTTATGTTCTATAAAGTTGCCACAGACACTAAATTAGTGAATATTGAACCATTGGTTCTAGGGAAATACAGGGCTAGGTTCCTATAAACATATGATCACAACATTATCATTGAACAATCATTATGTAACTTTGTTTTATGTGTGTTTCTATTTAAAGACACTTAATATACTTCACTAATTCATGGACATTGGACTTGTATCCAAGAACATTATAATTTGTGCTTGAATGAAGCTTATCTAACACACATATTTTCTCCATAAGGCACATCAGAGCCTTTTTGCACTTAAGAAAACTAGACATCATTTGAGTATTATGCTTGGGGTCATTTTAAACAGTTAAATCACCAATAAAATGCACAAAAATGCAAAAAAATGGCACTATTAGACCACAAAAAGGACGCTTGTTTACGGCATGAGAGCTGAAACAGTAAGGCAGAGTGTATTAGTCCATTTTCACACTGCTATAAAAAACTGCCTGAGACTGGGTAATTTAGAAAGGAAAGAGGTTTAATTGACTCACAGTTGTGCATGGCTGGGGAGGCCTCAGGAAACCTACAATCCTGATGGAAGGCAAAGGGGAAGCAGGTACCTTCTATACAAGGTAACTGGAGGAAGAATGAATGCAGGAGGAGCTACAAAACACTTGTAAAATCATCAGATCTCGTGAGAATTCACTCACTATCATGAGAACAGCATAGGGGAAATTGCCCCTATGATTGAATTACCTCTACCTGGTCTCTCCCTTGACACGTGGGGATTATGGGGATTATGAGAATTATAATCCAACATGAGATTTTGGGTGGGGTCACAGCCAAACTGTATCACAGAGTGTCATTTTGCTCCAGCTCAGCTGGAAGTGTGAGTATTGGGCAACTCAAATTTTCTGATCCTCTGCACACGCCTGTAAACAGCAGTGAAAACACCCTGAGTATTGATTTTGAGGTTATAAATAAATTGTAACCAGTAGGTGAATTGGCAAATATGGAATCTGTGAATAATGAGAATCAACTATGCATTTTCCTTCTCTTACCTGATACACTTGTCCTCACTGAAGCCTTGGCTTCCCTTTGCCTAAATTTACTGCAGCAACTCTCCTGAACTATCTTTCTCCCCCAGCCTCCCACTTTCCATGCCCATCTTATACTCCCCATTGTCTGTGACTGAATTCAAGGTTCTGGCCGACAGGAATTCTTCTTACATTTCTCCCTCTCTGCCTAGCTCTATCTCTATGAATAATACTCTTATCAGCTGCCATGTTATAAATGTATCATTTTAAACAAAATCACTTACGTTCATTTTCCTAATTTCTAGAATGAACTGATGGTTTTCAGCCTACCTAATTTATAGGATTTTTGTGAAGATCATGTAAAATAGTAATTCTCAAATTTTCATGTGAACAAAAATCACTGGGGAAATGGGCCAGAAAGGGAAGAGAAATAACTTAGAAATTCAGATTTCTGAGGCCTCATTTCAGAGATTCTGACTCAGCAGATTAAAATCAGTCCTAGTCCTACTTTCAACAATATCGTGAGATGTTTCTTGGATCACACTTTAAGAAGCACTGGTAAGTCAACAGATGTCAAAGTGTTTTGTAAGCTAGCTACATTCATCCACCAGAAAAATAGCAATTGAGCACCTACTATGTATTGCTCAATGGTAAGCAATGGATGTAACAGCTAAAGGGACAGAAAAGCAAACTCAAAAAAGAGATGAGAAAGGATGATTAGTATGTTTTTGTTAATGCTGTTTTTTCATAAGAACATCACAAAAAGAAGCCAAACTTCTACAAAGAAAACAAATAGGCAAGTGCCAAGATCCCAGAAACAAGTGTGCAACTAAACCCCGAAATCAAGCTCAAATGCTCCTTCTACCATCCACCTTCTGTGAAAATGGTTTGCATGCACCTCCTTTGTGTCCCATCAGCTAGAACTCTCCTTGAGGACAAGAAGCTAGCAGTTTGTGTGTCTCCAAAGATCACACTGTGGGCATTGTACCTGATGTGTACTCAGCAGAGGTTTGAATGGTGACTTTGTTTACACATACTTCAGTTGGAAAATAGCCCCCATTCAGTAGAGTTAGATATATGGGCATGTAAAAAATAGCTAGTTAATAACTTCTTATTGTTTAGTAGGCTTGTAGTCAGGGATAGCCACTAGCCACTCAGAGGCAGGTAAGGAAAGGAGAAGAGAAAAGATAGACATACATAAAAATGCTCGCTGTGCAGCAGCCATTTTGCTCACACTTCTGTCACCAGCACTGTGACACTAGTTAATGCAACAAAATCATTAATGAAATACTTTATATTTTTTCTGCTAAATATTCAAAAGCCAAAGTGTATTTTATTCTTATAGCACATCACAATTCATACTAGCCACATTTCAGGGGCTCAATAGCCATGTATAGCATGTGGTTACTATGTTGGACAGCACAGCTCTAGAAGAGGGAACAAATGGACTTGAGTGAACTGAGTTAGCCAGAAAAACACATGGGCCTGGATTTAACTGATAAAAATATTTTCGGGTGAAGAAACCAAACCTTCGTTATTCGGTATTCAGATGCTGCAATGTTAAGTCTGTGTTCTTCAAGGGAGCGAGGCTGAAGATATTTTATCCTAAACTCAGGTTTTTTTTTTGAGTCATTATTTTTAAACACATAAAATTAAGATACATAAAAGTCCAAAGGAAACCAATGATATTGAGATTTTTTTTGCAAAATATTAAAAAAGAAACTTAAAGAGTATATGAGAGTATAGGTGCTTCTTTATTATTGCATTAAATAATTAGGACAAAAGCATATTTGCAGAGCTAATAACTACCATAATTTTAAAGAAATAATAAACATAAGTAGTAATATCTTATAATATGAAACCATATGGGCTTTCTATTGGTGGCAAAGTCACATGTGCTGCAAATGATGGTTTACTACCTACATTTATAACTGAAGGAAAATTTAATTTGTAGCTAGATCTTAGTGAAAATAAAGATGTAATTTCCCTCCACCCAAGATCATGGGCAGCCTTAATTCTGTCCATGGATCTTCTAGGATGCCAGGCAAGTAAACTAAAAAGGAGTACTGAGCAGCAAGAAGGGACCATGGCAATTGTGGAAAGTTTGAGCATGCAAGTCTAACTGAAGGCATTCAAACACACATTTTTAAAAACACGGGGGAGGCTGAATGAAACTCATCCAAGGGCCACCAATTTGCAGCTCCTGAACCAAGCAAAACCAACTGGTGTCCTGTTGTTTCTGGTCCCCAAGTTTAGAATCAGTTCTAGATAAAGGTACTTGGATAAGTGACCCAGCAATTCAACTTCAGAGAGACTCCTTTTTGTTTTTTTATAAAGACACATAACCCTCCAGTCTATCTCTGCTGTGCACTTTAATTTTTACTCACTGGTATTTAAGAAAATCTTTAGAAAGTCCCATTGAAACCAGTTTCTTTTGAGGCTGCTTTGTTTAATTGTCTACTAAGTACAATTAAACAAAGATCTACTTTCTACTTGATATAAAAAATTAACAACAATTAACCGACTTTGTTTTGCTTTTATTTTTGTCATTTTTTATTTTTTAATTTAATTGGTATTTTTATTTCTATAAATTTATGGGGTACAAGTGCAATTTTGTTACATGCATAGATTGCATAGTGATGAAGTCAGGGCTTTCAGGGTACCCAACACCTGAATAATGTATGTTACAGGCATTAAATAATTTCTCATCATCCACCCTCTTCTCACCCCCTCACCCTTCCAAGTCTCTACTGTTTATTATTCCATACTCTATGTTCATATGTACACATTTAGTTCCCACTTATAAGCAAGAACATGCAATATTTGTCTTCTTGTATCTGATTCATTTCACTTAAGATAATGACCCCCAGTTCCATTCATTTTGCTGCAAAAGACATTATATCATTATTTTTATGGCTAAATAGTATTCCATTGTGTATATATATGTATATTATATATGTATATATACCACTTTATTCAGCCATATGTTGATGGACACTTAACATCAACATATGTTAAGGTTGATTTCATATCTTTGCTATTGAGAATACTACTGCAATAAACATATGAGTATATGTATCTTTTTGATATATTGATTTATTTTCCTTTTGGTAGATACACAGTAGTGAGATTGCTGGATCCAATGGTAGTTCTATTTTAGCTCTTTGAGAAATCTCCTTACTGTTTTCCATTGAGGTTGTACAAATTTATACTTCTACCAGTGTATGAGTTCTCTCTTCTCCACATCTTCATCAACATCTAGTGGTTTTTGTCTTTTTAGTAATAGTCATTATGACTGGTGTAAGATGATATCTCATTGTAGTTTTAATTTGTACTTCTCTGAGGATTAGTGATGTTGAACATTTTTATATGCCTGTTGGTCATTTATATGTCTTCTTTTGAAAAATGTCTATTCATGTCATTTGCCCACTTAAAAAATGGGATTATTTGTGGTTTTTCATTGAGTTGAGTTCCTTGTGAATTCTGAATATTAGTCCCCTGTTGGATTCATAGTTTACAAATATATTCTCTCATTCTGAAGGCTGCCTGTTCACTCTGTTGATTATTTCTTTTGCTGTGCAGAAGCATTTTAGTATAATTACGTCCCATTTGTCTATTTTTGTTTTTGTTGCCTTAAAGGTTTTAATCATAAATTCTTTGCCTAGACCAATGTACAGAAGAGTTTTTCTCCATTTTTTTCTTTTATTTTTATAGTTTTAAGTCTTACATTGAAGTCTTTTAACCATCTTGAGTTGATTTTTGCATATAGTGGGAGACAGGGATCCAGTTTCACTCTTTTGCATATGGAAATCTATTTTTCCCAGCACCATTTATAGAAAAGTGCCCTTTCCCCCATGTATGTTCTTGTCAACTTTATCAAAGATTAGCTGGCTGTAAATATGTGGCTTTATTCCTGGATTCTCTCTTTTGTTTCATTGATCTATGTGTCTATTTTTAAACCAGCACCGTGCTGTTTGGGTTATTATAGCCTCGTAGTATGCAATTTGAAGTCAGACAATGTGATGCCTCCAGCTTTGTTCCTTTTGCTTAAGATTGCTTTGTCAATTTAGGCTCTTTTTTGGTTCCCTACTAATTTTAGGATTGTTTTTCTAATTCTGTGGAAAATGACTTTGGTATTTTGATAGGAGTTGCATTGTATCTGTAGATTACTTTGGGCAGTATGTGCATGTTAATGATGTCAATTCTTCTGATTCATATTCATGGGATGTTTTTCTATTTGCTTGTGTCATCTATTATTTCTTTCATCAGTGTTTTGTAGTTTTATTTGTAGAGATCTTTCACTGCCTTGGTTAAATATATTCCAAAGTATTTTATTTTATTTTTTATTTTTTGTAGCTATTGTAACTGGGATTGGCTTCTAGATTTAATTCTCAGCTAGGTCATTATTGGTGTATAGAAATGCTACTGATTCTTGGGCCGAGTGCGGTGGCTCACTCCTATAATCCCAACACTTTGGGAGGCTGAGGGGGGTGGGGTGGATCACGAGGTCAGGAGTTCGAGACAAGCCTGACCAACATGGTGAAACCCTGTCTCTAAAAAAAAAATACAAAAATTAGCTGGGTGCAGTGGTCTGTGCCTGTAGTCCCAGCTGCTTGGGAGGCTGAGGTAGGAGAATTGCTTGGACTAAGCAGAGGTTGCAGTGAGCAGAGACTGCACCACTGCACACCAGCCTGGGCGACTGAAAGAGACTCTGTCTCAAAAAAAAAGCTACTGATTCGTGTACATTGTTTTTTGTATCTTAAACCTTTACCAGATTGATTTATCAAGTCTAAGAGATTTTTGGGGGTGGAGTCTTTAGCTTTTTCTGGCTATAAGATCATATCTTCAGTGAACAGGGATAATCTGACTTCCTTTTTTCCAATTTTGATGCCTTTTATTTCTTTCTCTTGCTTGATTCCTCTGGCTGGAACTTCTAGCTCTATGTTGAATAGGAGTGGTGAGGGTGGGCATTCTTGTCCTCTTCCAATTCTTAGAGGGTATACTTTCAACTTTTCCCCATTTGGCAGGATGTTGGCAGTGGTTTTGTCATATATGGCTGTTATTATTTTGAGGTATGTTCCTTCTGTGCCTAGTTTTTTAAGCTCTTTTATTATGAAGGGATGCTGAATTTTATCAAATGCTTTTTCTGCGTCTACTGAGATGATTATATGATTTTCGTCCTTAAATCTGTTTATGTGATGTATCACATTTTTTTATTTGCATATGTTGAACCGTCCTTGCATCCCTGGTATAAAACATACTTGATCATGGTGTATTATCACTTTGATGTGCTGTTGGATTTGATTTGCTAGTTTCTTCTTTTCTTTTCTTTTTTCTTTTTCTTTTCCTTTTTTGTTTTTGAGGATTTTTGGTCGATGTTCATCAAGGATATTGGTCTGTAGTTTTCTTGTTTTGTCCTTGTCTGGTTTTGGTATCAAGATAATACTAACCTCATAGAATGAGTTGGGGTGAATTCTTTACTCCTGAATTTTTTGGAACAGTTTCAGGAAGATTGGTATTAGTTTTTTGTATGTTTGATAGAATTTGGCTGTGAATCCATCTGATCCTGGGCTTTTCTTTTTTGGGAGATTTTTCTATTATTACTGACTCGATATTGCTACTCATTATTGGTTTGTTCAGGTTTTCCATTTCTTCCTGGTTCAATCTTGGGAGGTTGTATATTTCCAGGAATTTATTATTTCCTCTAGGTTTTCTAGTTTGCGAGTATACAGTTGTTCATAATAGTCTGTGATGATGTTTTGTGTTTCTGTGGTATCAATTGTAATGTCTCCTTTTTCATTCTTGTTTTATTTGGATCTTCACTCTTCCTTGGTTAGCCTAGCCAGAAGTTAATGAATTTTTAAAATCTTTTTGAAGAAGCAGATTTTTGTTTTGTCAGTCCTTTGTATTGTGTTTTTGCCCTCTATTTCATTAGTTCTGCTTTGATTTTTGTTATTTCTTCCTTCTGCTAATTTTGGATTTGGCTTATTCTTGCTTTTCTAGTTTATTTAGGTTTGATGTTAGGTTGTTAATTTGCATTCTTTCCACTTTTTAATTTATTGTTATAAAAGTCTCTCTTCACACTGCTTTTGCTGTATCCCACAGGTTTTGGTATGTTGTGTTTCCATTTTCATTTATTTCAATTTTTTTAAAATTTCCATCTTAATTTCTTCATTGACTCAGTGATCATTCATGATCAGGAGCATGTTCAATTTCCATGTATTTGTATAGTTTCTGACATTGTTGTGGTATTGATATATGGTTTTATTCTACTGTGGTCTGAGAATATACCTGATATGATTTCTATTTTTTAAAAGTTTGTTGAGACTTGTTTTTTGGTGTAACATATAGTCTGTCTTGGAGAATGTACTTCGTGCTGATGCAAAGAATGTATATCCTGCAGTTGTTTACATAAAATTTTCTGTAAATGTCTTTAAGATCCATTTGGCTTTAAGTCTAATTGAAGTCCAATATTTCTTTGTTGATTTTGTTTTTATCTTGAAAATCTAATGCTGTGACTGCGGTTTTGAAACCCCCACTATTACTATATTACTGTTGGTCTCTTTCTTTAGGTCTAGTAATATTTGTTTTTATGAGTGTGAGTGCTCCAGTGGTGGATGCATATATATATTTAGAATTGTTATATCTCCTTGTTGAATTTATCCCATTATTATTTGATTACTTTCTTCATTTTTTTGGCTATTTTTGATTTAAAGTTTAAAGCATAAAGATATAAGCATAGCTACTCTTGATCACTTATGGGTTCCATTTGCATGGAATATCTTTTTTCACCCCTTTACTTTCAGTCTATATGTCTTTACAGCTAAGATTAGTTTCTTGTAAGAACCATACAGTTGGAATGTGTTTTGTTATTGATTCCACCAGTCTATATCTTTTAAGTGGAGCACACACAGACCATTAATGTTCAAGGTTAATATTGATATGTGAGGTTTTGTTTCTGTCATATTGTTAATTGTTTCCTAGTTGGGTTATAAATTGTTTGCTTCTTTTTCTTTGTCACCTTTTATATTAAACAAATAAAATACATTCAATGTAGAGAGATAAAAGAAGCAATCAACAAAAAAGAAAATTAATGCACTATAGACATAAATACCATTAATATTTTGATGCATACACTTTGAGACAAATAAAAATGTATCTGGTATGTACACAGGAAAAATATGTAGATACTTTTAAAATAAAATGAGATGATACTGTACATACTCTCCTGTAATCTGCTTTTTTGCACTTAATACATCATAGGCATCTCTGTATGTCAAAAAATATTTGATACCATTTTTTAATGTCAGGACGGCTGAATTCCATTGTATAACTGTGGCATAACTTAACAAATTCCTTTCTTAGACTTTTAAGTTATTTCATTTTTTTCATAAAAGAACATAACAGCCCCCATCTCATAAAATTATTGGAAATATTAAATGAGATGAAGTACTTAAATTACTTGACACAGATCCTTTCACGTAATAAATATGGAGTGGAAATTAGCTATTTTATAATTTAATTTTTGTTATTATAATACCTCTTATCTGAAATGCTTTGGACCAGAGAAATATTAGATTTGATTTTTTTGGATTTTGGAATATTTGAAGACTATATACCAGCTAAACATTCCTTATCTAAAAAATCCAAAATCTGAAATAATCCAATGAGCATTTCCCATGAGTATCATGTCGGTACTCAAAAAGTTTCAAATTTTGGAACACTTTGAATTTCAGATTTTTGTGTTAAGGGTGTTCAACCTGTATTTCATAGGGTAGATTCCTAAGTATGAAATTTCTGGATCAAAAGGTATAGTCAAATTTGAAATGTGATGCCAAAGTTTGACCTAGAAATATTGTTTCCAAACACCCATGACTGAATGTAAATATCTATTTCCCTTATCATTGTTGATTTTAAAATCTTTGCCATTTTGCTATGTCTTTGACATCATCACTAGGGGAGTTGAATACTTTGTGTACACTTATAGGCTATTTTAATTTCTTTTAAAAATTATTTATCCCCCTATTTGTCCTTTGTCATATGTTGTAATTTTTTTTTCAGTTTTACAAACTTCCCTTTTAGCTTTATCTACAATATATTTTTATGGAGAAACTTTAGAAATAATTTAATGCTGATAGTTTCACCTATTCCCTCCCCACCTTTTTGATAGGTTCATTTTTTGGAGTCACACTTGGAAATATCAGCTTTGTTTCAATTTTATAATGCATTATAATTTCTTTAAGTAATTTTATCATATAGATGTTTATATATAAACTTTTAGCTCATCTGGAAATTATTTTGATGTATAGCATTAGGCATAAAATTAGCTTAAAAATTAATAGCCACTTGAACTAAAGTATTACTACATAGGTAGATTCCTTGCAACAAAGAAATGTTTAAGAATTTGTAAAAATTCTGTTTAAAGTACATTTCAAAGAAGTAGATTTGATTATACTTTATTCACTTACATTTTATTGGACTTCCTAGTTCACAGTGGTAGGGAGGAGGGTTTACACTAGACAGAATAATGTTAATTAATCCTTCCTACTCCCTAAGTAGTAATTACCACCCAACCTTTATGGGTACTTTATTTTCTTTTCCTTCATTTCTCTCCTAATCACCTTTATATTTCTAGCTTTGTCTTAAGCCTCCACTGATTTAATCAAGGAGAATGAAACAGGAATAGCATAATGGCTAAAATAGCAAGACGAAGCTGGGCACTTTTGCTAGTAGTGTTGATTTTTTTTCTAACACATCAATATATAGCCCTATGTAAAAACACTGACTTTGTAGAGATGATTGGTTCTTCAAAAACAGAATGGTACCATTGATTTATTTTGCACGATGTCTTGGTTATAGGTAAATATTTTATGATGTTGGAATATGGAAAGCATGAATCCACCCAAGTGTTTAACATGAGAGAATTTATTTTTACTTTCTTTGTCCCTGTTTCCTGTGGCAATATTCTGTTTAATTCAACTGGAACTTTGTATCCTTACAATATATAGAGTACCAGCTTAATCGAGAGAGTGCTTGAAGAAGATTGCCCAGATAGCAGCTCCTCTTGTCACAAATGGAATCAGACTCCTCTTATATAGGAGATATAAAATTGGCATGGTGGGCTGAATGACAGCAAGGCTGAAGGAAAGCTACTTAGACAGAAAAGGTATCTCAAAAAGGCGCTGTATTGACCAAGAAGACATCTGAGATGTCAAAAGGTGATAGTAAAAGAAAGTATGGGTTCCTACCTTCTCTGTAGAAACTCACTCAAAACCAAGTTAGTCTCCTCACCAATCCAGATTTGAGAGGAACAACCAGAGAAATGTCTTGCTTCCCCAAGGTCTTTTCAAAGGCAAATTTAAAGCTATGCATTTTCCTTCATTTTACATTGACTTCATTTTACATCTCTAAACTGTATATGTCGTTGGGTCTTCTACCTCAACAGGTAACTTCATCTGTGAACACTGGGGCGATTTCAACTGAGCAACCACTATTACAGACAGAGCTAAGCCTGCTAGAAGTCACTGTATTTATCAGTCATCTGCCAATGACATCCAAGCCATGTATCATACACTCAAACTTCAGGTGGAGGAGTAGAGAGCTATTTAGAAAATCTAACTCTGTCCTCCTAATAACACTTCTCTGATTTGTGTAAGACATTCCCCTGCAACTCTGCCCCCAACCTCTTTTCCTTTAAATAAGGTGAAGAACAAGAGGAACTGCTTACTACCTCAGTTCTCATAAAAACAAGTTAGTTCTTATATCAAAGCTATGTCCAGAATATATCCAAGATTCCTGAATCCTATGATCTACCTTCAACCCTCCATCCCACTGCTATAACCTTCACTGGAGAATGCCATGTGCATACAGGCTTGAGTTCTCTGGCATTGAATGTATTTATTGGTATGTTCCATCAGTGATGGGAGGAAAATTACAAACCAGGTATATAAATTTAAAATGTAGGAGGAGATGGTGACAGCCAGAGAATAAATGATATACTCTAGTATCTCCAACCCTCTTCTTTTAACTTACCCTTTTCTGAGGGGATGGCTCCCAGGGGGCCATATCTATATAATCTGATTGGAAGGTGGGGAGGGGTAAGAGGGAGGTCTAAAGCTACATTTGTCAAAACTAAGAAAATGTTCCCTGTGCACATCCAAGGATGGAGAGAGGCAAGTGGAGACTAAAGGAGCAGCTCAGCCTTTCATTTTATACCACTGGCTGCTTCTGAAATCATATCTCCCCAACCCGCACAGTGCAGAACACTCTGGTGTGCAATCGTCAGAGTATCACTTCTTGGTCGGACACTGGTCAGACACCTTAACTGGAATCAAATTACCTTTCAGTGAATGCAGAATCGATTTCATTTTCTCAGGCCCACTCCTGACCTTGTGATCTGCTTACCTTGGCCTCCCAAAGTGCTGGGATTACAGGCGTGAGCTACCACGCCTGGCCGAGACAGGGTCTCATTCTTTTGCCCAGGCTGCAGTGTAGTGGTGTGATCACAGCTCACTGAAATCTCGGAGGGTTTCCTTGTACTTCCTTTTGCTCATGTCCTACTTTCAAAGGCCCAGCTTATGCCCCACCTCTTCTAGGAAACCTTCCTTGGCAGGATGAGATCTCAATCCTGAAATTCCAGAGTCCTCATCATCCAAATTGCTTATCTTGGTACCACAGTAGAAGAGACTCTGTACCTCATAAGTTCCATGCTTCCTGCCCTCTGTCTTACTGTTTGAATCGTATATATGGAATTCTCAAAAATGCATGTGATCATGGCTCCTTGATCTAGTAAAGTCTGCAAAATCCTGAACCAAACTCATAATGTCTTCTTCCCTCTGAAACCTCAACTCCAGAGTAGGCTAGAAATAAATTGATGCGCTTGCTTTGAAGTCCAACACCAGGCACAATGGTGATCCCCAGTGCTACCCATATCCAAGAATCAGTAAACTATTTAATCTTTCTAAGTCTTAGTTCCCTGATGTTAAAATATGAGTAATTATAGTCCCTATCACATGAAATCTAAGATATAAATACACAAATACAGTGCTTGGTTCAGTAAAATGTGAACTATTGTAATTTTCCTCCTCCCTCTACTTTTTACTTTCTACCACTCTCCAACATTTTCCTCATCTATTTTTACTGAAACACAGTCTGTATTGATACTTACTACTTTCCACTTTCATTTCTTTCTGTCACTTAATTATATGATGTGACATACCTACCAGACTATAACTAAGCCTACTATGGGCATGACCCTAATCCAGTTTCAGCACCTATCCCTCTTCCCCTATCCCTTGCCTTGCATGGTGTATACTGGCATGAATACATGAATGAATGAATGATTACCTATGACTTTCTTTTAAAAATTGGTACCTGCTTTAATATGTGTTTGTATCAAAGTTGGCTCTTTTTCTGTCTGCCCACATCAGTGATCTTGGTGTTTTGAGGACAGGGACAGTCAGGATAATTGGTTTTGCACCACAGAGCATGCAAAAAGGCCTAATTGGTGATGACATTTTAGTAGCCAACAACAGTTGAAGTCAGAAAGGATTTTTTTTTGCATCATGTTTATGCTTAATGAAACATTCAATCCTCCTCTTTAGGAGTTTTATTTTCTAATTTCCCCAAACTGCATTTCTAGTTTCTACATGTTGCTTGTCTCATGGTGACAGTTTCAGGCATTTTCCCAAATGCTAATGATACAAAGGATGAATGATATCATGGGCAAATTGCTGTGGAACTATGCTTTTGCAAAGATAAAAAGAACAAGAAATGGGACTTCTCTAGCTTCTGTTCAATTTCAATGACACATTTCTTATTAGCAGCCTTTGTTTTTACTCTGTGGGTATTTAAATTTTAGGAAACTGAGTAGTTTCTCCCAGAGAACTACCAACTGAGCATTTTTCAACTATGGCAAACAGGATTTTTCTCATATGAAGTAGATTATGTTATTACAAAGAATAATTGAAAACACCCTTGAATTGTTGAGTTGGTTCCCAAAGTGGATTTTACTTGCAGAGAACATGGAAAAATGAGACTGATTGAAGTGAGCCCCATTCTTAGTGCTAGGCTCTATTTCCAGCATATTTATGGGTCTCCCCTACCCTCCTTCAATCCATAGTCCATATTGCTGTCAGAGTGTTTTCTCAAAAGCACATCTGATAACATTGTTCCCCTCCTAATACCCTATTATGGCTCTTCTCTACTTTCTGTATAAAATGCAATCTTTTTCCCTCCCCAGGCTTAGCTACTACTCTTCTCAAAGTGTACTGTAGTCTTCTTGGCCGTTGGAAGGTTATATATGTGTACCTATTGCCTAGAACCTAGAAGAAAGTCTCTATATGCCTTCTCAGACCTCACCCAGGTTGCCTTGCATTCTCTTGACTTCTGTTCACCTCTCAGAATTCTACCTGGATGTCACTCCTACCAGGCAGCCTTCCATAACTCCCACCTGGTTTAGGGGCACCTCTCTGATTATGCAGCCCCATATACCTTCAACACCATAACAACACCATAGCCTTGTATAGTCATTCTCTACTTGATATCCCTCAGTAGACTGCTCAGGTGAGATGGCTGTCTAATTCACAACTCTCCTGTAGGGTCCAGCATAATGAAAGCCTCGTATATTTTTTGAACACTGTGGTATATCAGAGATAAAAAGGAAGACATAATAAATATTAGGATCCTAAGCTCATTTCACTGAGGCTAGATTCAGATATTTAGCTTATATTTCATTTGAACTTGAATACTTCATGAGATGTTTCCCCAACCACAACAAAAGAGACTGCTGAGCTGACCCTTCAGAAGCCTCCTGTATGCAATAGATAATACATATCTACTGTTAGCTATGTAATCTTACTTCTCTATAAATAGTTTCTCTCTCAATGATGTGTCTAGCAACGATTAATAGAGTTTGAGCACCTAGTTCCTAGTTATTTTTGCAACTAGGATAAAACATGATACAAAATAAGTTTAAATTATAAAGGCAGATTTTCTTGACCAAGTGTCTTATGAACTTTAAGAGAATTTTCATAGGAAGATGACCAAATATTGTTTTTAGCTAGGGATCTAACAGGCAAGTGAGGTGTAAGTCATTTTTTGGCTTCCATGGTGGATTGCCACCTTGAAATAGGTAAAAGCCATCAATGTGATCACACTTGGCCACCTAAGTCAAAGTTGTTATTACAATGCCCAGGACAATATTCCACACAAATGTAAGGACTTTTCCAATCAATAGGTTCCAATAGAGTCTTAATACTTGTAGGATTCAGTTTGGTGCTGAAGATTTCTAAAGCAACAGCTGGACCAGAAGAAGCTGTTAGAAGAGTTAGGATCAGCTCACAACAATTATCCACTTAATGTGGCATTTATCTGAAACACTAAGTCTGTGCAAGGTCATTTAGACTAATCACCATTTATTTCATGAACACTTTCCTAAAACTAGAAATAGTCATAAAGTTAATAATTTATTGCAAGCATAATCAATTTAAGAAAAATAATTAGCATGAGCCATTATTGTAGGGGAATACTAGCTGTCCATAAAACATGCTCAGATCTGTTTCTTGTTTCCCTTGGAAGAGATTAGTTACATATGGTTTATATGGTATGCCTCTTGCAGATGTGGATACTTAAAAAAACTATGAACTAGCATTATTAATCTTTTTGTGAATAACAAAAGAATTAATTGAGAGCTTCATTATCATAGATGATAGAGGTTTTAGATGATAATGGCATTTTATTTCAAAAGTTCATCAAAGAGAGGATTTTAATTTTGAAGCTTGACTAATCATGACCATTTTGACTCTTGATAATTATGTATCAAGATGGAAGTTTTTAATGAGTCTTCTTGAGATTAGGGGTACATTCTGCCATTGTGCATTTGATACAGAAAAAATGTTCCAAATTCTAATTGAAAATGTCAAAAACCTGCTTCTAAACATATTGTTCTAAAAATTTATTCTGAGTTTAGATTAGAAGTATATGAGCTGAGAGACAGTATTGTTAGAATGGTTTTCAGCAGTTGAGAGGGAACAGTATGGGGACAACTTCAATAATTAGCTTAAAAAAAGATACCGACAAATCTTTTGTTCAAGGAGTTGCCTTATAACTCAAAGCAAAGGGGTTAAGGTGAATGTGAGAGGATTCCAAATGCCCATCCACTAGGTAGACACACTAAGAAAATGTTTTGCTGTGAGTTTTTCTATTCTTCAAACTCTCCATGACAGATGACTTAGAAGAGCAAGTTCATTCTTGTTAAATAGGTGGCATTAATGGCTGATACCTAACATCTATGATGCTATACAAGTGTCCCTCTATGAGTCAGCTGCTTCTGGGGCTGGTATAGCCTTCAGAGCTGAAGCCGGATGAGGAAGACACTGACTTCCTTGCAAACTAATGATCTCTTTCTGCCCTTACTTTCACTTTGATTCTGATGTAAACACAATTAATTGGGAAACCGATCTGCTATTAGAAAAACTTTCTTTTATAGGTGGCATTTCTAAAATGGGACTCAAGAAGGGAAGTTACTCCTTTTTTATAGAAGAAAACAAAAGCTCAAAAAAAGTGTGAAGAATTAGAGAGTTCTAGGCCTTCTCTCAACCTTTTCCTAGGATCTCACCAGTTCCCTGAGTGCCATCAGCATTTCAATAGTGGAATATAATTTCCGGTCAACAACATTCTCAACTAAGTATAACCAAGTCACACATCAAAAGAAATTTAGGATGTATTCAGAAGCCAACTGAATTCCAAGACATATCATTGGAGCATACTTTTATTTTCTCATGGAACTTTTATTGGAACCATCCTAAACTGACAGCCCTTCCCAAATCTTAGTTTCCAGAACTGAAGACAGCAATTTGGGATCATACAACACACTATTTCCTTTAAATAGCAGACATCCTTCTGGGCAAGACTAAGAACCTGAGATGTACAGATCCTAGGTAGGTAAAATAAGCTCTGTTAGCTAATGAGTGAAGCAAATCTACCCAAGGGCTGAAATAGGAAAATATCAATGGATTACATAAAGGGAGAAAAAAATGCATTGCAGGTTCAAACTCCTTGCCTGAGCTATGTTTGCATGAGGGTGGAGAGGGATGATTAAAACTCATTTAAAACCATCGGGGGAAGATGCAGAGTCTTCTGCTCTGTATTAGTCAGGCTTCTCCAGAAAAACAGAATCAATAAGATTTATATATTAATATAAGTATATTAATAAAAAGTTATATGATTTATATATTAATACAAAGAGATTTATTATGAAGGTTTTGGCTCATGCAATTAAAGAGGCCAAGAAGTCTCATGATCTACTATCTGCAAGCTGATGACCCAGAAAAGCCAGTGATGTAGCTCCAGCCCAAGCCCAACCCAAAGGCCTGAGAACCAGGAGCCAAAGATGTAAAGCTTGGTCTGAGTCTGGAGGCCTGAGAATGAGGAGTGCTAATGTCCAAGGGCAGAAGAAGAAGGATGGCTCAGCTCAGGCAGAAAGACAGATATGCCCGTCCTCTGCCTTTTTGTTCTATGCTGGCCCTCAGTGGATTGGATGATGCTCACACCCACAGTGAAAGCAGATCTTCTTTACTCAGTCTATTGATTCAAACACTCATCTTTTCTGGAAACACCCACATAGACATATCCAGAAATAATGTTTGCCAGCCATCTGGGCACCTGTTAGCCCAGACAAGTTGACACATAAAATTAGCCATCACATGCCGCATCTCTGTTTTTAGCCATAGTTGCCAGAGGGGACAGAGGTGTCATGTTTTGGGTGAAGACTGATAAAAACTTTTATTAGGGAAAAGATGATAAGCCCAATTTGAATTGGACAATAAAGTGGACATTGAATTTTTGTGCAAGTTGGAAAAGAAACAGGGCCAATGTCAGGAAATCCAATTTGAGGAACAAAGCAAGTATGCGAGATGGCCCTGCTCAGAAAATAGTATGTGCAGTAAATTTAGACAACATGGGCGTAGTGCTGAGGCCACAGTTAAAATGAAAGAAAATAGGCACATATTTGCTTGTCTGTGCAGTTTCCCACTCTCTGCAGGAAGGACAGATAGGCTCAGAGCTGTAAAGTCAACAGGTCATATTTGGCTCAAGAATGTAGCATTTTGTGGTGATTCTAACAAACCTACATCTATTTGGTCCTCATAAATTATGTTAGTTCACTCAGACATACAAGAATGCAGCCAGCCTATAAAAGAAGCCTGTGTGTTCAGTCTTCCCCTTCTGATTCCTGTCCTTCCTCCCCACCACACACAGATGCTGGTCTCAGACTGATCACTCTTAGATCTCTGTTTGTCCCTTCCTGCTCTATCCTCACTTCTGTTAGCTGTTTGAGATCCTCTTGACTCCCAGTGTGTCTGGGAAAATTCTGACCCAGCAGCCATCAGCCTCCTCCGCACATGGCTTCCCACATACTGATATCATCCCTCTGAGACCAACATCGAGTTTCTTGCAGCAATATTGGCTTCTTGGCCTTGGCTTTTGGTCCCTCTCTCAGCTTGGTTCTGTCTCTGGCCTTACACTTTCTGCTCTAACTCTGATCCCACAGTGATCATCCTTCTTAGTTATATTCTACTCAGACTGACCACAGCTGAGTTAATATTCTCTTAATATCCAGCTTTGACACAGGATATAGTCTTATCCCTGGCATGCACAGAGTAGACACACGATAAGTATTTGTTGAAATATTGCTAAATAAAGCAGGTGACTGAATATTGCCACTGGTTGTTTCTGAATTGCTGGTTGATATTACAGACTTACAGATTTATCTCATTTATTTAGCCTCAATTAGGGCTTTGTTAATCAATCTATCTCAAAACCATATTAGTTGTGTGGTTAAGCCTATGATGAGCACAATTTATCCATTGGTGAATGAGAACTGATTGAATTAGCTAAATATGGTTGGACTAAATTAGCTGTCAAATTGAAGAGCTTTTGTCATTTGGGTTTAGTTGTCATCCCTTGAAATCACTGGATGTTCTAGGCCAAGACCTTACCTGAGCCACCAATGTGATTGAGCACCAAATAACTGCCATTCATGAGCAGGTAATATGTTACACGTGCCTCAAGAGGGAAATCTCACAGCTGAAAGATAAGCCTCATTTTGGCCATTTTACAGATAAGAAAGAGCAAAGAGGCAAAGTGACTTGTCCAATATAACTAGACAAGCAGATAGATGCTGGAGCTGAATTGAAACTGAGGTCTGGTTAATTCCAAAGATAATATTGTTTTTATATTTCCATTTAGAGTTTCCTCATTATGGCCCAGCCACAGAGTAGACACCCAGAATTCAAAACCTAAAAAAAATCAGAGCTCTTGGTCCCAAGGAACTCACAGCCCAGTAGGAAAAAAGACTGCATTTAAAACAGGAAATG
Source organism: Homo sapiens (assembly GCF_000001405.40). NCBI lineage: Eukaryota > Metazoa > Chordata > Mammalia > Primates > Hominidae > Homo > Homo sapiens. Next base: position 136,866,393 of record NC_000005.10, on the reverse strand, counting down.
GCCAGAAATGGGCAGCCAGTCACAAGGTGGGAGGTGGTCCACTGCAGGGAAGAAGCTCAAGGATAGTCACTGCACACACACAGCCCAGCGAGTTCCTTCAAAGATACCAACCAGGAGTGAGTTTTAATGCTGCCTGTCTTTTTCTGTCCTCATCCAGGTTTTCCCTTCTTTCTGCTCTGCCAGCCAAAGCCTCAGGATCTCATTCAGGACAGCTGTCAGAGGCCACAACATTCCCTACTGGTTGATTTCCATTTACTCACTTCTTTATTAGGCTCTCTGCTTCCCCCTGCTCAATCGTAGGTGTGGGTGAGATCCATTTTACTTCCTCCAAATCCCTTGACTTCCTGTGAGACTCTCTGACCCTCAAGTAACATAAACAGCAGCAGAAGTGGCACAAATCATTTCTCACACCTGGGCTTCCTCCATCACCAGAATCAGCATGGATCGTGAAGTTCTAGATCTCAAATTTGAAAGAGTTCTAGATCTCTTTCTGCTTAAGTGCTACACCATTGGAGTCATTTTATAATCCTCCAATTCCACCATGAGCAAGGGTGCTCATGTCCTGTGCACATGTCTGCCAGTCACCAGGGAAATTGGATTCGTGTGCAGGGAACTAGGTGGGGGGAGCAGTAGGAGAGTATTCAAAGAAGTCATCCAGATCCTTCTTCTCAGGGGTTAAAGGGAGGACATGATGGAATAATTTAAGAAGGACACAGGCAGAACCGAAGTAAATGTTAGAATGGTTGGAAGTGATTAGATGATGATAAAATTCTCCTTGAATACTTGCTACTGAGTATCATCACAGTAACATTGTTAGGTGTTTTTCCCCATTTTATAGATGAAAAAACTGAGTCCGAGAATTAATAAGCCTAAGGTATATAGCTTATGTGTGGCAAAGCCAGTTTTCAAACCTAAGTCCACCAGAATCCTGCTGTTAGTCCCACTGCACTATGCTGCAAAGAAGAAAGATGAACGGCTGGGCCTGCTGGGTAGGAGTTTAGAAGGGAGACAGGAGGGGACAGCATGAAGCTGAAGTGTGTAGCTGTGCTCAGGAGACTGTCCTGAGGGATAGGCAGGGCATTTGGGCTTCGGAAGAAGAGATGTAAGCTGCAGCAGGAGGGAAGCAGGGGTTGCAGTCTAGGATCAGAAATACCTTCCCCCTTGAAGGGCCCAGCTCCCTTTTCCTTTTGCGCAGAGAATGACAGGACATGCAGGCCTGAAATCTCTGGTGGGCGTAATGCCTGGCTACACAGCACTCATGCCAAGGCCCCGAAAACATGAACTGCCTTGGACAGACTGTGAGAGCAATGAGTAAAATCCAGCTCTCATTTCCATCCACTGGAACTCAGACCTCATCAAACACCCACAACAGTTTTAAAGAGAATGTTAGTTACAATCCAGAGCTAATTAAAACTTTCCATAAAATGACTCTTTAAAATTTAAGTGGCCTTGAACGCTAACAGCCCAGGCTTGTCTCTAACTGCAGAATTATTATTAACGCATTAGCACAGCAATACCAGCCATTAAATTTGCTCCGCAATTTTGAAATAATGATGTTTTGAGTGTTTCCAGCTGAAATGGTGTGTTCCTTTCAATTTTGACCCAGCAGCCATCAGCCTCCTCCCTCCACTGTTTCCCCCATACTGATGTCATCCCTCTGAGACCAACATCGAGTTTCTTGCAGCAATATCTGCAACTGCCCAGGGCTCCTGGGTTTAGTTCTACTCTGATGCCTATCTGCTTAGTTTGGACTTTTTATTTTCACCTCCCCTTGAAAACAGAGACTGTGTTCATGTGGATTACACTGTATGTATGTTGAGGGTATAAAACGCACCAAGCTCACTCCTGTCCCTTAGAGGCTGTGGGACTTTAGAACAAGTTATTAGAACATTATGGCTACTAATGACAATAATTGTTAACATTTGTTGAGCACTTACTATGTGCCAAGCACAATTTACATACATTACCCAAATTCCCCCAACAAACCTCATTTTTATTTATTCTGTTTAACAAACAGCTATAAAGTACTCACTACAACACTCAGTATGTGCCAGACACGTGTTTTATGTACATTCACAACTTAATCCGTATAACAATCTCAACAAAGCAGATATAGCTATTATTTCCATTTTATAGATGAGTGAATTTGGATTCAGATGGATTAAGTAACTAGAGATTTAGTAAGCAAAGTAACACCACCAATAAGTATAACAATGAAACAATGCCGGGGTTCAAAACCATGGACTCAGACTCCAGAATCCACATCCTTACTCTACACCACCAGTCTTCCAAATTGAGCATGCTTTGGAACCACCTGGAAGGCTCATGGAAACATAAATTACTGGGTCCTAACCACCCCCTCCTCCACCATGCCCAGTTCTGATTCTGTAGCTGGGCCTGAGAATATGCATTTCTAAAAAGTTCCTAGGTGATGTTGATGCTGCTTTTTGAGACTGCTCTAGACTGTGTTCTAATGTTCTAATAATCTCCTTTATTACAACTGAGGAGACTGAGTCTCAGGTTAACTAAATTACCCGAGGCTATATAGCGCAGAAGTAGCTGAACTGCACTTTGGTTGTTCTGCCATACACGAAACACCTTGAATCTCAGTTTCCCCATCTTGATAATGGGGATATGAATATCACCTAACTTACAAACTTGTTAATACTAGCCGAAGTAATTAACATTACAGACTATGGCATGTAGCAAGTACTGAGTGCTTGCTTGTATCCTGAAAAACCCTGTGTAAAGTATGCACCAAATGAAAGTTAAATTGTGTTAAATCCATCCAATTGCTCACAAACAAACTTTTGCTGTTGTTGTTGTCCAGATGGTCCTGATATCTGCAGGTTCACCTTCCCTTTAGTGCCCAAATATCAAAGGTCTGAACAGGCCTTTCCCTTCTAGAGTCCAAGTTCCCAGAGCTGTCATGTTCTGTAACTCCTGGGGGACACGATTAACATTTTATAACATATGAATAGCACCTTATGGAGTTGCCAGTGTGGCAGCCCTGCTGGTATTTATATCTTCGTTTTTGTTTGTGTTTTTCCTTAGATCCAGAATAAGAATAAGTCAAATTTCCTCTTACTTCCAGTTTGGGGCCTGCCTGTTGATGCTGTTATATACGGAGATAAGTTAATACACTTAAGAGTTTAGTTCTCCATTGCTTCAGCCTTGACAATTTTGCATAGACAAAATATTCTTATATTCTTCCCCACCCCTCCACAATACAAAGGCAAAGCAAAACAAACAAACAAACAAAAAGCCCTGCTTTCAAAATTGAATCTAAGCATTCAAGTCAAGGGAGGAAAATGGCTGAGAAACACTTTGATTTAGCAATCTCACTTGTAAGGATTTACCCTGAAGATTGATTCTCAATAATATCAAAACCACTCAGATGAGCAATATTATTCGCTGAAGAGTTATTTATTGTAGCAAAATATTAGAATGAACAAAATGTCTAGTCATAAAATACTGGTGGTATTTTCATACGGTGAAATGGTATGCATCTGTAGAAATAAATAAGGATGATATTTGTGAAATGATCTGGCATAGTTTCCAGAATATGTATCTTTAAGTGAAAAGAAGCACAATGCACAAAATTATATATAGTATTTTACCGTTTATATTAAAATAAATTTCCTTGGTGTTTGCCCAAAGGAGTTGAAAACTTACATCCATACAAGAACTTGCAAATGGATGTTTAAAGCAGGTTTATTTATAATTGCCAAAATTTAGAAAGAACCTAGATGTCCTTCAGTTGGCTAATGGGTAAGTCAACTATGGTACATTCAGACAATGGAATATTATTAAGTGTTAAAAAAAAAAAACAAGCATCAAGCCATGAAAAGACACAGAGGAAACTTAATTGTGTAATATTAATTAAAGAAACCAATCTGAAAAGGTTACATATTTTATGATTCCAACTACATGGTATTCTGGAAAAGACAAAACTATGAAGACGGTAGAAAGATTAGTGTTTTCCAGGAGTTGGAGGTGGAGGGGATGAATAGGCAGAGCATGTAAAAGTGTTAGAGCAGTGAAAATACTCCATAAGATACTATAATGGTGGGTACATATTATACACTTGTCCAAAACCATAGAAAGTAAAACACCAAGAGCAGACCCTAATGCAAACTATAGACCTTGAGTGATTATAATGTGTTCACCAATTTTAAGAAATAAACCACTCTGATGAGGATGTTGATACTGAGGGATGCTGCATGTGTAGGGGCAGTGGATATGTGGGAAATCTCTGTATCATTGTATCATTCCCTCAATTTTGCTGTGAACCCAAAACTGCTCTAAACAATTAAAGACTTTTAAATAATCCAAACAGAGAATTTAAAAAAATAATGTGTGTGCGCGCACACATGTGTGTGTGTGTGTGTGTGTTATTTTGCAAAAAGAAACATAGGAAGAATAAACCAGAAACCAATAAAATTAGTTACTTAATGTCTTAGTCCATTTGTGCTGCTGTGAAGGAATACCTAGGCTGGGAAATTTATAAAGAAAAGACATTTGTTTGGCTCATGGTTCTCCAGGCTATATAAGAAGCATGGTGCCAGCATCTGCTTCTGTTGAGGTCCTCAGACTCCCTCTACCCATGGTGGAAGGTGAATGGGAGCCAGAACGTGTAGGGATCACATGGTGAAAGAGGAAGCAAGAAAGAGCAGGGAAAGATACCAGTCTCTTTTCAACAATCAGCTCTTGAGGAAACTAATAGGGTGAGAACTCCCTCACTCCCACCACCCAGGGAGGGCATTAATCTATTCATGAGCGATCTATTCCCATGACCCAAACACTTCCCATTAAGCCCACCACCAACATTGAGAATCAAATTTCAACATGAGATTTGGAGGGGTCAAATAAACCTTACTATAACAAGTAATTAGTAATGTACAAGAATGGGTAGGAATACAGTATAGGAGTGATGGAAGAAATTGGAGTCTTTCTGAGTATATCTTTTTATAGTTTTCCTTTGATTCCATATTAATGTTTTACATATGCTAAATAATCAAAATAAATTAATAAAGATGGAGGAAAGCTAAAATGAAATTTAAACACAGACTATTGATCCTATGTTAATATCAAATAGCTATCAAAATCATACAAAAGAAAACCAGGATTTGTTCAAGTAACTTTTGAATATATCACTAGATACAATTGTTGAGATTTATTTTAAAGACCAAAAGGAACAACAAAGAAACCTTGAACTCTATTTAGGAGATTTGTTTTGGTAGTGGTATTGGTGTAGTAACTTTGAAACCACTAATCATTGTATTGTAGATTTGAGCAATGAGTAACTACATTGATACTGAGAACCACAGTTCTCATTATGCCTATTTATAGACTATTCATTCTCATTGTACAAGAAGGAATATGCAAATATAAAATGCAGAAATTCAATGGAGAAAAAATAGCCGTTTCAACAAATGGTACTGGAACAATTGAATGTCAAAATTCAAAAAAATATCTAGAAATGATCACTTAAATAAATGAACTGTAGACCTAAATATAAATTGCAAAATTATACAGCTTCTAGAGGAAAATACAGAAGAAAATCTAGGTGACCTTGGGTTTGGTGATTAGAGGTAATAAAAAAGCATGACCCATGAAAGAAAAAAATGTGATAAGTTGTACTTCATTAAAGTTAAAATCTTTTACTCTGTGAAACACACTATTAAAAGACTGAAGGCTGGGCATGGTGGCTCACACCTGTAATCCCAGCAGTTTGGGAGGCCAAGGTGGGCGGATCACAAGGTCAGGAGATTAAGACCAACCTGGCCAACATGGTAAAACCCTGTCTCTACTGAAAAAAAAAAAAAAAAAAATTAACTGGGCATGGTGGTGCACCTGTAGTCCCAGCTACTCCAGAGGCTGAGGCAGGAGAATTGCTTGAACCTGGGAGGCAGAGGTTGAAGTGAGCTGAGATCGTGCCACTGCACTCCAGCCTGGGTGACAGAGTGAGACTCCATGTCAAAAAAAAAGACAAAAAAAACCAACAACAACAGAAAAAACCAATGAAAATATAGCAACAGACTGGGAGAAAACATTTACAAAACACATATGTGATAAAGGACTTATATCCAAAATGCAAATACACTTGAAGCTCAACAATGGGAAAACAAACAAACAATTTAAAAATGGGCAAAAGATCTGAATAGACACATCATCAAAGAAGATATTCAGATAAAAAATAACCATGCGAAAAAAATTTCAAAATTATTTGTCATCAAGGAACTTTATGTTAAACCAATGAGATACTAACACATACCTACTTAAATGGCAAACAAACAAACAAACCCAAAAAGAAATCCTGGGAAAGCAGGGAGAGTTCTCATTCATTGCTGATGGGGATAAAAAATGTCATCTTGGAAAACAGTTTGTCAATGTTTTACAAAGCTAAATATAGTCTTACCATATAATTCAGCCATCATCTTCCTATTTAAAGACTTATTTCCACAGAAAATCTTGCAAGCAAGTGTTTACTGCAGCTTTATTCATAATTGACAAAAACTGGAAGCCACAAAGAGGTCATTCAACAGGTGAATAGATATTTATTCACTGATTAAAAAGAGATGAGCTATCAAGCCACAAAAGGCTACCGATAGACTTTAAATGCATATTGCTAAGTGAAAGAATTCAGTCTGAAAAGACCACATACCATATGATTCAAATTATATGACATTCTGAAAAGACAAACTGTAAAGGTAGTAAACAGATTCGTGGCTTGGGGGAGGCGTAGAGGGTTAAACAGGTGAAGCACAATCGATCTTTAGGATAATACAACTATTCTTCACGATACTATAATGTTAGATACATGACATTATTTTCAAAGTTTATAGAATTTTATAGCACAAAGAGAGAACCTTAATGTAGACAAACAAACAAACAAAAAATTAGGAGCTCCAAGAATCCCAGGAAGGAATTCAGACTGTGATAAGAGATTCTGATTATATTGCAAATATACAAAACTACACCACTGAAGGGGGTAGGATAGGTGCTGACCTATGTAACTTTAGTCTAGAAGTAAAGTCTATAAGACTAAAGTCAAAAGAGACTCAAATAAGCACTGTACGCTATTTGATAAAGTTGTTTCTTATGGGGAACAGATTAATAATCCAGATACTGCTACACATGTATGCTGCAACTGAACAATTAAGTAAATGTGCAGTAGAAGTGTGGGAGCCAGTTTCCTCACTATTAAAGTGGGAGGTTACAGATAAGCAAGGAGCTATAGATAAGCATGGAATGGTCCATGTAGTAATTCATTACAGTTGGAGACATCAGTGTGAATTTATATTTAGTTTAATACAGATACAGAAATACTTATGGATAAATGTATATTCATAATTTAGTATATACATACGTATTTCCTCGTTCTGTTAGCTGAGGGGGGCTAGAAAGAACAGCACCCCAGCAGCAATGAACACACCTAGAATCCAGATCTTGGTCTATAATACAAGTATAGGAACCATTACAAAGAACCAGGATTCCTTGGAGAAATGGCTGATTATAGTTTTGGGGCAGGAAACAAACAAGACAAGCCTCAAGCATCTTGTAATATCAGAAAGTAAGGAAGTGCTTAAAAATTAAAAGAAACTTACAATGATGGGATTATGTCAGAGGAACAGAGGGACACAGAGCCCAACTGAAAGAATTTCCAATGGACAAAGCTGGAACAATTTGAACAACAAAATATAGCAGTATTGGATTATAACCCAAAGTGTAACATAAATATCTGTAAGTCTATACTGAAAATGACTAAATAAATGATGGAGAAGAAACAAATGACCCTTTCAAAAGAATTCCAAGTAAATCATGTAGATACTCCCTTCTTTTTTTAATCATTAAATATGTATGCAAACAACTTTCAAATACATTTTGACATCAAAGTCAGTCAATTCACTTGGAAGAACATTATAATGAATACCACTGAATTTTTGTAGTAAGATGTTCAATGTCAACTTTGATTATGGGAATACTTTACATCTCACACAAAGGAGGCACTGGTACTTAGAAACTTAAGAAAATTTCCAGAACTGTTAAGACTGAGGTGAAGAATTTGCACAGCCTTCCACAATTTCAAAGAGGTAGTGATAGACACTTGTCCTCCTGGCAATATCAAATGCAGTTTCTTCCAAGTTGTTTTTCAGCCCTGGCTTGATGTAACAGTTCACCAGGAGGAGTTCTAGGGTATCCTTGCTGTCTCTGTTCCCAGCAGCAAGATGCAAGGGGGCCAAGAGGCCTTTTGTTTGGGCATTGATATCTGCATCATGCTGCAGTAAGAAAGAAACCACTCATATTATTCTACTTGCAAGCACTGTGCAGGGGCGTCCAGCCATCCACAGTCACTGCATGAGCATCTGCCCCCTGTGAAATGATCTCCTAGACAATATCTACGTGTCCACTGTAGGCTGCACGATGAAGAGGGGTATACTCATCTTCATCCCTAGTGTTCACATGAGCAGCCTTTTCAGAAAGTAGTCTCTGTACTGTAGTAAGCCGATTTTTTTCAGCAGCCCAAAGAAGCAATTTGCTTGGGTCTTTTTCCATTGTTTTTTCTTGCAATTGATACCACTCTTCATTTTTTTCATCTTGCTCTTCGTCTTCTTCAGAATTGCCTACCCAAAGACTTTGAGCACCAGTAGGAATAAGGTGTCCATGTGTTTCCAAAAATTCAAGTTGGTTAAAGTGTTCGGAAAAATCCAAGAAATTCCCTTGGTCTGGTATTCCATCATCATTTCCTTTTTCTTTTTCCATTTTTACTACTATTCTAAATAAAAAGCATTTCAAATGCCAGGGTATAAATAATCTTTCTAGAGATGAATTATGATTGCTTTATTCATCAAGATCTGACAGAAGGGAAAATAGCCAACATGCATCTCACTTCCGGTAACATTTTTTACAATTTTTTTATTATTATACTTTAAGTTCTGGGGTACATGTGCAGAACGTGCAGGTTTGTTACATAGGCATACATGTGCCATGGTGGTTTGCTGTACCCATCAACCCGTGATCCACATTAGGTATTTCTCCTAATGCTCTCCCTCCCCTTGCCTCCCACCCCGCAACAGGCCCCAGTGTGTGATGTTCCCCTCCCTGTGCCCATGTGTTCTCATTGTTCAACTTCCACTTATGAGTGAAAACCAAACATGAAGTGTTTGGTTTTCTGTTCTTGTGTTAGTTTGCTGAGAATGATGGTTTCCTTACTCCATTCTTAAGAAAGAGAGCATAAATCTCTACTCTTTAATTGCAGGCTTCTCATAGTGACTTCCTTTCAAAGAGTACAGCATGGAAAGGAAGGAGGGAAACAGTAACTTTACAGTGAAGAAACCCAGAAAACACCCATGGCCAGGCGATCAGGGCCAACATCAGCAGTGAGAAACCATGTTGATATAATGTGATGAAAATGGCAGTTTATCTCTGTGGTTTTCCCCCCAAAGCCCACAGTCTCAGTCTAATTGTGAGGAAAGATAACAGACAAATCCTATGTGAGAGGCATCCTACAAAATATCTGACCAGTACTCAAAACTGTCAAAGTCATCAAAAATGAGAAAATCAAGAGAAGTTTTCACAGCTAAGAGGATCCTAAAGGATACATGATGTGCGTGTATGGTAGTATCCTGGATAGGATCCTGGGACAG